>NC_000004.12:98921381-99546381 GCF_000001405.40 Homo sapiens
TTTTTCTGTGCTCTGCTCATTACAATGACAGTAATGGAGTGCAATGTCATCATCTCGGCTCACTGCAACCTCCACCTCCCAGGTTGAAGCAATTCTCTTGCTTCAGTCTCCCAAGTAGCTAGGACTACAGGCACCCGTGACCACGCTTGGCTAATTTTTGTATTTTTAGTAGAGATTACAATGACAGTAATGAGCAGAGCACAGAAAAAAATATTACAACTAATTTCTGTATAGCATTTTGTAGTAACAAGCTTAAAATACACCAAGAAACACGTATGTGTACATTTTAGCTTAAACTTTTTCAAAACAACTGTTTTACCCTTTGCCAGACTTATCACCAAAATTACTAAAAGTACTAAGGTAGTTAAGTCTAGAATAAATCCAAAATTCACAAACTTTTAAAAATGTACTAAAACTTTTTTCACTAGCAAAATATTTTAACTGGGAAATCATACGAACTAGCAAATGCCAGAAATCAAATTAGAAAGGGGGAGAAGGTTAAGTGTCCATCCACTTTCTTTAGAAATCCACAAAGTTCTCAATTAGTTACTAAAACACGATTGGTGTAATTGCTTGGTTTAGTCCTCAAGATTATATATTTTTGTTATCTAACATTGTAATATAACAGGGCCTAAAAATAAATGCCCACACGTTTTATTTTATAGCTGTAGCAAAACACATAGTAAGCTTATCAAAACACATCTCCCCTTCTGAAGTCACCCAAGCAAAGCACATTACATGCCTACTTGAAAGAGTGCAACGGTTAAGAATATACACTCTGCACTTTGGCTGCTTTAATTTAAACTCCACCCCACCACTTAATAGCTGTGTGATTTTGGAGCAAGTTAGTCACACAATGTTACTTCATCTGTACTGTTAAGAATTAAATGAGTTAGCCTGGCGCGGTGGCTCACGCCTGTAATCCCAGCACTTTGGGAGGCTGAGGTGGGCGGATCACGAGGTCAGGAGTTCGAGACCAGCCTGGCCAATATGGTGAAACCCCATCTCTACTATAAATACAAAAATTAGCCGGGCGTGGTGGCACGTGCCTGTAGTCCCAGCTACTCAGGAGGCTGAAGCAGGAGAATCACTTGAACCCAGGAGGCGGAGGTTGCAGTGAGCCGAGATCGCGCCACTGTACTCTAGCTGGGACAACAGTGAGACGCTGTCTCAAAAAAAAAAAAAAAAGAAATAAATGAGTTAATATATGTAAAGCATTCAGTGTGGTACTTAACATAGAATAAGTGCTATGTGTAGCAATTACAAATAACGATCTTTCTACATTAAAAATAGCTGTTACAAACAAGGTATGTTTATAAGGTTTTTTTAGTTAGTTGCTTACAACTATAAATCCATATCCTTAATTCCATATCCCTATAAATCCAATGCTGGTTAGATTTGTAATGATTCCACAAAAATTTACTGAATATAGTGTGACTAAACTTCATTTTCCTGTTTTTTCTTTTTTCTTTTTTTTTTTTTTTGAGAAGGAGTTTCAGTCTTGTTGCCCAGGCTGGAGTGCGATGGCAGACATAGGCTCACCGCAACCTCCACCTCCCAGGTTCAAACGATTCTTCTGCCTCAGCCTCCCAAGAAGCTGGGGTTACAGGCATGTGCCACCATACCCAGCTAATTTTGTAATTTTGTTAAGTAGAGACAGGGTTTCTCCATGCTGGTCAGGCTGGTCTCGAACTCCCGACCTCAGGTGATCCGCCCACCTCAGCCTCCCAAAGTGTCGGGATTACAGGCGTGAGCCACCACGCCCGGCCCATTTTCCTACTGTTTCTATGGAATAATGTATCAAAAGTTCCAACTGGGGAAACAAAAAAAAAAAAACCCCTTATATTTCTGACCACATTCTCAGGTTCCAGAAGTGCCCAGAAATGACTATTAGTATTTTAGACACACACACACACACGCAAAATCATTTTCTTTTTCTTTTTTTTTTTGGTGAGATAGGGTCTCTTTCTGTCACCCAGGCTGGAATGCAGTGGTGTGATCACAGCTCACTGCAGCTCTGACCTCCCAGGCTCAGGGGATCCTCCCATTTCAGCCTCCTGAGGCTAGGACACAGGTGTGCACCACCATATTCAGCTAATTTTTTAATTTTTTGGAGAGACAGGGTCTCGCCATGTTGGCCAGGCTGGTCTCAAACTCCGGGCTCAAGTGATCCTCCTGCCTTTGTCTCCCAAAGCCTCGGATTACATGTGTGGGCCACCAAGCCCAGCCCCTTTCTTTTTCTGGAGACATGATTAGGGACTTTTGAAGGAACACTAGTGATTTTTATGGTAGGGATAGGAGTGGGAAGAACATCTTAGGATTGTGAATCACAGGCTTTGCATTTCTTGCTAATGGCTAAGGATTGATAATTAAAAAGCAGCAATGTGAATTTCCAAGAAAAGAGGGAAAATAGTATGTAAATGCATGGATATACATGAGTATAAAACATTCATGGAATGTCAACTTTAGTCCCTTACAGTTGACAAACTGTCACCTTTGAATACTGCATTTAAAAATTGAAATCACCGTAATATATCTTATTCCGACTTTCAGCTGACTTAGAAATTTCAGTCTTCAAGATCACTCAGATATTAAGATGAGACTATAACCCATGCTCATTTCCACTTCTCAAAAAAGTCTCTATGACTAAGATGGTGCAACTCACCGGTACTAATAGATTAAGGAAACTTCTTTTGTTTATTTTTTTTTTTTTTGAGACGGAGTCTCGCTCTGTCACCCAGGTTGGAGTGCAGTGGCACAATCTCAGCTCACTACAACCTCCGCCTCCCAGGTTCAAGAGCTTCTCCTGCCTCAGCCTCCTGAGTACCTTGGGATTACAAGCACGCATCACCACGCCCAGCTAAGTTTTGTATTTTTAGTAGAGGTGGGGTTTCACCATGTTGATCAGGCTGGTCTCAAACTACTGACCTGGTGATCTACCCACCTCGGCCTCCCAAAGTGCTGGGATTACAGGCATGAGCCACCGCACCCGGCCCATATTCTTAACTTTATGTAAATTAAACAATATTTTACTTAAATGTTTTTTGCCTACAGTTTTCTGTCCAAACTAGAGTAAGCTTACATAATTCATTTTGCATATTATCCCTCTGCAACTTCTGTGTATAAACTGTGTGTCTACATTGAATTTCTCTAAGTCTAATAATCATGCTCATTAACTCAGATTATAAAATGAAGTGTGAAATTTGTTTCTGTTTTTTTTTTTATTCTTTTTGATGGAGTCTTGCTCTGTCGCCCAGGCTGAAGTACAGTGGTACCATCTCGGTTCACTGCAACCTCCACCTCCAGGTTCAAGCGATTCTCCTGCCTTGGCCTCCCCAGTAGCTGGGATTACAGGCGCCTGCCACCAGGCCTGGCTAATTTTTGTATTTTTAGTAGAGACAGGGTTTCACCATTTTGGCCAGGCTGGTCTCGAACACCTGACCTCAAGTGATCCCCACCCGCCTCGGCCTCCCAAAGTGCTGAGATTACAGGCGTGAGCCACCGCACTCAGCAAGTATATTTTTTTCTTTTAATTGAAGAAATCTGGAATATGAACCCCAGAGCCAAATTTACGTGGATTATCGAGGAACTCTGATATAGTGGGTTCTTTCATTAAGCAAAAAGTCCACTAATTTGCATAGTCTGGTTGGCATTCAATTGTTCATTAATATGAATTATATAGTACAACAAATATTTGTCAATATGTATATAAACCTTATTTACTCTTATTAATAAGCTGTGTAGTACAGAGCATGTTTCCAAAGTATAAAAAAGGAAGCATTAAATTAGCTGATTGTCCAAGTTGATTCACTTATGAAATTAGCGTGGTTTCAAAAAATTCAAGAGCTACAATGTAAAAACAAGTAAAATTATACACTTTCAGTTAAGCTAAAGAAATCAAAATTAATCTCTTACCTCAAAAGGAACTACAAGTCAAAAAAAAATTTTTTTAATTCTAATAATGAACGATGTAGAATGAAGATAAAGCTACAAAGAAACACGACCTACTGGAGGTAAGATGGCCTTGCCATTTTCACAGACTAATATTAAACCTAATTTTGACCCAGCCACAATTCAAATGCCGATAGAATAACATCAGAGTACCGTTTGCCCTAACGTTCAAATTTTTGCCAAATTATCCGTTAAGAGGTAAAATGTTTCCCTTAATTTTCCCTTTCAAGCTTCTCAACAAATTTAATATTTGTGGGCCACATCTTCATGTAACTCAACTCATACAAAGAGAAAACCACACAATAATATCAAACTGAAAATGATATTTTATGTAATGTCCATAGACAAAAATCATCCAGATACCTATGCATGATGGGATAAGCAGGAAAAGCCCATGGCTCTTTTTAAGTGTTTATGATTATGCACAGCAGAAAACCATTATGGAAGCTCACAAACTAGCTGAAGTAAGAAAAAACATGATTTTTGCAGCCTTCAGCAGGGGTATCTCAAGTACAATCCAATTCTAATCAGTTGCTTCAAAAAAAAATCCAGGCGAGGCTCGGTGGCTCACGCCTGTAACCCAACATATTGAGAGGCCAAGGTGGGAGGACCACTTGAGTCCAGGAGTTTGAGACCAGCCTGGGTAACCATCGCGAGATTCCATCTCTACAAAAAGTTTAAAAATTATCCGGGCGTGGTGGCCTGCTCCTGTAGTGCTTGCTACACCAGAGGCTGAGATGGAAGCATCTCTTGAGCCCAGGAGTTTGAGGCTGCAGTGAGCTATGATCGCGCCACTGCACTCCAGCCCCAGCAACAGAGCAAGATCCTGCACCCCTACACACAAAATCCAACTATTTAAAACTGTCAAAAATAATTCCACATAACTAGCCTGTGCACAAGGGTATATTAAAAGTACTAAAAATTTTCAGGCCAGGCGCGGTGGCTCATGCCTGTAATCCCACCACTTTGGGAGGCCAAGACGGGCGGATCACCTGAGGTCGGGAGTTGAAGACCAGCCTGACCAACATGGAGAAACCCCATCTCTACTAAAAGTACAAAATTAGCCGGGCGTGGTGGCACATGCCTGTAATCCCAGCTACTCGGAAGGCTGAGGCAGGAGAATCGATTGAACCCAGGAGGCGGAGGTTGCGGTGAGCCAAGATCGCGCCATTGCACTCCAGCCTGGGCAACAAGAGTGAAAGTCAGTATCGAAAAAAAAAAAATTCATTTCTCACTAAAACTAAACACTTCGATACTATTTTACATATATTCTCAAAATACTTTAGTTTCCAGCTTCACACACTTTGTTTTTAGGTTCCCCTACTCCCCAAATTTAAACATAACATCCAAATCTCCCAAAGTCTGTACCAGAACAAATACTGTATCACTAACCACATCCCTAGGAATTAAGTTCCTTAAGGGTTTACATTCAACAAGACTCACATCTTGTATAACTTTGTATCCTAAAGAACACTTGGTACAACACCCTGGATATATCAGGAGCTATTAATATTTACTAACTCAAAATATAGTCCTTCATCACTTTGCAGTTCCGCTCTGTGCTGCTGAAACAAAACTGCATAAACTCTGCAAAACTCAAGGGACCTAAATGTGACAGAAACCTCACAGAACTCCTTATTGTTTTATAGTTTACAGTCTCGTAGCCTTGCCCCTATTACCAGATGTAATGCTTTTTACTGACACTAGTGTAGTGGGGTAGGAACAGATCTAGACAAAAGTGGACATCAGAACCTGTCAAGGGGTTTAAAATGTATATTTTACATACTTATTCTTCATTAGTGTTATGTAATATTAATGTCCTAAAGTCAGTTAACTGTAGCAACAACTTATGAGTTTTTCAGTCAATTTAATTCCCAGGAACATAAATGAAAACTGGTGCCAATAAAAAAACAAGTAAGCAAGCAGAGAAGCTGCCTTGAATTTTGACAAGGTAAGGATAGTTTACACCAACGCAATGAAAAATAAGCCTTTGTGTAGTCTATAAGAGTTTTTGAAATAGTTTTATAAAAGTCTTTAAAAGTGCCGGGTGCTGTGGCTCACGCCTGTAATCCCAGCACTTTGGGAGGCTGAGGCGGGAGGATCACTTGAGGTCAGGAGTTTCAGACCAGCCTGGCCAACATGGTGGAACCCCGTCTCTACTAAAAATACAAAAATTAGCCAGGCACGGTTGTGCGCACCTGTAATCCCAGCTACTCAAGAGGCTGAAGCAGGAGAATCGCTTGAACCCGGAGGCGGAGGTTGCAGTGAGCCGAGATCACGCCACTGCACTCCAGCCTGGGCGACAAAGCAAGACTCCATCTCAAAAAAAAAAAAAAAAAAAAAAAAAAAAAAAAGTCTTTAAAAGTCAAAGCAAACTGGTAAACCATTAGCAAAACCACAAGCTACCATGAAAAGATACACAAAAGTATCTGGCAACCAAGGTCTAGAGCTGGTTCCAGAGTGTGAAAGGTTTTCTGATTGCTAATAAACCCCATTATGCACACAAGATATCTTCACTTAGCTGTGTCGTTTCTAAAAAGGCAACAGGGCCCAGAAGTTTCAGTGAGCCAGTCCTGGCAAACCCAAATTATGAAAAATATACCCTCTGCTTAAAGATTAACTACAAACCTACCCTGGGACCAGCTTGCTTCAGTTAAGTTTAAAATGGTGCCTAAATTGAAATGAAAGTCTGTAGCATAGATAAAGAGAAAAAAAAAGTCAAATGGAAAAGTAAATTTAAAAGTTTCTATTTCCAATAAACTGCGTCTCAGAAATCTTCCAGGAGATAAAGACTCGGAAGAACAGAGGGATTGAGACCCATTCGCATTCTCTGAGGCGTGCGCACTACGCGGAAAGGATGAATGAATGGAAGACGGGCGCGTGTGAAATGCAGCAGGTCCGGCCGGCAAGCCGACCGGCTACAGCGATCTGTAGGCCTCGCTCCTCCCCCTTCCCTCCTCCATGACAGCCCAGTCCCAAGCATGGAGGGGCGAGGACAATGTGATACCCCTTCTCACCACCACCATCCCTCATTCTACTTGGAGAGCTTCACCGTGACACACGAGTGTTCCTTCCCACCCCAGACCTTTCTCGCTTCCCCTGGCGCAAACACCGGCAACTCTCCGGCGCGCTGGATTAACAGACGCTCGCCCCTCTCAACTCCCCTAAGCGAGGTCGAAGCTCCTCCGCGCGTGCCGCGGCACCACTCCCGCCTAACCCACCCTCCGGCAACACTCGCCCACCAGCTCCCCAGTCCACCGGTCTAAGGAAGACGTGCGCGCGCCCCGCACCCGAGCCCCGGAGCTGGGGTTCTGCAGGGAGGGAAAGGCTGCTCCAGGGCTCCCTCCTCCATCTCACTCCAGGCCGGCTCGCCGCCCACCCTGCCTGCGGATCCCAGTACTCGCTGGGAGCCGGCCCTGCGCCTTCCTATCATGAAGACACCATCCTCGCATACCCAGCCCAGAACCCCAGCTACCCTCCACCCTGTAGACACCTCGCGGTTCCGCAGGAGGCGCCACGCCGCCCCTCCCCCACACCGCTCCCCCAGTTCTCGGGCCCCCACCAGAAAGTGTGCGCTACACGCCGCCTCGGCCATCCTCCGGGACGTCCCCACTTGTCCGCGGGAGGTCAGGTCCAACATGAAGGGGAAGGGGCGGCAAGGGGTACAGTGCGCGCCGGGAACGCCGTCCCGCGGAGTCCCCCAGTCAGAAGGAAGACGGAGCGCGGGGACCCGTGGGGGTGGGGGCCAAAGGCAATACTCACCGGTTCGACAGTCGCCATCTTAGATCGATCTGATCGCACAACCGCTCCAGAAGGGGGGGTAAGAGGAAAAAAATGAGATTCAAACCGGATTGGCCAGCTTCTGGCCACGTGACGGATATGTCCGTTTGGCCCTGGCGGCACCTGCGCAAGACTGCGGCTGCGTGAGTAACGAGAGGCTTCTGGGAAGTGGAGTCTCTCCCCCACCTTTTTTTTTTTTTTTTTTTTAAGGTAAAGAAATTTTTTTTAAAAAGGACTGGTCACGTGGCCGATGGGTAGGGTGCGCGGTTCTCAACGCGGCGGACACTCGCTTGCTGGAGGGTGGTTTCAGTCCTCTGCTCTTCCGCCTGGATAGCTGCGGTCACACTTACTGCCAGGCAAGCCTACTGTGCCCTTTGTCGCCCTGTCCTCCCATCTTCCCCGGAAGGTTGGGAACTGCAGGCTCAGCACACACAATAAGGCTTCATTTGCTTAGTTGAGGTCCCAGGACAAGTTGCCTGTGTGTTTATTTAGTTTTCTTTTGATCTCCCACCATTTTCTCTTAGTTTCAAAAAGAGGCGGCGATGCAGAGTCGTTTAGGCAATCAACCCTCCCACGTCCCCTGGCTCAGCTAATGCTGGTGGTCATTCGTTGCCATTTCTGCGAAAGGGGACGGACGGAACCGCCCGCAGTACCCGCTTGCCACCGGCTGGACGAGGGGGAGGGACGACAGCTTTTACTGTCCCAAATCCTGAGATTAAGACCTCAGGGCTAAATCTTGCGTGGCGGTAAAAATTATTTGGAAGTTCTGTGCAACCGTTCCAATATTCCGCTTTTACGTGCACGGAAATAGCCTAAGTCCAGATGCCAGCCAGGGAAGCCACTCCGGGCCCCGCTGACTAAGCCCTGGACTGATGGTCTGGAGTCTTTAGGCCGGGTCAACTATGACTCTTGACGTTGACTCATTCTCCTTAGGCGAGTGACTTAATCGCTCGGCGTCTCAGCTTTTTTATTTATGAACCAAAGGTGATGATACACTTACCTCACAAGGGTGTGCTTCGTAATGACTGTAACCGGCTTTGAAAATGCATCGGACTCTAGAAATGATTCATAATAAGCAACTGCGTGCCTTCCTAAAGATCAAGTGCTTCTGCTTTTTTTTTTTAGCAAAGTTTAAATTTTTTTCTGTTTACTTTGTTTGATTATGATGTACACCAGTGTAGTTTTAAATGTTCAGGACCATTTTTTTTCCTTTACAACTGCAGCTGCCCTCAATAGAGGCTTTAATGTTCATGAAATTATTGTTATGCTCACAACAATCACTGGCAATCAGAAATTTGTCCCCACACTGGCATCCTACATTTCCTTTCCCTCTAAGATACTGTGCTGTCATTTCTCAAGACCGTGTTTTTTGCACAGTTTGGCTACTAATAACAACAAATAGAGATGAAGAAATCTAGTAGACTCCTAAGGTTCTAATGAAGAAGACACTGTCTCATTACTATTTCCCATGCTTTTAAATAATGTTGACACCAGGAAAAGGAGTGTATGCAGGCTGCCTGTGCCTGTCTGCTTATAGTGTTAATGAGGTCCAGAGCTGTGTCATACCTATTATTGAGTACATAATGGATGCTTGAGTTGACTAACACATAATTGAGGCTGTATGAGAACTCAAAGCCATTGCCTGTTCATATGTTTTGGTTTACCTGAATATCAGAAGTGATTAATGAAAGCTTTTGTCTAGTGGGCTTAGCTCTACTAGGTTTTAAAGTAGATAGAATTAACAGGCCAGGCGCAGTGGCCCACGCCTGTAATCACAGCCCTTTGGGAGGCCAAGGCGGGCGGATCACCTGAGGTCAGGAGTTCGAGACCAGCCTGACCAACATGGTGAAACCCTGTCTCTACTAAAAATACAAAAATTAGCCAGGCATAGTGGCACCTGCCTGTAGTCTCAGCTACTCAGGAGGCTGAGGCAGGAGAATCACTTGAACCTGGGAGGTGGAGGTTGCAGTGAGCCAAGATCCCGCCACTGCACTCCAGTCTGGGCGACACAGTGAGACTCCATTTCCAAAAAAAAAAAAAAAATGATAATAAACGGATAAGTGGATTTCTACTTACAGAGACTATCTACTGTTACTTAGACTATCCAAAATAATTCTGTTGACCGCGTTGTTATTTTCTGCTGGTTAGAAGTGGTGTCAGGTTACCTTCTTTGAAGAGAAAAAGACAGCATAGATGTCCTATTTTCCCCTTCCCCACCCTTCCCCACCCTTCCTCTCCCTTCCCTACCCTTCCCCTCCCTTCCCTTCCCTTCTCTTCCCCTCCCCTCCCCTGTCCTCCCCTCCCCTCCCTCCCCTCCCCTCCCATTCTCTCTCTCTCTCTCTCTTCCTTCCTTCCTTCCTTCCTTCCTTCCTTCCTTCCTTTCTTTTTGTCTTTTCAGGGTGTTGCTCTGTTACCCAGGCTGGAGTGCAGTGGCATGATTATGGCTCACTGCAGCCTTGACCTTCTGGGTTCAAGGGGTCCTCCCACCTTAGCTTCCCAAGTAGCTAGGACTACAGGCATGGGCCACCATGCCTAGCTAATTTTTTTATATTTTGCAGAGACAGGAGCGTCTAGCTATGTTCCCCAGGCTGGTCTCAAACTCCTGGGCTCAAGCGGTCCCCCTACCTGGGCCTCCCAAAGTGCTGAGATTGCAGGCATGAGCCACCATTCCTGGCCAGATGTCCTATTTTCATGAAGCTGTTATATAACAGCAAAAAATCAATGAGATTGGCAAGAAAATACCTATAGGACTGAAAGCCAGTGATGTTCTTAAAACTTTTTTTAAACAACAGTTTCCATTTTTATTAAATTTTCTGTTAATCAAAAAACTCGGGCCGGGCACGGTGGCTCATGCCTGTAATCCCAGCACTTTGGGAGGCCAAGACGGGCGGATCACGAGGTCAGGAGATCGAGACCATCCTGGCTAACACGGTGAAACCCCGTCTCTACTAAAAATACAAAAATTAGCTGGGCATGGTGGCAGGCGCCTGTAGTCCCAGCTACGCGGCAGGCTGAGGCAGGAGAAAGGAGTGAACCCAGGAGGTGGAGCTTGCAGTGAGCGGACATCGCGCCACTGCACTCCCTCAGTCTCAAAAAAAAAAAAAAAAAAAAAACTCCCTCTTGTCAACCAAGACTCATACTTTTACAATACTTATGGATGCTCTATTCTTTATGGTTTAGTTTCTTTCCATTTTTTACATAGTTTTCAACAATTTTTCTTTATAATTTTCAAGCACAGAGTTTCAGGAAAATCTCCATTTTTGTATATACTTTGTTGTGTGTGTTTTATGACCATTAATGTGTCTTTGCCTATTTGAGATTCTACCATTTCAAAGATTTAACGATTAGGTTTTTATGTATGTGTGTATGTGGTTGTTTTGTTTTGTTTTTGCCAATCCTAAATATATAGAGCTGAAATTTTATGTTTTATTTCTCTATTTATTCTCTATTATTCTTTATTGCTCTTCAAAGGACTTGTAATTCCAAGTTCATTTACAGAACTGACCAGAAACCATCCAACAAGTACTAAGTTAGTAATGGGAACTATGTAACCAGTGGAGGATATTTAAAGGACACAGGAAGTACAGGCACTTCCTTCCCCGACTGTAAAATCTGGTTGGCGTACTAAGTCATAGAAATATAAATAGTTCAGTACCCATATAAAGAGGTGTGACTAAGAACCAAGAGGATGCAGTTAACAAGCACCATAACCAGCACACATTCACATAATGAATGAGCGAATCATATACTTCCTTCCCTCATTTCATCCAGGCCTCTGTTCCAATGTGATCTCCTGAAGGAAGGCTTCCTTGACCACCCTATCTAAATTACTGTTTCCATTACTCTTTATCCCCTCACTCTGCTTTGGTTTTCTTTAGGCCACTTCATAACCCTAACTCTAAACTTGCTGTTAAACATTATTTAATTAGTTGTTGATTGACCCTACTACTAAAATATTAGCTCATTGATGATTTGTAGATAGATTGCTATCAAATATTTGGGGAAAACTCAAATGTAATTTTTTTTTCCCGAGATGCAGTCTCACTCTGTTGCCCAGATCTTGGCTCACTGCAACCTCTGCTTCCTGGGTTCAAGCGATCCTCCTGCCTCAGCCTCCCAAATAGCTGGGACTACAGGTGCGTGCCACCACACCTGGCTAACTTTTGTATTTTTAGTAGAGATGGCCAGCCTGGTCTCGAACTCCTGACTTCGTGATCTGCCCGCCTCGGCCTGCCAAAGTGCTGGGATTACAGGCCTGAGCCACTGTGAACCCTTATTTTAATTTTACAGTTTGAGAGACACCAATTCCCATTACCTACTCAGGACATTGCTTAAAAACATGGGATGTACGCAAACATGACCAAGGAATTTTGAATATTAAAAGATTGGAGCAGAATTGGAATTTAAAAAATTATTTTATTATTCTAGTTAGTTTTTTGTTTACTCTCTCCTTGGTGATTTTTATGAGACTGAGGCACTACCTACTGGCTAAAAAGGCACCTTGATTTTTAAAAGAAAATCAAGAAAAAGAAAAAGAAAAAAATTTTTTAAGGGAAACCTCTTCTGCTATTCTAATATATCCGTGTGCCAACATTTTATGCTTTTACAATTATAGGGTGCAAAGAGTTTTTGTTTGTTTGTTTAGAGACAGGGTATTCCTATACTACTAGGCTGGAGTGCAGTGGCACAATCCTGGCTTACTGCAGCCTCTAACTCTGGGGCTCAAGCGATCCTCCCACCTCAGCCTCCTGAACGATGGCTAAGACTACAAACATGTGCCACCATGCCCAGCTCATTTTTTTATTTTTTGTAGAGAAAAGATCTTGTTATGTTGCCCAGGCTAGTCTCGAACTCCTGGGCTCAAGTGATCCTCTGGCTTTGGCCTCCTAAAACTCTGAGATTATATGTATGAGTCACCCCCAGCCTGCACAAACAATTTTGAATTCTACATTTTTTTCCACATGACATCTTATTGCAAACATTTTGGACATTGCCTATAGATGGGATAACAGTTTTTAAACTTTTTTTTTTTGGAAAAATTTTAAACTTACAGAATACTTGTAATAGTAACTCTTCTTCTAAGCCCTTCTAAATTCACCAATTATTAATTTGTTGCATTGCCTCTCTTAATCTCATTACTTCTGAACCATTTGAGAGGAAGTTGCAGGCATGATGATCCTTTACCTCTAAATACTTCAGCATGTTCCTCCTATGAATAAAGACGTTTTCTTACAGCACCGTAATACAAATAATGAAATCATGAAATATAATAGTAGTTTTATCTAAAATAAAAACCATAAAATCAATATTCGTATTTTGCCAGTTTCTTCACTCATTTTGACAGAAATACTACAAAAATAATATTGTATTCTTCCTGGTGCATCACATCATCGGTAACATTAGTGGCTTCAGAATATTCTGCTGAGTGGATATATCACAGTTCCCTTAATCAGTTCCAAATGGTTACATATTCAGGTAATTTCCAGTCTTATATTATTATAATGTTCTAATGCATACATTTATGAGAAATGTGTTTTCCTATTTAGATGATTTCCTCAGGACAATTTTTCATCAATAGAATTAGTTTATAGGATACATAGTTTTGACTGTTTATACATAATGGAATTCATGTTGCTCTCCAAAAGTGTGGTATCGGCATGAGATGTCACAGCCAACTTATCAGTGTTGGGTGTTAAAGGAATTAAAAGAATGTATCGTTAATGATTCTTGTTGCTAGTTTCAATATTTACTTATTCACAGCCTTTACCTTTGTTCCATTACCTGTTATTTTGGAAATGTTGAAATCTACAAAAAATTTGAAACAATACAACAAACACTTATAAACCCTTCACCTAGATTCTCTAGTTGTTAATCTTTGAATCAATAAGGATTGATAAGGGCTGGGCGTGGTGGCTCACACCTGTAATCCCAACACTTTGCGAGGCCGAGGAGGGTGTATCACTTGAGCTCAGGAGTTTTGAGACTAGCCGGCCAACATGGAGAAACCTCATCTCTACTAAAAATGCAAAAATTAGCCAAGCATGGTGGCGTGCACCTGTAGTCCCAGCTATTCAGGAGACTGAGGCAGGAGAATCACTTAAACCCAGGAGGCGGAGCTTGCAGTGAGCTGAGATCGTGCCACTGCACTCCAGCCTGGGCGACAGAGTGAGTCTGTCTCAAAACAAACAAACAAATAAGGACTGATAAGAATACTGATGTAATTTTGAAAAGTATGTAGTAGCCAAGGGGCCTGTCACATATGGAAGAGTTATGGAAATGGTTAATGGAACATGGAGTCTCTAGGTGCAATATAGATGGGCAGCCAAGAAGGGTATTATTCAATTTACACTACGAAAAAAAAATAAATAAGTAAAAATTAGGGCCAGGTGAAGTGACTCATGCCTGTAATCCCAGCACTTGTGGGAGGCCAAGGCAGGAGGATTGCCTGAGCCCACCAACCTGGGCAACACCGTAAGCCCCAGCCTCTAAAAAAAAATAAACATAAAAATAAATGATGGATGATAAGGAGGCCATAGGCAGTTGTACCAATAAAACATCAAAATCTCCTGCCAAGTTCCTGGACCTGAGCCAATTTTTAGACCCAAAATCCATTGACTGAAGAAGTTAGGTGCGAGGGAGAAAGGAACCGTGGCAAGCAATGGGGTTAATGATTCCCCAGTTCTTCCCCCAAAATGATCTATGGCTGTTTACTTGTGCAACTGTATGCTTTGTAAAGGGGAACACCCAAGCAGTTCTAATACTGCCGGACTCAGGTTTGACTTGACATTGATACCCAGAGCCTGAAGTACTATCCTAGCCTTCCTGTTTAAGTGAGGATATACGGGGTTCAGGTAATACATGAAAAGCAAATAAAAATGGAAGGTCCAAAATTCCTTAAATGTCTTTTAAGCAACATTAATAGGAGACTATTATATACAGTTGACCCTTGAACAACACGTGTTTGAACTTTGTGGGTACATTTACACATGGACTTTTTAAATATAAATATACTGCAAATATTTTTGGAGATTTAGGACAATTTGAAAAATCTCACAAACTGCATAGCCTAGAAATATTGAAAAAATTAAGAAAAAGGTATGTCACGAATGCATAAAATATATGTGTTAATAGATAGAGTATGTTATTGGTAAGGCTTCTGGTCAACAGTAGGTTATGAATAGTTAAGTTTTGGGGGAGTCAAAAGTTATATGTGAATTTTCAGCTGGGCATCTCATACCTATAATCCCAGCACTGTGGGAGACCAAGGCGGGTGGATCACTTGAGGCCAGGAGTTCAAGACCAGCCTGGCCAGCATGGCGAAACCCTGTCTTTACTAAAAATACATTAGCTGGGCATGGTGTCGTGGACCCGTAATCCCGGCTACTTGGGAGCCTGAGGCACGAGAATCGCTTGAACCCGGGAGGCGGAGGTTGCAGTGAGCTGAGATCATGCCAGTGCACTCCAGCCTGAGCAACAGAGCAAGACACTGTCTCAAAAAAAAAGTGTTTTAACATTTAAAAAAATTAAATAAAAAAGTTATATGTGAATTTTCAACTGCGTGGGGGGCTGAACACCCCTAATTCACACATTGTTTAAGGGTCAACTACTGGGAAACCAACAGATGTGTCTTCTGTAATGAAAACCACACAGAATCTGTAGAATGTAGTGGTCAACGATTTTGTAGATTTGAAATGAAGAGGGAATAGCTGTTTTACTCTCTGGGAGAAGACTATCTGTAAGAGACTTCCAGGCTAATGAAATTGGTAAGGTACTGGCCAGGCATGGTGGCTCACGCCTGTAATCCCAACACTTTGGGAGGCCGAGGCGGGCAGATCACGAGGTCAAGAGATCGAGACTGTAAGATACAATGAATTTCTTTGAACTTCTCTTCAAAGGTTTAGCCTGCTAACTTCCTTGTCCTTTGTTCTCAAACTCAGTTTTCCTGTTCCTCCTTGCCCCTAGTTACTGTAAAACAGCCTACCCCCTTCCTGTCAGCTCTAATCAATAACTCACATCTTTTCCCTTGGTTACCTGCAGCCATTGTTCCCCCGAAACTGCACGTCTCAAACAGTCTCACATGCTTTACCACTGTACCTCACGTCCCCCTGCCCTTCCATATTTAGAAAAATATTTGCAAGTAGCCAATCGGGTCAGCTCAGATTGTGCGGTCCGACCCCAGCCCATCGGGGAGGGACAAAGAGGTAGGGATTGCATTAAGGATATAAAAAAACCCTGATGTCCTTTATTCTCTGTGCTCTTGCGATCTCGATTGACACAAGTGGCACCCTTCTTCCGAAGTAAATTGCCCTGCTGAGACAACTTTTGCCTGAGTGCTGGTTTCACTTTGTGGCACCGAGCATTTATTTCCAGAACATTTTTTTATCCAACAAGACCATTCTGGCCAACATGGTGAAACCCTGTTTCTACTAAAAATACAAAAATTAGCTGGGCTTGGTGGTGTGCACCTATAGTCCGAGCTACTTGGGAGGCTGAGGCAGGAGAATCGCTTGAACCCAGGAGGCGGAGGTTGCAGTAGGCTGAGATAGCGTCACTGCACTCCAGCCTGGCAACAGAGCGAGACTCGCCTCAAAAGAGAAGGAAGGAAGGAAGGAAGGAAGGAAGGAAAAGAAATTGGTGAAATTGGTACTGACATGAAATTACAAAGTGCATTTTAGTCTAAATAAATAAGAAAGAAAAATAAGGTATCAGAGGAATCTGAGACAAGAGAAAGTTGGCTGGAGATAGTTAAAATATTTCTAAGGCCCAGTCTCTTGAGATAGACCTGTAGCCAATAATTTACATAATAATAACAAAAATGACAAGGGAGTGAGTAAACAAGTAGTTCACAGAGCTAAAAGCAAGGCATGATGCAAGGTGTGAATGGAATTAGTAAGTAAAATGTGTTGCCTGGGTATGTAGAATTTGATATTTGTTTTAACAAATTTAAAAACTGTCAGCTGCTACTTTAAGTGGAGACAGAATTTCCCTTTAGCACATTTTTATTCTGAGAAGAATCACAGTAGTGGCTGCTTTTAGTTATGTAAATGTATGGGCAAAAGCATAATTGCAAACTAGGGCTGCTGGTAGACTGCTCCACTTCTCTAATTCTCTCTTCAGCAGCCAAGTAGCTTGGTATTAGGATAGTCCTCTTGGACTAGTAAGTTTCTAGGCTTTTTAATTAATTCAGAGGGAAATGCGACAACAGAAACTACTTCCCCAATAATGAGTGGAAAGTACCAAAATTAAATAAATATAACTGAGGTGTAATTTTAGGGAAGAACAATTGGATTGTGATTTCAACCAAGGAATGTAAAACTATGTGGTTGCAATATATTCTGCCTGAACTAAAAAAGTGCTTTAGCAGAGGAAAGGAAATTGGTAGTAGTCTCCCTGTCATGTTGAAAAGGAAAGTCCAGAAAGATTTGGCTGTGTGTTGCCTGCACTACTCGGGGCCCTAGAATACAAATATGGTAGCTGACTCATGGGGTAAGTATCTCCCTATGTCAGACTAGGAAAGTTAGTGACACTTATCATTATTGAATAGGTTATAAAACTCAAGAACAGGACAGGTGTGGTGGTTCATGCCTGTAATCTCAGCACTCTGGCAGGCCAAGGGAGGAAGATGACTTGAGCCCAGGGGTTTGATACTAGCCTGGGCAACATAATTTTAAAAAATAAATTAATTTTTAACAATAAAATAAATAAAATACATAACCTCAAGGACAACCTTATAAAATTAATCCTGATAATTGCTCCTAGATGAATGCTGATGAAGGTAAGTGAATTCTAAAAACAGTACTAATCTCCCTTCTACCTCACCAAATATGTTTCTTTTCCTGAATTCTTTATCCTGGTTAATTATAAAATCATCTTCCAGTCACTCCTTTCCTAAAATCTTGTCATCATCTCTCCAATGATGGTCACTCTTTCATCCTCCACATCCAGTAAATCAGCAAGGTTTAGCAATTATTATTATTATTATTTTTCAAGACGGAGTCTCCCTCTGTTGCCCAGGCTGGAGTGCAGTGGCTCAATCTTGGCTCACTGCAACCTCCGCCTCTTGGGTTAAAGTGGTTATTGTGCCTCAGCCTCCCTAATAGCTAGGACTACAGGCGCGCCCCACCATGCCGGCTAATTTTTGTATTTTTATTAGAGACAGGGTTTCACCATGTTGCCCAGGATGGTCTTGAACTCCTGACCTCGAATGATCCACCTGCTTCAGCCTCCCAAAGTGCTGGGATTACAGATGTGAGCCACCATGCCTGGCCATATTTTTATGTTCTCAAGTATTCCCTCTCCTCTTCATTCTCACTGTCTTAGTGTAGTGGACATCTATATATCTATAGTTCAGCTTTCTTTTTGTAATACTTGCAATTCTGATCTTTTGGGGACCTATTCCTTCTCACTCTAACCATGTGGTTCTACTGGGACTTGCCTCATGGTTCCCCTTACACCATTATTGGAGGCACATGACCTGGGTGGAAAATTAGAAGGAGTCATAACTGAAAGGGTGAATGCAGACACTTCACTTTATACAAGTCAAGGTTATCGTAGTGGTCATGGTGGATGACTTCTCAACAAGAGTCTCTCACAATGATTAGTCTAAGTCAGAAGTCACCATACTGTGGACATTTAGGGTCAGATAATTCTTAGTTGTGGAAGTTGTTTTATGTATTGTGAGATGTTTAGCAGTATCCCTGGCTTCTATCCTTTAGATGCCAGTGCACCCTTTCTCTAAGGTGTGACAACTAAAAATACTCCAGATATTGCCAAGTGACTCCTAGACAGTGAAATCATCTCAGGTTGAGAACTACTGGCCTAAACTATTTGTGGCAATCCTATTGCTTATTTCATTGGTCTCCAAAAACAGGCCAATGTAAGGTGTAAAAGTTTTGTCCACTAGAGGGCTTCTGGGAAGGTTTCCACAATCCTGAGAAAGTCGACTGGAATTAAGAGCATTTTCTTGAGAGAAGTTGTTTTTATGTGAATACTTAAACTGGCTGCAGTCAACATGGAGGGGGAAATGGAGAAATAAGGAATGTAAAGTAGGAGATAGAATAAATTTTACTCCTTAACTGTTGAGCCGATGACTTCTCTGCATGAGCCTAAAACAATCTTATCTCTGTACTACCACTTATTTTTGAGTATATATGTATGTACTAAAAAAAAAAAAAAAACAGCTCAAATGGGAGTGTACTGTACATGCTTTGTGTTACTTCTTTTTACATATTTGTAGGTGATGCTTTCATATAAGTATATAGAAAGCTGCCTAATTCTTTTCATTGACTGCAAATTATTTCATTTCATAGATAAGGAATAATTCATCTAACCAGTATCTTGGAGTCTTTTATGTGTGTTTTTTTTTAAAAAAAAAACAAAAACAAAAACATTTTTTCTAATGCAAAGAATGGTTCCATAACTTTCCATTATACACAAGTCATTGGAATAGACTTGAGAAGAGGAATTATTAAGACGGACGCCATGGCTCATGCCTGTAATCCTGACACTTTAGGAGCCCGAGGAAGTGGATCACTTGAGCTCAGGAGTTTGAGACCAGCCTGGCCTACGTGGTGAAACCCCGTCTCTACTAAAAACACAAGAAAATTAGCTGGGCGTGATGGCACACACCTGTAATCCCAGCTACTCAGGAGGCTGAGGCAGGAGAATCACTTGAACCCAGGAGGAGGAGATTGCAGTGAGCCAAGATCATGCCACTGCACTCCAGCCTGGGTGACAGAGTGAGACTCTGTCTCAAAAAAAAAAAAAAAGACAAATTATTAGGTGTGCATGTGTGATTTTCATAGATATTATAAAATATCCTGGGAAGAGATTGAATTAACATTCTCATTATCAACATATGGTAGCCTCATACTCTGATTAATAAATTATCAAACTTTGAGACGTAGTCTCGCTCTGCCACCCAGGCTGCAGTGCAGTGGCGCGATTTCGGCTCACTGCAACCTTCACCTCCCGGGTTCAAGCGATTCTCCTGTCTCAGCCTCCCAAGTAGCTGGGATTATAGGCATGGGCCGCCATGCCCGGCTAATTTTTGTATTTTTAGTAGAGATGGGGTTTCACTATGTTGGCCAGGCTGGTTTCCAACTGACCTCAGGCGATCTGCCTGCCTCAGCCTCCCAAAGTGCTGAGATTACAGGCTTGAGCCGCTGCACCCAGCCAGTTATCAAACTTTTTGTGCTTTGGTAATTTCATGAAATACTATATGCAATGTAATTTCAGTTTATATAATAAAACTTGTCAGAATGAAAATGGAATCATTTGTGTAAAACCCTGGCAAATGGAAGGCCTTGAAAGGAGGGTTGTCACGCATGTATGCCTAATAACAAGAACTATCACAAAAGATAGCAAAAAACATGACCTTACACAGAGGCTACTTCAACCTCATACAAAAAATACTTCTGTGAAAAATAAAAATACTTCTGTGAGCACATGTGCTGAGCAACTGCCTGTCCAACCTTGGACTGACACCATCCTCGTTATTGGTCTCTGTAGGCAAAGATAATTGTTTCAAAATAGTTATGTAATCCCCCTCATTTTTCACTGAAAAACCCTTTTACCTCCCAGAACATGCTCCCTGTATTCCCATTGCAAGGCTCAATCCCCAAAACTATCATTTTCTTTTATAGAGTCTCTCTCTGCCTGTTATTTAGGTTGACATAATCTGGTGTCAAGAAGTGGGACCAAAGTGAGCTCACCTTGATGGATCGGTGACTCCTGGAATCACATGAAGTTCCCACATTGAGCCCCTTTGAGCTCTCCAATCCTACAGCTCACCTTTTCTGTCATGGTGAATCTCCTCTCAGGTTCTTGAACTCCCTCATTTTGGTGAGTTCTTTTGACTTTCTTTGGGATTTGTTTTGGATAATGGCTGCCTTAATAAAGGACCTTGTATCTCTCTTGAGACTAGAAAATACATTTTTTCTGACAAATCCTTTCTGGTACAAAGATATTTTATCTTTCTGGAGAGTATACACTTCTGATTTCTATAAAATTTACCTCATGTATTTTCTGGTGAGTTCTTTTTTTTTTCTTTTTGCATGCCTTCGCAGCCATTATACAATTCAGTGAGTCCTAGCTGAAATGTAAAAACACCTGAGAAACTAACCACTAAATTTGAGGCTTTAAAAAAAAAAGGTAAGAGAGTTTTTTTCTTTTTACCAACTGCTATAGGGATGTAACTCAGATCCAACCAGTGAATTTATGTTACTATATTTTACAGTCTCATGAATACATATAAAAGTGAAAGCTATAAGATCTTTGTTAACATATGTGTTTATGTATGTTATATGTTGTGTATACATGGCAAAATCTGGCATAATTGACCAGAAATCCCTTAAGGAAGCCTATTTAGATTGGCTTAGAGAGAAATGGGTACTCATGTAAAATTATATCTAAAACTGTTGAAATATATAGTAATTAACCCAAATGCCTTTTTGTTTATGTGACTTAAGTGAATCTTTGATAAATAAGCTGGTTTTAAATTTATCAGTAAAATAGAAATGTTTTTAGAATTGTCAGCATACATTCTTGCCTGCACTTATTGTTCAGACAATTTTTATATTTGTTCTAGCTGTTTTAAAGTGTCAGGATTCGACACACAGGTCATAAAACTATAATTCCAGCCTTAAAAGCAAAATGATCTTTGATGGTTAATACTGAGTGCCAATTTGATTGGATTGAAGGATACAAAGTATTGATCCTGGGTGTGTCTGTGAGGGTGTTGCCAAAAGAGGTTAACATTTGAGTCAGTGGGCTTAGGGAAGGCAGATCCACCCTTAATCTGCTGGGCACCATCTAATCAGCTGCAGCTAATATAAAGCAGGCAGAAAAACATGAAAAGGAGAGACTGGCCTAGCTTCCCAGCCTACGTCTTTCTCTCATGCTGGATGCTTCTTGTCCTTGAACATTGGACTCCAGGTTCTTCAGTTTTGAGACCTGGACTGGGTTTCCTTGCTCCTCAAGTTTGCAGACAGCCTATTGTTGGACCTTGTGATCATGTAAGTTAATACTTAATAAACTCCCCTATATATCTATAAACATATATATATATGTATGTATGTTACGTATGTATGTATGTATGTATGTATCCTATTACTCTGTCCCTCTAGGGAACCCTGACTGATACAGTTTATGTCACTTTTTTTTTTTTTGAGATGGAGTTTTGCTCTTGTCCAGGCTGGAGTGCAATGGCACGATCTCTGCTCACTGCAACCTTTGTCTCCCAGGTTCAAGTGATTCTCCTGCCTCAGCTTCCTGAGTAACTGGGATTACAGGCAAGCGCCACCATGCCTGGCTAATTTTGTATTTTTAGTAGAGACAGGGTTTCACCATGTTGATCGGACTGGTCTCGAACTCCCAACCTCAGGTAATCTTCCCACCTCAGCCTCCCAAAGTGCTGGGATTACAGGCATGAGCCACCACACCCGGCCTACTTTTTTTTTTTTTTAAGGCAGGATCTTGCTCTGTTTCCCAGTCTGGAGTGCAGTGACACGATCATGACTCACTGCAGCCTCAACCTCTCAGACTCAAGCAATCCTCTCACCTCAGCCTCCCAAATAGATGGGACTTTTTTTTTCTTTTTAATTTTTTTATAGAGATAGGGTTTCACTATGTTGCCCAGGCTACTCTCAACCTCCTGGGCTCAAGTGATCCTCCCACCTTAGCCTCCCAAAGTGTCAGGATTACAGGCATGAACCATCCTGCCCAGCCTATTTTTGTGCAACTTTTTGATGAATAAGACTAGTTTAATATTGTTACTTTAGTGAAAACAGCTGTATCTTCTAAGTAATCAATAAAATATCCATGTACTTTAAGGTTCTTAATGTGAACATCTAACATTCACATGCTGTAAAAATGGCTAACAGAAAGGTAACTTGAAATAATGATTAGCTCTGTGTAATATCTGTTTTCATAAGTAATCTAGGTATAATGGTTAAAAAATAAATTAGGTAAATGAAAAGGGAATAAGTATGTATAAATGAACTTTTCATATGATTTGAGATCTTAAAGTTATGTTAAATAAGTAATAGTTATTCATTAAATGTCTGGGTCATAGCCAAATAAGATAAAATATGAAAACATTAATTACTGAACATAGATTCAAATTAATTTACTTTTGGCTTTTTTTTTTTCTTTTTTGAGACAAAGTTTCACTCTTGTCCCCCAGGCTGGAGTGCAATGGCACAATCTCGGCTCACTGCAACCTCCCCCTTACAGGTTCAAGCAATTCTGCCTCAGCCTCCCAAGAAGCTGGGATTACAGGCGCCTGCCACCACACCCAGCTAATTTTTGTATTTTTAGTAGACAGGGTTTCACCATGTTGGCCAGGCTGGTCTCGAACTCCTGACCTCAGGTGATCTGCCCGCCTTGGCCTCCCAAAGTGCTGAGATTACAGGCATGAGCACCATGCCCGGCCTTCTTTTTTTTTTTTTTAGGCAGGGTCTCACTCTCACCCAGGCTGGAATGCATGATCACAGCTCACTGCAACCTCTACCTCCCAGGCTTGAGCAGATCCTCCCAGCTTAGCCTCCCCAGTAGCTAGGTCTACAGGTGTGAACCACCATGCCCAGCTAATTTTTTGATTTTTTTTTTTTTTTTTTTTTTTTTTGAGCCAGAGTTGCGCTCTTGTTACCTGGGCTGGAGTGTAATGGCGCAATCTCAGCTAACTGCATTCTTCGCCTCCCAGGTTCAAGCGATTCTCCTGCCTCAGCCTCCCGAGATTCTCCTGCCTCAGCCTCCCGAGTAGCTGGAATTACAGGCATGCGCCACCATGCCCAGCCTTTGATTTTTTTTTTTTAAGAGATGGGGTCTCTGTATGTTGCCCAGGCTTGTCTTGAACTCCTGGGCTCAAGCGGTCCTCTCACCTCAGCCTCCCCAAGTGCTAGGATTACAGGCAGGAGACACCACACCTGGCCTACTTTTGGCTTCTTAAGTTTTAAAGAAAGAGAAAAGCTATTTGGGCTTATTAATAAATACGTTCTGTTTCACATTGGAAAATTGTTCTATGAGAAAGCACATGTTTCTAGAGATTATGAAATACATATTCATAGGAGGTTGATGTATGTCAGATAGTTCAGAGTTTGCTTGCTTCCTGGGCTTTCACTAGAAATTAGGGTTACTGAGAGTTAAAAATTCTAATTAATGTATGTGATTCTGCATGCAAGATATATAAGAAATTGTGTTTTTGATGAGAAAAACTTTGAAGATGAGAATTTTTTTAAAGAAAAGAATAGTTTTGTCTAAATTCAGAGGTTATTTAAGGTTATTTTAAAAGTAAATTTAGAAAGAAGATAGCAGCAAGACAGAAAGGAACCAGTAGGAAGAAGAGAGGCTTGCATAGAAAGTTATAGGTATGAAGATGTATTTTTGGAAAGGGAGGTTAAAAAGAGAAGAGGTTTTTTTTTTTGGTATGAGAGAGAATCTCAAGTGGTCAAAATCAAAAGAAAAAAAGTAAATTGTGTCCTAAAGTAAAATGACTGGTTGTTAAAGAAAGAGCAACTATAAATAGGACAAAACCAAAAGTCTGGGCAGGTCACAGACAGTCTGAGCTAGTTGTAAAAGGTTTGTGAAAGATGACTCTTACGAAAGAAATTTTGTGTGTGATAAAGTTGGCTAAAATTACACTTGGTTTTAGCCAAAAGGCTGAGAAGCGATGAAGTTGGCTAAAATTAGAAGAGAATTATTTATAAATATTTCTAAAGATTTAGATTTAATTATATGTATAATTAAATAAAAACAGCTACATATGTATACATATATATAAATATGTTATGGATACAAAACTAAAATTTTAGTTCCCTATGTTAGAAGCACTTTTTTTGGAGTGTTGATCTGCTCTTCATAAAATTTGTAAGAGGTTTTGATTTCTAAAATCGATTCTGAAATCTGTTTAAGTTTTTAACCATCTTCTGAACTAAGCTTTTTTCTGTTTTATAGTCTCCATTTAATTTCCATAATTCCAGGTTAAAAATGCTATCTTCTTCATTGCGAATAGTAATTTATTTTCTCAAAATAGAGTTTTCCTTTGGAAGCTTTTCGGATTCATATCTCAGAAGTTCAAATTTTGCTGCATCTCACTGCATGTGATTTGCAGGTCAGGCATGATTACCTTCTGCTTCTCCTCTTTTTCTCCTTGAGAAGGTACTCTTTTTGTTTGGCTGGGGTGATGACTCTTGCCTTCAGCCTTTTTGTCAGCTCTTGTAACTTTTTTCTCCAGTCCTAACTCTGCTGTTGTGACCTGACACCGAATATCTTTGTCTTGAAGGCCTAGGAGAGCAATGCTTTCCTCCAATATAACTAGATTCTGTACTCTTGGCTTTTCTTGATGTGTCTGGATTGTTCCATGTAACCAGGCAATTTCACATGCTTCTGCTTTTTCTAAGAGCCATATATTCTCCCTGCTCAAGGGACTGGTTTTCTTGTTTACTTCTATGACACAGTGTACACTCATAACCTTGGACATACACTCTTCCAGTGTCTGATTGAATTCAAGTACCTTTATATCAAATCTGACTTCCAGGTTATCTGAATGTGCTTCCCATAAAGAAAAGCAATCACAATGCAGGAGGTTTTTCTTTTCACTTTGGTAATTGGCCTAGGAAACAAAGATTTGGTGTTTTATCAAGATAATTCCTGCGTATCATATTGTTTTTATTAGGTTTTTTATTATGTAGGAAAACTGAGCTTTAAAAGAGTTAAAGCTTCTTTATTTGTTTTGTTTTCTTTTGTTTTTGTTTCTATTTTGCATCTATATAATATTCTGTATTTGCTTTTGAAATATTTTAATTACCATTCTAGTTAAGTGAATGACTATTATTTCACAATGACATGTGATCCCATTTTGATCAGATGTTTTAAACCTTTTGACATCTTTGGCAGGCTTCCTCGTATCAAAGCTCTAAATTAAGTTTTCTTGACCTACAATTAACTTTGAGATTTTCCACTTGGACCTGTGGAGAGCCTCCAATAATGTACTTCTCATCTGGTAGAAATGTTAATAATTAGGCTTATTAGATGTATTAAATTGTTTGGGAAGCATTGTCAAATAAATGATGTTAAATCTTTGTTAAAGTTATATTTATACGAATATAATATTGATATTCTATATATTAACACTGTGACTGTTCTGAAGATTATGTAAAATTTCTGAAAGTCTGATGATCCTGATGTGTTGCTGTCAGTCATGATTCTGGTTGTTATATTAAAATGATATATGAAATTTTCATATCTGAATATAACTGAATTTCCTTGTCAATTGCTAAACTTTCATCAGATTTCTCCCCATGGTTATTCAGAGTCTCTGTCATCCACAATTTTGATTTTTCACTAAAAGCATCTGCATTCAGCTTGGGTATGGTGGCTCATGCCTGTAATGCCAGCACTTTGGGAGGCTGAGACAGGAGGATCACTTGCGACTATAGGTTCAAGATCGGCCTGAGCAACACGGCAAGACCCTGTCTCTATTTAAAATAAAATAAAATAAATAAAAAATAAGAGCATCTGCAATCAGATTCATGGAAAGACTCTAGCAAATGCTCTTGAATACAGGTTTCTGATAACTTTAAAATCAATGGCTCTAGTAAAAATTTACAGAATTGTAATGAAGAAACTGATGAGTTCATGAAACTGTTAATCAAGACCAAGTAAAACAAAAATTAATTACATGAGATTGTATAACTGAAAAGGATAATGTTTTTATAACTTTTATTTGAAACATTGTTGGCTCTTTACTTAAATGTTTTGTTTTCCAGATTTAAGGAAACCTTTTCTCATAACTAGCTATAGTTTATGGAAATTTGATAATGCATACTTTTGTAATAAAATTGGAAGAATCTACTTTTTCTTCCTACTTGATTCCTCCAAAATTCCGAAACTATTTGTATTTTAGTTTAAATTTTTTTAAATCAATAGTTTTGGCCAGGCGTGGTGGTTCACTCCTATAATCCCAGCACTTTGGGAGGCCAAAGCGAGTGCATCACCTGAGGTCAGGAGTTCCAGACCAGCCTGGCCAACATGGTGAAACCCCATCTCTACTAAAAAAAATACAAAAATTAGCTAGGCGTGGTGGTGGGCCTCTGTAATCCCCGCTACTCGGGAGGCTGAGGCAGGAGAATCGCTTGAACCGGGAGGCAGAGGTTGCAGGGAGCTGAGATTGCGCCATTGCACTCCAGCCTGGGCGACAAGAGTGAAACTCTGTCTCAAAAAATAAATAAATAAACAAATAAATGATAGATAAATAAAATAGTTTGCATAAGTTCAATAAGATCTGCTCTCTTTATAACAGGATACAATTGAAAATGTTGGCTTTACTAGCAAGATTTTGACTGGGATGTTATATTTAAATAATTTAGGCCGGGCACGGTGGCTCATGCTTGTAATCCCAGCACTTTGAGAAGCCAAAGCAGGTGGATCACGAGGTCAGGAGTTTGAAACCAGCCTCGCCAACATGGTGAAACCCCATCTCTACTAAAAATACAAAAATTATCCGAGTGTGGTGGCCCGCGCCTGTAATCCCAGCTACTTGGGAGGCTGAGGCAGGAGAATCGCTTGAACCCAGGAGGCAGAGGTTGTAGTGAGCCGAGATGGCACCACTGCACTCCAGCCTGGGTGACAGAGTGAGAATGTGTCTCAAAAAAAAAAAAATCATTTATAGGTACTGCAGGCAAAATCTGAAGTCTCTTTTGGTTTGGCTTCCCAGCCTCAAGTGGTTTTTAAATATGAGATTTCCACCAGGCGCAGTGGCTCGTGTCTATAATCCTAGCACTTTGGGAGGCTGAGGTGGGCGGATCACTGGAGACCAGGAGTCTGGGGCCAGCCTGGACAACATGGTGAAACCTATCTCTACAAAAATGCAAAAATTAGCCGGGCATGGTGGCACATGCCTGTAGGTCCAGCTACTTGAGACACTGAGCTGGTAGGATTGCTTAAGCCTGGGAGGTCGAGGCTGCAGTGAGCTGAGATCATGCCACTGCACTCCAGCCTGGGTAATAGAGCAAGACCTTGACTCAAAACAAACAAACAAACAAAAAGGAAAAAGAAAAAAGATGAAATTTCTATGTGAAAAATAACTATTCTTGCTGCACTTCTGTAAATGATCATACCAACATTGATGACACTAAATTATTTTACAAATAATTTTGTCTTTTTCTGATTGTTTTTAGTAGAAATTGGGATGACTGGAAATTTATGTGTTTTTGTTGTTGTTGTTTTTTGTTGTTTTTTAAAAAAGCTATAATACACCTGTGACTAGATTGTAGCCCTGTATCATGGTTGACCTCTGCTTAATTTGAAAAACAAAATTGTAGCCCTGTGCAGTGTTTTGGGTTTTCGATATCTGCTTATAGACTAGATTAGATCCTGAATTCACCTCATTCCTACCAATATCTGGCTACAACTATTCAACTAAGTATAAGAATGCTCTGTTTTAGCCGGGTGCGGTGACTCCCAGCACTTTGGGAGGCCAAGGCGGGCGGATCACGAGGTCAAGAGATCGAGACCTTCCTGGCCAACATGGTGAAACCCTGTCTCTACTAAAAATACAAAAATTAGCTGGGCATGGTGGCGCGTGCCTGTAGTCCTAGCTACTTGGGAGGCTGAGGCAGGAGAATTGTTTGAACCCAGGAGGCAGAGATTGTAGTGAGCCGAGGTCGAGCCACTGCACTCCAGCCTGGTGACAGAGTAAGACTCCATCTCAAAAAAAAAAAAAAAAAAAAGGAACTGCTCTGTTTTTCAGGCCTTATAAGATGAAACTGAGTAACTTTTAAGGGACAAATCTCATGCCTAATGTAAGGGCTTCCCCAAAAGTTCACTGGACCACCCAGTGCCAGGACCAGAAACATTCACACCAAAACCAGGATGTGAATTTGACAGTTTCATACTGTAGATGGGTTTTCCCAAGACAATGGAATAAGATTCTCCATCATAATGAGACTCTTATCCCTATTTTTTCTTTGCTTATGCCTACCTTTTGTCTTTGACAGGTGTAATGGAAATTTCACAATTAGTAGCTATTGCATGTAACTTGACAGAACCTGATCTAAGAAATCCTTTAGTTAGTGGGTAACTGTGGCAACATCCCTAATACAACTTTTTGTTCATATTATACTAAGGGTCCTTTTTTCTTTTCTTTTCTTTTCTTTTTTTTTTTGAGCTAGCTCTCTCTGCTTTAATTCAACCAAGTCATGGAATGCTAAATAACAGGATTGCTACCTACTAGCTAAACAGAGATATCTGTATCAACACAAACACTACATGCTGTACCAGGATAAATTATTCTGGGGAAGTTGAGACCCAAATACACAAAATAAGAAAAGAAGCCATGGTCACAGCAGGTCTCATATGGCCGGGTGCGGTGGCTCACGCCTGTAATCTCAGCACTTAGGGAGGCCGAGGCGGGCAGATCACTTGAGCTCAGGAGTTCGAGACCAGCCTAGCCAACATGGTAAAACCCCATGTCTACTAAAAATATAAAAATTACCCAGGCGTGGTGGCATGCACCTGTAATCCCAGCTACTCAGGAGGCTGAGTCAGGAAAGTCACTTGATCCCAGGAGGCGGAGGTTGCAGTGAGCCGAGATTGTGCCACAGCACTCCAGCCTGGGCAACAGAATGAGACTCCATCTCAAAAAACAAACAACAACAACAACAAAAACACCAGGTCTCATCCAATTTCCCATGGCCATTTGATTTATTCAATTGGTTGCCTTTAAGCATAAGCTCATGGCTTAAAACCATAATGCAAACTGGGATTATCATATTACTATTAATTTTACTTAGTGTTTTCCTTTTTAAACTTTGTACCTGTTGCCTGTCACATTTCTGCAGATATACAACTCTTTGCAGAATAATGCTGGTCCAGCACTTTGAGATGATAGACAACGCCTATGGAACACACAAAAACTTAACAATGGACTCCTGGCAGATTTAGCCTGAGAGTCACTTCCTCCAAACCTCCCTTGCTAAAAAGGTTTTGCCACTGACTCTTAGTCATGAGTCACTCCCTCCAATGTAGGACTAGACAACAACCTGGGACACATAAGTCTTGGCATTGAGGGACAATCAAAACCTAACTCCATAGCTGGGTGTGATGGCATTTGCCTCCAGACCCAGTTACTCAGGAGGCTGAAGCAAGAGGGTCACTTCAGCCCAGGAGTTCAGTGCTATAGTGCACAGTGACTGAGCCTATGAACAGACTCTGCACTCCAGCCTGGGCAACATATCAAGACACTGTTTAGACTTTTTTTTTTTTTTTTTTTTAAGACAGAGTCTCACTCTGTTGCTCAGGCCGGAGTGCAATGGTGCAATCTTGGCTCACAGCAACCTCTGCCTCCCGGGTTCAAGTGATTCTTTTGCCTCAGCCACCTGAGTAGCTGGGACTACAGGCATGCACCACCATGCCTGGCTAATTTTTGTATTTTTAGTAGAGACAGGATTTCACCATGTTGGCCAGGCTAGTCTCGAACTCCTGAGCTCAAGTGATCTGCCTGCCTTGGCCTTTCAAAGTGCTGGGATTACAGGGGTGAGCCACCACGCCTGGCCTACTTTTTTTAAAAGTAGGGAAAAAAAACCCCAAAAAAACCAAGCCCTAACTATGGGTAACTGATCAGCAATGCTTGTAGAAAAATCTTTTGATCAAGAGGGGGACGTATGAAAGTTGTCAGGATCAAAAAGGAGTCACTTGTGTCAAACCCTGAAATATGGAGCCAGAGAAGGCCACAAAGGGAGGGTTGTCATGCTTGTATACCTGATAAGAACTATCACAAAAGACTGACTGCGAAAAACCACAACCTTGCGCAAAGGCCATCACAACCATACACAAAAAATATTTCTGTGAGTACATCTGCCTAGCAACTGCCTGTCCAGCCTTGCACTGATGCCACCCTTGTTATTGATTCTTGTAATGAAGAATAATTGTTTACAGACACTTATGTAATATTTTCATTTTTTCTTTAACAACTCTTTTCTTTCATTACCTCCCTGAATATGCTCACCATGTTCCCATTGCTATGCTCAATCCCAAATAAATATTATCAATCCTGAATAATTATCAATAAATATTTTTAAAATATTTTATATGTAATATATGTATATAAGAATATATATTTATAGTATATATAAATATTTATAATATAAAAGTATTCATGTTTTACTTTTTTTGGAGACAAAGTCTCATTCTGTCACCCATGCTGGAGTGCAGTGGCATGAACATGGCTCACTGCAGTCTTGGCCTCCTGGGCTCAAGTGATCCGTCCACCTCACCCCTCTGGGTTGCTAGGACTACAGATGTGCACCACTATGCTTGGCTAATTTTTAAAAAATTTTTGTAGAGACAGAATCTCCTTGTCTTGCCCAGGCTGGTCTGGAACTCCTGGCTCAAGTGATCCTCCTGCCTTGTGAACCTCCCAAAGTTCTAGGATTACAGGCACTTACACATGAGCTACTGCACCTGGCCCTATTTATATATTTTTTTTTAATCCACCCATCTGCACACTGAGAGTGTGTGTGTGTATTTAATTATTTTTTATGCAGTTTCATGTTTTTAGATCTTAAGTTTAAATCTTTGGATTATTTAGCAATTTTTTTGGTTTAATGTGTTATATAAAAACCCTTATATAATGTGTTATATAAAAACTTTTATGTAAAAACCTGTATTTTTTCTGAACTATTATCCAATAGTACCATGATGTTTTCTTTCTTTTAGTTTGTGTACTTGTTTATTATAGTAGACTTTTTCCATGGTTCATTTATGAGCAGTTCTGTCCAAATCTGCTTTTCACCCAAAAAGTGTTGGTGAATTCTGCTTGACTGTCCACTCTCTTTTTACCTGGGAACTGTAAACTGTACCATAATATTAGAAATGGGTATATTCTCTTTGTAATAACATCTACACTATACTCTGTGATATGTAGTATGTACAAACTCACCTTCTGGAACCAGAATGTCTGATTGTGTCTGTTGCTTACCATCTGTGTGCCCTTGGACTTCTTTTTTCTCTCTCTCTCTTTTTCTTTTCTTTTTTTTTTTTTTTTTTTTTTTTGAGACAGAGTCTTGCTCTGTCACCAGGCTGGAGTGCAGTGGCGTGATCTCAGCTCACTGCAACCTCAACCTCCGCCTTTTGGGTTCAAGTGATTCATATGCCTCAGCTTTCCAAGTAGTTGGGATTACAGGCACGCACCACCACACCCAGCTAATTTTTGTATTTTTAGTAGAGATGGGGTTTCATCATGTTGGCCAGGATGGTCTCGATCTCCTGACCTCATGATCCACTTGCCTCAGCCTCCCAAAGTGCTGGGATTACAGGTGTGAGCCACTGCGCCCAGCTGCCCTTGGACTTCTGAACTTTTCTGTGGCTCAGTTTCCTTATCTGTAACAGGAGACTAGTTAGGATTGAATGAGTTAATGCTTGTAAGATGTATGAAATGGTTCCTGGTACATAGTCAAGGCTTTGTAAGTTTTAGAATTAGGATTATCCCCTTCTATGGCTTAAGAGAGAGAGGAAGAGGGCTGAAGCTATGGGAAGCTTGAGTATTTTGTGGGTCTTGGTTTCTGATTTAGAAATGAACTCAGTCTTGCTCAGAGACTGTGTTCCTAACCTCTAATGTTTTTGTCTCTCTATTTTTTCTTCAATTTAGTCCAAATTCTTCGGTATTTGAGAGATGTTTCTCAAAGTTTAAAAAAATTTTTTTAATTTTTTAATATAAAAAACTCCAAACATTAAACAAAAGCTGGAGGAATAACAATAAATCTCATTTACCCATCATCCAGTTTCATTTTTTTATGTTATTTTTATTCCATTTTTTTAGAATAGAGACGGAGTCTCACTATGTTGCCCAAGCTGGTCTTGAACTTCTGGGCTCAAGTGATCCTTCTGCTTCAGCCTCCCAAAGTGCTGGGTTTTGAAGGCATGAGTCACCATGCCCGGTCTATCATCCAGTTTTAATTGTTATTGTCTTATGGCCTTCATAGTTCTTGGTATGTTGGAAGGATTACTTGAGCCCAGCGGTTTGAGACCAGCCTGGATGATATAGAGAGACCCTATCTCAAAAAAAAAAGTTATTAGTATAAGGTTGAGAACTCTTCCCTAGTTTCCACGTAGATGGTGCTATTGTTCCTAGCACCTAGGAGAAGGAAGCTTTGTGGGTCTGTACCTATCCTTTCAGATTTCCTGTAGGTCATAAACCCAATACTTGAGCTATCATGATTTAAACACTTTTTCTTGCAACTGTAGCAGCTCATCAGGCTGTTATATCTATCTCATCCTCTTTATTTCTACTCTAATTGCCCTACTTGGACCTTCACTGCTTTTCATCTGAATTATTGCAACAGCAGCCTAATTGGCCTTCCTGTATTCAGACCTCTATATTCAGTCCACTCTTCGTACTGTCGAAAGTTTATTTTTTTTTAATATCACAAGCCTAATTATGGCACTCTGTTCTAGAAGCCAAGGAATTGCTCTCGGTTGCCTATGGAGTAAAATTCAAATGGTCTTTTTTTCCACAAGAACATGAGATGGCCCTTTTCAGCCCTTCACTAGAGTATCTTTCACTATATACCATAGTTCCTCAATTCTAACATGCCATTGATTATAGACTATATATTATGATTATATGTCATTGATTTAGCAAAAGCTTTTGGGTCAGGGACCAAGAGGCACAATGGAACCTACGCATCAGTGATAAGATACATTGTGATTTCACAATTATGAAAATGTAGAGGCATATTAAATTATTCCTGTAATCACAGCAACAGTATTAAGGTAACAGCAATAAATGGATGGCATATTAACCTGCGTAATTATAGGAGATTTTTAGTAAGGTAATTATTTGCAGACATGGGCAAAGTTTAGGGAGCCAATAGGACATGGTATAGTATTCCCAGGCTGGCTTTAGGGTGGGTGGGGGACTGTTGCAACCGAATATCTAGGTATGAAGGCTGAGGGGAAGGAACTCTGCCAGAAACCAGAGAGAGAAGTGTACAGAGCAGGACTCTAGACAAAAGTTGCGGACTTCAGTAGAGAGAGTGAGTGAGCCATGGAAACATGGTAGGGAAGGGGCCAAAGGAATAAAGATCTCGAATACTTCACTCTCTCCCCACCCTCTTATCTCCAAGCTAGCTAAAGCCATCTCGAATCCAGAGGATAAACAAGTCCACCAATGCAGTTAAGCTTCCCAGGGCACAAAGCATTATGGAGAAGAATGGAGCACAGTGGGGAGGGAAGCCAAAGGCTAAATGGACAGTGTCAGGCACATCCTCCATTCGATTTACTCTCCATCTTATTTTATTTATTTATTTATTTATTTACTTATTTATTTATTTATTTATTCATTCGAGACAGAATCTCACTCTGTCTCCCAGGCTGGAGTACAGTGGCAAAATCTCGGCTCACTGCAATGTCTGCCTCCTGGGTTCAAGGGATTCTCCTCTCTCAGCCTCCTGAGCACCTGGGACTACAGGCGCATGCCACCACACCCGGCTAATTTTTTTTTCTTTTTTTTTTTAGTGGAGATGGGGTTTCACTGTGTTACCCAGGATGGTCTTGATCTCCTGACCTTGTGATCCGCCCACCTCAGCCTCCCAAAATCTGGGATTACAGGCGTGAGCCACCACACTCAGCCTACTCTTCATCTCAAATCACAGATTAAATCTCTACATACCTGAATATTTGCCCGCTTGCTGTTTATTTGGCCTTTGAGCTCAGCTTAATTTTCGCGTTCTCCATGAAGCCATCTCTGACTTGTTTAGTCAATTTGTCCTCTGATGTGTTCCCATAAAACGCCACTTAAAAGATTTAAACTTTAGATGGTCCAAAAGGAACCGTTGATGTCAGGACAACCATAAACCAAATTTTATCTCATGGGGAAATATGAGATTGGATGAGTGACAAAAGAGGCTTTGAAAATGTAGAACTGGGAGTGATACAAGGAAAGAAGAAAGTCCCAAGGAGAGCCATCCTCTTTGTTAGTGATGACACAATGAAGGAATACAGCACAGATGAAGATGAAGTTGATGGCCTAGAGAGGAAAGATGTTTTGCCTACTCTTGACCCAGAAGAAGAAGGAGGTGGAGGAGGTGGAGTGAAGGAAGAGGAGGAGAAAAATAGGATGTCTACAGAAGCAGAAAGACATTACCAACAGAGGAGGAGGAGGAAGAGGAGGAGAATGTCTGTATGAGCAGAAAGACAATATCAACAGAATAAGGCCAGGTGTGGTGGCTCACGCCTGTAATCCCAGCACTTTGGGAGGCTGAGGCTGGCGGATCACGAGGTCAAGAGATCGAGACCATCCTGGTCAACGTGGTGAAACCCCATCTCTACTAAAAATACAAAAATTAGCTGGGTGTGGTGGTGCGCCCCTGTAGTCCCAGCTACTTGGGAGGCTGAGGCGGAAGAATCGCTTGAACCCTGGAGGCAGAGGTTGCAGTGAGCTGAGATTGTGCCACTGCACTCCAGCCTGATGACAGAGTGAGACTCTGTCTCAAAAAAAAAAAAAAAAAAAACCCCAACAGAATAAATTGCAGACTGATTCCATTGTTCAGACAGATCAACCAGGGACAGTGGTATTCAGTTCATTTGGGAATCTCAATTTTGAAATGGAGGGAGACAGTGAAGTAATTATGGAAAGCAAACAAAATCTCGTCTCTTTTCTACTACAAAATGAAATGACTATCAAACTTCAAACCCTAAGGGTTTTATTTTTTTATACCAGGAACTTTCACATTCTCTGCTCAGTGAGACTTAATGCAATTATTTATATTTTAAATTACTTAAATAATCTGGAAAAGAGAAATGTTTCTTCATTCTTAGGCTCTATTCAGCAAAAGCCAAATCTGAAATTTGTACCATTTCTGCTGTGTGTTGAATTAGTGCTTTGGTTTAAAATGATCTTTTAAAAAAGTTAAGGATACCCTAGAGCTTCAATTGCCAATTTAAAAGTTAAATTATCAAGGTTGTCTTATTTGTGCATTTAAAAAAAAAAAATAGAGGCCAAGCGCAGTGGCTCATGTCTGTAATCCCAGCACTTTGGGAGGCCGAGGCAGGTGGATCACCAGAGGTCGCGAGTTCGAGACCAGGAGTTCGAGCCTGGCCAATGTAGCGAAACCCCGTCTCTACTAAAAATACAAACATTAGCCAGGCATGGTAGCAGGTGCCTGTAATCCCAGCTATTGGGGAGTCTGAGGCAGGAGAATAGCCTGAACCTGGGAGGCGGAGGTTGTAGTGAGCTGAGATCATGCCTCTGCACTATAGCCTGGGTGACAGAGTGAAACTCTGTTACAAAAAATAAATAAATAAAAATAGGTAAGTTGCTGATTAAGGCTAATTGGAGCTGATAATCCCACAATCTCAGATTTAAATGAGGATTTTTTTTTTCTCCTAGATTTTCTCATGTTATCCCTCATATTTATATATCTAACCATTAATTTCACACTAAGGGTGTTTTGCTGTATAATAAAAGGAGTAAGATGGGAAAAAAAGATTTAAGCTTTACACTTTCTTTTTTTTTTTTTTTTTTTTTTTTTGAGACGGAGTCTCGCTCTGTCGCCCAGGTGGGACTGCGGACTGCAGTGGCGCAATCTCGGCTCACTGCAAGCTCCGCTTCCCGGGTTCACGCCATTCTCCTGCCTCAGCCTCCCGAGTAGCTGGGACTACAGGCGCCCGCCACCGCGCCCGGCTAATTTTTTTTGTATTTTTAGTAGAGACGGGGTTTCACCTTGTTAGCCAGGATGGTCTCGATCTCCTGACCTCATGATCCACCCGCCTCGGCCTCCCAAAGTGCTGGGATTACAGGCGTGAGCCACCGCGCCCGGCCTAAGCTTTACACTTTCTAATGAGTTGTCTATATACTTGTCTTTGCTGATATATCATAAACTCTTTAATAGTAAGGGACATTTTACAATCATTGTGTCTTTCCCCTTTCCCTGAAAACACACAAACCCACCTGCCACAATATCTTCTACTTAGAATCAAACACTTCAGAGCTGGAGAAAGTCCTAGAAACATCTAATCCAATAATCTTATTTTATAGGTGAAGAAACTGGGCTCAAATCAGTGTTGGTAAAGGGCTCAATAAATGCTAATTGAAGTGAAAGTGAAAATTCAGCCCCAGAGGGTCAACAAGTACCTTCAAGAAGGCTTTGAAAACAAGTAGAGAAAAAAATCACTCTCATGTGGTAAACTTATGGTGCCCAGTCACCTGGAATATGGTCTGTGATTTCACTTTTCACTGAGGTTTTGCTTTTATTTTGTAAGAAGAATGAAATAAGCTAATGCATGTGAAGTATCTTAGCCAAGGGCCTGGGACATGATAAACTTGGAAATTGGGGCCAGGCGTGGTGGCTCACGCCTGTAATCCCAGCACTTTGGGAGGCTGAGGTGGGCAGATCATGAAGTCAGGAGTTCGAGACCAGCCTGACCAACGTTGTAAAACCCATCTCTACTAAAAAATACAAAAATTAGCCGGGGGCCTGGTGGTGCACGCCTGTAATCCCAGCTACTCAGGAGGCTGAGGCAATAGAAGTGCTTGAACCCGGGAGGCAGAGGTTACAGTGAGCCCAGTGGGCGATGGAGCGAGACTTCATCTCAAAAAACAAAAAAAAGAAAAGAAAGAAATTGGTTAGTTCTAGAAAGATTACGGTGAGATAACTTTCAAGAATTTAGAAATAATAAAAGAAATAAGGTTTTCCTCTGATACTTGAAACTTAAGCACAAATAAATTATGAAACATTTATACAATCTAGTAATATGTACTTGTTAAAATGATAACATACATTTGCAGTTGACATGGGCAAATGTCTGTGATATATTTTTGAGTACATAAAGTAAGTAACAAAAAGGCATATACTTACAGTATTTTTTTTTTTTTTTTTTGAGAGGGAGTTTTGCTCTTGTTGCCCAGGCTGGAATGCAATGGCGCAATCTCGGTTCACTGCAACCTCTGCCTCCCGAGTTCTCCTTCCTCAGCCCGAGTAGGTGGGACTACAGGCATGTGCCACCACGCCCAGCTAATTTTGTATTTTTAGTAGAGACAGGGTTTCTCTATGTTGGTCAGGCTGGTCTCAAATTCTCGACCTCAGGTGATCCGCCTGCCTCGGCCTCCCAAAGTGCTGGGATTATAGGCGTGAGCCACCGCACCCGGCCATTTTTTTTTTTAATTAAGGGAGATCTAAAAGGATGTTTTCCAAAACATTAACAGTGACTTTAACTGAGTAGTATATCTCTGGTAAATTTTACATTCTTTATGCTGTAGTGTAATATTTAAATGTTTTACTACCAGTTTGTGTTGTTTTTAAAATCAGAAAATTAATGTTGTTTTCATGTCAAAAGCAAAAACCAGTAATGGGTGAAGTCACCTCAAATAGCAAGACTCTAAACCAATTTGATTGGACTGTAAAAGATGGATTAGACTGTAACAGCATTAACATATACAAAGTATGAATGTGTTGGCGAGTAGGGGACGTGTCAGCTATTGAAGCACTGAATGCAAAGAATCAGAGAAACAAACTTAGGCAGTGATGATCCATGCACTGTGAAAGAAAGGGGGAATCATAGCCAATGGGGAGGCCTTATTGACAAGGGGTATGTATCTCAGGCACTCCCAGCCAAATGGCATTGAATTATAACAAAAGAGAGAGAGTGAGAGGAGAAAAAAATACAACAAATATACCAGGTTACAAATGAGAAAAGAGATGCACTCAAAAATCCGAAAAAAAAATTATATTGCATGAACATGTAATATGCAACTTTATGGCAAAATTTTGAACAAATTAGCCAAGAAGAGTCATGACCAAATAGACTAGTAACAACAGAAGTTGTTGAGAAGATGGTCAAATAATTAACTCTCCCCAAAACAAACTACACAAATGGTTTAACTGATAAACTATTTTACATCATATTTCAGGGAACAGATACCATATATTCTATTTAGATATTTTGGAGCAAATAGAAACAGTAGAAAACTTCTCAATTTAGGAGGCTAAGATGACTCTGTCATCAAAACTGATTAAGAACAGAAATTAAAATGGAAAATAATTCCAAATAAAATATTAGAAAAATATACCAGTCATGTCTCAAAGTGAGATTTATTTCAATAATAAAAAATAATCTGGCCAGGTGCGGTGGCTCATGCCTGTAATCCCAGCACTTTGGGAGGCCGAGGTGGGCGTATTGCCTGAGGTCAGGAGTTTGAGACCAGTCTGGCCAACATGGTGAAACCTCGTCTCTACTAAAAATACAAAAAAATTAGCTAGGCATGGTGGTGTGCACCTGTAATCCCAGCTACCCAGGAGGCTGAGGCAGGGGAATTGCTTGAACCAGGGAGGTAGAAGTTGTAGAGAGCCGAGATCTCACCACTGCACTCCAGCCTGCGTGGCAGAGCAAGACTCTGTCTCAAAAAAAAAAAAGAAAAAAAGAAAAATAATCCACTCTTTGAAAGCCTGTCATATGTATGTATATGTTATGTACAAAGTCAATCACATTAAACAGTTAAAGGAAACAGTTCATGAATGCATCTAGATAAATGCTGAAAATATATTTAATACAAATTAAGTGCCAACCTCAGATTCAAACTAGAATTGCAGGCAGCTCCCTTACCATAATAATAATTACTTATATGAAACCAATAGCCAATGTCATACTTAACAATGAAATACTACAGGCATTCATCTGAAGCCAGCCCTGACATTTCCATTCTTTTCTTTTCTTTTCTTTTTCTTTTTTTTTTTTTTTTGAGACATCATCCCGCTCTGTCGCCCAGGCTGGAGTGCAGTGGTGCGATCTCGGCTTACCGCAAGTTCCACCTCCCGGGTTCACACCATTCTCCTGCCTCAGCCTTCTGAGAAGCTGGGACTACAGGCGCCCGCCATCATGTCCGGCTAATTTTTTTGTATTTTTAGTAGAGACGGAGTTTCACAGTGTTAGCCAGGATAGCCTTGATTTCCTGACCTTGTGATTCGCCCGCCTCGGCCTCCCAAAGTGCTGGGATTACAAGCGTGAGCCACTGCGTCTGGCCTCCACTCTTTTGAAAATCTTTACCAAGGTAATATTTGTATAATTTACTATGTGGTTTAACTTAAGTTTCTGAAGATGGCCCAGAAACTTAAATACCTACAGGGAAAGGCAGGGTGCATAAATGGATGAAGTAGCCAGGATATTATAAAATGTTCTTTGCCAGTGCTATGGTTTGAATGTGTCCCCTCCAAAATCCGTGTTGAAACCTAATCCACACTGTGGTGGTATTAAGAGGAGGGGTCTTTTGGGAAGTGATTAAGTCATAAGGGCTGTCCCCTCATGAATGGATCAGTGCTTTATAAAAAGGCTGGAGGGAAACAGCCTGGGTCCTTTGGCTCTTCCCTCCCTTCCTCCATGTGAAGACACAGTGATCAAGGCACCCTATTGGAAGCAGAGACGAGGGCCCTCACCAAACACTGAACCTACTGGCACCTTGGTCTTGGACTTTTCAGCCTCCAGAACTGTACGAAATACATTTCTATTATTTGTAAATTACACAGTCTCAGGTATTTTGTTACAGCAGCACAAATGGACTAAACCACAAAAAAAGAAAAAAATACAATCTTCTATTTCTAAGAAACATATAACATGTTTGTATAAGACCTTATTTTCCTCTGAACTTTACCACAATAAATACAGCAACATAACTGTAGTAATAAGTAGCAATGACAACAGCACAAATGTGGGAAGCTCTGCAGGTTGATAGCCACTCTGTGCTTGCTGCCAGAGTGAGCGCTTGCATCTACAGGTAGGATGCTGAGGCAGAAGCAGAAACATACACACAAGGTGAGCTGGAGGTGGACTCTATGAGTTCGAGTCTTAACTTGCTGGTATCTGTGTACCATATCTGTTGTAGAAATAAGGGGTGGGCCCCAGGGATGTGATATGAGGCATCATAAGTGTCTGTTTACACTGTCCATTTATGAAATGGAATAAATCATTCCAAAAAAAAAAAAAAAAAAGTCCTGGCTCACACCTGTAATCCCAGCACTTTAGGAGCCTGAGGTGGGCAGATCACAAGGTCAGGAGCTCAAGACCAGCCTGGCCAATATGGTGAAACCCCGTCTCTACTAAAAATACAAACATTTGCTGGGTGTGGTGGTGGGCACCTGTAATTCCAGCTACTCGGGAGGCTGAGGTGGGAGAATCACTTGAACCCGGGAGGCAAACGTTGCAGTGAGCTGACATGGTGCCATTGCACTCCAGCCTGGGTGACGAGAGCGAAATTCCATGTCAAAAAAAAAAAAATACAAAATACAAAAATTAGCTGGGCGTGGTGGTGTCCACCTGTAATTCCAGCTGCTCAGGAAGCAGGAGAATCACTTGAACCCGGGTGGCAGAGGTTGCAGTGAGCCGACATGGTGCCACTGTACTCCAGCCTGGATGGCTGAGGGAGACTCTGTCTCGAAAAAAAGAAAAGTTTAGTTTTTAGCTTATTAAAACATATTAGTTCAAAATCTTTTAAGGTTTTTTTTTAACTTAAAATGAAAAGTACTCATACATAAATTAAAGGTGTAATAATAATGATCACATATACTTTGCTATGTGTCAGCTGGTTAGTTGTTCCAGAAAGATTATGGTGAGATAACTTTCAAGAATTTAGAAATAATAAAAGAAATAAGATTTTCCTCTGATACTTGAAACTTAAACACAAATAAATTATGAAACATTTATACAATGTAATAATATATACTTGTTAAAATGATAACATGCCTTTTTAGATATATGTAGGCAACATTTTTAGGATATATGTGTGAAATCTCACCCAATCCTCACCACAATCCTGTGAGACAGGCACTATTATTATTATTATTATTATTTTTTCTGAGACATACTCTCGCTCAGCCCCCTAGGCTGGAGTGCAGTGATGCAATCTTGGCTCACTGTAACCACCATCTCCTGGGTTCAAGAGATTCTCCCGTCTCAGCCTCCCGAGTAGCTGGGATTACAGGCACATGCCATCATGCATGGCTAATTTTTGTATTTTTGTAGAGATAGGGTTTCACCATGTTGGCCAGGCTGGTCTTGAACTCCTGAACTCAGGTGAGTCTGCCTGCCTCGGCCTCCCAAAGTGTTGGGATTACAGGCGTGAGCCATCACGCCCAGCCTTTTGTTATTGAGTTCTATGAGCTACTGACAGCTTTCTAAATTTTTCTAAGATTCTGGATTTCAATAATTTATTATTTTTGAAAAAATTTCTGTAAAGTTGCTGAAAACTGCAAGTCTATAATTATACATATTAGACTAAGCAGTTGGCTCTCACACAAATGAAGTGGATTTTGTTTTTCTCATCTCAACAGTATTTTTAATCATTATGTTGTCACTTGCTAATGTCTATAGGGATGTCTTGGTTCTCTTTCAATGGCGGAGACAGCATATGTGTTTGTGCATTACTTGAAGATCTTCCACTCTACCAGATGAAACTGGGAAAGGACAATGTACCAAAGAGTATCCAAGCACAGAAGGGAATCTCAGTTTGAAGTTAGGTGAGTTCCCGACATGAACAGGCATGTCTGGCCCAACAGGAACCACTTTTATAAGGAAAAATTTCCCTCTTGGGAGAAATCACGATGAAGAAAAGCTGAGTCAGAAACAATAAACTTGAGTTTGTAAGAGAGCCTTCGTAGGAGGATAATAGTGCTCTGTAGGCAGGCTGGTGGCTATCATTCAGTTTCTTATCATATACAAGCCCCTGAGTGGGTGTCTGGGACCTAGAGAAAGAGTGGTCTGTAAGTAAAAATTGAAAGTACTGTTTCACTTAAAGTTGTAAAACACTGATGCCACTGATTTGAATTCCTCCTGCAGAATTGAATCCAAGAGGAAGAGAAGCATCCTTCCTTCAGTGCCTTTGTGGTGGTGCTTGGTGAGAGATAGTGGTGAAGGCATTGCCTAAAGAGAGAGGCACTAACAGGCAGAGGAGTGGTTGAGACCAGTAAGAACTGCCCTGCCTGGTGGAGCAGAGGCAGAAGCTGATGCCCAGGCTCTGCAGCATCTATAGGGAACTTGGTGCCTGCAGTGCTCATCAAATGATCCAGAGGCCTCCTTGAACACTGCAAAACCCAGAAGAAATTACCATGCCAACGGAGCAGAACCAGATCCTTTGGGGAAACACAGCGCTGGTGGAAGAACTATAGCTCCAGTAAGCAAATGTGGTGCCTGGTGGGTGGTTGCTGAATCAGTGTGTGTTTGTGAGCATATGTGAGACACCCACTGAAGATGCCTAAAAACACCTCTAGAAACTGACATTTTAAAAGGAGACTGAAGTCCTGCATTATGCAGGTGCTGTGAGCCTGTGACTATTGGGTTATTCCACTTAATGTGACTTACTTGTATCTACAAGCTAGTGGAAGCTGGGTGCCATAGTTCAGATATTTTTCCCCCAAAACCTCATGTTGAAATTTGATCCCCAGTGTTGGAGATGGGGCCTAATGGAAAATATCTGAGTCATGGAGGTGGATGCTTTATGAATGGATTAACCTCCTCACTGTGGGGGTGGTGAGTTCTTACTCTCTTAGTTCCCATGAAAGCTGGTTGTTAAAAAGAGCCTTGCAGGGCGCGGTGGCTCATGCCTGTAATCCCAGCACTTTGGGAGGCTGAGGTGGGTGGATCACCTGAGGTCAGGAGTTCAAGACCAGCCTGGCCAATGTGGTGAAACCCCGTCTCTACTAAAAATACAAAAATTAGCCAAGTGTGGTGGTACATGCCTGTAATCCCAGCTACTTGGGAGGCTGAGGCAGGAGAATCACTTGAACCTGGGAGGTGGAGGTTGCAGTGAGCTGAGATTGCGCCACTGCACTCCAGCCTGGGTGACAGAGAGAGATTCCATCTCAAAAAAAAAAAAAAAAAAAAAGCCTGGCACTTCCTCTCTCTGTCTCTTTCATTCCTCTCTCACTGTGTCTCTGCCCTTACCAGCTTCCCTTTGCCTTCTGCCATGAGTGAAAGCAGCCTGAGGCCCTCACCAGATGCCCAATTTTGAACGTTCCAGCCAGCAAAGCTGTGTGCTAAATAAACCTCTTTTCTTTATAAAATACTCAGCCTCAAGTATTCCTTTATAGCAACACTAAACAGGCCAGGTGCAGTGGCTCATGCCTGTAATCCCAGCACTTTGGGAGGCAGGGGTGAGCCCATGTGTTCAAGACCAGTCTGGACAACATAGTGAGACCCTGTCTCTACAAAAACAACTTAAAAATTAGCTGGGTATGGTGATGTGTGCCTGTAGTCCTACCTACTCAGAAGGCTGAGGCCAGAGGATCACTTGAGCCCAGGAATTCAAGGTTGCAGTGAGCTATGATCATACCACTGCACTCCAGCCTGGGCAACAGAGTGAGATCCTATCTCAATAAAAGATAAAATAAAATAAAATATAACGACACTAAACAGACTAAGGCACTGAGCAAATGGATCTACAAAATAATCTAGAGATTAGAAGTTGTCATCAGAGATGATGGGAATATTTAGGGGGCCACTGGGCAACTTATGTTATAATAACTTAGGTACAAATAGAAAGTGTAATTTCATTTTATAGTCACAGGTTACAATGTTGTATAAGTTCTTATGTAAGACTAAATAACCTAGACTGTGAGAATGTACCAATTTACACTGTGGTCATTATCTCATAGAAGTCATAGGACCAAACAATGTCTTCATGAGTTGGGGTGGGATTTTATTCCCAAAGAGAAAGGATATATTTATACTATCTTGAGAGTAATATTTGCCTTATGTATCTTACTTTTAACAGCAATACTGAACAAGCTAAGCCTTAAGATAGCTGTCTGCTTACAGTCCCTTAGAAAGGATTTTCCCTATAGTCTTCTTCTAGAATATTACTTCTGTGTGTAGTTTTTTTCTTGTGTAAGATGACCCTGTCACCTTAACCACAATTGATATGAATGAGAGCAGTTATCTAATCCAAGGAAAAGCAACCCATCATTCAGTCAAAAACCTGTGATTTGTCCGATCATGAAGACTGTTCAATGGAGATAATTGTAGCTAACTGGACTGAAGAATATCACCTTTCTTTGAAAGGAGTTCAACTGTTAGCAAAGGCAAAAACTGAAAGAAAAAGAGAAATGTAACTAGTAGAAGCCTACAAGCAGGAGAAGCCAAAAAGAAGGAAAAGCTAATACAACAGATGCTATTATGTTGAGCAAAAGAAGAGAGTACACATACTGGTGACTTATTGGAAGGACAATCAGACTCAGAATAATTGTCTCCATTATAGTGAAGCACAAAATGGAGCCATTAGAAGCTACCCAGTTAACCAGAACAACTGGACATCAAGAAGGAATTTTCAGTTCTCAAATCATGTTCTGTCTCCTTGAGTCCTGCAGGATAGCTTCAGCATGTCTTTATTCCTGTAACCTACTAAACTCTAGCTACTCCCACATGGCTGCAATGAATTTTACCAGTTTTTAAAAAATCAATACTGATTTAAATAAGTAGGAAAACGTATTAGTAGGCATTAGTAACAAAGTGAAACAAGACTGACAGAAATCAAAATTTAAGAAAAACTAATAAATATTATTTTTTCCTTTTCTTTCTTTATTCATTGTAAAGATGAGGTTTTGCTTTATTGCCCAGACTGATCTCAAACTCCTGGGCTCAAGCTATCCTTCTGCCTTGGCCTCCCGAAGTGCTGGGATTACGGGTGTGAGCCACCATGCTCAGCCTTCTTTTTTTACTTCTTTTTACCTCAGTGAAAACTGGAAAAGCTGCTAGACAAATTCTAAAAGAGATATAACGCTGGAAAATATTCTTACTCTGTGGGTACTGAGCATGAAATTCGAATCTTGGCTTCCAAGTATTTAAGGCAAAAAGAAAAAAAAATGAGAACAAAAATATTTTAAAATATTTAACTTTTATCTTCATTTATTTTTCCCTTTCCCTCCTCTCATATTAGCCAGGTCTGTACTTTCCTCTTCAAGGTGAAGTCTGTTGTAAGGATGGACATTGAACTTGCCTAGAAAACTGTCTGGTTTTATTTCAAAACGCTAAGCCTCAGTAAAGGAGAGAAATAGCAGGTAAAGATAAAATGACTTGCAGAAAGCTGAAGTAAAAGAACTTTGCTCAGTTGATAAAACAATATCCCACATGCTCGATAATACCAGAGGAACTTGCGTTTTGGACATGAGGACCCTGATCCAGATTTGTGATAGTATTGCTAGGGAGAGAGCAAGAGACCCCAAAGTATGAAATTCTCAGCCTTGGCAAAAAATACCCATGCTGCAAACCTGGTGTGGAAGCAGCTAAGCCCTACTGGATGTGAAGGGATGATGCAGAAAGAGCGTGGACAGGTCTATGAAGAGATGACCAATGACTAGTGGGCCTTTCTGTTACCTCCTTGATGCCCTGGCACTGCATAAGATTCCAGAACCACGAACAGCCCTGGGGAGATTGGCATCAAGCTTAAAGAATGAACAAAGTTAAATTTCTATATTCTGGGTAGAATCTGGGTGGGGAGTGTTGCTCAAAATCAGAAAGTATCTTGATGTACAAAATTTTTTGCACATCTGTAGAGAACTGATATTCCCACCCACTATACCTGAGTTATCAGAAAAGACAAGAATCAAGCTCACTTCTGAGTTTCAATGGATCACAGTGGCTGCAAGGACAGTTAGGCTCTTTCTAATTACAAGCCAAAATGACATGTTAGGGAATCTTAGGGGTGTTAAAGTAAAGAAGACAAATTTCTGTCTTACAGCCAGTCCTCCCACCCGCGTTGGAATGAATCTGGAAAATCATTTGGGATATTACCAGTTCTTGCCATTGTGTTCTCATGCTGCTGTAGATTCCTATTGCCGTCCTATACCATTCTGGTGATTCAGCTACTCTCTGTAGCTGCTATTCCTGCTACTGAGCAATGAACTGACTTCTCTCCATTGTCTTTCTCAGCTTTTGCCATTCATGGTTTCTGACTACTCTTGGCTTTTATTGTCTCATGGCTTCTGATCATTGCCTTTTCTCTGGGTGAGAAAAGGTTGGCTTTGTTCTTTTCTTTTTTTGAATTCTACCCCCATGATAAACTGCTGACTTACTCTGTGTGTTGTGCACTCAGCTTTGTAAGAGAGAATACTGATCCATTCATTCAATCATGGCCACCTCTGTTGGGCAAGGCTATCATTCCTGAATCATTTGCTTATCCCTGGTCCAAGCTGCAGCCAGGGATAGGAGTTCTCAAGCTTTTTTTTTTTGAGCTGGCTTGCTCTGCTGCCCAGGCTAGAGTGCAGTGGTGCGATCTCAGCTCTCTGCAACCTCTGCCTCCTGGGTTCAAGTGATTCTCCTGCCTCAGCCTCCCAAGTAGATGGGATTATGGGCTTGTGCCACCAAGCCTGGCTAATTTTTATATTTTTAGTAGAGACGGGGTTTCATCCTGTTTGCCAGGCTGGTCTTGAACTTCTGACCTCAAGTGATCCACCTGCCTCTGCCTCCCAAAGTGCTGGGATTGCAGGTGTGAGCCACCACGCCCGGCCGGTTCTCAAGCTTTTCTGAGCTTACCTCACAAGGAGTTGTAATTGTGGCAGACCCTGTGAGATGAAGAATAAAAGCGAACACTTATGGAGTGCTAACCGTGGGCCAGACATTGTTCTAAGTGCTGTGTAGTCTGTTCAACCTTCCAAATAATATACCCATTTTACAGATAAGGAAGCTAAGGTGGTTAAAGTTGACAATATTTCCAGGATCACATAGCCAGTAAGCAGCAGAGCTAGGATTCTAGCCAGGCAGTCTAGCTTTTTTATAAGCAGTGCTCTCTGCTTGTATTCTGTGAGATCTCTTTATATTAGGATCTGTTCCTTTATTTTCTGAATTGAGACTGATAATTAAGCCAAGAATATTCTTACTAAACTGTTGATTGCGGATCAACCTTTGAGTATCACTAACAGTATTAGTAAGGAAGATTCTTTCAACAATCCCAGAAATTCATCAAATGCTTTCTTCCTAAGTGAAAAAGAAAAAAGAGATGTTATTAGGGTAGATATTTTCTTTCAATGTTATTCAGCATTCCAGACCATCAGGAGCATAACATAATTCTGTTCAGGGACCTGTACTGTTGTTTATATTCAAAGAGGATAGAAGCCTTAAAAGAGCAGCTTCATTAATATCAGATTTTTCAGAGTCCTCCAAAAATGTTTTATGGCATGTCCTATTCAGTTTTTCTAAATTATAGACTCAAGTATTTATAGACAACAATAGCATTGCTTTAAGTAAGATGAAATGATGTTAGGAATTGAAAGCCTATCCTGATCATCTTTGTAAAAAATATCAGAATAGTGGGAGCTTAAAAAATTAAGACAATTGAACTCATGGAGATAGACAGTAGAATGATGGCTACCAGAGGCTGGGAAAGATAGTTGAAGAGTGAGTGGTTAACGGGAACAAAAATGTAGTTAGAATGAATTAGCACAAGAGGATGACTACAGTACAACAATAATCGCACATTTTAACATAACTAAAATAATACAATTGTATTGTTTGTAGCACAAAGAAAGGATAAATTCTTGACGTGGTGGATACTCCATTTACCCTGATGTGATTATTATGCAATATATGTCTGTAGCAAAATATCTCATGTGCCCCATAAATATATACACCTAGTATGTACCCACACATTTTTAAAAAAATTTTTAAATATCAGAATACATGTAATAAACAGTAATGAAGATAAAATTACTTGAGAATCCCTAAAGACACGTTACTTGTATTCTTGTAGTAAAGACTATTATTGGAAAAAAAATTTGCCTAAATGCAGCAAGTGTTTTGAGAAGAAATATGATTTAACTGTAAGATATGGAAGGAGACTGAAATGCATTATTCAATTGCATTATTCATTTTCATGCTGATAAGACTGAGATAAAGCAAAATGGATGGCTTATGCAATCCCAGTTGCATATTGCCACTTTTTGAATTACCAAGAGACATTTGATTAAATAGCATCACACAGTCACAGTGGTCATTCTTACAACAGCAGCTGTACTCACATCTGGGTGTAGTGGCATTCTCAAAAGGCATTCTGACCTTGGTATCATGTCTGACCTCTCCTTTGAGACTTCTCTGCTAGCCCCTGTGGATCTCCCCTCTTGTGCTGCTTTCAGGCATGCCCAGAATAGAGCTGAAATGGAGTCCTGCCATAAATCAAAATCTGTGAATGGATACTATAAAATTCCTAATTTATATGCTATGTGGTGTGTGTTCCTTTGAGATACTTAAAGATATGCAAATAGAGTAACCAGAAAGGACTGATGTAAAAGTACTATTTTGCTAAGAAAAGAAGCAACAGAAATCTGTAAACTCCCTTCATATGAGTGTACCACTAAGCAATGTGGAATGGCAGCTGGAGAGGGGCTTGTAAGAAGCTGATAAATGTATATCAAACAGAGGCGTTTCTTTCATTTCCAAACTGGTTTGGTGTGATGTAGTTGTCTTTCCTGCTCCTACTTGGAAGACATGACAAAGTATTCTGTGTAATTTGAGCCCAAACTGGAAGGTATGAAAGAACTGTACTTCCCCTTCCTTTTTTCCTCTTTCTGGTCCTCTTTCTGCTAAAAGGGTTGTTCTGAACTCAAGCAGAATATAAAAGGTTATTTCCTAACATAAAAATGTCATGTTCCTGGATAATCAAGTCTTTAGATCCTACTAGCCTGTATGATGTATTACTTTCACAGTTCAAATGAGAAATAAAGTTTTGCAATGAGGCTTTGGTGTTAATGTACATATCCAATATTCCACAATTCATGGATATTTGTCTTAACTCTACTCAAAGTTTCCACTTATTTTAAATTTATCACAAGCACTCAAGACAGAAATCAGAATGGTGCTTATTTTATACCACATCTCCAGACCCACTTTGTAAAAAATTACTTTTAGTTCATCTTGCCTCTATAATCAATCTTAGAACAGTTTTGTAATACATTGTATAATAAGTCAGCAGAAATCAATTCAAGCAACCCTTCAGCAGCTCATACTAACCTCAAAGGAATAGCAGATGACACCACTTGCCATTTTAATTTGTTAAATGGTATGGAGGGAAACCAGATATGGAACACATATTTCCAATTAAACTTTATAATGCTTGGTTGATATTTATCTGAGACATTGCATTTTAGATGGTAGAATTGTAGTAGCACAAAATTTTAGTCAACTAATTTTGAGGCTGAATTGTAGAATGAAACATGTTTTTTTAATATGAAAAGTAGAAAGGATAGTACCTGAAGTGTGTTAGGCTTGTGAGTCCAGAACTCTTTCTCATGCTACATTTTAGAAATGCTGATGTAGAATTCTCCATTGTTATAATCTGAACTGAAATCTAGACCTTGTAATAAATTAAAAAGAAATAGAAAATTTTGGACAAATAATGTGGGCATTACATTATTGTAAATAGCATATTATATAAGTTTAAAAATAATGTTCCTTCTTTTAAAAATAGCTTTTCCCCTTCTTTTAAAATTATTTTTAATTAACACATAATAATTATATGTACTTATGATGTTCAGTGTGATATTTCAATTCATGTATACAATGTGTAACGATCAAATCAACCCCTTAATTTATAAAAAAATTTTTTTTGAGAAAGGGTCACACTGACACCCAGGATGGAGTGCAGGAGTGTGATCACGGCTCACTGTAGCCTCAACCTCCTAGGCTCAACCAATCCTCCTGACTCAGCCTCATGTAGCTGGGACCACAGGTGTGTGCCACCACACCCAGCTAATTTTTGTATTTTTTGTAGAGATGGGAGTCTCCCCATGTTGCCTAGGCTGGTCACGACTCCTAGCCTCAAGCGACCCTCCCACCAAGGCCTCCCAAAGTGCTAAGATTACAGATGTGAGCCACTGCACCTGGCTTCAACCCCTTAATTTTAAGGGGTCGAATCATATTCATTATGATTCAACAATCAATATTCATTAATTGATACTAGAAAATATGGAAAAGTATAAAGAAAAAAACTGTCATTGTCCACTAAAGATAGGTATTAGCTATATTTAGGTATGTTTCCTCTATACCTTTTTTTTTTTTTTTTGAGATGGAGTCTTGCTCTGTTGCCCAGGTGGGAGTGCAGTGGCACAATCTTGGCTCAGTGCAACCTCCACCTCCCGGGTTCAAGCGATTCTCCTGTCTCAGCCTCCCGAGTAACTGGGATTGTAGGCGTGGGCCACCATGCCTGGCTAATTTTGTATTTTTGTAGAGATGGGGTTTTGCCATGTTGGCCAGGCTGGTCTCAAACTCCTGACCTCAACTGATGCCCCTGCCTCAGCCTCCCAAAGTGCTGGGATTACAGGAGTGAGCCACCACACCTGGCCGTTTCCACTATACTTATTCTTTTGTTTTGTGTTGTGTGTTTCATTTATTTTATTATATTATTATTATTGTTTTAGAACTGGGATTTCACTGTGTTGCCCAGGCTGCACTCCAGCTCCTGAGATCAAGTGATATTCCCGCTTCAGCTTCCCGAGTACCTGGAATTACATGTGCATGTTCCACTGTGCCTGGCTCTGGTGTGTTTATTTTTAGAAAATTTTTTAATTCTTGCCTTTTCAGTTAACAATATATAATAGCATTTATCTATGAATGCTAATACATACCTTTACAAAGAAATTTACAGTATAGTACAATTTTCCATTACATGCAGTTTCCATAATTTATTTATTTAGTCTCAGATCTTTTTAGGTGGACCTAAGTTTTCCCTTTCATAAAGTATGCTATTATATCTTTATGTATGGAAAATACTCTTAATTTTGAATTTTAGATTTTATGTTTAGGCTTTTTTCTCAGAAAGGGAATAAAATTTAAAGACTCATTCAAAAAATGTATTATCATCAGAAATCTATGACAATGCTTTGCTTGGTGGCAGTCTTGCCAGCATTGAATAGCATCATGTATGTGTGTGTATATATATATATATGACTTCCTATTAAACATAATAGAATGATCATATACATTTATTTTCTCCTCTACTCAAAATTTTATTAAAGAGGGAGCAAAAGAGTAAAATATATGTACAGACCCATAAGATCAAAGAAAATGAGAGTGAAAACAGGAGATTTGGAGCACAGAAAGCTGTGACTTCAGGAGCTGACTAGGAGAATAAAATGAAAATACATAAACTCTTCTGAGTTTCCTAGCCTCAAACACAGACAGTCAGATGTATGACTTTTTGGCATGAAATAGGAGAGGTTTTTTTTTCGTTTTTGAATTACAAGATTAGGAGAAAGGACAACAAAATAACAATATTCTGGGCTCCCAGTACAATTTCCAGCTTGTTGTCCAAAATATTCAAACAAAAACTAAGAGAAAACAAAGGATAGAAATAGAAAAGAGCTTAGAAACCTATGGAACATGAAGAGGTAATAGAATATATGTGTAATTGAAATTTATTTTTAAAATTTCAGTATAAATTGATAATTGATAATTATATATATTTGTGGGGTACAAAATGATGTTATGATTTATGAATATGATGTGGAAAACTTAAATCAAGTTAATATAGTTATCACTTCAAAAACTTACTATTTTTTGTGGTGAGAACATTTGAAATTTGCTCTCTTAGCAATTTTGAAATGTACAATACACTGTTACTAACTATGCTCACCACACTGTGCAATATATTTTTTTTAAAACCACCTTATTCCTCTTGTCTAACTGAGATTTGTAGCCCTTTGACCATCATCTACCCATGTCCCCCACCATCCAGCCTCTCACTACCATTCTACTCTCTACTTCTATGAGTTTGATTGTTTTAGATTTCACATCTAAGTGGGAACATACAGTATTTGTCTTTCTGTGCCAGACTTACTTCACTTAGCATAATGCTCTCTAATTCCATCTAAGTTGTTGAAAATAACTGAAAGCTGAATGGTATTCCACTGTGTGTATGTGCCACATTTTCTTCATTCATTCATTTGTTGGTGGACACTTAGGTTGATTCCATAATATTGCTGCTGTGAATAACACTGCAATGGCCATGGGAGTACAGATATTTCTTTGACACATTAATTTCAAAATTTTTGAGTAAACACTCAGAAGTAGGTTTACTGGATCATATGGAATTCTATTTTTAATTTTTGAGAAACCTCTATACAGTTTTCCATACTGGCTGCATTAATTTACACTCCCAACAACAGTTGTACAGGGTTGCCTTTTTTCCACATCCTTGCCAAGATTTATCTTTTGTCTTTTTGAGAATAGCCATTCTGACCGATGTGAGGTGATTTGTAGTTTTAATGTGCATTTCTCTAATGATTAGTGAAGTAGAACATTTTTTCACATATCTACTGGCCATTTGTATATCTTCTTTTTTTGAGAAATATCTATTCAAGGTCCTTGTCCCCACCAACTTTTTTTTGAGACAGGATCTTGCTTCTAGGCTGGAGTGCAGTGGCACCATCATAGTTCACTGTAGCATCAAACTCCTGGATTGAAGCAATTCTCCCTCATCCTCCAGAGTAGCTAGGACTACAGATATGAACCACTGTGCCTGACCTTTTTGTGTTTTTTTTTTTTCCTTTGAGATGGAGTCTCGCTCTGTTGCCCAGGCTGGAGTGCAGTGGCGAGATCTAGGCTCACTGCAAGCTCCACCTCCCGGGTTCATGCCATTCTCCTGCCTCAGCCTCCCGAGTAGCTGGGACTACAGGTGCCCGCCACCATGCCCGGCTAATTTTTTGTATTTTTAGTAGAGACAGGGTTTCACCGTGTTAGCCAGGATGGTCTCGATCTCCTGACCTCGTGATCCACCCGCCTTGGCCTCCCAAAGTGCTGGGATTACAGGTGTGAGCCACCGCGCCCGGCCCTTTTTGTCTATTTTTAAATTGAATTTTTTTTGTTTTCTTGCTATTGAGTGGTTTGAGTTCCTTATATATTTTGAATATTAACTCCTTTAGGATGTAGGGCTTTGGCTTACAAATGTTTTCTCCCAATCTGTAGGTTGAGTCTTCACACTGTTAATTGTTTCTTTTGCTGTGCAGAAGCTTTTTAGTTTGATGACATCACATTTGTCTACTTTTGTTTTTGCTTCATGTGCTTTGGGGACCAAGTGAAAAAAAAAAATCATGGCCAGAAAAATGTTATACAGTTTCTCTTCTATGTTTTCTTTCAGTAGTTTTACAGTTTCTGGCCTTTAACCCATTTGGGTTGATTTTGTATACAGTGTGAGATAAGGGTCCATTTTCATTCTTCTGCATGTAGAGATCCAGTTTTCTCAGCACAATTTCTTGAAGAGACTATCCTTTTCCCATTGTGCATTTTTGGCAGTTTTGTTGAAAATCAATTGACTGTACATGTATGAGTTCATTTCTGGGATCTCTGTTCTGGTCCATTGATGAATGTATCTATTTTTTTTTTATTCCCAGTACTATAGTGTTTGGGTTACAATTTATATATAGTATATTTTGAAGTCAGATTACTGTGGTGCCTCCAGCTTTGTTCTTTTTACTCATCATTGGTTTGGCTATTTTTTTTTTGTTTTTTTTTTTTTAATAGTTTCATATGAATTTTAGGATTATATTTTCTAAAATGACATTGGAATTTTGATAAAGATTGCATTAAATCTGTAGATTGATTTGAGTAATATGGACATTTTAACAATATTAATTCTTCTAATCCATGAACATAGAGTATTTTTCTATTTATTTGTGCCTTCTTAAATTTCTTTCCTCAACTTTTTTTTTTTCATGAAAATCAAACTATCTTGTGCACCCAAAGACATTATCAAGAAAGTAAAAGGCAACTCACAGCGTGGGAGAAAATATTTACAAATCATATAGCTGATAAGAGATTAATATCCAGAAAATACAGTAAATTCCTAAAACTCAACGCTAACAACAACAACAAAAACAACATATTTAATACCACTTAACTATTTAAAAATGGTTGAAGTAGTGAATTTTATAATTTTACCATGATAAAAAAATTGGAAAAAAATTTATAGGCTATCCAAGGTTTCAACTACATTCTCAACACTTATACCACTGTATCCACTGTATCCCTTTCCCAGCCGAAGCGTGTGTTTAAAAAAAAAAAAAAAAAAAGAAAACCCAGGATGAAAACACTAAAGAATACTGCAACTTCTTTAATGAGTTAACATATTTAAAGTCTCTCATACATAGTAAGCGTTCATAAAATGTTAGTTATTATTCTATAGATGCTAATTTTTTAGGAACAGGTAGAGGCATTTTTTCAAATTATTTTATTTATTTATTTTTTTGAGATGGAGTCTCGCTTTATCACCCAGGCTGGAGTGCAGTGATGTCATCCTGGCTCAGTACAACCTCCGCCTCCTGGGTTCATGCAATTCTTCTGCCTCAGCCTCCCAAGTAGCTGGGATTACAGGCATGAGCCACCACGCTCTGCTAATTGTTGTATTTTTAGTAGAGACAGGGTTTCGCCATGTTGCCCAGGCAGGTCTCTAACTCCTGACCTCAAGTGATCCACCCTCCTTGGCCTCCCCAAGTGCTGGGATTACAGGTGTGAGCCACCGCACCCGGCCATTTTTTCAAATTTAAAAATAGGTTGCAATCTCATTATAGAAAAGTATATTATAATCCAAGAGAAAATATAACAAATAGGATGGAGCAATCCTTTATTTTTTACACACTTTGACAAAAAGGTTTTCAGTAAACAATGTTTCCTGTGGAGAACAGAGAACATGAAAATCAGCCTCCAGCCATCAGCAGCTGCTCTGCTCAGGGCCTAGTATCCCCTTGCCGAATTGGTGACGTGGAGAGGTATATTACCCTTCCTTTACTAGCTTGTTCTGCTGCTTCTGGATGGTACTCACACGTCTGATTGTTTCCTGCCAAAACAAACACTATGAAATCATCAAATTTTATCTTGCACTCTTTCTCTGCCCGGATACTATGGATTCCTTATGTACATTCTTTCCATTCTTTTTCAAACCCATGGCATTGAGCAGGAATCTTGTAGGGCTGTTCAGCACTTTGGATTGTCATCCATCAATCTATGTTAAAGCCAGACCTTTTTTGCACATCCAAGAAAGGCATGGGCTGGGCGTGGTGGCTCATACCTGTAATCCCAGCACTTTGGGAAGTGGAGGAAGGAGGATCACTTGAGTCCAGGAGTTCAAGAACAGCCTGGGCAACATAGTGAGTCCTCGTCTCTATGAAAAATAAACAAAATTGGCCAGGTGTGGTGACATGCACCTGCTGTCCCAGTTACTTGGGAGGTTGAGGTGGGAGGATAGCTTGAGCACAGGAGATTGAGGCTGCAGTGAACTGAGATTGTAGCACTGCACTCCAGCCTGGGTGACAGGGTGAGACCCTGTTGGAGGAGGAGGAGGAGAAGGAGAAAGTTTGTGGAATTTAGAGGAATTTATTTTTATTTATTTATATTATTATTATTTTTTGAGACAGAGTCTCACTCCGTCACCCAGGCTGGAGTGCAATGGCATGATCTTGGCTCACTGCAACCTCCACCTCCCGGGTTCAAGCAATTCTCCTGCCTCAACCTCCCAAGTAGCTAGGATTACAGGCACCCGCAAACATGCCCAGCTACTTTTTTTTGTATTTTTCGTAGAGACGGGGTTTCGCCATGTTTGCCAGGCTTGTCTCAAACTCCTGACCTCAGGTGATCCACCCACTTTGGCCTTCCAAACTACTGGGATTACAGGCGTGAGCCACCACGCCTGGCCAGGAAGTTATTTTTAATATGTGTTGTAATGAGAAATATTGGCTAAGAATTTTCAAAATCTGGCAAGAGACATTCATCCAAAGCATTCATAAGCTCTAGACTCCAAGCAGGATAAATACAAAGAAAATGAGATCTATGTACAAATATAGCAAAACTACCGAAAGCTAAAAACAAAGAGAGAAATCTTAAAACCATTTGGAAGGAAAAAAATTACTTTTGAATAGGCAATAAGACTAACATCCAGCTTTTAAACAAAAGTATGAAAAAAAAAAGAAAGAGTATGAAAACCAGGAGACATTGGAACAATAACGTTAAAGTCCTTTTCAGGAGCACTTCCAGGAGTCAGCCTTTATATCTTTATTTTTCTTTTCACTTTGCTTCAAAGTTATTTTTAAAATCATGAAACCACAGGACACAGAGCAAAGTAAATTTTTAAAATTGAAATGTAATTAATCTACCATAAAATACAGCATTTTGCAGTGTACAATTCAATGACTTTTAGCATATTTACAAAGCTGTATAACTATCATCACTATCTAACTCTAGAACATTTTTATCACTCAAAAAGAAACCCTCAGTCACTCCCCATTTTCTCCTCCCCTCAACCCCTAGAAATCACTGATTTACTTTCTATGGATTTGCCTATTCTGGATATTTCATAGAAATGGAATCATAAAGTATGTGGTTTTTTATGTTTGGCTTCTTTCACTTATTATAATGTTTTTCAGATTTATCTGAGTTATAGCATGTATTCATTTCTTTATACGGCTGAATGATATAAATTATAGGGATATAGCACTTTTTTTAAAAAAGTCCACTCATGGGTGGGAGGAGGGTGAGGATTGAAAAACTACTTATCAGGTAGTATGCTGATTACCTGGGTGACAAAATTAACTCTACACCAAACCCCCATGACACACAATTTACCCATGTAACAAACCTGCACGTGCACCCCCTGAAAGTTGGAAAGGCAAATAAAATAAAATGTTTTTCATCTCTAGGAAAAAGCAAAGTCCATTCATCAGTGGATGGATATTGGTTTGTGTCTTAGTCTTTTTAGGCTGCTATAACAAAAGACTTTAAACTAGATAATTTATAAACAACAGAAGTTTACTGCTCACAGTTCTGGAAGTGAGAAAGCCCAAGATCAAGGTGCCAACAGATTCAGTGTCTGGTAAGGGCCTGCTAGTCATTGATGGTGCCTTCTATGTATCCTCACGTGGTGGAAGGGGTAAACGAGCTCCTTTGGGTCTCATTTTTTTTTTTTTTTTGAGACAGAGTCTCACTCTGTCACCCAGGCTGGAGTTCAGTGGCAAGATCTTGGCTCACTGCAACCTCCGCCTCTTGGTTCAAGCAGTTCTCCTGCCTCAGCCTCCCAAGTAGCTGGGATTACAGGTGTGCACCACCACATCTGGCTAATTTTTGTATCTTTAGTAGAAACAGGGTTTCACTATGTTGGCCAGGCTGGTCTCAAGCTCCCGGCTTTGGGCCTCTTTTGTAAGAGTACTAATTCCTTTTATGTGGGTGAAGCCCTCATGACCTAATCACCTCCCAAAGGCACCACTTCTTAATACCATCACACTGGGGATTAAGTTTCAACAGATGAATTTTGTGGAGACACAAACATTTAGACCATAGCAGATTATTTTCATGTTTTGAAAAATAAATGTATGAGTTTATTTCTGAACTCTCAATTATATCCCACTGATTTATGTCTATTTATAAGCCTGTATGTTCTTCTTCTTGATAGTAGTTATCTACTCCTGATATTTATTTGATTATTGTCTGAACCTTCAAAAACATAAATTCTATGTTGTCTACTGCTTACTGATGTATCTCGAGAACCTAGAACAGTGTGCTTGGAATGTTGTAGGTGCTCACTAAATACATGATAAAGTTGAATTTTGGACATATTCTTCCATTTTTAATAATTTTTAAATAGAATTTTAGAAAATGCTGATTTTATTTATTTTAGTTATTCTTTGGCCAATCTTGTTATCTTTAATTTTTTTACTTTTGCTCTTTCATCAAGATTTTTTCCAAATTGTTAACCAATTTTTCTAAAATTATTTGATCATTCTTCCCTTTCACATGAATTTGTAGTATTTTCATTAGACATCACATATGAAGAAATTGTCGTATATTGGAGAGGATAGGGAGAAACTAACTGCAAAGCAGATGAATTAGAACTTGAACTCTGGCCAAGCATGGTGGCTCACACCTGTAATCTTAGCACTTTGGGAGACTGAGACAAGAAGATAGCTTGAGCCCAGGAGTTTGAGACCAGCTTGGGCAACAAAGCAGGATCTCCTCTCTACCAAAAAAAAAAAAAAAAAGAAAAAGAAAAAGGAGAGAGAGAAGAACTTGAACTCAGATATTCTTATTTTTCCCACTCTGCTTTCTAGACTGTTTTGTCCCTTGGGACTATATTATTATTATGGTAGCATCTCTATATGGTAGAATTAGGCTTTTCATTTAATTTATGTCTCTTCCATAATTTTGTGGCTATCCTTGCCTTATTCAAAAAATTATTTTAATTATTTCAATACAATTAACAAAATAATATCTCTCACTGGTTTTGTAGTTGTAACTAACCTATATATTAACTTGGGACAAACCGACAATATTTTTTTCTTTTCTTTTTTTTCTTTTCTTTTCTTTTCTTTTCTTTTCTTTTCTTTTGAGGCAGAGTCTCGCTCTGTCACCCAGGCTGGAGTGCAGTGGCATGAGCTCGGCTCACTGCAACCTCCGCCTCCTGGGTTCAAGTGATTCTCCTGCCTCAGCCTCCAGAGTAGCTGGGACTACAGGCCCACGCCACCACACCTGGCCAATTTTTGTATTTTTAGTAGAGATGGGGTTTCGCCTTGTTGGCCAGGTTGATCTCGAACTCCTGACCTCAGGTGATCCACCTGCCTCAGTGTCCCAAAGTGCTGGGATTACAGGCATTAGCCACTGTGCCCAGCCTCAAACCGACATTTTTTGAAAAATTTGTCTTCCTGTATATAAATATGTGTCCTTCCATTTATTTAAGTCTCTCAATAAAGTTTTCTAAATGTTTTCATCTTGATATTAACCCATTTCTCAACAAGCTACTCGTTGGTATTTTAAAAATTGCTATTATAAAAGACATATTGGCTGGGTGTGGTGGCTCACGCTTGTAATCCTAGTACTTTGGGAGGCTGAGTAGGGTGAATTGTTTGAGCTTGGGAGTCTAAGACCAGCCTGGGCAACATGGTGAAACCCCCATCTCTACAAAAAATTCAAAAAATTAGCTGGGTGTGAGGATGCATGGCTGTAGTCCCAGCTACTTGAGAGGCTTAGATGAGAGGATCACCTGAGCCTGGGGAGGTCGAGGCCTCAGTGAGCCATGATTGTGCTACTGTGTTCCAGCCTGGGCACAACAGAGTGAGACCCCATCTCAAAAGAAAAAAAAAAAGACAAGAAAAGAAATATTCTTTGTTATTTTTCTTAGTTTGCTGTATCTACTAGATGTTCTTTACAAAGTGAGAAAATCATCCTCTTAAAAGCACTAATAAGGCAGGGGGTGGTGGCTCACACCTGTCTGACCTCAAGAGCTCAAGACAACCCTGAGCAACATGGTGAAATCTCATCTCCATTAAAATACAAAAAAATTAGCTGGGGTGGTGGGTGCTCCTGTCCAGCTATGCAGGACAGGAGGCTGAGTCATGAGAATTGCTAGAAACCAGGCGGCAGAGGTTGCAGTGAGCTGAGATCATGCCATTGCACTCCAGCCTGGGCAACAGAGAAAGACTCTGTCTCCAAAAAAAAAAAAAAAAAAAAAAACAACAAAAAATCACTAACAGATGTTTATCAGCTAATATTTATTGAAAATCCATTTTTGATATGGTTTTAAATGCAAATTTCATATTTTAAATATTTTAAGAATCATGTATTTATGTGTAAGACAGGTATGGGAGTTTCTTTTCCCCGATGATGATTCCACATACACATTGGTAATTTAAGACTAATAGAAATTTTGTTATTCATATAATTTAATCAAAACAACTATTAAAATGCATTTAGTTCTTTATAATTTAATAAGAACAAGATGCCTTTGTTCAGAATTATAAACAGCCTGTCATAATCTGTTTTTTAAAGAAAATTTAAAAAGCATATTCTGGAAAGGCACTCAATGGCAATACAGTAAAGGAAATACTGACTTTTAGAGAGTCTGCAGCAAAGCGTGCTAATTCTATTGCAATTCCTTGGTAAGAACCATTATTGGAGATGCAATTTACCATATCTACTGTTCAATGACCCCATGAATATTGAGTATAGGCACACAGAGATATGTTTTATGTAGCTCACAGCTGAAATGTGCATTTGTGCAACCCTGTTCTTCTGTTATTTTGTTACTCTGTGCACATAGACATCCAAAAATGAATGTACAAGTATATAACATTTGTTTCTTAATTGTAAAAACTATTTTTTAGTAGAATTAAAATATGCATGTGCTAAAATTGAAACATTTCAATCAAGGTCAAACTATCTCCTCAGAATAGGTCAGACAATTTTTGCAACATCTGTGGGTCAGGCAATGGCTCTGCCCATCATTAAAAAAATAGTTTATTGTACTATACATTAGAAAAATGCATTAAGTTAGCATACATAAGGCATTATTTTATAAATATCTTGCATTGGGTAGGCAACATTTCTTGAAACAATCTGAAACTTACAGAAAAGTTGTAAATATAGTACAAAAATTACTTTTTCTTAAACGGTTTGAGAGTAAATTGCCAGCCTGATGCCCCATCAGTTCCTCATACTTCAGAGTATATTTTCTACAACTGGGACATTCTCCTATATAGCTAAACACTACTAAAAAAATCAGGAAAAACACTATGAAAAAAATCAATTACCATTGGTACATTACTACCATCTAATCCTCAGACCTCATTCAAGTTTCACCAAATGTTGGAATAATATCCTTTAGAGCAAAAGGATCAATTTCAGAACCGTGTCTTAATTTTAATCATCACGTCTCATTAGTGTCCTTCAGCCCTGTCTTAGTTCAGATGGAATGGCTTAAACAATCAACATTTATTTCTCACAATTCAGGAGGCTGAGAAATCCAAAATCAAGGCACCCGCAGATCTGATGTCTGATGAGGACATCCTTCCTGGTTTACTGGCTGCTTTCTTGCTGTATCTTCATATGGGGTGGCGGAGGGAGAGAGACAGAGAGAAGAAGCAAGCCTTCCTGTCTCTTTTTTATGAAGGCACGAATCTCATTCATTCAGGAGTTCACCTTCATGACTTAATTACCTCCCAAAGGTCTCACCTCCTAATAGCATCTCATTGGGAGTTAGAATTTCAACATATGAATTTGGGGAGGGCGACACAAAACATTCAGTCCATAACAAATCCAAAAACATTTCCTTAATCTTTCCATTATTTTCATGACCTTAACTCTTTTGAAAATTATAAGGCATGTTTGTATAATGTTCCTCAATTTTAGTTTGTCTGATGTTTCCTCATAATTAGATTCAGGTTATGCATTTTTGGGAGGGGCATCACAGAAGTCATGCTACATTCATTTTATTGCAGCCTATCATGTGGAGAGCACAATTTCAATTTGTCCCATTGCTGATATTGTTTACTTTGATTACTTGATTAAGGTGGTGTCTGCCTGGCTTATCAACTCAAATTACTTTTCCCATTATAATTAATAAGGATTTTGTGGGGAAGTACTTTGGGATTATGTAAATATTCTGTTTCTCATTAAACCGTCAGTTTATTCATTTATCATTTTATATCAGTATGCTTCATCATTTACTATTAGTATGAAATCACAGCCTATTTCAACAGGCCGTAATCTATTGCTATCATTATTTATTTTGGAGCTAATATTCTCTGTGATTTTGACTGTGGGAACTTCATCAAGCATACTTTTCTGGTTCTTTTGTATACTTGTTTGTTTTACGTGTCCCCACAATTCTTTGATTATTGGGAAAATTCACTCCCCATATTTCACGTAGGTTCTTTTCTATTTTCCCTAAGTGTCGGCCGGTCTGAGAAATAAAGGGACAGAGTACAAAAGAGAGAAATTTTAAAGCTGGGTGTCTGGGGGAACATCACATGTTGGCAGGTTCCGTGATGCCCCCCCAAGTCGCAAAACCAGCAAGTTTTTATTAGCGATTTTCAAAAGGGGAGGGAGTGTGTGAATAGCGTGTGGGTCACAGAGATCACATGCTTCACAAAGTAATATAATATCACAAGGCAAATGGAGGCAGGGCGAGATCACAGAACCACAGGACCGGGGCAAAATTAAAATTGCTAATGAAGTTTCGGGCACACATTGTCATTGATAACATCTTATCCGGAGACAGGGTTTGAGAGCAGACAACCAGTCTGACCAAAATTTATTAGGCGGGAATTTCCTTGTCCTAATAAGCCTGGGAGGGCTACGACAGACCGGGGCTTATTTCATCCCACATTAGTCTTCCCTTTCCTTTCTTTTCTCTTTTTTTTTTTTTGAGACTGGGTCTCACTTTGTTACTCAGGCTGGAGTGCAGTGGCGTGATCTTGGCTCACTGTAACCTACACCTCCCAGGCTCAAGCAATCCTCCCGCTCCAGCCTCCAAAGTAGCTGGGACCAATTCACCTACCTCGGCCTCACAAAATGCTGGGATTACAGGTGTAAGCCACCATGCCTGGTCTACGGTCTCTCCTTTCTAATTGATGACTTCCTCATATGGCTTTGGCTCTGACACCCTATGCCTGCCCCTTTCCCAATGGACTCCTCCTTACTGCACTAGGGTTCTGACTCCCATGCTGGTTCACCCCTGGAGGACACCCTCCTGACCCCACCAGGCACTGACTTTTCATCCTGAGCCTCCTCCTTTGTGGGCACCCTTCTCATCACACTTGGCGGATGACTCCCCTTGCCAGGCTGTCCCTCAGTGGTAATGCTCTTCTCACCATACCCAGGTTATAACATCCCAGCCTGGACCCTTACACTGCAGAGACATCTGCACATCATTGTTCTGAGGCTCTGACATCCTACTCCAGGCCATCCCCTTCAGGGAGACACCCTCTTGATACTGAGTATTACAGCCTGACCAAGATGAAAAGGGAATTCCCAAAGAGAGGCAGTCTAGGGTGGGAGTTGGAACCTGAGCAAGGTGAGGTGTGTGTTAGGCTCTGGCAGTCAGCCTCAGTGCTGAGCTATTTCCTTGCATGGACCCTCTCCACATCTTGTGTAGGTTCTGACAGTCTATTCTGAGCTGCATGGATCCCACCCCTGTACGGACTCTTTCCTCTTGAGCTCTTACACTCTCAGCCTCCCTTGGTGTTAAGGACTGCAACTATCTTGGAAAAAGAACTAAATGTGAGGCTTTGCTCTTTCAGATAGCAAAACTTATTATAAAGCTACAGTAAATAAGGCTGTATTGTATAGAGGCAAGGGATAGCCAAATAGAATAATATAGAATGTTAAGACATGACTCCACTCACATATGGTTACTTGATATAAGACAAAGATGGTCTGCAGAGCAGCGGGGAAAGGGTGGGCTTCAATAAATGAAGTTTTCCTGTCCTCTTTAAGGAATCATTACCTTCCATAAGGTTGTGAGATACTGTCCAGTGTTATCATCTAGAAGCTATATTGTTTACTTTTCTTATTTATGTCTCTAATTCCCCCAAAATCAAATTTTTAGGCAGCTATCCATACAAGACAAAGAAAAGAAATGTGACCTCTATGCAAAAGTCTTATATGGTTGTTGGGTACCTACTGAGAAAGAATGTTCTAAGAGGGGTTAAGGTTGAAGCTCCAGATCTCTGAAGGCCTGACTTCAGAAGTTTTAACATTCACTTGATCCAGGGCTGCCCACCTGTGAAGAAGATTGAGGTGGAATAAGAGCAAAACCTCAAGTGGGGCCATTTTTGCTTCAGAATGAAATAGAAAAAGTTAGTTTCTTGGCCAACAGAAACATATTATGAACAATCCAAGTGAGATTTTGGAAGCAAAATTTCAAGAAAAAGAACTTTTGGCTCTGCCTCTTAAGGAAGGTAGATGCTGTCACAACATTATCACAGAATGGGTCTAGTCCGTGAGGCCCATACTAGAGAATGGGCCTAGTAATGGGGAAACAGCAGCATTTGGTTACAAATTTCTCCAAATCCATCCTGGGAAATGGAACTTTTTTTTTTTTTTTTTTTTGAGCTGGGGGTCTCACTCTGTCAGCCAGGCTGGAGTGCAATGGCCCGATCATAGTTCACTGCAGCCTCAACCTCCAGGGTTCAAGTAATCCTCCTGATTCAGCCTCCCCTGTATCTGGGACTACAGGCATATGCCACTATGCCTGGCTAATTTTTAAAATTATTTGTAAAAATGGGGGTCTCCCTATGTTGACTGGGCTGGTCTTGAACTCTTGGACTTAAGCCATTTTCCTGCCTTGGCCTCCCAAAGTGCTGGGATTACAGGGATGAGCCACCATGCCCAGCCGGAAATGGGACTTTTGGGAAACTACTATTCTCTCAGTGGGGCCTTAACAGCAAATAGTGAAAATGCTTTAGGCATTTTAGCTGATGCAAATTCAAGTTTAAGGCGTTATTGAGAAGCTAAAAAACCAAACCAAAAGGAATATAGGCTACATTTAGATATGTATATTTTATTCATTTATTGATGTATTTATTCTATAAATATTTATCAATTGTTGTAGCAAAGACTGGCTAGATGTTGATCAAACCAATTTTGTTTTATTCCTAAGGCCACAGCTGAACTACATTTTCTAGCAATCCTCAGAATAAGATGTGGTCATTGACTGAATTCTGGACAATGGAATGGAGTAGAGTGAAATACATCACTCCTAGGTTTGGCCTGTCAAATCTCATGCACAATTCTGTACATTCATGTGCCAGCCTCTCCTCGGGTGGGGACTCCAAGCACTTTGGAGTTGGTGGAGCCACAAGATGGATCTGAGATCTTTGCTAAGGTAGGGTTTCCCTGGCTGGCCTATAGCTGACTGTGACATAAGAGAGAAATAAATTTTGATTTTCTTAAGCTCCCAAAAGTTTTGAGATTGTTTGTTACAGCCATGAGTCTTCCCTGATTAATACAAATGCAATGTCTATTCTGTGCCAGCCTTATTCTGGGTACTAGGGATGCAACAGGAAACAAATAAGAGACATGATTCCTCCTCTCACAGGAGATACCTTATAAAAGGGGTGGCACACAATAAACAGTGACAACTTACATTTGCATGGTGCTTTACTGTTTACACAGTGCTTTCATGGGCACCAACTCATTTAATTTTTTTTTTTTTTTTGAGTTGGAGACTTGCTCTGCTGCCCAGGCTGGAGTGCAGTGGTGCAATCTCGGCTTATTGCAACCTCTGCCTTCCAGGTTGAAGCGATTCTCCTGCCTCAGCCTCCCGAGTAGCTGGGATTACAGGTGCATGCCACCGCACCTGGCTATTTTTTTTTTTTTATTTTCGGTAGAGACGGGGGTTTCTCCATGTTGCCGAGGGTGGTCTCGAACTCTTGACCTCAGGTGATCCACCTGCCTTGGCCTCCCAAAGTGCTGGGATTACAGGCATGAGCCACCGTGCCTGGCCCAATTTTTATAACAATATTTTACAGATAAGGAAACAAAAGCTCAAAGATTTTAAGTGTCTTGTATGAGACAAGGAATTACGAACTAGACAAATCAATCAGTTTTCTGGCTCCCAACCCATTACTCACAATGATTCTCAAGTATGAGGATATGACAGAGCAAGGAAAGTGCTAATCCTTGTTAGAAAATTCCATTATTCAATTTTATGTCTTAAAATAATGTATTCCACACAAGTGTAAGTCTATTCATGGAAGCATTGATTGTAAGGGCAAAATACAGAAAACAAAGATTTAAATATCCATTCGTAAGAGAATGCACATATTGTGATATATTCAGAGAACAGAAAATTATATGGTAGGGAAAATAAAGAAATTAGGGATTCAAGTATCCCTAATTTCAAGGATGAATCTCACAATCATGATGAAGAATAATGAAGGCAAGAATGAAGAGTACAGAGTATAATGCCATGACAAAGGTTTAAGGTCTTCATGGGAATGATAAACACCAAATTTAGGATAGTGACTCTGCAGAAGAGAAGAAGGCCGATGCAATCAGAGAGAGTTATGCTGAGGAGATCAACTGTATTGGCCATATTTCATTCTTAAGCTGGGTGGTGAATATTACATTATTCTGGATTATCTTCCTTTTGTCCGTCTGAATCTGTTTTCTACCTTCTCATTTCTGCCCTCTGTCCTGAGAGGCTGACTTGTGTGGTCTTCTATAGGATCAATGGGCTCCTTGTCCCAGCTTTCAGAAGATCATAAGGTGGAAGAGAATGAAGTCTCAGCTTCCTGACTTTTTAGGATGACTTTGGGCTGGCCAGGTCTCTTAAGCAGAGGTCACATCTCCTGTTTGGAGGCCCTCTCTACCCAGCCCACTGTGAGTTTTGGTAATTGCCCAGTCCCCTTGTGCCTGCAGGGCCAGAAATGGAAATGTCCTATTGTTAACACTCAGTTACTACACCATTCCTTACAGTTTTCCGAAACCCTGCCACCCAAGCTGGAGTGCAGTGGCTGGATCATAGCTCACTGCAGCCTTGAACTCTTGGGCTCAAGCAATGCCAGGGAGCTGAAGCTAAAGGCATATGCTACCACCTGTGGCTAATTTTAACTATTTGTTTTTAATTTCTTTTAATTTTAATTTTTATTATTATGATTTTTAGATGGAGTCTCGCTCTGTCGCCCAGGCTGGAGTGCAATGGCGCGATCTTGGCTCACTGCAACCTCCGCCTCCAGGGTTCAAACGATTCTCCCACCTCAGCCTCCCCAGTAGCTGGGATTACAGGCACCCACCATCATGCCTGGATAATTTTTGTAGAGATGGGGTTTCACCATGTTGTCTGGGCTGGTCTCGAACATCCGCCCACCTCGGCCTCCCAAAGTGCTGGGATTACAGGCGTGAGCCACTGCACCCGGCCTTTTATTTTTTAAAGAGATGAGGGTCTTGCTATATTGCCCAGACTGGTCTGGAACTCCTGGCCTCAAGCTGTCTTCCTGCCTCAGCCTCCCAAAGTGCTGGGATTACAGGTAATTTGAAAAGAATGAAGAGTTTAATCGAGACTATAGCCATCCTGAATTAAGGAACAGAGAAGGGGACAAAGAAAAAGAAGAGACTGTAGTTGGACATGGTGGCTTGCACCTGTAATCCCATCACTTTGGGAGGCTGAGATGGGAGGATGGCTTGAGGCCAGGAACTGGAGACCAGTCTGGGCAACATTTCAAGACCCCATCTCTATAAAAAATAAAAACAAAATAGTTGGGAGTGGCGGTAAGTACTTGTAGTGTGAGACAATCTTATTTGAGCCCAGAAGCTCGAGGTTACTGTGAGCCATGACTGAGCCACAGCACTCCAGCCTAGGGGACAGAATGAGACCCTGACTCTAAAATAAATACACAAAAATACCATTTTATTTATTTGGTGTTACCCAGCTTGAGAGTGCCATCTGTTTTTTTGCTGGGTTGCTGAGTTCTGACTGATAGAATAGATATTCTCTCTCTTTTTCTCTCTCCAGACACATGAATCTTTTTTTTGCATATTTGACATAATGTGCTAACAAGTTGAGAAGAAAAAACTTTTATTTTTAATTTTTGATACAGGGACTTGTTCTGTCGCCCAGGCTGCAGTGCAGTGGTGTGAGCATAGCTCACCGCAACCTCAATTTCCCAGACTCAGGCGATCCTTCTGCCTCAGCCTCCTAAGTAGCTGGGATGACAGGTGACCACTACGAGGTCCAGCTAATTTTTAAAATTTTACTTTTAGGCTGGGCACAGTGGCTCACGCCTGTAATCCCAGCACTTTGGGAGGCCAAGGTGGGTGGATCACTTGAGGTCAGGAGTTTGAGACCAGCCTGACCAGCACGGAGAAACCCCGTCTCTTCTAAAAATACAAAATTAGCAGGGTGTGGTGGCACATGCCTGTAATCCCAGCTACTCGGGAGGCTGAGGCAGGAGAATCGCTTGAACCCAGGAGGCGGAGGTTACGGTGAGCCAAGATTGCGCCATTGCACTCCAGCCTGGGCAACAAGAGCGAAACTGTCTCAAAAAAAAAAAAATTACTTTTGGCAGAGATGAGATCTCGCTATGTTGCCCAGGCTGGTCCCAAATGCCTGAGCTCAAGTGATCCTCCTGCCTTGGCCTCCCAAAGTGCTGAGATTGTAGGTGAGAGCCACCATGCCCAGCCAAACATTTATTGAGCACCTATTATATATCAAGCATTGTGCTAGGGTTAAGGTTTGGAGATAGAGAGAAAAATAAATTAAATCTGTTGTTACAAGGAAGTCACAGTCTAGTAGGAGACACAGGTGAAAAACTGGCAATGAAGTATAGTGGCTAAAAACATGGGATTTGCAGTCTGAGAAACCTGAGCTCAATTCTAGGTTCTGTTACCTACTGGCTATGTGACCTTGGGCTACAGAAATAAAAATGGGATTACTACTGGTACCTTCCTTATAGGGTAGTTGTGAGGATTAAAAGTAAAAGCACTAGTATCTATACTTTTACATCTCACTAGTTATGTGTTGCTTAACCATGGGGATATGCTCTGAGAAACGCATTGTCAGGTGATTTTGTGGTTGTGTGAATATCATAAAGTGTCCTTACACAAACCTAGGTGGTGTAGCCTACTACACGCCTGGCTGTGTGGTGCACAGGCAGTCTACTGCTTTGAGGTTACAAACTTGTACAGCATGTTACTGCACTGAACACTGTAGGCAATTGTAACACAGTGGTATGTGTGTATCTAAATGTATCTCAACATACAAAGTTCCAGTAAAAATATGGCATAATAAATCTTATGAGACCACTGTTGTATATGTGCTCTGTCATTGACCCAAGTGTTGGAATGTCATACACATGACTATATGCCTAGGATATATTAAGTCCTTAATAAATGTTACCTAAAATTATTGTCAATTGTAACAATAGCACTTTGTACTTGGTTTAGAGGTAGCACAGAGGAGGCACTGATTAAGTAGAGCTAAGGAGGTCAGCAGAAGTTTAATGGGTGAAGCGATGTCAGAGCCGGATCTTAAGGAAATGGTACTTTCACCAAGAGATCAAGTGGGGAAAGGCAATCCAGACAGAGGAAACAACATGTATAAGAACATGGAAGAATGAAATAGCACTATGTGTTCAGGAAAACATGAGCATCTTGCTATTGCTAAATGGTCAAGGCCTAGGCATGAAAAATAATGAGACGAGGCTGAGTTACGTGGAGGTATACACAAAAAGCCTGGATTGGACTTGATCCTGCAGTTGAGCATCTAGGAAGAATTTTTAATTCTAATTTTTAATTTTTAGCACCATTTACTTGCTTTTGAGAGGAAGAATTTCTAAAACTTTTATTTTAAAATAATTTCAAAGCTGTAGAAAAGTAGCAAATTGAAAAAATAAAAAACTCTGCTATACCCAGGTTCTCCAATTTTTAACGTTCTCTCACATTTGTCTTATCATTCATTTCTCTTTCTGACTTCCACTATGTGTAATTGTCAAAATCAGGGAATTCATAAGGATACAACGCAACCTAATTTCCTTTATAGCAAAAACCTTTCTTTCTTTTGATCCAAAAATCCAACCCATGATCATGTGTTGCATTTAGCTGTCAGGTCTCTTCAGTCTCCTTGAATCTGGAAGAGTTCTTCAAATCTGTCTTTTGGGACATTGGCATTTTGAAGAGCATAGGTCAATTATATTGTAGAATGTCTTCAGCTTGTGTTTGTCTGATATTTCCTCATGATTAGAGGCATTTATGCATTTTTTTTCAGGAACACTAGAAAAGATAATACTGTATTCTCCTCAATGGTTCATATAGAGAGGTGTACAATGTCTATTTGTCACATTATTGGTGATTTTTCACTTTGATCACAATAAAGAGTATCTCCCAGGTCTCTCCACTTTAAAGTTACTATTTTTCCTTTTTAAATGATAAACGTTTTGTAGGGAGTTACACTGAGATATGTAAAAATATGGCAAACTATATAAAGAACAAAAGACAGTGAAAACTCTTAACGCAGCAATTCCACTTTTAAGACTGTATCTGAAGACCTCCTCGCCTCATGCCTGCATGCAGGCTGCATGCCTGCTCATCCCAGTACTTTGGGAGGCCAAGGTGGGAGGATGGCTTGAGATCAGGAGTTCGAGACCAGCCTGGGCAACATAGGGAGACCCTGTTGCTATTAAAAAAAAAAAAAAAAAAAAAAAATATATATATATATATATATATATATCTCCTAAGTAAATAAGGATGTATGTAAAGTTTTAGCTAAACGGATATTCACTGAAACCTTGTTTATAATAGATAACAATTTAAAATAACCTAAATGTCCATTATTAGTGGATTTGGTTCAGTAAATTACCCATACGATAGAATATTATGCAGACATTAAAATTATGTGGTAAAAGTATAATTGATGACAATAAAGAATGTTGTGTGCAGTGGCTTGTGCCAGTAATCCCAGCACTTTGGGAGGCGGGGGTGACAGGACCACTTCAGCCCAGAAGTTCAAGACCAGCCTGGACAACATAGTGAGACCCCTGTCTCCACAAAAAAGCTAAAAAATTAGCTGGGCAAGGTGGCGTGTACCTGTAGTCCTAACTAGTCCAGAGGCTGAGGCAGGAACATCACTTGAGCTCAGGATGTTGAGGCTGCAGTGAGCTGTTGTGTCCGGAATTGGTGGGTTCTTGGTCTCACTGACTTCAAGAATGAAGCCATGGACCCTCACCGTGAGTGTTACAGTTCTTAAAGGCATCGTGCCTGGAGTTTGTTCCTTCTGATGTTCAGATGTGTTCAGAGTTTCTTCCTTCTGGTGGGTTCCTGGTCTCGCTGGCTCAGGAGTGAAGCTGCAGACCTTCACGGTGAGTGTTACAGCTCTTAAGGCGGCACTTCTGGAGTTGCTTGTTCTCCCGGGTGGGTTGGTGGTCTCGATGGCTTCAGGAATGAAGCTGCAGACCTTCATGGTGAGTCTTACACCTCATAAATGCAGTGTGGACCCAAAGAGTGAGCAGTAGCAAGACTTATAGCAAAGAGTGAAAGAACAAAGCTTCCACGGTGCAGAAAGTAACCCCCATGGGTTCCCACTGCTAGCTTGGGCAGCCTGCTTTTATTCCCTTAACTGGCCCCACCCACATCCTGCTGATTGGTCCATTTTACAGAGAGCTGATTGGTCCATTTTGACAGGTTGCTGATTGGTGCGTGTACAAACCTTGAACTAGACACAAAAGTTCTCCAAGTTCCCACTAGATTAGCTAGACACAGAGCACTGATTGGTGCATTTACAAACCTTGAGCTAGACACATGATGCTTATTGGTGCATTTACAAACCTTGCACTAGATACAGAGTGCTGATTGGTGTATTCACAATCCCTTAGCTAGACATAAAGATTCTCCAAGTCCCCACCAGATTAGCTAGATACAGAGTGTGGATTGGTGCATCCACAAACCCTGAGCTAGACACAGGGTGCTGATTGGTGTGTTTACAAACCTTGAGCTAGATACGAGTGCTGATTGGTGTATTTACAATCCCTTAGCTAGACATAAAGGTTCTCCAAGTCCCCACTAGACTCAGGAGCCCAGCTGGCTACACCCAGTGGTTCCCGCACTGGGGCCGCAGGTGGAGCTGTCTGCCAGTCCCGAGCTGTAAGCCCACACTCCTGAGCCCTTGGGTGGTCCATGGGACCGGGTGCCCTGGAGCAGGGGGTGGCCCTCGTGGGGAGGCTTGGGCCACGTGGGCAGGAGCCCACGGTGGGGCCGGGGGAGGCTCAGGCATGGCGGGCTGCAGGTCCTGAGCCCTGCCCCGTGGGGAGGCAGGTAAGCCCCGGCAAGAAATCCAGCACAGCACTGGTGGGCCGGCACTGCTGGGGGACCCGGCGCACCCTCCGCAGCTGCTGGCCCAGGTGCTAAGCCCCTCACTGCCCGAGGCCGGCGGGGCCGGCCGGCCGCTCTGAGTGCGGGCCGCCAAGCCCACGCCCACCTGGAACTCTAGCTGGCCCGCAAGCGACGCACGCAGCCGCAGTTGCCACCCGTGCCTCTGCCACCACACCTACCACAAGCTGAGGGAACCGTCTCTGGCCTCGGCCAGCCCAGAGAAGGGCTCCCACGGTGCAGCGGCGGCTGAAGGGCTCCTCAAGCACGGCCAGAATGGGAGCTGAGGCCAGGAGGCACCGAGAGCAAGCAAGGGCTGCGAGGGCTGCCAGCATGCTGTCACCTCGCTGTCACCTCTCACTGTGAGCACCACTGCACTCCAGCCTGGTTGACAGGATGAGATGCTGTCTCAAAGAAAAACCAAACGACAAACAAAAAGTTGACATCATAGTAACTGAAGAAATCAGGTAAGTAAATTACTTTATATGGTATGGTGCAGTTTTTATTTAAAAAATATTTTATACATACATACATACTTATTGATTTTTTTCTTGTATACAAAAGTATATGTATGTATGCATGTAAACATTTCTATTACTTGATTTTATTACATCATTTTTACTGCTTATATTGCAAAACTAAGTTTTTTTTTTTTTGAGACATGGTCTTGCTCTGCCGTTTGGGCTGGAGTGCAGTGGCAGGATCATAGCTTACCATATCCTTGACTTCTCAGGTTCAACAGATCCTCCCAGCTCAGCCTCCTCAGTAGCTGGGACTACAGGCGCCTGCCACCATGCCCGGCTAATTTTTTAGTTTTTAGTTTTAGTTTTTGTAGAGACGGGGTTTTGCCATATTTCCACCCTGGTCTCGAACTCCTGGCCTCAAAGAATCCGCTGGCCTTGGTGCCCTGGATGCCCTGGCCTCTCAAAGTGCTGGGATTGATTACAGGCGTCAGCCACCGCTCCTAGCCAAAACAAAGTTCTTAAAAATAAAAGTAGTATGAGCTTTTCTGGTGTATTAAGTACGGAGAAGTTAAAAAAATACAATAACAAAGTTCACAGCCTTTTGTGATCAGTAAATGTTAGTTTTTCGCTCTTCCCTAGTGACAAGGAGGCACTCAAGCATGAGTTACAACACAACCGACCTGGAATACAGCTGAAAAGATTGAAGCAACAGGTTCGCAGGGGAAGGCCTTTACAGCTTCTTTCGACTCTGACATTTCAGGATCAGCACAATTCTCCCCTATTTACTGCTGAAGCAATCAACTGGGATTATACAAAAAAATTATTTGTATTGAATACCTGACAGTTGTGTTACTATTACTAGCACTATCGGTTTTGAAGGGGAGGTGGTGGTGTGTGGAAAAAAAAAGTCTGGCAGGAGGGAGGGCAGATGTGAATCCCAGCCCACCGTCCCGTTGACAGCTCTATGGCTCTCCTTTCTGTGAATGAGCGGTGGTCCTTAGGCCTCAGACCCGACAATGTCAGTGAGAAACAGAACTTAACCCAAGGGACTGTTCTCCAAGGAGCGGCGGGGGAATCCAACGCAGAGGAGCGCAGCGCCCTCTCTAGCCTCCTGCGGGTGTCGGGGATGATCAGGGCTCCTGGGTGTTCGTCAGTGAAGACGACTGTCTTATCTGACTGTAGGCACAGAGAGTGCGCCGCGAGAGGGCGGCTCCTCACCGTCAGGCGCCGGCAGGTCGCGTTCTCTGCTGGCCGACGCCCGAAGGCGCCGAATGGGGGGGCCCTGCCGAGCTCCCTTACAGCCCCAATGTGCGCGCCGCCGGGAGGCTTGGGCACGCAGGCACCGCCGGCGGGGGGCGGGGCGAAGCCGGCGGGGCGGGGCACCAGCTGCGCGCGCGGGGCGGGGGCGGGGCCGGGGCGGGGCGCGCTGCGTGGTCCCGGCCGGCCCTGGCTCCTCCCCCTCCCGCGCCCAGGCCAGCGGCGGGCCCAGCTCCTCCCCCGACTCGGTCTCTCTCCCCTCCCCTCCGCCCGGCAGTTCCTCCCTCCCGCCGCCGCCTCTTCCTCGGTGAGGCGCTCTTCCAGCGGGCAGGCAGCATGGCGGCCGTGGAGACGCGGGTGTGCGAGACAGACGGCTGCAGCAGTGAGGCCAAGCTCCAGTGTCCCACTTGCATCAAGCTGGGCATCCAGGGCTCGTACTTCTGCTCGCAGGTAGGCGCCCGCTGCCCCGCGGATATGCCGCCGCTGCGGGACCCCTCCTCGCTTCTCCCCTGCTGGCTCCTCCCGCCCTTGCGGCGAGTCGGGACGCGCTCCTCCTCTTCCCCCCGGCCGCGTTTCCTCCTCCCCCCACCCGCGTCGCCACCGCCCCCTCCTGCCTCCTGGGGTCCCTGGGTCCTCGGGAACCGCGCTGGGCTCACGCGGGGGCGGGGGCGCCACCCGCCGCGGCCATGTGGGCTGGGGCGGAAGCGGGCTGTGCGGGGTCGCGTGGCCGCGCTAGACCTCCGCGTTCTGGGGCCGGTTCCCCGCGCTGGGGCGGGGGCCGCCAGGTGTGCGGGCTGCCGGAGGCAGGTAGCGGCGCCGGGAAGGAGGGCAGCCCGAGCGTCGCGAGCCTCCACATCCGCAGCACCGGCGGGGCTCGGGTCTGGGCGCTGGAGGCGCCGGGCCGTCCGTCGGGTCCCTGCGGGGTGGGGGGCTGAAGCTACCTGCCGGGCTCTGAGAGATGGGTGGCCCGAGGACCGTCGGAGTCGCAGAGAGGAGGAACGCTAGCTAGCTCCAGCCCCACTTCTTTGTGCTTTACTACCGTGCTTTGACACTTAAGCAACTTTGGGGGTGGGGAAGGGAGAGGTCTGTGTAATTCATTCTTTTCTTTCGGTATATAAAATTATTAATTTACAAAACTGTAAGCTAACGGGATGAGTCACCTGTGACTGAATTTCCCAGAGTGAAAAGGACAGTTCCATTGAGGGTTAGGCGTGAATGCTGTAGTGTATTTTAAGTTTTGTGCAGTAGAGCAAACCCAGCGTTGAATGGGGTCCAGACTGAAGCGTGTGCTCGTGTTTCTGTTTACTGAAGAGTACTAGTGTTGCTGCTGCATTTCGAGACCCAGGATGAGGGCTGGGCGGCAATAGTATGGCTCTTAGTTACAGTCCAGGTTTAGTGAAGAGAGGCACATGAATATTCAAATATTAAATTGGTAGCGTCCTGTGGGGAGGAGAGCCGGAATAAAGAGAAGGCCTGATTGGGGCCCTGCCCTTGCCAGTTATTGTGCGATCTTGAATTAGTAAAGTTACTTAATCTTTCTGAGTTCCAGTGTTACACTGTACAGAGGGGATGATTATAGCTTTCTTTGTAAGTTTCACAAGCTTCTTCTGAGACCCAGATTATCCAAGGAACGTGAAATGCTGTTATAATGTAAAGTCCTTTATTTTTTAAAGGATTCTAGTACGATTTAACTCTGCCATAAATAAAAATATGAATAAGAATGAAGGCAGATATATGAACACAATACAAATAATAAAAGTGTTTTCCAACATAAAACATAAAAACGTAAAGATATAAATAAATACAATCTTTACGTCACAATATTTGTAGATAAGCGATTGCAAAAGGTCTTAGCTGTGTTATACAGTCTTGTTTTTAGATAGGATATGATCCTTGACCTTGTTAGTATAATTTGGAAAAACTTGCACGTGGAGGAGTGTTGCTTGATCTAAAAATAGCATTACCGAACAATCTAAAGGACCTGTACTAGGTTTAACATGTTGAGCATTACTCATGTTAGACCTAGTACACGTCCTTTAGATTCTTTAAAATTCCCAAATTCTATCTTGTTGTGGCCTGTGTGGGACCTGAAATTAAGAAACAGTGTTTGCTTTTGACAGTTGTACCATCTGAGTAGAATAACTTTAAAAGTAGGTGGCATTTTGAATTAATATGTATTACAATCTTCTGTTAAGATTTTAAAAAGGTAGTGTGAAACCACATTCATGAAACAGGTAGAAAGAAGGTGAATCACTGGGGTTTGTGGAAAAATGCTAGACAAATTTGTGAAAACAAAACATCTAGGGTTTATTCCGTGTGTTAGGATTGGAGGTATTTACATGTTGGATTCTGCAGGTATATTTCTGGTATCACTGTTAGACATGCACTCAAATATTCCCAGAGTGGCTGTCCCAACTGTCTCTTTTTCTTCATTTCTGTTACCACCTCCTATGGTCAGCTTTTAAAATTTCCCACCAAATCAGTTGTCATACTCTCTTAATTTATTTCTCTACTGTAATTCCTCCCCTTGCAAACAAACGCCCACAAAAAACCCTATCAAACAAAACCTTTTGTACAGAAGTTATTTTTCCCGCAGTCTGATTATGCGTATCCCTCATTGCTTTCAGGATTCCAGCCCCACATTCAGGGCCCCTCTTCTGAGCCTCTTGCTCTAGCCAAAGGCTATGTTTACATTCTTTCCTTTCCGAAGTGTCACCTGTCTTCTGAAATCACAGCTGTTCCCCCAATCCCAGCTTGAGACCTTGATCAAGTCACTGTAACTTATTCTAAGCGCTTTATACATCTGTGATGAAATATGGGCTTGGCTGGGCATGGTGGCTCACACCTGTAATCTCAGCACTTTGGGAGGCCTAGGCGGGTGGATCACCTGAGGTCAGGAGTTTGAGACCAGACTGGGCAACATGTCAAAACCCTGTCTCTACTAAAAATACAAAAATTAGCTGGGCGTGGTGGCACACGCCTGTAGTCCCAGCTACTCAGGAGGCTGAGACACAAGAATCACTTGAACCTGGGTGGTGGAGGTTGCAGTGAGCCGAGGTTGCACCACTGCACTCTATCCTGGGCAACAGAGCAAGACTCCGTCTCAAGAAAAAAACAAAAACAAAACAAAACAAAAAACCAAAAAGAAGAAATTAGGGATTTTCCTTAACACTTCTGTGATCACTAGGAGGTCTTTCTTTCTACTGCTCTGGTCCCTGGCCTGGCTGTCTGGCCAGCTTGTCTTTGGGAACAAACAGAACAAAACTGCAAGAGGCCTTTCTATCACACCATTAACAGAAGTAAGGCATTCCCAGTTACTCTGTCACACCACCTTGTTTATTCCTTTATGACCTTTTGTGCAATCTATGATTACCTCACCTGTTAGAAAAATGAGGATTTTTTTTTTTTTTGAGACGGAGTTTCGCTTTTGTTGCCCAGGCTGGAGTGCAATGGTGCGATCTCGACTCACCGCAACCTCCGCCTCCCAGGTTCAAGCAGTTCTCCTGCCTCAGCCTCGCAAGTAGATGGAATTACAGGCATGCACCACCACGCTCAGCTAATTTTGTATTTTTAGCAGAGATGGGGTTTCTCCATGTTGAGGCTGGTCTCGAACTGCTGACCTCAGGTGATCCACCCTCCTTGGCCTCCCAAAGTGCTGGGATTACAGGCGTGAGCCACCATGCCCGGCCGAGAATGTCTGTTTTTTAGTCGGAAGGTGAACTTCATGAATGATCCTATCTTGTTCACTGCCCTGTTCTCATTTCCCAGTATGATGCTCTGTATGCAGTAGGTGGCCATTAAATGTTTGAATTAATGGATAAATGCATCAAAATAGAGAGGTATACTGCTGTGTTTGAATCACAGCTCCATCATTTACTAGTTATGTGACTTGGGCAAATAACCTCTCTTTTTCAGCTGTATCTTTTTAAAATGGGGCTATTAATAATACCTATCTCAGGGTTTTGATGAAGACTAAATCCAAAGTATGTAAAGCTCTTAGCATATTAGTAAACTTAATGAATGTTAGCTCTTTTTATTGTTATACTGTTTTATGTTTAGGAAAGTAGAAATATTTTATCTAGGATGCTTAATTTTTTTTTTTTTTTTTTTTGAGACCGAGTCTTGCTCTGTCACCCAGGCTGGAGTGCAGTGGTGTGATCTCGGCTCACTGCAACCTCTGCCTCCCGGGTTCAAGCGATTCTGCTGCTTCAGCCTCCCCAGTAGCTGAGATTACAGGTGCGCACCACCACGCCTGGCTAATTTTTTTGTATTTTTAGTAGAGACGGGCTTTCACCGTGTTAGCTAGGATGGTCTGTAACTCCTGACCTCGTGATCCGCCTACCTCAGCCTCCCAAAGTGCTAGGATTACAGGCATGAGCCACTGTGCCAGCCTAGGATGTTTGATTTTAAGGAAAGCTTTTGTTCTTTAGAGGAGTACAACCAGTTTTACTTGAAAATTGAGTTTTCCAAGAGTTCTTGATGTTCGATTGTGTTTATTAATAGAAGTTTTCCTTCCTATTTAATAGTTTATGTATGTCTTTTTCATTTGTGTGTAAGAATTTTTTGAGGACAGAGGGTGTGTTTTACTCATTTTTGTATTTTCCAAAGTGCCTTGCCCACAGTAGGCCCTCATTTCCTTACATGAAAGAAAAGACATCAGTGGGCTTGCAATGGAAAACAAAGAAATTCTGTATTTACATTATCCTTTGTAAACACTGAATAGTATAGTATATTGTTGATACACTCATTTATTTGCTTATGGTTGAATTTAGTTACTTTTCAGTTTTTTAGCTGATGTTTAACTTTGTGAATAGCATAGGGCAGTTGCTGTCTCCTCTGGTTAGAGGATCAGCTGGGAGGGACCTGAGTGATCTGTAACTATTTATATTTATAAGGCATAAAAGGTAGTAAGCATAGTGTAAGTGGAAGGAGACCTGGATTTTGCTCCCATGACCTTGGGTAAGTCCCCTCCTTTGCTTAATGAAGCATCCTCTTCAATGGAGTTGAGCAGAAGGTGACTAAGAGAGCATCCAGGGTGCCTAGTAGAGCATATAGTAAATTTGGGCCTTATTGTGCATATAACCTCATATGTAATGTTATTAAAATCAGTACCAAGGAAGGCTTAAAAATCTTTGAGGGGAAATGTTACTTGTTTATGAACATTTTTGACAAATCCAATAATAGGTTCTTTAAAAGAAGTGGTAGGTAACATGATTAACTGAATCCAGGAAGAAAGTCTTTTTTTTTTTTTTTTTTAAATAACAAGACAGTTTTTCTTCTCTCTCTCTCTTTTTTTTTTTTTGAGTTGGGATCTTACTCTGTCAACCCAAGGTTGAAGTGCAGTGGCGTGATCTTGGTTCACTGCAACCTTCACCTCCCAGGCTCAAGTGATCCTCCTACCTCAGCCTCCCAGGTAGCTGGGAACACCAGTTTGAGCCACCACACCTGGCTAATTTTTTGTGTTTTTGGTAGAGACGGGGTTTCACCGTGTTGCCCAGGCTGGTCTTGAATTTCTGAGTTCCACTTTGCCTCAGCCTCCCAAAGTGTTGTCTATACAGGTGTGAGCCACTGCACCTGGCTGGAAGAAAGTCTTGTTGAGCATCTTGTAGGTTGGAGTTAGAAGGTAGAGAAGGAATTGCCGTTATAACATGCAGTATCTTTGAAATGCAACCCTGCCCTCTGAAACTTTCTCTGTCAGTAACAACATTCCTGCCAGTGCAGGGTGTTTCTGGAATTCATCTTCATTAAAGGAGATATTATCATGTTGTGCGTTTTTATTTATAGGGATTTTCTTTAAATTCCTCATGTCACTTCAGACCACCCTTAAACACTCCTGTAAGTTAGCTGAGTTTAGGTACAAATGCCATAGCTTCTTATAAGCAAAAAGATAGGATGAGGTAAAGAGAAATTATGAGTCTTTTTAAAACAAAACAAAAATAATTTCATAAATTGTTTATTGTAGAAAAATAGAAAATATGTGTGAAGATAATCAATTACCCAGAGATGATTTCTATGAAATTTTGGTGTGTATTCTTAAGAACATATTTGCGTATTTATTCATGTGCACACAGTTGTGTATGTTTTTACAAAAATGGCAACCATAATACATATAATCTTAGAGAATTTTCTCATCCTTAATGTCTTAACCAGTGTTTTGGTAGTGTCATGTCATGGCTACATTTACATGATCCTTTATAAAGACTGTTATGGGTGTACTGTCATTTGTTTATTCACTTATAGTTGAATTTAATTTCTTTTCAATTTTTTACCTTCTGTTTACTCTTCAATAAATATTCCTCGAAAATTTAAATCATTTTGACTTACTCAGGAACGTATAATAATGGTACAGGATTTGGTACATGAACCCAGAATTGAACTATCCTAAGCTAATTCTATATCCTTTTCCAGAACAGTGGTTCTCACAGTGTAGTTAGTGGATTATTGTTGGTTTGAGGGCCTTCTGGTCATCTATGAAGTTTTGGCATGAAATATACCTACATTACAGTAGAATTTGTAAAACAACAACAACAAAAAAACGAGCATCATTTGGTTGGTAGGCAATCAAAAGTTATACCAGTCTTTGAGTTACCTTTTTGGAAATTGAAGTGCTATAGGAAATGTGATCTTATACTGTTCACTTAGTTTGTGGATTGAAATCAAGTTTTAGTCATGGTTTTTTAAGGTGAATCTTTTTCATGTTTAGCATATTTGCAAAATTTTAGTTAAGTTTTAGTAAATTTCATAGGAGTGACAGACATAAGTGCATAGCTAAGCTCATTCCAGCTCTAGATATTCGGAAGAAAAGCAGTGGCACGGTAACTCCTTCTGTAATTGTCTTTGGTATTACTGCAATAGCAAACACTTTTAGATAGATATTAAATAGGCAGAAATACTTTATAAAGCAACCGTTGAGCTTCATTCTGTATCAAATGTTTAATGTAATGGAATATAAATGTAATTACAACCCTTTGTGCTTGATCCTGAACTTCGCCTGACCTCACAGTTTTAACATGAAGCATTCTTTTATTCATGCTTGGGCAGGTAGTGCTCCCAGCTCAACAATTATAAGTCTTTTCCTTTGATTTCCTTGATTGGTATCAGTCTTGTCTCTGGGTTTGAATAAAGAGCAATTCAAAACACTCTGTAAACGAGGCCTGCCTTTCTCATTGTGTGTGCATGTGTGTGTGGGGCACCTTATGGATGAAACTAGGATAGGGACCCCATGGAACTTCTCATGCTTTGTAAGTTGTAAATAAGTTCTCTCCTGTTTTTATCTCCAGTAACCTGACTTATTGCAAGGCTCAGTAAAGATTTCTTCCTGATACACCAGAGCTGTGCCATGTCTGTTGGAAAGCATTTCTAAAAACCCTGTTAAGGCCAGGCGCCGTGGCTTATGCCTGTAATCCCAGCACTTTGGGAGGCTGAGGCGGGCAGATATCTTGCTACGAGATCAGCCTGGTCAACATGGGGAAACCCCGTTTCTACTGAAAATACAAAAATTAGCTGGGTGGTGATGGTGCATGCCTGTAATCCCAGCTACTACTCAGGAGGCTGAGGCACAAGAATCTCTTGAACCTGAGAGGTGGAGTTTCAGTGAGCTGAGATTGCGCCACTGCACTCCAGCCTGGGCAACAGAATAAGACTGTCTCAAAAACAAACAAACAAACAAAAAACAACAAACCAAGAAAAGCCCCTGTTAATTGGGGTCTGCTATCTGCTAATGTGGCATTTATCTGGGTCACAGGCTCAAGCCTTTAAAGAGTGGTTAGGATATAAATGATAAGTGAAATTGTAACTTTAGCAACTTCCCTTATCATTATAAAGTGGGAGGCAACAGAGACTTCTCTGTGTTTTGAATGTGTGTTTAATGATTCTTCTGTGATTTAAGTACAAAACGCAAACCAATCTTTGCATCACATTCTGAAGGTTAACCCTGTCTTATCCAGCAAGTTACAGGCTTAGTCGTTCAATAAAATAGGTAAATGTAAGTTCCGTTAGGTTTTAAAAATGTCATAACTTTTTTTTGTCTTCTGAGTGGGGATTTATGTTATTACTGATTATTTCACTAACTGGTAATAGGGATGGGATTGACTATTAGAATACTGTTAACTTCTCACTCCACTAAACAAATGATAGAGAAAAATGTGAATGTTGTTACATGAATAATTTAATATTGCTTTTGAATTAAAGTTTTAAGGACCATAAAGTCAGGATCTGTCGATGTATGTTTTCTAAATTGTTTTTGATATTGAGTAGAATAAAAATATTAGTAAATGTTTGGGAAAAAAACTCAAACTTTTTTCCCTCTGTTCTCATACCACAACAGTCATCAACACAGATGATTTCTGTAACCAAACCTATGGGGGTTTCTCCTCACCACCAAGCGAGCAATCATTTCTGCAGTGGACACCAACTGGGTGTCCTTTAGTTCATTTCCTACACTGTTTGACTGGATATAGTGTCAGATCCCAGAGATAGAGGGCTTAGTCCTCGAAGCTGCCCCTTTCCCACCCTGTTCAGACACCAGTCACGAGTTTGGGCCTCCGGAACTTAAAACTTGACTGGCTTCAAGTTGGGGTTCTCATGGCTCCCCCTCTTTGGGTTTGGTTAATTTGCTAGAGCAGCTCACAGAACTCAGGAAAATACTTATTTTACTAGTTTATTATAAAGGATATTGCAGAGGATACAGATGAAGAGATGCATAGGGCAAGGTATTGGGGAAGGGATGCCAAGCTTCCATGAGTTCAGTGTTCAGCTAGCTATTTGGAAACTCTCTGAACCCAATCCTCTTGGGTTTTTATGGAATCTTCATTCCTTCAGGGTATATGGGGTGGGACCCTCTCTGGAATGAGAGTCTTATGACCCACATCACAAAGGTGGGGGTTAGACACTTGCCTTCAGGTAGGGTGAAAGGAAGAGAGCAGGAGAAGGTTGGAGAGAGTCTGTTTCCTGAGGCCTAAAGCACCCAACACTATAACGAGACTGCAACAAGGCTAGGGGAGTTATTAGCCAAGGAACTGTGGACAGATACACACACACACACACACACACACACACACACACACATACACACACACACACACACACACACACACAAAATAACACAGCAAATCATCCACGGGATCTAAAGAAGCATGATACAGTAAATGCCTATATACCTACCATCTAACTTATTAAAAAGAACATTACCAGGAAAACAAGTGAAAACAGAAGGCTCCTTTTTCTTTGTCCCTCATCCAAGAGGTATTCCATATCCTGAATTTTGTGTTTATCATTCATTTGCATTTCCATGTTTGATTTCTTAAAAAATGTATTTTTAATGTTTTTGAAATTTTTTTTACCAACAAAATGATTACATGTATTCTTTTACAACATGCGTTTTTTTGTTTGTCATTATGTTCCTGAGATTTATCCATGTTTCATTGTAGCTCTGGTTCATTTTCATTGTTTTCACTGCTATGTGATATTCCAATAAATTAATATATCATAACTTTTACATTCTTCTGTCAATGGAAATTTGGGTTGTTACGGTTTTTCTATTATAAATAGTCCTCCTCTAGACATTCTTGTGCCTGATTCTTGGTGCCTGTTTGTAAAAATTTCTCTTGGGTATACCCCTAAGGAGTAAATTTTTTGGGTCATAGGATATGTGTTTAGCTTTACTTTGATGATACCAGATTGTTTTCCAAAGTGGTTGTACTTCAAAATAAATAATTGGGACATAATTAAAGTAAAAAGCTTCTGCACAGCAAAAATAATAATAATAATCACAGTAAACAGACAACCTGTAGGGAGAAAATATTTGCAAACTATGCATCTGACAAAGGACTAATACCCAGAATCTACAAGGAACTCAAACAAATCAGCAAGAAAAAAAAATCAAATAATCTCATCAAAAAGTGGGCAAATGACCTAAATAGAATTTTCTCAAAAGAAGATATGGCCAACAAACATATGAAAAAATGCTCAATGTCACTAATCATCAGGGAAATGCAAATTAAAACCACAATGAGATACCACCTTACTCCAGCCAGAATGGCCATTACTAAAAAGTCAAAGAACAATAGATGTTGGCATGGATGTGATGAAAAGGGAATACTTAAACACTGCTGGTGGGAATGTAATTTAGTACAACCACTGTAGAAACCACTGGGTATCTATCCAAAGGAAGAGAAGTCATTATATAAAAAGACACCTGTATATGTATGTTTATCGCAGCACATTTCACAATTGCAAAGATAGGGAACCAACCTAAGTGTCAGCTGATGAGTGGATAAAGCAAATTTGATATATATACATCATGAAATACTCCCCAGCCATTAAAAAAAGAATGAAATAATATCTTTTGCAGCAACGTGGAAGGAACCAGAGGCTGTTATTCTAAGTGAAGTAACTCTGGAATGGAAAACCAAGTACCAGGTCGTCTCGCTTACAAGTAGGAGCTAAGCTGTGGGTACTCAAAGACATTCGGAGTGGTATAATGGACTTTGGAGACTCAGAAAGGGGGAGGGCTGGCTGAGGGTGAGGGATAAGAAACTACATATTTAGTACAATGTACATACTAGGATGACTGCACTAAAATCTCAGACTTTAGCATTAAACAAAAAACAAAAATGGTGGTACTTATAGAGAGTTTATGTTGTTTCATATGCTAGCTAGGACTTGTTGTTAACAGACTTTTTATTTTTGCCAGTCTGGAGTTGTGTATTACTCATGAACAGCAGTGTTCACTGGGCTATTTGCATCAGTACACTTGCAAAAATTTAAAAGGGTTTAACTGTCTTCAAGGGGCTTATGCTATTCTTGTATAGACAAGAAGTACTGGAAAAAAGATAAATAACAGGGAAGTGCTAGTGAATGTTATAGACAAGGAACTATGTTTTCCTTGAATTTTTTATAATTTTACTGAGTTTCTCTAGCTTTTTACTGTGACAAATTTCAAACAAATAGAAAAGTTTAAAGAAGAATATAGTATAATTGCAGTATACTCTTCACCTAAGTTAACATTTTGCTGTATTTGTTTTATTTATGTGTGCTTGTATGTGTATTGGGTGTGTGTGTATATGTGTATTTGTTGAAATATTTTGGGAATAAGACACAGAAAACACGACACTGAATCTATTAAATATTCAGCAAACATTTTCTAATGACAAGGGCATTCTTAACTATAATACTATTATTACACCTAAGAAGATTAACAAGAATTCTCTGATTTCATCTAATAGGCCAATCTTACTTAAATTTCTCAATTATCTCCCAAATGTCATCCATAAAAGCTTTTTTGTTTGTTTTGCTTTTTGATTATAGACTCAGGAACCTATCAAAGCTCACATATAGCATTTGGCTGTCATGTCTCTTAATTTAGAATAGTCCTCATCTTATTTTCATGATACTAGCTTCTTGAAGAGGCTAGTCAGTTGTCTTGTAGAATGTTACACATTTTTGATTAACTGTTTCCTCAAAGTGTCTTTAAGTTGTTCTTTTGTCCCCTGTAGTTTCTGTAAGCCAGAAATCAAGCCCAACTGCTGTTAGATTTGTGAAACACTTTTTTTTTTTTTTTGAGACGGTCTCATTCTGTTGCCCAGGCTACAGTGCAGTGGTGTGATCATGGCTCACTACAGCCTCAACCTCCTGAGCTCAAGTGATGCTCCCGCCTTGGCCTCCTGAGTAGCTGGGACCATAGGCATGCCACCATGCCTGGCTAATTTTTGTACTTTTTGTAGAGATGGAGATCTCCCTATGTTGCCCGGGCTGCTGTCTCACTCCTGGGCTCAAGTGATCTGCTTGCCTCGGCCTCCCAAAGTACTGGGATTACAGGTGTGAGCCACTGCACCTGACCGTGAAACGCTGTTGACAAGACTCATAGGTGATGTTATCCACTTCACATTTCATCACATCAGGAGGCACAGAGTGGCTGGTGGTTCTGTTCCTAGCAGATCACCATTGATTGCACAGGTACTTTTTTTTAACCTCACAATTGGCATTTAATCTGTGGGATGATATTCTGGCACTTGGAGAGTATGCATTTTCTCAACAATCTTTCTCTGAGTGGTTTTAGCATTGCGATGATCCTTACCTGATAATTATTTCAGTGGAGGTTGCAAATGGTGATTTTCTCCCTAAGTCTGTCATTCAATAGCTGATCTTTTTTTTTTTTTCTGTAAGGTAGAGTTTTCCCTCATCAACTGGTAAATGAACTACGTTCCACCATTCCTACCAAGAAGATAGAAATGGTTGTGTACTGGGCACTAACCAGTAGTTGCAAATGTTTGTTGTTTTCAATTAGGAGCTTTGGATTGTTTTCTTTTTCATGTTCAAATTGTCTCAAATTTGATTAGTGTTATCACCTTTAAAGTGGCTTCTATATCCTTTTGAGTCTCCTCCATTACTCTCTGATTGCTTCCTAGCTCTCTGGCATATGATAAAACACATTCCCTAATACTTTCCCAGCCCCAGATCTGCAATCAGTCTTGTTTCTAAGCAGCCCTGGTTTCTGGCAGGAATGTTTTTAGAAATCTACATCTGAGTGCTAGGTATGCTTCCTCCTGTAATGTCCTTGCCTTTAGAAGAAGGGGTAGTGACATCTTCAAGGAATATTGCTCATGTGGAGGACACAGATAAAACAGCTAAAGAACAGTTTTTAAAAGCAGCACACTAAGTAGCTGAACAATGTACTAGGTAAAGACAGGCTTTGAAACGCCTCATGAAGGAGTTAAGAACTGAATTTTGATAAATAGGTGTGAAAATCAAATAGAGGAGTAGGTAAATAAAATGGTATATATTAAGGTGAAGGAGAGGACATTCTCTGCAGGGAAAGGATGTGTTTATGGAAGTAGGAGCAAGCTGAGGCATGTAGGTAATAGCAAGTAGATTAGCAGCTTTACTTTAAGGAAGAGTCCAAGTACAGAAATATAAGGAAATGAAATGATCGTTAGTAGGGATAGAGACCTTGCTGTTCAGTTGAATATTTTTTTCCAAAATGTAAATATTTCCTGTTAAATATATTGTTATAAAAAGGAGTACATGATCTTTGCAGAAATTTAAAACAGAAGTGTGTTAGGTGAAAACTATCATAATTCTAGCATCCTAAAACCAAAGCATTGTTTGGTTTCTTATCTTTCCAGATTTTTACATATGTACTATATACAGGTTAAGAACATGGATGCTGTCTTAAGAGGGCCTGCATTCAAAACTTGGACTTGTCATTAATTACCCCTGTGTTTTTTGGACATGTTAATCTGTGCCTCAGCTTTCTCATCTGTAAAATGAGATATCTGTGATAATAGTACCTATGTCTTGGTAGTGGTGTGAGGATTAATTCTCTGCCTAATCAGTGCTTGGTATGTAGTAAAATCTCAAATGTTAGCTGCTGTTTTTTATCTTTCAAAATAAAATAGAATTGTTGCTCTGCATTATATACACCTATACAGTTTTGTAATTTACCATTTTTTACATATCTTTAAAAAATTTGTTATAAAAAACATTTAATTTTACTGTCTTAATTATTTTTATGTGTATAGTTCAGTAGTGTTAAGCATATTTATGTTGTGAAACAGATCTCTAGAACGTTTTCATTTTGCAGAACTGAACTCCATAGCCCTATAACAGCAACTCTCCTTTGTCCTGTTTCCCAAACCCCTGGTAACTACTATTCTACTTTCTGTAGGAATTTGACTACTTTAGACATTTCATATAAGTCAGATTACACAATATTTGTTCTTTTGTGACTGGCTGATTTCACTTAATGCCCTGAAAGTTCCTTCATGTTGTACCCGTCACAGGATTTCCTTTGTAAGGCTGCATAGTATTTCATTTTATGTGTACCGCATGTTGTGTTTATCCATTCTTCTCTTGATGGACATTTGGGTTGTCTCTACCTCTTGGTTATTGTAAATAGTGCTTATGAACACGAGCGTGCAAATATTTCCTTGAGACCCTGCTTTCAGTTCTTTTGGATCTATACTCAGAAGTGGGATTGCTGGATCACACGATTATTTGTTTTTAGTTTTTTGAGGAGCAGTCATTCTGTTTTCTATAGTAGTTGGATTGTTCTACAATTCCAACACAATGTACAAGGGTTCTGATTTCTCCATATCCCCACCAACATTTGTTCTTTTCTGTTTTGTTTTTTTCATAGTAGTCATCCTAATGGGTATGAGCTGATACTTCATAGAGATTTTGATTTGCACTTTTCTGATGATTAGTGATGTTGAGCACGTTTCATATGCCTGTTGGCTAGTATATATCATCTTTGGAGAAATGTCTGCTTAAGTCTTTTGCCCATTTTAAAAATTGGGTTAATTCATTTTTTGATATTATGTTGTAAGAGTCTTAAAATATAATCTAGATGTCAACCCATTACCAGGTATGTTATTTGCAAATCTTTTCTCCTATTCCATAGGTTACCTTTTACTCTGTTGATTGTGTCCTTTGATGAACAAAAGTTTTTTAAGTTTGAGTAGTCTCATCTGTCTGTTTTTGCTTTAATTGCCTGTGCTTTTGGTGTTATCTCCAAACAATCATTGCCTAGTCCATTGTCACAAAGTATTTCCCCATTTCCCTTATGTTTTCATCTAGGAGTTTTATAGTTTTGGGTCTCATGTTCAGGTCTTTAATCTCTTTTGAGTTAATTTTTATATATGGTTAAGATAAGGGCACAACTTTATTCTTTGGCATTTGGATCCAGTTTTCCCAACAGTGTTTATTGAAGAGACTATTCTTTGCCTGTTGGCACCCTTGTCAAAAATCATCTGAGGCCAGGTGTGGTGCCTCACACCTGTAATCCCTGCACTTTGGGAGGCTGAAACTGGAGGATTGCTTGAGCCCAGGAATTCGAAACCAGTTTGGGCAAGATGGTGAAACCCTTTCTCTACAAAGAATACAAAAATTAGCCAGGCGTGTTGGCATGCGCCTGTAGTGCCAACTACTTGGGAGGCTGAGGCAGGAGGACCCCTTGAGCCCTAAAGAGTTTGAGGTGGCAGTGAGCTATGATTGTGCCACTGCACTCCAGCTTAGGTGACGAGGTGAGACCCCATCTTTAAAAAACAAAAACCTCCCAAAAAACACACATGACCAAATACACAAGGATTTATTTCTGGATTCTGTTCCATTTGTCTGTGTATCTGTTTTTATGCCAGTATTACACCATTTTCATTACTGTAGCTCTGGTATGTTTTGATATCAGGAAGTGTGAGTCTTCCAAATTTGCTCTTTTTCAGAATTGTTTTGGCTATTTGGGTCCCTTGAGATTTCATATGAATTTTAGAATTTTTTTCAATTTCTGCAAAATATGCCATTGGGATTTGGTGAGGATTGCATTGAATCTGTAAACTGCTTTGGGTAATATTGATATCTTAACCTTATCGTTTTCAGATACATGAACATGGGATGTCTCTCTATTTGTGTTGCCTTTACTTGCTTTTGGCAACGTGTTGTAGTTTGCATTATACAAGTCTTTTAACCTCCTTAGTTTAGGTTTATTTCTAGGTATTTTATTTTTAATGGAAATTTATTTTTAAATGGAATTGTTCCTTAATTTATCTTAAAATTATTCATTGTTAGTGTATAGAAATGCAACTGATTTTTATGTTGATTATCCTGCAACTTTAGTTTATTAGCTCTAACAGTTTTTTTTTTAATGAAATCTTTAAGGTTTTCTACATGTATAAGATCATGTCATCTGTGAACAGAGATAATTTTACTTCTTCCTTTTTAATTTGGATGCCTTTTATTTCTTTTTCTTGCCTAATTGCTCTGGCTAGGACTTCCAATACAATGTTGAATAGAAGTGATGAGAGCTGGCATCTTTATCTTGTTCCTGGACTCAGATGAAAAGCTTTCTGTCTTTCACCATTGAGTTTGATGTTAGTTATGGGCGTCTTATATATGAGCTTTGTTATGTTGAGGTAATTTTCATGTATTCCTAGTTTGTTGAGTGTCTTTATTTTGAAGGAGTATCAGATCTTGTCAGATGGTTTTTCTGAATCAATTGAGATGATTATGTGATTTTTATCCTTCATTCTGTTAATGTGATGTATTAAATTGATTTTTGTTTTTGAATATTCTTGCATTCCTGGAATAAATTCCACTTGGTCATGGTGTATAGTCCTTTCAGTGTGCTATTGAATTTATTTGTTAGTGTTTTGTTCAAGATTTTGCATCAATATTTATAAGGGATACTGGTCTTTAGTCTTTATCTGGCTTTGGTATAAGGGTAATGGTGGTTTCAAAGTATGAGCTTGGGCTGGGCGTGGTGGCTGATGCCTGTAATCCCAGCACTTTGGGAGGCTGAGGCAGGCGGATCACCTGAGGTTGGGAGTTCGAGACCACCCTGACCAACATGGAGAAATGCCATCTCTACTAAAAATACAAAATTAGCCAGGCGTGGTGGCATATGCCTGTAATCCCAGCTACTCGAGAGGCTGAGGCAGGAGAATTGCTTGAACCTAGGAGGCGGAGGTTGCGGTGAGCAGAGATCGCTCCATTTCACTCCAGCCTGGGCAACAAGAGTGAAACTCCATCTCAAAAAACAAAACAAAACAAAACAAAACAAAATGAGCTTGGAAGTTTTCTCTCCTCCTTTTTAGTTATTGAGTCTTATCTCTTTTCTTCGGTAGTCTAGCTAAGGGTTGGCCACTTTCTTTTCATTGTTTTTATTTTTTTGGGTAAAGATGGGGTCTTGCTGTGTTGTCCAGGCCGGTCTTGCATTCCTGGCCTCAGGCAGTCCTTCCCACCTCAGTCTTCCTTATTGCCTATTAATTTCTAATATTTATTATTTCCTTCTGTTAGCCTTAGGTTTTATCTTTTCTTCTTTTTCTAGTTCTTGAGGTAAAAGTCGGGTTGTTAATGTGAGTTTTTTTTTTTTTTTTTTCAAGACAGTGTCTCGCTCTGTCACCCAGGCTGGAGTGAGGTGGCACAATCTTGGCTTACTGCAACCTTTGCCTCCTGGATTCAAGTGATTCTCTTGCCTCAGCCTCTCGAGTAGCTGCACTGACTTACAGGTGCCTGCCACCACGCCCGGCTAATTTTTGTATTTTTAGTAGAGACAGGGTTTCACCATGTTGGCCAGGCTAGTCTCGAACTGCTGACGTCAGGTGATCTGCCCCGCTTGGCCTCCCAAAGTGCTGGGATTACAGGCATGAGCCACCACACCCGGCCGAGGTGTTTCTTTTTTAGTGTATATGTTTACAGCTGTAGACTTTCCTTTTAAAACATCTTTGGCTGTATCCCATAAAGTTTTTTTTTTTTTTTTTTTTTTTTTTAAAGATTTAAAGAGGTTTATTCTGAGCCAAATAAGAGCGACCAAGGTCTGTGACACAGCCTCAGGAGTTCTTGAAAACATGTACCCAAGGTGGTTGGGTTACAGCTTGATTTTATACATTTTAGGGGGACAGAAGTTACAGGCAGACATTAATCTGTACATGTAAGGTGTGCACTAGTTTGGTCCGCAAAGGTGGGACAACTTGAAGTGGGGTCTTCCAGGTCATAGGTGGGTTCAAAGATTTTCTGATTAGCAGTTGGTTGAAAGAGGCAACTTATTATCTAGGGGACTGGAATTAATAGAAAGGAGTGTCTGGATTAAAATAAGGGATTGTGAAGACCAAGGTTCTTACTATGCATCCCGTAAGTTTTGCATACTAAATGTTTTTGTTTTTATTTGTGTTGAAGTTCCCTTGTGACTTTTTCTTTGACACATTGGATTGAGAGTATGTTTCATTTCCACATATTTGTGGATTTTTCACATTTCTAACTTACCTATTTTTTTAAAACCTAAGACATTGTAGACTTCTTTGCACATGTAAGATTAATTTCATTACTTCTTTCTTTTATGAAAATATTTTTATTTTCTATAAATACATTTGGAAGAAATTATTTCTTCCCAACCCAGTCCACCCCATTAACTGTCAGTTTTTTCTACTAAAAAAGATGCTAATACCACCCTCACCTGTGACTGCTAAACAGAAAAATATTGCCTGGACTAGGCATTATTCCCCTAGTTGGAAATAAAGGCTGTTGGGCATGGGAGTTTGATCTTGTAAAGAAATCAACACTGAGACAAAGGATCTCTTAGCAAGGCTGGTTTACTTTCTGCCAAAAGGGTGCACTCACCAGCAGTCCAGCCACGAGAGCACACCAAACAAAGGAGACGGGGACATTTATAACCTTTACATCCTGATGCAATCCCCTATGGCTGTGTCCCGTTCCCATTGGCTGGGATGGGACCTCACACTCTAAACTTAACTGGATTGGTTAATAATTTAAAACTTTCCTAAATAGGACGAAGGGAAAAAGGACAAAGAAAAGAGGAAGTTAGTGATGAGAGGTCAGAGGGGTTCCCAAATAAGGAATGGCATGTATCCTGATCTGGGACTCATTTAGCCTTATCTCAACCTACTGGAACAAGCTGGAGCAGCCTTGGAATACACACATCCTAACATTTAACCGGGGAATGATAAATCTGTATGGATTTAAGAAACTTTGAGGAACTTCTCCATTCCTTTCAATTCCCTCCTCTTTTTGTTTTATAATTCTTCAAACTTGTCTAGCAAGTCTCTGCTTTGTTGTTTGGCTTGATCCCCTAATAAAAGCAACCTTTCCGAATAGGGTGGGGGAGAGGCAGAGGATAGATTATTAAGGGTTGTACTGATGAGCCTTTGTACAAGCCGTCGAATACAGGGTATGACACAACATCCAATAAGTAGAAGTATACCTAACACAGTTATAGAGGAAGTGAGGATTGAGGTTAAGATATCTTTCCAATTTCCAAATCAGTTTTCTAGCCAGCTAGAGATGGGTTATTTATGCCAGAGTTCTTAGCTAGCTTGTTTGATAAAGCAGTAAGTCCCTCTAGGGCTCTTGTTATACTTCTATCTGGGGCTGTGTTATTTGGAATGAACGTGCAGTATTGGGTCTTAATCATTACGCAAACACCACCTTTCTCAGCTAGCATCATATCAAGAGTGATTCTGTTATCCTGTGTCATTTGGCTAGTAGATCTTAATTCATCTGCAATTCCCCTGACCACTTTGGTGTAGTTAACTAATCATTGTTGATTATAGTAAATATAGTTTATCCAGTCTACATTTTTGTTTATCGTGACCCACCAAAATAACGTTGACTCGAGTCTAGCAGCTATCTGATCTCTGGCCTTAAATTCATCAGGAACCCCCCTTGCAACACCTGTCGCATCTAGGTGGATATGAGGATCAAAGGATCTGTAAGGAGCTCTTGTAGTGTGTTGGTGGTGGGGTGTTTCCTATTTTTGTTGATGAAATGCCAGGGTAAAAGGGATAGCCAATTGGACTAGAGTGCAAGTACCATTCCAGTTATATGGCAGAGTATCCAGTAAGTGCCCCCCGACATTACCACCATATGTCCCACTCAAGGATGGCTGATGGAGGCCTCATGGGTTAGCTCTTAGAAGTGCCTTACCTCCCTGCATCCTGTGAAATTTCCAAGGAATATTGAGTTCTCCTCCTGCTGTGAGAGGCATGAGGCAAACTCTGCCCTGGAAGATGGAGGCTGAATGGCCCTCGGGGGCTGACCCTCAGGGTGTTGTACTTCAGGATATAGCAGAGAGAGAGCTTGGCAAGATTCATCATTCCAGGCTGTAGAATCTTGAAAGAGAGCTACCACACACTCCAAATCCGTCGCATGTGAAGAACACTTAAGTGGAAAGGGGACAATCTGGGCCTCTGGCTTACCGTGTGCACAAGTGTAACAGTCGCTTTTGTTTAGAGTGTGGACAGAATATTTAATCCGTTTTAACCAGGCATTTGCATCTTGATACCCTGTCTCAATAGCTTAAGTCTGCTTTAAGTCATTTACTTGTACTACTGATGCTTTTGTCTTATCATTTAGTAAAGGACTAATTGGGATAATAGAAGTTTGATTTAAAGCCGAGACTACTGGGGTTGGAGAAGGGAAAGGAGGAAGAGGGAGAAGGCGTATTTCAAACCTCCCTATCGGATCCTTCCCCTTTGACATTTGCCCAATACCGTAGAGATGGCCGATAGCTGGCTGATTATCTATATTAGAATTAAGAATAGGGTTACACTGATAAAGCTTACAATCAGGGGAAATGCTTCCTTATGTGAAATAAAGATTAGGCCTAAGCTCAGTACAAACCCCTCCTGTAGAGGTCCAGCCTCTGTATTGAGTGGTCCATAGAACATTATTCCAACTGCTGCAAGGCTGCCATTCGGTGGGAATGAAGAAGCGGCGTCTTGGCTTTAATTGATCGCATCTATGGGAGTGAGAGACTGTTAGATTAAATGGGGGACCAGGACATAGATATTTTTCTGAAGAGGCTAGTTGCCTTTGGTTATGTAGGTCCCCGCATGGCATCACTAGACAAGCATCAAAGGATATCACTTGAGATGATTCCAATCTAGTTATGTTAATAATAAAATGAGAGATAGTGAGAGGAAAGAAAGAAAAATAGAAATAAAGGTATGTTAGGTTCTTCTTAATTTTAACTTGGTGGGACTTGGCTCGGGGACCACAATCCAGGATTCTGAGGGTGTCGACGCTTTCTTGACTCGAGTGTGATGGGTCCACCCCTTCTCGGCAGTGCGAACTGCGGTTTCGATGGTCAATAACATGAGGTAGGATCCTTCCCAGGCTGGCTCGAGCCTTCCTTCCTTCCATCCCTTTATGAAGACGTGGTCTCCAGGCTGATGCGATTGTACTGGGAATTCCAAGGGTGGTGCTTGTGCTAAAAGACCTTTGGTTTTAAGGGAAGAAAAAGTAGAGGAGAGTCCAAATATGTTATTTCTAAGGAACTGATCTTTGGTTTCAAAGGTAGGCACATCAGCTGAGGAATGTAAGTAAGGCAATCCATATAACATTTCATAGGGGGATGAACCTGTATCTCTTCGGGGAGCTGTCCTGATTCTGAATAAAGCAATAGGGAGGCATTTGGTCCATCGTAGATGAGTCTCTAAAATTTAGTTAGATGACTTGTCTGATTCATTCTTTCTACTCTCCTGGAGGAGGAGGGGTGCCACCGAATGTGGTATTCCCATTCTATGTCCAGCACCTGGGCCAGTTTTATCATAATGTGTGCCGTAAAGTGGGTCCCATTATCTGAGTCAACATTTTCTATTAATCCAAACCTGGGTATAATATGTTCAATTAAGGCCGTCACTATATTACTGGCAGTGGCCTTTGAGAAAGGAGTGGCCTCTACCCAATGAGTGATGTGGTCTACTATCACTAATAGGTATTTTAGCCTACTGGCAGCATTTCAATATAATCAACTTGAACACTTTGGAATGGTCTTAGCCTAGGTGTTCTTCATCCTAGAGGTAGTTTCTTTAGGGTCTGCTTATTAGTTTTCTTACAGATAATGCAGCTGTCAGTGACCTGTCTGGCCAGGGTGTAGATCCCAGTACATCCATAGACTGAGGACAGCGTCACATAGGGCCTGAGGGCCCCAGCATGTTCCTTGGTGTAAGTGGGACAGAACTTCTTTCATAAGGGGTTTGGAGAGCATCTCTCTCTGATCTGGGAGAATCCATCTCCCTTCTGTATTTTCTTTAGCCCACATTTCGCTTAGTTTTTCCTTTTAGGCTGAAGAGAAAATAGGAGCTAATTTGGGGGAGAGGAGGGAGGGAGTTAGATGAAATATTTGTTTCACAGCCATTGCTGCTCTTTTGGCTACCTGATCTGCAAGATTATTACCTCGACTTTCAAATGAAAAGTCATGCTGGTGTCCAGGGACATGTACAATAGCTATTTCTCCTGGTAGCTGGAGATTATTTAAAACACAAGTCACTAATGACTCATGAGCAAGCTTTTGGCCTTGGCTGTTCATCAGGCCTCTGTCTGCCCCAATTTTTCCAAATGTATGCGCTACCCCAAAAGCATACTTACAGCCTGTATAAGTGTTCCTATCTCATTTTCTGGATATTTAAGGGCCTGACTGAGAGCAAATAGTTCACAGCCTTCGGCGGAATAGTTATCAGGTAATTGCCCCGATTCAGTTTCCTCAAGAGTTTCTCCATCCACCACAGCATATCCACTGTGCCTGTCTCCATCAAACATCCGAGAGGACCCATCTAGGAACAAATGTTGTCTTGTTTTATAAGGGGTTTCAGATAGGTCTGGTCATACCTTGGTATCATAATTAAATCTAGATACAAATGTTCTGTTTGCAGCAATGGATTCCCTCTTAAGAATCCGGCAGGGTCAAGTGAACTATCAGTGGTTATAGTTAGATAATCTCTTTCTAATAGGATAGCCTCATACTTTAAAATCCTAGAATCAGTCAGCCATCTTTCCGCTTTTTGATTTAGGATGACATTGACCTTATGGGGTGTACTTACTGTTAAGTATCCCCCAAAGGTAATCTTTCTGCTTTCTTCCACTAATATGGCATTGGCTGCCACAGACTGGATGCACTGGGGACAGCCACTGGCAACTGGATCTAAGACTTTGGACAGAAAGGCAACTGGTTGCCGGTGGTCTCCATGTTGTTGAGTGAGTACTCCAAGGGCCACTCCATTGTCTGTGCTAACAAAAAGATGAAAGGGTTTTTCTAAAGAAGGCAGGGCTAAAACAGGGGCAGATATTAATCATGCTTTTAATTCATTTATTTGGTCTACTTCATCAGAAGTCCTTATAAGTGGGTCTGGCCTATTTTTAGTTAATTTCTCATAAAGCAATTTACTTCTTAATGCATAAGAATCAATCCATAATCTACAGTATCCAGTCAATCCCAGAAATAAGTTCCTGTTTTGTTTGAGGCAGGGGCAAGGAGACATTTCCCTCGACCTGTTCAGGTCCTATTCTCCTTTTGGCCGTGCTAATTAGATGACCTAAATGTCTAACTTCTGTTTCTACATATTGGAGCTCTTCTTTGGAGACCCGCAGTCCCTTAGAGTATAAATGATTCAGGAAGTACACAGAGTATTCACTTACTTTTTCTATATCTTCTCCAGATATAAGTATGTCATCCATATATAGGATTAATTGTAAATGTGGTGGAGTGTCTGTCTTTCTAATAATCCTATCTAGAGCATGAGTAAAAATATTCAGTGAATCCTCAAATCCTGGGGCAATACTATCCACCGGTACTGCTGCTTCTGTCCTGTATGGGGGTCCTCCCATTTGAATGTGAATAGATCTTGGCTGTCCTCAGCCAAAGGACGTGCCCAGAAAGCATCCTTTAAGTCTATTACAGTAAACCATTGATGACTTTACAGAATTTTACTAAGGTTAATATATGGATTTGTCATAGTAGCGTGAGTGGTTTGAACTATTTCATTTATAGCTCTGAGATCTTGTACTAATAGGTAGGATCCATCAGGCTTCCTGACAGGTAGGATAAGGGTATTATACGGAGACATGCAAGGCTCTAAAAGTCCATCTTTAATAAGGCCTTCAATCACAGGTTTTAGTCCTACCCGGCCTTCCAGGGAGATCGGGTATTACTTTCTCCGGGCTACTCCCCCTTGGAACCTTTAAATGTATTTGTATCAGGGGAATCCGTAACTCCCTTGCTTTCCTTCTCTTGACCATAAATCCGGATGAATTTTCCTCTCATCAACAGTAGTTAGCAGGTGGAGAGAGGGAAGGAACCCCTTTGGCCCTACTTGCAGTCCAAGACCTAACTTTAGCATTAAGTCTCTTCCTAACAAATTAGTGCCTGCTTCAGGAATTAATGGAAATTGAATATTAGCTGCCTCATTTTTGTATCTGACTTCTATATCTTCTAGGATTTTGGCCTTAAACCTCTCTTCTTTCACCCCAGATAATAGTAGCTCTTCTGGAGAACAGCTGAGGCCACTTGGAGAAAAGCGTAAGGAAGAACAAGTAGCTCCAGAATCAATGAGGAATGTTATTAGTTAATGGTTTGGTCCCACCTCCAAATTTATCAAGGGCTCTTGATGGGACTCAAGGTGGAAAAGAAAGAGCCCCTGACTCACGTATTCTTCCTCTCTGAAGGTTGGCATGAGAGGAGGAATTTCCTCTGTGGCCTTTAGGTCAGGGCATTCTCTCTTAAAATGGCCTGTTTTTCCACATTTATAATACCTATCTTGTCCCCCTTCTTGTTCTATTCTGGAGATCCTTTGTTTTAGTTTCTCTTCATCTGCTCTACATCTCCACCCTTTATGACATATGCTGTGGTCTTCTCATGTTCCATTTCAACCTCGACCCCTGCCTCTCTGTGAGATGGCACCCCTGGACACTGGTCAAAATCTCATCCCAGGTATATTTGGTCCTAGTGAAATCTGCCAAAAAATTTTTGCCTTTTGTTTTTGTCTGTCTTCATCCTTCTCATGTATGCTTTCTCTGCTGCTGCTAAAAGTTCTTCAATTGACTGATTTTTCCACCTCTCTATCTTTTGTAGCTTCCTCGCGATACCTGGCCAACTATTGGTAACAAAATGTAATTTTAACATACCTTGTCCTAGTGGACTGTCAGGATCTAAATCAGCATACCTTCTTATCTGCTCCCTTAGTCTAAAAAGTGCATAGGTCCCTCATCTTTCTCTTGTTGTTCATCAAAGGCCTTAGTGAGGTTTTGGGGTCTGGGTGCAGACTCCTTGATACCTTTTATAATTAATTCTTGTAGATCCCTCATATTCTTCTGGTGAGCAGCATTATTATTATTCCATTGTGGGTCCCGAGCAGGAAATGTAACATCCGCTGCCGGAATATTTTGACCGGCAGGGTAATCACGTTCCCAGGCCCCCATAGCAGCTCTGCAGATCATGTTCCGCTCTTCCTTTGAAAAGAGGATACCCAGGATTGACATTAATTCAGTCCAAGTATATAGTTTGGAACCTAAAAACTGGTCAATTTGCTCTGCTACTCTCTCTGGGTCATCTAGCAAAGGCTTAAGCTCTTTCTTTAGACCTCGGACTTCAGAGGTGGTTAAAGGGGCGTTCATGAATCCAGTTGTACCCCTACCCTGTGGCACCTCCATTAGAGGGAAGAGCTGAGAAGCCAGCTCTTCGGAAGCGCAGGGAAAGGGAAAATTTTGAATATCCCTTCTACATTGTTCTATCTCTCTCTGAAGCCCTCTTTTTAAGGAGATATCAGAGACTTCTGCCTCCGGAGCCTGAGGAGGAGGAGGCGGGACTACCACCTGAGGAGGAGGTGGGACTAACTGCTGCCTGAGGAGGAGGAGGCGGGACTAGAAAAGGAGGAAGATGGTTTAGGGGATCCCACTGGATATTCTCTTTTTACCCTCCTCCATCCCTTGCTTCAGATCCCTTAGGGGATAAAGAGAAACTGGCCCCAGCTGCCAGCACATGGCATAGTGTATCTCTTCTGAAGACATACAACTTTTGCTATTAACATACAGTATTAGAAGCTGGCAGACCCAGTCTTCATTCGAGCCATATTTTGGCCAGAAAACAGCAGGTTTTAAAATTGGCTCTTGGGTCCACAGAAAGCAACAATACTTGATCATTAGTTGCTTTTTCTTATATTTAGTCCTTTCATTTTCTTTCCAGTGTGTAAGCATAAGTCCTAAAGGACTATCAGGAGGGATTCAGTCTTTCTTGCCTCCTTCATCTCTGGCCTTGTTTCCAGTTGCAGGCCTACTAGAAGTATTCCCCATGTTGGGTGAGACTTTTTCCCAGTAGACTCAATCCCCCAGATCCTCCAGCTCAGGGATATCTTGTCTGCTCAAATGTATTTACTCCTTTTCCCTGGGGATTAGCCTTCCCCTTTTTAGTGTTAGTTTCTTATTGCCTGTATTCTCAGTTCCCTGGAGATAACTTTCTCCCCTCTGTTCCCTGTTCTGAAGATAATCCACATTCCTCTTACAGTCACTTTCTCTCAACCACAGTCATTCACTCACATACATCACACAACCCTTCAAGGAAGGACCACCAAAGAAGTACTTTGCCACCCTCTAGCAGTTTTTCCTACCTTGGCTCATGCACGAGGTCTCCTGGTCCCGCGGTTTTAAAAGTCTCCTTGTCCCCTGCATTGCTGAGAATCCAGATGTATTCCTCTTACTGGGTGAGCCCTGGCTATCTCCCTGGGGCTGCTGCAGCAGGGCAGCTGGGTGCCTCCCCACAAGAGAGGGCCAAGGACTGGAGGGGAAACAGTGTCCCCATACGAGCCACAAAATTGATGGGCACGGGAATTTGATGTTGTAAAGAAATCAACACCGAGACAAAGGATCTCTCAGCAAGGCTAGTTTACTTTCTGCAGAAAGGGTACACTCACCAGCAGTCCAGCCACGAGAGCACACCAAACAAAGGAGACAGGGACATTTATAACCTTTACATCCTGACACAATCCCCTATGGCTGTGTCCCGTTCCCATTGGCTGGGATGGGACCTCACACTCTAAACTTAACTGGGTTGGGTAATAATTTAAAACTTTCCTAAATAGGAAGAAGGGAAAAAGGACAAAGAAAAGAGGAAGTTAGTGATGAGAGGTCAGAGGGGTTCCCAAATAAGGAATGGCATGTATCCTAATCTGGGACTCATTTAGCCTTATCTCAACCTACTGGAACAAGTTGGAGCAGCCTGGGAATATACACATCCTAACATTTAACCGGGGAATGATAAATCCTTTATGGATTTAAGAAACTTTGTAGAAGAACTTCTTCATGCCTTACAAGGCCCTTCCTGGGGGCAGGAAGTGAGATTCCAAGAGGACCCTATAGCAGTAGGCAACCAAGAGTCAAAACAAGCATATGCAGTAGTCATAATCATGCTAGTATGACAGTATGAATTAGCCAGGCATATATAGGAGTTTAGATGGGGGAATAGTGGAAGCCCACAAAACTTCCACGTTTGGGCCCTCACCAGAGACACTGGTCTAGAAACACAATAAAATGTCTGCCTGGGTAGTCATGATCATTCTATTATGAGGTAGACAGGAAACAGAGCAGGGCCAGGAGATGGAAGGGGCCTCCCTTGCCCTCAGGAGTCCCTGACCAGGGAAGATCCCTCCATGCTCTCTGAGGGTGGCGGGGCTCCAAAGATCCTGGCCAGGAGTGCTTTGTTGGAGTGGGCCTTGTCCTAGGCAGTTGCCAGGTGAGCCCATTCACACCCTACTGGCTGTGCTGCTTTCCGGGCCCTCAGTTCCTGCTCAGTAGGACGTTGGGCAAATGTCCAGGAGCCATCTGGGTGAGCAAGATCCCCATCAACAGCAAGAAAGCATTGTCCCCATTCCACACTTTGAAGATAGAAGATGGTCTCACACTTGGCCTGAGTGACCTCCACTCTCAGGTGCTGCCTGTGTGCACACCTGGCGCTCAAAGGCAAGGTGCTCGCTGTGGTGGGACCAGGTGAAATGGTGCAAGTACTTGAGATTCCATAGGTCATAATGGGAGGGGCTGCACCTGTGGGTACCCATAGGCGTGTTGTGTAGACTGGCCGCCACACTCTTGGCTATGCGCTTGTCACGGAACTCCACCCATCCCTCTGTGTAGTCCTTGCTGTGGTACTGCTTTTTTCCCTCCCACGGCTGCTGCTGCCTTCTTTTTGCATCTCACAAACCAGTCCTCAGCCTGAAAGAACGCATCTGACCTCACCATAGGCACTGAGAAGGTTGCGGACATGTAGGGGCTGGAAGTGTGGTGGGATATGGCCCAGGTACACAATACCTGGCACTACCCGCTTCTTGCTGCCACAGGCTGCTGCTTTGGATTCCTCCTGCTCCTCCTCCACATCTAGTGTCTGGTCTGTCCCTTCCAGCGCCTTTGCTCTGTTGCGGCCTTCTCCGATTCCTCTGCCTCCGTGTTGACTGACACGAGCAGCACGACCTAATTTCATTACTTCTAATGACTGCATAGATTCATTTGCATGGTTAAATCACAATTTAACCTATTTTATATTGATGTATATCTAAATTCTCTTTTTCACAATAGTAAGTAATGCTATAGTGAGCATTAAGTTGCATATGTTTTGCTCGTTTGTCAGATTATTTCCTTTGGTTAACTATTTGGAATTGAGCTACTGGGTCAAAGTATTTTTTTTTGTCTTTGCATATGTGTTTATATATTAAGTATTTGTAAGTATTTATATATATGTTATATCTTGATACATACAAATCCTTTTAGTTACCAGGTGACTACTCAGCATTCTTTCTAACATTGTATGGTGTGCTTATTTGCTCACACTCTCATCAACATGAATTGATGTTAGATTTGAGATGGTGGAAAAGAGAGAGAGGTAATACAGGATCTTAAGGTAATAGGACACATTATGGGTGGTCACATTATGAAAACCATTTAATGTTAATTCTAGCCACTACTTTAGGATGGTTTGGAATAGGAAAGAATTTGAGAGAGGTTCAAGATGGGGAGATATGTTGTGAAGCCGTTGTAGTTTGGCAAGTCAGTGGGGCCTAAAATAAGGTGGGAGTTAGTTGCACTGGTTAATTTGATAGATACTAAAGTAGTGTAACCATACAATGGGTTCATCTTGCTTGCTGCCTAGACAGAGCTGATTATCAAGACAAGGGAATTGCAGTAGAGAAAGAGTTACTTATTCATGCAGAGCCAGCTGTGTGGGAGATGGGAGTTTTATTACTCAAATCAGTCTCCTCGAGCGTTTGGGTAAGGGAGGAGACTACTCCTCATATTGTCTTATGCCCAATTTCTGCCTCCAAAGAAAGAAGTAAAAACTAAAAGGCAGAAATGAAATCTACAAGCCCACAGCCCGGCGCCACGCCCTGGGCCTGGTAGTTAAAGATCAACCCCTGACCTAACTGGTTATGTTATCTACAGATTCCAGACATTGTATGGAAAAGCATCGTAAAAATCCCTGTCCTGTTCTGTTGTGTTCTGATTATCGGTACATGCAGCCCCCAGTCACGTACCCCCTGCTTGCTCAATTGATCATGACCCTCTCACGCGGACCCCCTTAGAGTTGTGAGCCTTTAAAAGAGACAGGAATTGCTCACTTGGAGAGCTCGGCTCTTGAGACAGGAGTCTTGCCGATGTTCCTGGCCAAATAAACCCCTTCCTTCTTTAACTTGGTGTCTGAGGGGTTTTGTCTGTGGCTCTTCCTGCTACAAGGGGATCAGAGTTTTTACGGATAATTTGGTTGGGGGGTGGGCAGTGAGTTGGGAGTACTGATTGGTTGGGTCGGAGATGAAATCATAGAGAGTCAAAGCTGTCCTCTTGTGCCGAGTCAGTTCCTGGGTGGGGGCCACAAGACCACATGAGCCAGTTTACTGATCTGGGTGATGGCAGCTGATCCATCAAGTGCAGAGTCTGCAAAATATTTCAAGCACTGATCTTAGGTTTTACAATAGTGTTGTTATCCCCAGGGGCGATTTGGGGAGGGTCAGAATCTTGTAGCCTCCAGCTGCATGACTCCTGAAACATAATTTCTAATCTTTTGGCTAATTTGTTAGTCCCACAAAGGCAGTCTGGTCTCCAGGAAGAAGGGTTTGGTTTGTGAAAGAGCTGTTATTGTCTTTGTTTTAAGTGGTTCCTAACCTGTTTGGCACCAGGGAAAAGTTTTGTGAAAGACAATTTTTCCATGGACTTGGGGGTGGTGGGGATATGGTTTCAGGATGAAACTGTTCTACCTCAGATCTTCGAGAATTAGTTAGATTCTCACAAGGAGTGTGCAACCTGGCTCCTTGCATGTGCAGTTCAAAATAGAGTTTGTGCGCTCCTATGAGAATCTAATGCCACTGCTGATCTGACAGGAGGTGGAGCTCAGGCTCCACCCGGTAATGCGGTAATAATGCCAGCCCATCTGCTGCTCACCTCCTGCTGTGTGGGCTGGTTCCTAACAGGCCACTGACCAGTAGCAGTCCATGGCCTGGGGTTTGGGGACCCCTGTTTTAAACTATAAACTAAGTTTTTCCCAAAGTTAGTTTGGCCTGTGCCCAGGAATGAACAAGTTTGGCCTATGCCTAGGAATGAACAAGGACAGCTTGGAGGTTAGAAGCAAGACAGAGTTGGTTAGGTCAGATCTCTTTCACTGTTTGAGTTATAATTTTGCAGTAGCGATTTCAGTAGGAAATAACTTGTTCTAGAAGTGAAATGAGAGCACCTTCTCTTAACTCTGACTCTTTTCAGTGATTCACAGTACTGGAAATAAATAAGAATTACCTACATAGCAAATTCCCAGAGATTCTGATTGAATTTGAAGTGGGGAATAACATGGCTATTTATTTGTAAAGAAAAGCATTTCACAGGATTTTAATGAGGAGCCAGAGCTGAGAACCACACTATCCCATTTTAGCTTGTAAACCAAAAAAATAAAATTTGAACTGCCAACCACCCTGGCCCCCAGCAACCATCTGAATGGACTCTCCCTCCTTGGCCAGGGCACTCTAACCTGAAAGACTGGTTCAGGCCATGACTGGAAGTGGGATTTGGACGTGCCTCATTATACCCTTCCAGCATTAGCATCAACACAGAGCTTGAGTCTGATAAGAAATATTTACAGTCTATTTTCTCTGAAGCCTGTTATGTTACCTGGAGGCTTCATCTGCATGGTAAAAACCTTGGTCTCCACAACCCCTTGTCTTAACCCAGACATTCCTTTCTACAGATAATAACACTTTCAACCAATTGCCAGTCAGAATATGTTTAAATCTACCTGTCACCTGGAAGGCTCCTTCCCCACTTTTGAGTTGTCCCACCCTTCCAGATGGAACCAGTTAAGTCTTACATGTATTGATTGATGTATTATGTCTCCCTAAAATGCATAAAAGCAAACTGTACCCTGGCCACCTTGGGCACATGTTGTCAGTACTCCCTGAGGCTGTCACTGGTGCATCCTTAACTTTGGCAAAATAAACTTTCTAAAGTGACTGAGACCTGTCTCAGATATTTTGGGTTCATAAGCTCCTAAATTTAGTAAATTCCTGTTGGTGCTAAAGAAAAAAGCATGTTGTCTTGGATTGAAAACTAAAGTTTTACCTACTAGTTATAATAATGCTTTGGTGTTATTAAATAAGTGGAGAATAAAGTAGTAAAACAAAGTGCTGTTCAGCGAGTATTGAATAAGTACATGTGACATGTTAAGCTTGTGTGTGGAGTGAAGTGTGGACATTTTTTAGAGAAAGTAGCATTTGAAACGACCTAATGGAATGGGTAAAGCTTCTGAGGACGTAGTTATAACGGTGAGTGTTAGGATTAGGTAGGTCAGGTTATACAAAGGGAAGAGATTGGGAAGTGTGGTGTTTGCCTGGGGACCTCTAAATCTAGGTTAGTTAGGTCTTTGGTTCATTTGTTAGAGATGAGGAGGGAAAGATTGCCCTGTTAAGGAGTCAGAAATTAACTCTTCAGAGAATGGATAGTCTTTCAGGATTTTGAGTATTCCTCTTCTACTGGGGAATAAGAGGAAGAAAAAGAGTGAAGTTGTGGTTTAGAGAAGGCACATTATTTAGGCTTAGAGAGTTCTTAGGAGATGTGGGAATATTTTGACACCATTAATGATGTTGAAGACCATGACTTGGTTGCCTCATGGCCCCAGTAAGGAAGATAAAGATGGGTGTCCTTAAAGAGGTGAGAGGTGTTTATTATGAATATTTTGGTTACTTTATGCTCATATATCTTGAAATACAAGCCCTTAGCTAATGAATCTGTTTTGTGAGACAAGTCCTTAGTTTATTTAATGAGAATAATTCTATCAGCCCTCTTGTTAAAAAGCTAAGAATTTGATGAATGTTTCATGAACCAAGTATAAAGCACTCTGAAATCCTCTGAGGAGAATACAAGGCTATTTGAGTAGCTACTTTTCAATGAATATACTGAATTTCAAAATATTAGTTAATGATGGCTGTGTAGACCCAAGGGAAAATTTCCCCTTTGCCCTTTGAAGGTTCACTGAAAAATCAACTTACAAAAACCAGATTAATAGGAGAAATGGTATACAAATTTATTAGTGTGCATGGGGAAGAATCACAGAATGATTGTCTAATAACCCACTGGGGTACAGATGCTTATTACCCTACTTCTTAGGGGAAAAGGAGATGGGGAAATGTGGATGTTTTTATGGGGATTGTAAATGATTTTTAGGGGAACTCAGTGGGCTTCAAGGACAAGTGGCCTGGGACAGTCTTTTAGGCCTGCAGAACAGACATGGTTTGTGAAAAGTCCTTCCAGGTGTGTTGACAGACTTTAGTCTTTCTTCCTGCGGTATGAGTTCAGTTAATGAAAACTCAGGGAAGGGACAAGAGGTCACCCCCCCCCCGCCTTTGTCATATAACCTAACATATTTATATTTACACATTCCTTGGGTTCTGAGGAATAGGAAGTGGACATCTTTGAAGTGCCATTATTCTGCTTACCAGACTAACCCAACCTCCCCAAAAGACTGAGCTCAGTTTTAGCTTCAAAACTGAAAAATCTCTAATGCTGTAGATACCTTTTTATACATTTGGAATTTGTTTAGGTTGTAGGTTGTAGAGATAGGGATGACCTGGATTTTCTTTGCTTAACTGTTGCGGGCTGTGGAGGCTACAGAAAGAGTAAAGAGAAAGTAGTGAAGATTCTAGCTGAGGTTGGAGAAACTGATCTTTCAGAGTCCCTTGGGCAAACCTTTACAGAAGGCAGCTTTAGTGTAATATGATTTGGTTAACTACGTAGTCCTAGGGATTTTTTTTTCCCGTGCTTTTTTTTTCCTTAACTTTCTTCTTGTCCGTGTCTTACTAGTTTTATGTCTACAAAGATAACACATTTGTAAGACTTTGTGAATTCTCTTAGCATTTTTAATAATTTATTTGAGTAACTTTGAACTCTTTGAAGGAGAGGCCATCAACCTCAAAACATAAATAAAGTCTATGTCTGTTTGAATTATTCTTTTCCTTTATTACTTGAGTTCCTTACTTGAATTCAATTAATTACTTGAATTCATTTTCCCAGTTTGCCACTTCTTACTAGTGTCTGAAATATGTTACATGAACATATTTTCCTAAATGAAAAGTCTTTCTAGTTACTCATTAATTCTGATCATTCAGTCAAGCATTCACTGAAACCCTAGCACATGCCAGGCACTCTGCTTGGCTCTGAGCAATAGTGGTAAACTTTGATACCATCCCTTCCCTCACACAGCTTATGGCCTCAGGGCTGTGTCACATAGTAACTACTTACATGGGTGATTTTAGTGTGTGTATGACTGATTGGGAATCTAACTACTGTAAATAAAAGAATCTGCAAAAATTTTCTTGCAGTTTTTTTCCAGTGTATGATTGGTTAATTGTCTAATGATTCTTTTGAAATACTTCGTAATAGTTTGTTGACATAAAATTGAAATATAACTGTGACTATTATATAACATTTAGCCTAATATTCCTTGCTTATTTGAAATAAAGTTTAGGTTGCTTTTTGAAGTGAATATTGAACAGGTGTCATTTCTTAAGCTTTTCCCAAATATTTAATTCGCAAAGTTACAGGTCTTGGTTTTTGCAAATAGTTTACAATAACTCTTGCTTATATACAATATTCCTTAAAATGTTTCTTATTAAGGAAGGCCTGACACTAATTTTCCTTTTTTGTTCTTTTAGGAATGTTTTAAAGGAAGTTGGGCTACTCACAAGTTACTACATAAGAAAGCAAGTAAGTACAATCACAAATTTTTACACCATTTGTCTTAGAAGTGGCATTTGTGCCAGAAAACAAGAATTCTTCTAGTTCTGAAAGTGTATATTTGAATGTTCTGAAAGTATAATCCTGAATACTAGAATTATGACATATTTTAAATTTTTGTGATATGTAAATAAAATATGTCTGGATAATATCTTAATCTTGTATTACATATTTAACATGAAAACATGAGATAGTTGTTAGTATAGATGGATCTTGCTTGAGCCATACCTGATGATGCTGTCATCTTTTGACACACTGTTATGTTGCTGGAAGTGTTTGCATATTGTAGTCAGGGATTATGTGAGTGATTTGGCTTCATTTAACCAGATTCCTTTTGGTTTCTTTTAGTTTCAATTTGTATTGCTTTTTCTACTCAAAACTATATTACTTTGTTTTTTGGTGTTTTAATGTTATTACCTGCAGTCTTATGTTTAATTTTCTTTTTTGAAGTTTTTTGTGTGACACTACAAAGTAAAACTATTAGCTGCTCCTTAGCTATTACTGTCAGCCACACTGATGTAGCTGAGATTCACATTGCCTTTTTTGCTCCAGCTAATTTATCCTGTAAATTCATGTCATTAGCGTGGCTGGTTTAAGACAACCTGTCACAGTTGCCTGAAAGTTGACAAGGGCTTTCTGTTCTATATAGCATTGCCATCCTGATGGATCAAAGCTTGATTTAATTTGAAGTGGGAAATAACATGGTTATTTATTTACATTGTTCTTGGTATAAGGTTTCTGTTTCTACATACCTGATCTTGGTGTCTTATATTCATCTACTTGTGTATTTTTTTTTTAGGAGTTAGCTGATTTAATGAAGTTTGAATGTAGTGTGTTTTTACCAAAACAAATCTAATTGAGGTCAGCCAAACCACCATTTGAAGGAACAGGGAAATACAAATTTTAAAAAGACAAATTTTCTGTAGTTGTATAAAGCGACATCTACATTTAATGGACATGCTAGGCTGTTGTGGGAGAAATGTGGTTAGAGATGAGGAAAAATGATGTGACTCAGTGTAAGTTTATCAACGCATAAAAGATAGGACTTGTTGATTTGTTACCTCTGTCAAAATTTAGAGATGGATTTAAATAATCTCACTTAACTATATTCATTCATGCATTACATACATCCTGTGTTTCTAATGTGTTAGGTATTTTGCAGAGCTCTTTGAGCCAGTTACTAGCATTTTATACCCAGGAAGTTAAAAGCATTGGTAAGTAATAAAGGGTTGAGGTTAAACAATATGTTAGTAAAAAAGCTTAAAATCGGCCTCTCCCTCAGATTTGCTAACTCATTGATGTGTGCCTGTTTCTTCAATACTGGATATTTAGGGGCAGGGCTATTTCCTTTTGACTTACACTACAAGGGAATAAACAGCAAGTGTTCCCTATGTAAAAAGAAGGTGATTATTACAACACTGGATTTAGGCTATTTGCATTTTTACTTACACCTCTAGTGTTTAGTATGGTGCCATCTTGTAGCTATTGCTCTGTTGGATCTTTTGGGATAACTTTTTTCAGTGGATGAGCCTGCTGTTCTTAATCCCTTTGGCTGTGATGGATAGAGATCATCCTTAGGTGGCCAGCTCTGTATCTTTCATACCCTAGTAAGTTGACCACAGTAAATTTTGAGTGACAGTCCTAGAGGGAGGGAATGGTGTGGGGAAGGGTGATCTCCAGAGACAAGAAGAGTATTAGGAAAAGCATTGGGGAAACAGAATGTTGCACTAGGAAGGAACCAATGCATCTTTAAAGTTAGCACTTCAGTCCAAGAAGTGATAGTGAGATAACACATAGCAAGCATTTCTTGTCATGGAGACGATATAGTTAGGTTTTTTTTTTTTTTTAAGTATAGTGTCTACTGATCTCTGATTAATATTCATATGGAATATTGATCTATAATTTGCTTTTAATATATTTGACTGGTTTTGGTATTGGAGCAATTCTGGACTCTTAAAATAAAATGGGATATATTTCCCACTTCTGTTTTCTAGAAGAGATTATGTAGAATTGATATTATTTCTTCTTAAATGTTTGATAGAATTCACCACTGAAACATCTGGATCTGGAGTTTGCTTAATCATAGAAGCTTAATTTTCTTATGCAGGCCTTAGGAAATTTTCAAGTGAGTTAAATAAATGACTCAAAGGTAGTTTTTTTTTTTTTTTTTTTTTTTACTTGTCATATAGTAAAGAAGACCATTCAGATGGTAAAGTCCTTAATTAAAAGCACTTAATGCTGATTCTTGGGTGCATGTTTTTTATACTGTGTCTTCTGTCACAGTGTACCTTAAGCAGCATTTACTTTTAGTATTATCTGTAGAAGTTGTAGCATTTCACATCTCAAGACTGTATTATTGTACACTTTTTAATGTATCGCTGACATATTCAGTGTGTTTGTTTCTCATTTTCCTGAAGTAAAGGTGGAATAATTTGACAAGTATCTTGAATAGCCAAAATTAAGGTATAAAAGCCGCATTTAATAAAAGAACTCTAAGTAATACTTTTCCTTCCACTCCCCTACCCATTCACACTAGTGTGCCTGATTTTTGGATTACAGAGAGAAGGTGTTATGTAATGTCTTAAACTGGCTCCACCAAACTTTGTGACCATGGGTTATTCTAAGTCTCACCTCCAAGATGCTGGAATCATAGGTTTGTGTGAGGATTAAATAAAGAAATCCATGAGAAGTGCTTAGCATGTGTACCATGCATAGTAAGTACTCAAAAACTAATAATCATCTCTGGAAGACTTGAGTCAGAATTTTGATCAGAAAATCCTGTCCCATGCAAAGCTTAGACATCTGTAGTTATTTTGTGTCAGCTGACCAGAGGAAGCAGCCTGCATACAACTTTTTAAAGAATAAAGCCTGACTGTGATGAACTTTGGGCCAGACCTTGCATGTATCACGTACTTATGACACTACCTGCATTTTACCTGGGACTGTTGCATTGTGATGTTTGGAAGACAGCTTACAAATGTATATTTATACTGCCCTGTTGTTGTACAGTCTTTTCAAAAAGACTAGTTATTATGCAGTTGTGCTACCATCATCAGCTCAATTCAGATTTGTTAATGGTCTGTTAATCTGGTTAGCACCTAAGGCTCAGATCAAATTGATCCTAAAATGTAAACGAATTTTCTTTTCAAGTGTGAATTTTCCGTTAAGTAAATTGTACCTAGAGATGAGAGGAGAACTTGCCATATTCAACTTTAGTTGTCTTGGTAGTTTTGGGTTATATTATTTGTTTGCTTTACATTCGTTTTTTTTTTGTTTTGTTTTGTTTTGTTTTTTTTTGAGACAGGGTGTTCCTCTGTTGCCCAGGCTGGAGTGCAGTGGTGCAATCATGGCTCACTGCAGCCTTAACCTCCTGGGCTCGAGCAATCCTTCTATTTCACCTCAGCCTTCCGAGTAGTTGGGATTACAGGTGTGCACCACCATGCCCAGCTAAGTTTCGTATTTTTTGTGGAGACGGGTTTTTCCATGTTGTCCAAGCTGGTCTTGAACTTCTGAGCTCAAGCAGTCCACCTGCCTTGGCCTCCCAAGTGCTGGTATTACAGGCGTGACCTGCTGTGCCTGTACCTAAATTCTCTTTTGAATATAAACTGTGGAAGGGTAAAATCCAGAGCAACAGGAAGCTTTAAAGGATTTTTACACCCTCACCTTCTCCTGTTCTCCTCCCCAGAAGTATGCTAGTGCAAAAAGCCTGCGTCTTGATTGCTTTTCTCTCCTAGGTTTTGGGAGAAAGTTATTCTTGAGGTTCATGTTTCAGACAAAATCACTTGATGCACTTCATAGCTGAAGCAGGCTCAGTTGGCCCCCATTTTGAACTGTTTTCTGTCATGTTTGACCCAACTAGCAGTGAATGAAGTTTGTTTTTGTCCTGTGAGGAGAAAGTTTTCCTATTGATATTAACATTCACAGTGGCTTTCTTGAATTCCAGAGGGGAGAAAGATATTTTAAAATTCAATAGCATGGTATCTTTCTATTCCTTTATATGTGATAGTATAAATATATTCTTTTCCAAAGTAATATGAATGGATTTTCCATATTTTTGCATTCTTGTCAGTTGTACCTTAAGGGCCTTTCCAGAGTTAGCCACATGCTCTTTAAGAGTACTGGACGGGGGCTGGCATTCTTGTGTCACAGCTCTTGTGAACCACACAGTCTCTGTTTCCTCATATGTACAATAAAGAAACAACACTATATTGTCTTTAAGATCCTCTCTAAGTTTAACATTTTAAGATTCCATCTAGTTTCCTTCATTTTGTATTTTAAATAGATTGTTTAAGAGGGGAGTTTTATTTTTTTTTTTTTCGGACACTTCTAAAATCAAGTTTGAAGTTTGACTTTTAAAACCTATGGTAGAATGACAATAATCAGGAAAAGGTCTGAGTGCACTGGGAGATGTTTAGGCCAATACTTGGTCTACGAGGGACTTGTATTCCGGCTACTTAAAGTCTTATTTTACTATGTGGATAAGAGTTTTATTTTACTATGTGAATAAGAGGTGCAGCCAGTATGTTGACATCACAGGCACCAAAGAGTGTCTTCTGTGTGAGTAGAATTCTTGCGTATATTTCAGTCAGCACACATAGATTAATAACTGACACGATTGTGTGTATGGATATGATTCTTAATTTTTCTGCTGAACTTTAAACAGACCGTTCCCTCCCTTGTCTTTGCCTTTTTCCTGCCTCTTTCCTTTACCCCTTTCTGAAAAGAGGCAAATGATGATCATAAAGTTTTCAAAGCAATTTGAAATATTGACTTGAAAGCAATTGATCAGCTTTGTGAGAAATAATTATTTTTGATTTTGAATTTGCTTTGGGATTACTTGGGATCTGTTCTTTTAGTAAGAACATAATTTATTTGTAACATCTGACCTCAGTTGGGTAGGTTTTACTAGGGCTTATGTTTCATATTTTAAAATGGGCTTTCTATAAATTGATGTGGTCAGAATACATTTAGAAAAGCTGTCTATGACCTGTTCTTGTTCGATATTATGTAAAAACTTAGTATATGTTTACATGGAGTTTTTTCTTCCAAGACCTTTAGATCTTCAAAAAGGAGTTATAAGGGTTTTGAATATAGCAGTAAAGCAGTTGCTTTGGTGATTTAGGTTAAGGTAAAAGTTTGGTGGATTTTTGTGCCTGGACTTGTTGGCTTGGTTTTAAACAAGAGATATTCAAAGTATGCTGCTGCTCATTAGCTTGACCACTGAAACATTCCTTTCCCTCCTTCTCCTCCTTCCTCTCATATCTATTCCTCCGTCTCCCAGAAGATGAAAAGGCGAAGCGAGAAGTGTCTTCCTGGACTGTGGAAGGTGATATTAATACTGACCCATGGGCAGGTTATCGATATACTGGTAAACTCAGACCACATTATCCACTGGTGAGTAAATAAGGTAATAAAAACAACATTCCAATTTTGAATTTTCCAAAAATGATACTCGTAATTTGTTTTCCAGTAGTGAATCATATAATCAGGATTGTGTTTACAAAGGAACTCGAATTTTAGCTCTTGAGCTCTTACGGTGCATCATTTGGGAGCTGGTAGTTTGGCAATCATGGAAGAAGTGGGAAAAATTTTAGATGAAAGAACTAAAACTTTTAAAAAGAAGTGTAGGGTAAGGTAGAATAGATATTTTGTTGCTGGCATGATGGTAGTGTGTACAGTCGTCCCTCGATATCCATGGATGATTGGTTCCAGGACATCCTCACTCCCCATATAGTTACGAAAATCCACTGACGCTCAAGTCCCTTAAAGTCAACCTTCCGTATCACAGATTGTGCGTCAACAGATGCAGAACCAGGAGATATGGAGGACTGACTGTATTATACTTTTCTAAAATTATTTTATTATGATATATTTCTCCCTTAATTTAGATATGGCTTTTCTGCCACTCTTTTGCCTTCCTCTATTCTTGGCAGATAGGACTTGGAGTCTTAATGTAAGAATTCATTCAAGTTGAAATCTGTTTGTCACCCTTAAATATTTAAATTCTCTTTACTGATGATTTTCTTTTTATAAAAGGAATACATCTTTAATCTTTAAAATTTGGAAAAATAGGAAAAGCATAACAAAATCTCCTTAATTCTGCCTCCCAGAGATAATGACTAGGAACATGTTGGTATATATTTACTTTGAGACATCATTTTATTGTTGTTAGCTTGCCAATTTGTTTGGAATAACATGGGTGTCTTGTTATTAGTCTCTGTCTAATCTTAAATCCTTAATGGCCTTGGCCACTTTCCCCCTTTCTAAATACCCTGCAAAAGGGGTGGCATTACCACTAGGAAAAGTAAAGCATAATCTTAATGAAATATATATCTGTTATAATATTTAAGATGCCATTTAAAACTTCTAAAAACTTTTGAATGGACTTCTTTCTCCCCTCGTTTTATTTATTTTTCGTTGGTAAATCAGTTTTAACTAACTTTGTTTTTAGATGCCAACAAGGCCAGTGCCAAGTTATATTCAAAGACCAGATTATGCTGATCATCCCTTAGGTAAGCTCTGCTATGTTGATTCTTCATTTTTCAATTTGTGGGCTTGATGACTACTGCAAAGGGAAGGAATGCTTTTCTTGTAGAAATTTTTCAGTGCTGGACTTCTAATAAATGTGTTTTCAAGCACCATTAGAACATTGAAGAGAATTAAAGATTCTTGCCCCCATTAGAAATCTACCTACCTCTGAAAACACTATGTAGCTGTTAAAGACTATATTTAAAATAATACTGTATTTTATGTTGTTATAACAACTTCTAGACTTACTAAAAAACAGTTTTTAATTTTAATATTCCCTCCTATCTAAATTAAACAATATCTATTTAGGTAAAGGCAGATGGTAGAGGCCTGAGTGAATGCATAACTAAAGACTTTGGACTGTAACATTAACAGAAGTAGTAATGGTGGTGATAGTGATAGTAATGATGAGAATGATATGATGATGATGGTTCTCTAATAATAACTGGTATTTATTTTTGCTTAACTATGTGTCAGGCACTGTGCTAAGTTCTTTGCACGTGTTACTCCATTTAACACTTTCAACACTGCTGAGGTAGGTTCTGTTGTCTTCTCCATTTTTATAGATAATGATACTGAGACACCCAGCGAAGATAGGTAATTTGCAACACAGGTCAGTGGAACAATCTCTGACCTTAAGGCCTGTACACATAATTAATTTAGACTTTGTGAAATTACTGATTTTGCATGTCAAAGAAGGTCGACTCTCAGCAATTTTGTGTGGTTTTATCTAGCAAGCTAAGCTATCCTTGCTTTGTTCTCTAAGAAGTGGGGAACTGTATTACATAACATTCTTATGAATATCATTTTTAAATTTTAGTTAAACCCTACTATTTCAGAAAAATTTAAGGGAAAGATAGTCTAAATGATAGCCTACTGTTGAGGATGTATAATTTCATTATTTTTCTATTTAATCTTAAATGTAGTATTAGCTTGTATTTTAGAAAAACAATCATAGACAAGGTAAATTCTAACAAATGTTATGCAGTGAAAGTAAGTTCTAGTCCTTAGAGGTAACTGCTATTCACCTTTATGTACAGAACTTTTCAGAACTATTCTATATATGTAAACACATTAGGACCCCGTCTCTGCCATCTATACACAAATGGAAAAAACTATATTTACCTTTTCACCTTGCTGTATTCACTTAATATGTCTTACAAATGTGTCTTATAAAGCCACCTCCTTTTTAGTGAATGAAGGTTATGTGGATGTATCATATTTCTTAAGCCAGGCTTTTACTACTGAGTGTTTAGATCATTTCGAGGTTTTTGCTTATTGTAATTTGACTGCAAATTTGTTGCAATTTGACTGCAGTAACTACTCTTATATTTATATCTTTGTCCATGTGTCAAAGTATTTCTGTAGGTTGATAGTCTAAAATAGGTGGATCAAAGGATATATACATTTTTGATTTTGAGAGATATTACAAATTTCAGAGATTTTTCCAGTTCCATTAAAAATACATGGATGTCTCTTTTCTGCTATATTTTTCGCAGCATAGTGTGTTACAAAGCTTTATGATCTTTGCTAATCTGAAAGACGAAAAATGTTATTTTGCTATTATTTTAATCTGCATTTTAAAATTATGAGTAAGGTTGAGCATCTTTTCATATATTAAAGTCATTTATATTTTCTTCCCTTTTGAAATGTTTATTCATATCCTTAGCCTTTTTTTCCCTGTTAGAGTACTAGTTTTTTCCATATTGATTTATAAATGTTCTTAGTATATTAACGAAAATAACCTTTTGATGTATGTTTTTAAAACTGTTTTTTACCAATTGACCGTTTGTTTTGTCATTACATTTATTACAGATTTTGAGTATCCTAACATAGTAAAATTTATCAGTGTTTTATTTTACAGTGTGTATGGCTCTATGACCTAGAAAGACCTTTTTGGTGCAGAAGTTATAAAAAAATATTCCTATGTTTTCTTCTAGCATTTTTATGGTTTCAGTCTTTTTTATGTATGATAAAAATCATTTGTATATCTGAAACTTACTTGGCATAAGGAGTTAAATAGGGATGCAACTTAATTTTTTTTCTCAGAAGGATACCTGGTTATTATATCACCAGTTATTTAAAAAATCAGCCTTTCCTTATTGATTTGAAGTGCAACCTATATTGTTGTATTATGTTCTCACATGTCTTTAGGTCTATTTCTGGATTCTATTCTGTTTTATTAACCCATTTGTCTAATCATGTACCACTGCCAAACTTTTAATTATCATAGCTATATAATGTTTAATATTTGGTAGGCCTTGTTGCCCCTACCTTTCCTCTTTTTCAGAATTTTCCTGGCTATTCTTGCATGTTTGTTTTTCCATGTGAAATTTAGAATCAGCTTGTCTGGTTCTCAAAATTATCCTGTTGACATTTTTTTATTGGGATAGTATTAAATTTATAGATTAATTTTGGAAGAATTGACATCTTTACAATATTGAGTCTTCCTGTCCAGGAACAGGGTATGTTTTTAAAGTTTTATTTGACTCCTTTTATGTCTTTCAGTGGTGTTTTCAGATTTTCTTCATGTAGGGATTTTATTGTTAAATTTATTCCTGGGTACTTCATCTTTTTAGTTGTTTTTGTACATAATAGCTTCTGTATTTTTTAGCTGATTATTTGTATGTGGGAAAGTTATTGATTTTGATAAATTTATCTTAAACAATATGCCAACTTGCTGAATTTGTATTTATGGTCATTTACCAGGTGATTCTTCTGTTCTAGAGATACATAATCACATCTGAAATTGATAAGAATTTTGTCCTTTCTTTTCTAGTTTTATATGTTTTATTTCTTTCTCTTGTTTAATTGCATCTGCTAGTATTGCCAGGACAGTGTTAAATAATAGTGCCGATAGTGGGCATTCTGTAATGTTGGTTCTCAGTTTGAGATTTATATTTATCATGTCAAGGTGGTAGCTGGCCATGTTATCAGAATTAACTTTCCTTCTAGATGATTATTTACTTTTACTTTATTTATGAATGATGAATTGGATGAATAGATTTGTCAGTATTGAACTATCCTTGCCTTCTGGTATGAATCTCACTTGCATCCTGATGTATTAAGTTTTTTTGGATTCTGTTTGTTAATATTTTTATTTGGAATTTTTCCATTAGTACTTGTAAATAAGATTAGTTGACATTATTTTTGTTAGATTTTGAGTTAATTGCTATCCTGGCTTTATTACTTTTCATGTATGTAAAACTTGAAGCTAACAAATTTTATTAGTGAAGATTTTTAGGGCAATATTTTTAAAACTTTTTTGAGTATGACTCAGAAATGGCTTTTATAACGTGATCTTTGTATGTGTATATAAATAAAGATTTCATGGCAGCACTTATTCCTACTCCGTATAATACGAGTATAATACTTTGTTATGCCATTTTAATATTTTCTGTCCCATTTATTTACTTTTAAAAAATGTTAAGTGTAGCCTAATAAAAGGTCACAAACTGGAGATTGAAAAACACTTAACTTTGGTTCCTGTTTCAGAAAATAGTGTAATTAATTCATCAGTTGTTGATGTATAATTGCTTCATGAGATGATTATGAAAGTAATTTGTAAATTCTGTGGTACTTTTCAAATGTATATCATTTACTGAGTCTGATTATCACACGGCCTGGCATATAATAAGTACTCTATAAGTATTGGCTGATTTCTAATAGGTCTGAAAATTTATCTTTTAGAATTTTTTCTTCAGTTGGTTTAGCGAGTTTCCCTTTGATGTTGAAAATGTTTTTTTTTAAAAATCTAACCTAGACCATCCCAAATCATGAATTACTGTTGTGTGAAACAGTGAGACTACTGTTTTTATGCCACAGGTTTATAATTATGCAAATAAATACTACATCTTTGCATTCATTTTGGTTTTACTTACCGAATTTTCATTCCAGGAATGTCTGAATCTGAACAGGCTCTTAAAGGTACTTCTCAGATTAAATTACTCTCATCTGAAGATATAGAAGGGATGCGACTTGTATGTAGGGTAAGAGTGATTTTTTCTCCATGGGGTAGGAAATGTTTAAGCAGTACTTAGACATGAAGTCAGTGGTTTGCTGATTTATAAAGATAGCAAATGTTATATTGTTAGACTGACCAGCCATGCTTTTTTTTTTTTTTTAACTTTTTTTTGAGACAGAGTTTCACTCTGTCGCCCAGGCTGGAGTGCAGTGGCGTGATCTCTGCTCACTGCAACCTCCACCTTCTGTTTTCAAGCGATTCTTCTGCCTCAGCCTCCTGAGTAGCTGGGATTACAGGTGCCCACCACCACACCTGGCTAATTTTTGTATTTTTAGTAGAGATGGGGTTTCACCATGTTGCCCAGGCTGGTCTCGAACTCCTGACCTCGTGATCTGCCCACCTTGGCCTCCCAAAATGCTGGGATTACAGGCGTGAGCCACCACACCTGGCCTTTTTTTGTATTTTTAGTAGATACAGGGTTTCACCATGTTGGCCAGGCTGGTCTCTAACTCCTGACGTAAGGTGATCTGCCCGCCTCGGCCTCCCACAGTGCTGGGATTACAGGCGTGAGCCATTGTGCCCGGTTTAGCCATGCTTTTCATTAAACTATTGTTAGTATATAATTTTAGTCAACAGTTTTCTTCTTAAAAGCCTATTTCAGAATTAATCTGGTGGATAGTCTATATTTAGATGACAATCCTTTTCATTTATTTAATGATATTTAAAAACATTTTGTCATTTTATTTTCACAAGTCATCATAACATAGGACAGAGTTTAAGGCTCAGAGGGTTATGCTGTAGGCCTTTTTGTGAAATACCTATGATGAGTGGTAGTAGTGGTTGGTACTCATTAGGTGAAATCACATATTTATTCTGAAGGAAAATATAATACATTGATATTATTCATTTAAGTAAGATTCTTAAGGTTTCTATTCAGTGCTTTAAAAGTGATTTGATTCTAATTTTGTTTGATATCCTGGAGAACTTTCTCTTCCTATGACTTGCTGTGATTCTTTGAGGAATTCATTCATCTATTTTTTTTTTTTTGAGACAGGGTCTTGCTATCACTCAGGCTAGAGTACAGTGGCACAATCATAGATCATATAGATCATAGCTCATAGCTTACTGTAACTCCAAACTCCTGGGCTCAAGCTATCCTTCCACCTCAGCCTCCTGAGTAGCTGGGATCACAGGCATGTGCCACTACACCTGACTACTTTTTTTTTTTTTTTTTTTAAGAGACAGGATCTCACTATGTTGCCCAGGCTCATCTGTTCTTTTTTCTTTTCCTCTACTTTTCCCCATTATAGAAATGAGAGAAGACTACCTCTATCAGTTGATGATAGTTTAGATTTCTTAGGATGTATATTTTCACATAGAAATCAGCCAACCTTACTGCTGCTTGCTTGTTAACCCAATTTTTATATAAAATTAATGTTTGTTTTTATGTATTTACATATAATATATTTATATATTTTCTATAAAATTATAATATTCAAGGGGAGATTCATTTTTACCAATCTTCCACAGTCAAACAGTAGAAAGGGTATAGATTTCTGTTTCTGTGTCTTTTTTAATGTATTGAGTGTTCCTTTTTTACAGCTTGCTAGAGAAGTTTTGGATGTTGCTGCCGGCATGATTAAACCAGGTGTAACTACTGAAGAAATAGATCACGCTGTACACTTAGTAAGAACTTCACTTTTTTACTTTGAGTAATTTTGTTACATTACTAGATGCTTTGAACTTAAACATTAAGTAGATTTAAGTTCTGAGTGTCTAAGGTAACTTGGGTAAACTCATTTGAAAGCAAATTTTTGCTTTGTTTCAAATATGGAAAACATTCAACAGTCATTATTCTCATCTTTAAGAATCTATAATATTAAGGTCTGAGGTAAGCTTGAAATATCTTGTTTCTGAAACAACATATTTGTAATAAGCATTTCAGTTGAGCTTTTATAAAATGATTGATTTTATCTGCTTTAAGTAAATCCTGCCACTACAGACATCAAATATTCTGAAATAAAAAAAAGAATATGACTTCTGATGGTAGATTAGTTAAATGTTTCCTCAAGGCAATGAACAGTCCACATAAATATTTGTAGTAAGTATAGGGATTAAAAATAAATAAATAAAGATTGTCTGCCCATCAAAGAGAGACCTTAAGACCTTATTAGATGAGTGTACACATTATATGAATTTTAAAAAAAAGAGTGATAAGTAGTTAATATAACATATGGAAAGCAGATCACACGTGTTCTAGTAAACAAATACAAATTATAAAGACCTAGTAAATTTGTATTTTAAAGATGTTTATATGCATTGCTTGTGTGGAAATGATGAAACTGGTCCTCTCTTCTGCTTGGTGATGGTATTGTAAATTGGAAGAACCCTTTTGGAAGGATTTGACAATCTATCTTGAGCTATGAAAATGTTTATAAATTTTTTATTCAGAATCTTATTAATCCTGACTTTTGGGTATTGTTTCATATGTTAGTATAAGACGTATCGTATGCAATAATAGCATTTTGAGTATGCTCTGTGGGCCAGGTACTCAAGTGCTTCTTTTACATTAACTCATTAATCTTACCAACAACCTCTTGAGGGTAGGTACTATTGTAATCTCCGTTTTATAGGTAAGGAAACTGAGGAAGAGAGAGGTTAATTAATTAAATTGGTAAAAGTTACACAACTTGTAAGTGATGGAATTGGCATTTTCAATCTAGAAAGTCTAATTCTGTATGCTCTGAACTATTATTTGTAATGCTATGAGAAGTAGAGAAGTATATTCCTAAATGAGGGAAAAGCCACAAATGTAGTTATTGGTTGTAAGATTTTTTTTTTTTTTGTAATTGAGGAAACTTCATATTAATTTAGATTTTCAGTAAGAATGGAATTGCTAGTAAAATCATGGTATATTCTGCATATTCTGCAAATGGTATATTGTGCAACCATTAAAAAATATTAGCCTGAAGACTAGAGCAGGTTGGAAACAGAAATTACGTATACTGTGATTACCACTGTGTAAAAGCATCCAGTAAAGTAAGACTTGTTATGGAGAGCAGACCATGTTTTTCTGTTAGGAGTTCTTTTGTTGTTCCACTGAATGTGGTTATTAAAATATCTGGAAGTACTTTACCGTTTCTTAATTATACTAGTAGTCATTTTTGGGGCATAGTGATATAGGCTTGTTTCAACATAAGAATTATAATTACATCAAAAATGCTTGTTAATATTTACTTCAAATATTTTATTTTTACTTTAACATTTTTCATAAGGACTAGTTAATTCTAAAGTAAAATCTTCATATGTGGTAATATTTATATATATATTTGTTATAGAGGTTGAGTATCCCTTATCTGAAATGCTTTGGACCAGAAGTGTTCTGAATTTTGAATTTTTTTGGATTTTGGAATATTTGTATTATACGTAACTGGTTAAGTGTCTGTAATTTCAAATTTGAAATTCTAAATGCTCCAATGGGCATTTCTTTGAGTGTCCTGTCGGTGTTCAGAAAGTTTCAGATTTTGGAGGATTTCAGATTTTTGGATTAGGAATACTTAACCTGTATGTCATTTTACTTTTCCTTTGTGCAGTTACCAGTAAACTGGTTTGTGTATGTGTACCTGACTGGCACAAACCCTGTTGTATATTGTTTAAGATAATATCCAGTACTGTTACTAAAATAAAATACTGAGTTCTTCATAGTAGCATGTGTCCAACTGTTTTCACATTTTTCAAATTTTAAAATCTGTAATTTCATACAGATTTTTTCTTTTATATATTCCAAATTATTTTTTCTGTATTATAGGCATGTATTGCAAGAAATTGCTACCCTTCTCCCCTGAATTATTATAATTTCCCAAAGTCTTGTTGTACCTCAGTGAATGAAGTCATTTGCCATGGAATACCAGACAGAAGGCCCTTACAAGAAGGTGACATTGTTAATGGTAAGAAAAATATGTTACTTTCATCACCATGGGCAAAGAAACAACAAAGCTTGGGGAATCTGACAGTGACTTGTGTTTTCTTGACTTGCTTCCTGTACTTAAACTTTTTCCTTTTTAAAATTCAGTATCACTAACTCTTAAATCTACAGGAAGCTCTCTTAACGGTTTTGTGCATGTTGCTTTTAAGATACTTCCGGTGTGATGTGTTTGGTGCAGTGTATTTCTTTAATGCTTATCTCATATGTGATTGGTAAATAGGTCAAAGATGTCAGTGAAATGTGGAGTCTAGTTTTTTTCCCCCAGAAGTTCACTAATGGTTTTGAAGAGACCAGGGCAGGCTTTGTTATAGATACAGGAAAACCCTTCATAATATATGAAGACCTAAAGGAAAGCTGAAAATCTTGCAGAAGTGCCTTACTTGAGTGGAAGTAGCTTTAAAGACCCCTATGTTAAGCTACCTTGGGAAGTTACAAGTATAGAGAGTAGAGGAAGTAGTTTAAAAGACATTAATGAAGGCTTTCCTAGATGGCATTTGTTTTTGTTTTGTGTATTATTTTATTTTTTGGAGACAGGGTCTCACTGTCACCCAGGCTCGAGTGCAGGGGCGCCACCATGGCTCACTGCAGTCTTGACTTCCCTGGCTCAGGTGATCCTCCCACCTCAGAAGTAGATGAGACTGCAGGCTCATTGCTACCATGCCCAGCTCAGTTTTTGTATTTTTTGTAGAGATGGGGTTTTGCCATGTTGCCCAGGCTGGTCTCAAACTCCTGGACTCAAGCATCTGCCCACCTTGGCCTCCCAAAGTCTTGGGATTACAGGCATGAGCCACCGTGCCTGGCTTAGATGGCATTTTAATATTGATGGAATTAGACTCTTTGTTAATAAGATATCTTAAAGGAACTACCTATCAAATGAGGAAGCATGAGCCCAAGTGTTAGAGGCTGCAGATAATTGACTGATTGTGATGCTAGCTGTGAATGATAGCCGAAATTTAACTATGACACTATTTTTATTAGAATTGCTACTGCTTTAGTTAGGGTATCTGTTCATAAAGTTCCATAGGTTTTGAGGCCAACCCTGTTTTTCAAATATAAAGCCTGTTATTTTTATTATATGTAGAATGTGTGAGGTTTTTCAGGAATGTATGTGTTGTGCTAGAACCAAAATATCTATATTGTGATGTTACAGGTTGATTGAAATATGTGGTTTAAAAATACTCAATGTGCTCTCTAGATACATTATAATGGTATAATAGTATATAATATATAGTATAATAGTAATCTATATTCTTAAACATGGGGACAAAGAGAAGAATGAATATTCACAAATAAGAGAAAAGCAAATGAGTTTTAAAAAAACAGGTGTAGAGCAGTGTAAATTTTTCTGTTATTCCCTAGCAGGAGTAAGGAACTTGTAAAAGATAAGTGAAAATGGTATTTTGTAGCAATGTAGCAAAGTTTTCAATTTAATGTTACTAACTCTGGTAATTTATTTTGCATGATTGTGTCCCACATACATTTTTCTTTTGCCACAAGTGATACAATTACTATAAGAGTATAAAAACCCACTATCTGGCTTATGTTACATGGCCATATTCCTGCTCTCCACAGTGAGTTCAGTTACATCTCAGGGAGCTTCTGTTGGGCAATAACTATCTATCCATTGGTGTCTAATTTGAGAATGCAGAAGTTGTCTTTTTCATTAAGTTGCTAGATGCTGTCATGTTGGAAAAACACTTGAATTTTGAAATGAAAATAAGTATGGTCTTTATATTTGCACATTCTCTTGCAGTGGATATCACTCTTTATCGCAATGGTTATCATGGGGACCTGAATGAGACATTTTTTGTTGGAGAAGTGGATGATGGAGCACGGAAACTTGTTCAGACCACATATGAGTGCCTGATGCAAGCCATTGATGCAGGTCAGCCTCAGTGTTGAGCACCTATTGGCAGTCCTGTGTGTTGATGGGCCAAGAATGACTGGGCGCTGCAGTTCTGTGCATTCCTTGTACCTTCCAGGTTGCCCCTGTTCTACCTGAGTTAGCTTTGGTTGTTAGCAGTAATGGGTAAAAGGATGATCTGGGAATCTCTTGGTGGTGATAGACCAGATGATTGGTTAGCATCCTTTGTTTCTTCTGTGATTTATCTTCCTTTTCTTTGCCTGATAAATGAAGAGGACTGTGCAGATGGTTTTTTAGTGCAACTTTTATTCTATTTTTAAAATTCTTTCCAGTACATAAATATTATGTTCTCCTCATAAAAAATTAAAAGTGAAGATTATGAGTGAAAAATGTGTGATCCTCCTTTACACTTGCCTCCCCTCTTATCTCTCTCTTCTCTCTAGAGATATCCCATTACCGTTTAGGTTTTTTCTCTCTCCTGTGCATTAATGCACACACGTATGTGTATGTGTTAAATTAAGTTAAATGGAATCATAATATTTTTAATGTGTAACTGGGCTGTTTTTTCAACTATCATAGAGATCTTTTCAAGTTAGCATATATACCTACAGACATAGATTTACCTCATTCTTTTAATGGCTATGTATTATATTCTATAGTATTACAATTTGTGTAACTATTCTGTTGGATTTTGGTGCTTTCCAGATTTCTTACTATTGTAGTAATGGGTAGGGGTGTATTTCTGGAGGATTTTTCTCAGGCTGTCTGTCTTTGTACATATGAACAACTTATCGAGGCTTTTTTGTTTAATCAGTATCTTATGGGGATAAGAGAAGGAAAGGGGCTGGGCATGGTGGCTCACTCCTGTAATCCCAGCACCTTGGGAGGCTGAGGTTGGCAGATCACTTGAGGTCAAGAGTTCGAGACCAGCCCGGCCAACATGGTGAAACCCTGTCTCTAATAAAAATACAAAAATTAGCCAGGTGTGGTGGCGGGCGCCTGTAATCCCAGCTACTCGGGAGGCTGAGGCAGGAGAGTTGCTGGAACCTGGGAAGTGGATTGTGCCACCGCATTCCAGCTTGGGCAACAGAGCGAGACTCCATTTCAAAAAAAGAAGAAAAGAAAAAAAAGAAAGGAAAGTTCTTAACAGCATCTTGTTGGAGTTGTTAACAAACTGTTAATAAATGGGCAAACAGCCTTCTGGTTAAATCCTTACCATATCAACTTTATTACCAGTGTGCTACCTGCAATCCTCCCCAGTCTCTCCAAATCTTGATGTCATCAACAGAATAGTGAACAGGACAGAGTTCTTAGACAAACATACAGTTATCTCTAATAATGTTGATCCAGTATTTTTATTGTTTTTAGTGCGTTCTTTAATGTGTATGGGAGATGAAATTTTTACTCAAGTTGGAGGAATGGAAATGAAGGAATATGATATTTTTGTGTATCAGGTGAAATTTTGAAAACTTATTACTCATTGTTGATTATTTTAAAACATTAATACAGGAGGTGGAATTGAAGAAATTTAATGTTTAATTTGTCATTTGTGAAAGCTTAAGTTTGAAATAATTTTTAGAGTTTCTGCCAGATAATATAGTCAATATTTCTATTCTTTTTGCTTCTCTGTGAATCAACTGAAGAAACAAAAAAAAAAAAAAAAAAAAAAGAAAAAGAAAAAACCAGATAGTTAGAATGCTGTTTTATATGACGTATGACTGGAACTTGCCAATAGTTTTCATAACAGTAGCCAGGAAGGAACGAAAGTGGCTTGATCTTTTTTGGAAAGTGCTTTGAATTCCTTTGTATATATCATTTTTGCCCCTCATTTTGCACCTCCCTTACTCCCCCAGGTAGAGGGTTTGAAAAGCTGTTGAAATTAGGCTTCTTAAGTAGGGTTTCTTAGTCTATGCACTTAGTGGCTTTTGGGCCTGATAATTTTTTGTTGTAGAGACCTGTTCTATACACATAAGATGTTCCACAAGCATTCCTGGTCTCTACCCAGTAAATGCCAGTTACACCACCACCCTGTGTTTGACAACCAGAAATATTAATATCTCTAGATACTACCCTTGGGGCCGCAGTTGGAGCAGTTTGAAAATTAGGGAAGACTTCCTCTGTCACTCTTTCTATGCAACATGGATTACAATATTGTTCCCCCTCCCACCCCAGGCTGATAGGAAGGCCTGGATAGGAATGAAAGAAAGTAATTATGAAAGTCAGCATGATTTTTCAAAACCAGAAACCTCCTTCCTTCTCCCCCCAAAATCAAGCTGCAAAATACAGTTAAGAGCAAGTAAAAATGTTAATTAAACTGATTCCTTGAGCTATTTACCCTGAAATGGATGGGAAAGATACATTGTATCTGAACCTCAGTCTGGGAATCAGATAGGCTGAGTAGGAGAGTAGAGAGAGTTAAGGATCCCCAGAGCCATCTTGAGGTTCTCTAGGAGTCTGACAGTGCCCAGCTCCTGGGTCTTAGTGTGAGGGAGAACCTTATAGTGATGAGAACCACTTTTTTTGTTTTGTGTTTTATTGAAACACTAGTAAAAGTCATAAAAACTAAACAGAGCAGAAAGTGTATATAGTGAGAAGTATCTTTCCTGTACTGTACCTCTAGGGTTGTCCTGTAGAGGCAGTCATGGAAAGTTTGAGAACTATTTTTATGGGGATAAAGAAGCCCAGGGGAAGTAAGTCTTTTAGAAGTTGTCCAGGCTGAAACTCAGGACAATTCGTTACTTTTTGGACGTTCCTTTTACTCCTAGTGCACTTTCTTATCTCTTCTGCTCATATTAATAGAATGGAACACTTGGCCTTAGGGAAGGATGCGAAAAGAAGTGTATTTTCCTCTCTATTTTTCTCTGTTGTTAAAGAAAGCAAAAGGTACCTACTTCCAACCCTTTAGTGCTGCTATGAGTCTAACGTTTTTGGCATGAAAGGAGGAACTACAGATGCCCTTGGTTTGAATTAGAACTTTACCAATTACTGGCTGTTTGGCCTCTCTGTGCCTCATCTGTAAGTTGAGGCATGGATGCATAAAAGTGTTTCAAAAACTTCCTAGCACAAAGATAGTAATTACTTTTTTTTTTTCTTTTTCTATTTTGAGACAAGGTCTCTCTCTTTTGCCCAGGCCAGAGTACAGTGGCAGGAACACTGCAGCCTTGACCTCCCGGGTTCTAGTGATCCTCCTAGCACAGCCTCCCAAATGTAGCTGGGACTATAGGCATGCACCACTATGCGGGACTAATTTTCATATTTTTTGCAGAGACAGGGCTTTGCCCTGTTGCCCAGGCTGGTCTTGAACTCCTGAGCTCAGGCGATCTTCCTGCCTTGACCTCTCAAAGTGCTGGGATTACAGGCATGAGCCACTGCATCTGGTTGATAGTAATTGCTTAGTACGTATTAGTTATTAGTTTATCATGAATTTTCTTTTTTCCTTTCAGTGAAGCCTGGTGTTCGGTACAGAGAATTGGGAAACATTATCCAGAAGCATGCCCAAGCAAATGGGTTTTCAGTTGTTCGAAGCTATTGTGGGCATGGAATCCACAAGCTTTTTCATACAGCTCCCAATGTACCCCACTATGCTAGTAAGTACTATCCAGAGATTTGGTATAAGCTCACCATTTATTCAACAAATACTTATTCATACATTTAACAGTACCTACTATTTTGTATTCACTAGAGTAATCTCTTAGCTGTAATAGATAGATTCCCAAAATGTGTATTTGCTGAAACACAGTGCAAGTTCGTATCTTACTCACATAATAGTCCAAGGCAGGTGTGTTTGGTCACTGTGGGGGCAGGGCAGTTACTATGTGACACAGGCTGTGTCATCTTTGACCTATGGCTTTCAAAGTCACTTTGGGAGTTGCCCTCCTGGTCAGTAGATAGTGGAGATGTTGGGGGTTGAAGCTTGAAGGGGTATACCTGGGAGTTTTTAACAGACAGCTGGAATTGGCATAAATCAAATTTATTTTCCATTGGCAGGAATTCAGTCACATGGCTACATTTAAATGCAAGGGAGATGGGAAAACGTAATCTAATTGTGTTATGGAAGAAAAGTAACCTTATTTTGGCAAACAGTCAACAGTTTGCCACAGGCCTAGCCATTACTCTTCTGATTCCTTAGGTGAAGTCAGTTCGTCTTGCTTGGTTTGAGTGTTTAATGTATGTCAGATCCTGTAATATTTGTTTATATAAATAGAGGGGAATAAACAAAGTGCCTTTCCTTAGGTTGAGTGCCGTGTGATACAATAACAAAGAAAGTGTAAGATAGATAATATCTTACAGAAACATTTTCTGTAGAGAGAGAAGAACATGTTCAGGAATGAATCTGTTATTTAATGTCAGAAATGAAAGCTGTCCACAGTAAGTGACCTAGGAAGGAACTTAGCACATATATTTTGAGCCGCTGCTAGATGAACACTTTCATCTCCTTGTGCTTAATTTTTTTCATCTGTACAATAGTAGGGAATGGTACTTACTGTAGAATTGTTATGAGGATTAAGTGAGATGATACATGGAAAGCACTTAGAATTCTGCATGAAAACAGTACATGAAAGCATTTAATGTTAATGTTTACAATGACAGTAATATGCATTATCTCATTTGATCATCACAACTCTATGGATAACTTCTTAGCCCAATTTTTTTAAAGCAACTCTGTGCTTACAGAGGTAATTGGCTTGCTCAAGGTCACACAAACTAGTAATTAAATGCCAGACTAGCATTGATACCTGGGTTCTGTCTTGCTTTCTGGAGTCAGTCTTTTCTCCCATACTTCATGCTGACGAGTAAGGATTGAAGAAATTTGGTGCAGGGGGCGGTGGGAGAACTAAGTTTTGGTTGGGTGGAGAGGAGAAAAAGCCAGTTGGTGGGTGAACATGGGTGCTTCAAATAGAGAAAAACAGAGAAAATATAAGGTTGGCTGAGTTATATGTTAAGGACTAGCAGCAGGCAGTCCAGGTGTGCCAAATGCCAGACTGAAGGAATTTGACTTGTATGTCGGAATCTTCAGAAATATTTTTGGGCAGAAGAATGGCATAATGAAGCTGATATTTTGAGAAGGCTAATTTGGCAGTGGTGACTAAGATGGATTGCAGGTGGGAGTTCTGAAGATAGTTGGCCTGATGGACAGTTGTTGCTGTAGTGCAGGTGTGAGGTGGTAAAATCCTAGACGTGGATAGTTGTGAAGAGAAAGTGAAATGAGTGAGCAACCTTTCTAAGGGAGAAGCTGGAGCAGTCATTCAGAGCAGGGGTCCCCAGCCCCTGGGCCGCAGACAGGTACCAATCCATGGCCTGTTAGGAGCTGGGCTGCACAGCATGAGGGGAGCAGCAAGCAAGCGAGCTTTACCACCTGAGCTCCACCTGCTGTCAGATCAGCAGTGGCATTAGATTCTCATAGGAGTTTGAACCCTGTTGTGAACTGTGCATGTGAGGGATCTAGGTTGCGCACTCCGTATGAGAGAATCTAATGCCTGATGATCTGAGGTGGAACAGTTTCATCCTGAATCATCCCCCCAAGGCTTGTACCCTCAAAATCCTCCTGGTCTGTGGAAAAATTCTGTTCTACAAAACCGGTCCCTAGTGCAAAATAGGTTGGGGACTGCTGGTTTAGAGCACAGCATCTAATGTGTGTCAATAAATGGTTATTAGCAGACCACCTAATTCTTTTTATTTAAAATGTGAATCATGCTTGAAATAAAAGCTAGCAACAGAAAATAGGTAACTGACTTCATTCCTTCCTTTTATACCCTGTAATCATCTGAATATGCATTCCCTTTCACAGAATGGAAGTAGCTATTCTAGTTACAGTGGGGTGTGTGTATGTAAGAGTATGTGCAGGGGAGGGAATGAAAACAGTCCCCTTACTTGCAGAAGCAATAAAATTTGAGTTTAGATATGGATTTGAGTGTGAGGGAAAGAGAGAGACTGAAGACAATAATATTTATGGGAGAAGGGGATTTTGGTCAGTGGTTATAGTGTCAGCAAAATATGTTGCCACTGTTATACAAAAGGTGTCATGTGAGTTTCCTATTAAAGCATTTGATTAGACATAAGAAACAATTATGAAAAGAGGAACAAAGACCCAGGTGTACTTTATTTTATATAGTTTTTTTGAGACAGGATCTCGCTGTGTCGCCTAGGCTAAAGTGTAGTGGTGCAGTCACAGCTCACTGGAACCTTGACCTCCGAGAGCTCAAGCAGTCCTCCTACCTCAGCCTCCTGAGTAGCTGGTACTTCAGGTGTGGGCCACCATCCCTGGCTAATTTTTATATTTTTGTAGAGACAGGGTTTCTCCATGTTGCCCAGACTGATATCAAACTCCTGGGCTCAAGCAGTCTGCTCACCTCAGGCTCCCAAGGAGCTGGGGTTACAGGTGTGAGCTACCACACCCAGCCTTATATATTATGTTTATGAAGAGTCACATTTATGTAAAACAAAATATGCAATGATCACTGTAGGGAAGTATTAAACTATTGAGGGTTTTTTTTTTTGTATAGCAGAGATATCTTTTGAAATGTAAATCTCTGCTTTAGTTTGTAACTCTATATTCCTAGCCCAAATGAGGGAAGAACCAGGAAATTGTTGTATAACATTCCTCCACTCCTTCTATGTAGGAGAAATCCTTGTTAGGTGAGAGTTTATTTGCTTCTATGTTTGAATCAATGGGTGGGAAGTAATGATGATAATACTCTGCATTTAAACTGTACAGGCATACCTCAGAGGTAACTGTTTGGTTCTAGACCCTTGCAATATAGTGAATATCACAATAAAGCAAGTCATACAGATTTTTTGGTTTCCCAGTGCAGTGCATAAAAAGTTATGTTTATACAGTAGTCTATTGTGTGTGTAGTCTAACAATGCACAACCCTTGATTTAAAAATACTCTATTGCTAAAAAATGCTAACAGTCATCTGAGTCTTCAGTGAGTTGTAATCCTCTGGCTGGTGAAAGGTCTTCTCTTGATGTTGATGGCTACTAACTGATCAGGGTGGTGGTTGCTGAAGGCTGGGGTTTGTATTACATTCTCACATTGTTAGAAATTCCTGGTAGAATTCTTGTTAGAACCTGGGTAATTTATAAAGAAAAGAGGCTTAATTGGCTCACGGTTCTGCAGGCTATACAAGCATGGCAGCATCAGCTTCTGGAGAGGCCTCAGGGAACTTACAATCATGGCGGAAGGCAAAGAGGGAGTGAGTGTCTCACATGGTGGGAGCAGGAGCAAGAGAGAGAGTGCATGGGAGGAGAAACAACCAGATCTCATGACAACTCATTCACTGTGCAGTACCAAGGGAGGTGGTGCTAAACCATTCATGAGAACTCTGCGCCCAGGATCCAGTCACTTTCCACCAGGCCTCTCCTCCAACACTGGGAATTACATTTCAACATAAGATTTGGGTAGGAACACAGATCCAAACCATATCAGGGTTGTTGTGGCAGTTTCTTGAAATAAGACAACAAAGTGTGTCACATTGATTGACTCTTCCTTTCACGAAGGATTTTTCTGTAGCTTGTGATATTGTTTGATAGCATTTTATCCACAGAACTTCTTTGAAAATTGGAGTCAGTTCTCTCAAACCCTGCTCCTGTTTTATCAACTAAGTTTATGTAATATTCCAAATCTTTTGTTGTCATCTCAACATCTTCTCTATGGGTAGATTCCATTTCAAGAAACTACTTTCTTTGTTTATCTGTAAGAAGCAGCTACTCAACTGTTCAAGTTTCATCATGAGATTGCAGCAATCCACTCACATCCTCAGGCTCCATTACTAATTCTAGTTCTCTTGCTCTTTCCACCACATCTGCAGTTACTTGCTCCACTAAGTTTCAAACTCCTCATAGTCATCCAAAAGGGTTGAAATCACTTTCTGCCCAACTCATGTTAATATTGATATTTGGCTTCCTCTCATGCATCACACAATTTCCTCCCATGAATCACAATTTTTTGGTTTTGGTTTTGTTTTTGTTTGTTTTGAGACAGGGTCTCACTCTGGTTGCCCAGGCTGGAGTGCAGTGGCACGATCTCAGCTCACTGCAGCCTCCACCTCCTGGGCTCAGGTGATTCCCCCACCTCAGCCTCCTGAGTAACTGGGATTACAGGCACGTACCACCCTGCCTGGCTATTTTTTTTTGTATTTTTAGTAGAAATGGGATTTTACTGTGTTGCCCAGGCTGGTCTTGAACTTCTGGAGTCATACATTCCACCCGCCTCTGCCTCCCAGAGTGCTGGGATTACAGGCGTGTGCCACCACACCCAGCCTACAAAGTTTTTAATGGCATCGAGAATGGTGAATTCTTTCAAGAAGGTTTTTCAGTTTACTTTTGTCCAGATTCATCAGAGGAATCACTATCTACGGCAGCCTTAGAAAATGTATTTCTTAAATAATAAGACTTGAAAGTCAAAATTCCTTCTTGATCCATGAGCTACAGAATAGATGCCATGTTAGCAAGCATGAAACCAACATTCATCTCCTTGTACATCTCTGTTAGAGCTCTTGGGCGACCAGGTGCATTGTCAGTGAGCAGTAATATTTTGAAACGAATCTTTTTCTCTGAGCAGTAGGTTTCAGCATTAATATTATTAATTATATTAACTATATTATATGTTAATTATATATTAATATTATTAAAATATTCAGTAAACCATGCTATAAATTGAGGTGCTGTCATCCAGGCTTTGTTGTTCTGTTTCTAGAGCACAGGCAGAGTAGATTTCGCTTCATTCTTAAGGAATCTTTAGGAATGGTAGATGAGCATTGGCTTCAACTTAAAGTCACAAGCTGCAGGATCCCCTAACAAGAAAGTCAGCCTGTTCTTTGAAGCCAGTTGTTGACTTCTCCTCTCTAGTGAGAAAGTCCTAGGTGGCATTTTCTTCCATTAGAAGGCTGTTTTGGTCTGCATTGAAAATCTGTTTGTTAGTATAGCCACCTTCATCAATTATCTTAGCTATATCTTCTGGCAAATTTGCTGCAGTTTCTACATCAGCACTTGCCGCTTCACCGTGCACTTTTATGTAATGGAGACGGATTCTTTAAACCTCACGAACCAACCTCTGCTAGCTTTCAACTTTTCTTCTGCAGCTTTGTCACCTCTCTCAGCCTTCGTAGAATTGAAGAGAGTTAGTGCCTTGCTCTGGATTGGGCTTTGGCTTAAGGGAATGTTGTCGGTTGTGTGATCTATCCAGACCATTCAAACTTCCTCCATAACAGCAGTAAGACTGTTTTACTTTCTTGCATTTGTGGGTTCAGTGAAGTAGCGCTTTCAATTTCCTTCAAGAACTTTCCCTCTGCATTCACAATGTGGCTAACTCTTTGGAACAAGAGACCTAGCTTTTGGCCTATCTAGGCTATTGACATGCCTTTCTCATTAAGTTTAATCATTTCTAGCTTTTGATTCAAAGTGAGAGACATGTGACTCTTCCTTTCAGTTAAACACTTAGAGGCCATTCTAGGGCTATTAAGTGGCCTAATTTCAGTATTGTGTTTCAGGGAATAGGGAGGCCTGAGGAGAGGGAGAGAGAAGTGGGGCAGGCTGATGGAGCCTTCAGAACACACACAAACATTTGTTTGCCGTCTTTACATGGGCACAGTTTGTGGTGCTCCAAAACAATTAAAATTTTAACATCAAAGACCATTGATCACAGATCACTATAACTGGTGTGATAATAATGAACATGTTTGAAAGATTGTGAAAATTACCAAATTGTGACACAGAGACATGAAGTGAACATGCACTGTTGGAAAAATGACATTGTTAGACTTGCTCAGAGCAGGGTTGCCACAAATCTTCAATTTATTTTTAAAAAAAAAAGCATCTGGTCAGATGTGGTGGCTCATACCTGTAATTCCAGCACCTTGGGAGGCTGAAGCAGGCGGATCATTTGAGGTCAGGAGTTCTAGACCAGCCTGGCCAAAATGGTGAAACCACGCTTCTACTAAAAATACAAAAATTAGCCGGCCATGGTGCATGCAACTGTAGTCCCCAGCTACTCAGGAGCCTGAGGTGGGAGGATCACTTGAACCTGGAAGGTGGAGGTTGCAGTGAGCCGAGATCGTGCCACTGCACTCCAGCCTGGACAACAGAGCAAGAGTCCATCTCAAAAAAAAAAAAAAAAGAGAAAAGAAAGAAGGAAGCAGTATCTGTGAAGCATAATATAGTGAAATGCAATAAAACAAGGCATGCCTGCATATTACAGTCATTCTGTGAGAGACTATAGATCAGGTACAAATTTTTTAAAAAGTACCTAAGAGTGTCTGCGATAGTATAGTCACTCAGATAATGTGTATTTGTTGAGTGAGGTATGTTGGGAAACTGAAACTTTAATCAGTGTAAAAATTATTGAGAGATATGTTACATGTTGTTTTAGTCTTTGAAATCCAAAGGGCTTTTGCACTGATAGCCTCAGTTCTGATTGGTCACTTTTCAAGTACTTTCTAGCTATACATGGCCAATGCTGCTGTTCTGGACGGCAGAGTTCAAGAGTCTTTCATCCTTTTTACTTTCTGTGACACCACACTGACATTCTTGACGTTTTCTTTTTGGTTTCTCCAAGGAAATACAGACCAATTCTGTATATGTATTAAGCATGTCATTTTGAAAGTTTATGAATTTAGAAATTAAAAGTCAAATGTTTGTTTTTCTTTTCTTCCTTTTTTCAAATGACCTTAGGATTTTATAACAGTTTAGAAGCTCCAGATTTGAAATCTGCAGTAAGTGTATTTTGGCAATACCTAAGATAGTGGAAAGCAGCACGATAGCTATTCATCTGGAAAGTTATGCAGGAATATAAACGTGTAGGGGAGGTTAGACCATTCCTGGAAAGAGGAGAGTTTAGTTGAGTCAGCCTCAAAGGGCGGGCAAATTTGCCATTCATAACAAAGTTGCAGATCAGAACAACCTCGCAGAGGAACCCTGAAAAGCTGATGTATTAGCCATCTGGTGGTCAGGTTGGGCATTGCAGTCATTCACTTAGCTGATACCCTTATTAGGTTTTGTTTAACTTGGAATTTAAATTAGTTCTCCATTTTTGTCTAAAAAAGCCTATTCCTAGTTTTAACATTTTTGGCATTTTTGAGGGGTATGGCAGGTCTGGTCACTGTAATTTATTGTTGTATTGCTCATGATGATCCTGAAAAAAACTTACATTAGTGAACTTGGACAAAGAAGCTAAAAAGTACTTGGAGAGAGAAATGGAGTTTGCTTTTTTGCTTTGAATTAAAAAATAATGGTCTCCTTAGTTGTTTGTTTTTTGTTTTGTTTTTTGTTTTTTTTGTTTGCTTGTTTGTTTGTTTGTTTTTGAGACGGAGTCTTGCTCTGTCGCCCAGGCTGGAGTGCATGGCACAATCTCGGCTCACTGCAAGCTCAGCCTCCCGGGTTCATGCCATTCTCCTGCCTCAGCCTCCCGGTAGCTGGGACTACAGGCCCCCGCCACCACGCCCAGCTAATTTTTTGTATTTTTAGTAGAGACAGGGTTTCACCATGTTGGCCAGGATGGTCTCGATCTCCTGACCTCGTGATCCACCAACCTCGGCCTCTCAAAGTGCTGAGATTACAGGTGTGAGCCACTGCGCCCGGCCTTGTTTTTATTTTTGAGAGAGTCTTGCTCAATCGCCCAGGCTGGAGTGCAGTGGCGCAATTGATCTCAGCTCACTTCAACTTCTGTCTTCTGGGTTCCAGTGATTCCCTGCTTCAGCCTCTTGAGTAGCTAGGATTTCAGGTGCACGCCACCACACCTGGCTAATTTTTGTATTTTTAGTAGAGACAGGTTCCGCCATGTTGGCCAGGCTGGTCTCAAACTCCTGACCTGCCTCAGGTGATCCACCTGCCTCGGCTTCCCAAAGTGCTGGGATTATAGGCATGAGCCACCGCACCCAGCTTATTTTTTAAAAAGTAGGTTAATGTGCATAGATTTTGTTCTTCTTTGAAGATGAGAAAAACACAACAGCTTATGAAACATTATGAAAATCATGTAGTTTCTATGGGCTGTGCACCTGTGTGCAAACACATGCTTACCCCCCAAAGCGGTGGGAAATTTCTGGCATAATCTGAAACATCTGTCATTCTCCTTTGAGCTTCTCTACCCGGATGAGTAGTGGAACTCTTGGTTCTGTGATTGCAATTCTAATCATGAGGTAATAGAAATCAAGGCACTTTTCTTTTATTCTTTATTTGCCACTTTTCTTTTTATAGAAGTGATACTCATCTCTGAAATACAGCCTACAAATACCTCTGTTTTCCTAGAGAACACATAAGCGTAATTGAAATGTGCCTAGGACAATACGTGCACCATATTAGATGGCTGCCAGTATAATACCTGTTTGTTGAACTTTAAGAAAGGGAATCAGGGTAATTAATTTAACAATCACTGATGGGAATTTGAGTTATGTACTCTTTCTAGTTAGCTGTTCAACAGTACACTGTTGGTTTTGCTACCTTTTGAGATTTTTTTCTTTGATTTCAGAAAATAAAGCAGTTGGAGTGATGAAGTCGGGCCATGTATTTACAATTGAGCCAATGATTTGTGAAGGTGAGAAAAAAGGATGCCATGATATTTTTCAATTGAATTTATATGTATTTTAGGTAATTCATCATGTCAGTGGTCTTTTCTACCTGCTTGCTTTTTGCTTCCTACTCACTCCCTGTCCCACCTCAAACTTGATTCAGTATCGTGAAGAACTGAAAATTGTGAGGGTTGGCAAGAACGGCATGGGTTCTGCGTGGTAGTCTTCTGTCAGGAGATGCTGAAATGCTTGAATTCTGGTCCCTTTTCATAAAGATCATGTCAAAGGGTGCATTGTAATAATGAGGTGCCCAGGTCAAGTCTGTGCGGACGTTCTTGCTTGATGTAGGAGAGGGAAGAGGAGGGAACAGAGCAGAGCATTGACGAGCCACCCAGTTCGAGGCAGACATGATTATATGATTTAATTCTTCACAATTTATAAGGTAGGTGTTACCCCATTATAGAAACTAGGAAACTGGTCCTTGAAGAGGGTGGGTAGCTTGCCTGTAACTTAGCTTGTTACTTGGCAGAATTTGTCAGACTCAGCTCATGAGCTGTTCTGACCCTTCATGGTCTGTACTCATGTCATCACGTGGCATCATATAGCTATTGTGGGGAAAGCACACCAAGGACACTTGGAAAGCACACTTGGCTCTGGCAGCCTCCCCACTGTTGTCATCTCTTCCAGACAGGCTTGTAGCAGTGATAGGAGACTGGGAGTCACAATTAGGGCTCCTCACCGAGATTTTCAGAGTGATTCTGGTAATGGAGCTTTCTGGTTAGGGGATGCAAAGTGAGGCAGTAGCAGTAGAGCTTGTGTGTCCTGAGCCCTGTTTTAAAGGATACTCCCTCTCTTGATCCTTCCAGTCTTTTTATAACCCAGTCTTGGGAGTGACTTCTATATTGTCTTTCTTAGAAGTGATTCACTGAATCCAGCCCGCACTCAAGGGGAGCAGGAGCTCACACAAGGGCCTGCATGCCAGGAGGCTGGGGATCACTGAAGTCACTTTAGAGGCTGCCTTCTAAAGCTGGTTCCTTATTGCGTTTTCTGTAAAATGAAAATTAGAATCTCTATCTTGCCAACACCCAGGGCTGCTAGACTGAGATGATTTATGTTATGTTATATACTTTAAAAGACTGCACAAATGTGCAGTAAAGTTTTTGTCATCCTCTTATAATAAGGATAAAGTTCTGATCACGTGCAACCAGTTGTAAAGATGGTAAGTATTTAGCAGTGAAAAGAAAGATAGTGGGAGGAAATTGTCATTTTGGCTACGTATTTCCATTAACTAGCACCTGGTTGGTGAGCCATGATGTAGTGTTTTCAGTAAGCAAATAACTTTCTATACAGCCAGCACAGGTAATTAATCATCAAATTATAGCAGATATACTTGAAGTGTAACTCAGCTAGGTTAAATCCCTGGACTAGAAAGTCTCAAATCTGCAGGAGAATTTCCTCAGAATAGCCAAATAAGTTTGACTTGACATTACTAAAAATCCTGTTTTATCAGATCACAATAAAATTACAGTAGTAATGTTTTAAATTTGTGTAAAGGCCATTTGTGTAAAGGCCATTACATTGAAAAACATCGATGTACTCATCTTTAGTTGCTTGATGAGGCATGAGTTAACTTTTTTAGGCCGCCTCGTATTTTCTTTTTAGCCTGGGATTTAATATTGCAAAAGTAGTTTACTTCACTACAGAGTTTATGTTCTGGGATTTGTCTGTCTGAGGCAGTGAGTCCTAGAGGTAATATGTTTCACCTAAAGATTACTCAAAATGAAGAAAGTATTGATTTTTTTTTAACATCTAATTTTGAAAGAAGAAAGCTCGCAAATACATCTTTTACAGTAGTATCTAGAATTGCCTTTCTCATTCCACCTCTGCTTCACATTCTCTTGGGCCTTTGCTTTCTGCTTTCCCTCATTATGACCCCTTCACCCCCTTTCCCTCCTTTCTCTGAGTTTTCTTTCATGGCCTCCCAGATTCACTGTCCCTTTGCTTCCCTTCTCTGGTTTCAACTCCTGTCCAGACCATTCTGCTTCATATTTTTCTTATGCTCTCACACCAGTCTTTCTTTTGCCCCTCTTTCTGATTCCAGGGGTATAGTTCACAAAAATTTCACTGTATAATCTGTTCTCACCATCTGTTTGTGTGCCTACCATTTTGAAATTATATCAGGAATTGAATGCTGTAATAAAACTGTAAACATTTACATGATTTCCTTCACAATATATGCTGAGTATAGTTTTGTCAGATGCCCAAGTTATACTAGGAAAGAGCTAAATTCATTCAAGTTTTTTTTCTGATTTTTTAATTGTAAAATACACATCTCATTTTTAAATGTACAGTTCAATATTATTAAATACATTCATAACGTTGTGCACCCATTACCACCATCCATCTCCAAAAGTCTTTTCATCTTGTAAAACTGAAACTCAACCCATTAAACATTCCCTTCCTATTGCTCACTACTCCCAGACCTTGGCACCCACTGTTCTGCTTTCTATCTCCATGATTTTGACTACTGTACTCTACCTCATAGAAGTGGAATCATTAAGCACATGCTTTTTTTTTTTTTTTTTTTTTGAGACGGAGTCTTGGTCTGTCGCCCAGGCTGGAATGCAGTGGCGCGATCTCAGCTCACTGCAAGCTCTGCCTCCCAGGTTCATGCCATTCTTCTGACTCAGCTTCCCGAGTAGCTGGGACTACAGGCGCCCAACACCATGCCCGGGTGATTTTTTGTATTTTTAGTAGAGATGGGGTTTCACTGTGTTAGCTAGGATGGTCTCAATCTCCTGACCTTGTGATCTGCCCGCCTCGGCCTCCCAAAGTGCTGGGATTACAGGCGTGTGCCACCGCGCCTGGCCAAGCATATGCTTTTTTATGACTGGCTTATTTCACTTAGCATTATGTTCTCAAGGTTCATCTGTGTTGTAGCATATTGCAGAATGTCCTTTTTAAAAAATTTCCTGTTTTAAAATGGACAATTATTGTACATATTCATAGGGTACATAGTGATGCTTTGATACATATAATGATACATATAATTAATTAAGGTTGTTACTCAAAGTTGTGGTGATTGGTATCAATATGTTGTTAAAATGAAATCCAGCGCCTTTATTTTGGAAATTCCATCTTGATTTGATATTTGGGATATATAAAAAATGTGGTTGTAATACATCTGATGAAATTTAAACATCAAACATACTGAAGACCAAAATGAAGTTGGAAAGGCATTAGCTAAAACAATTGGCATGTAAATAAGGATCTTAGTAGTGAATTTTTTCCTTGGCTTTCTTCTTGATAGAGTTCATTTAGAAAACTGAGTGAACTAAGAAATTGTTTTTGTTTGTTGAAGGCGGATGGCAGGATGAAACCTGGCCAGATGGTTGGACTGCGGTGACAAGAGACGGAAAGCGGTCTGCTCAGTTTGAGCACACCCTCCTGGTCACAGACACTGGCTGTGAAATCCTAACCCGGCGACTTGACAGTGCACGGCCTCACTTCATGTCTCAATTTTAATTTCTCCCAAGATGGCACATCTCAGTACCTTCTTACTGTGCTATGCATTTTATTGAGAGTACAGAAAGGAAGAGGAACCTTTTTTTAATCACTTGTTTTGTTTTGACTATAGATAAGAAAGGACTACAGCATTTGATGTGTGTCCTCAAGAACTTGTCTTGGGTCTGAAAAAGCTGAGAAGAATAAAGGAAACATTGCTCAACTCTTCAGCCCCCTCCCCCTGCACACCTGTTTTCTCATTTGCCCTTTGAGCACTTTTACTTAAACTTGCTTGTAGTTGCTTTTATCACTGCCGCAAAACAGCCATCAAGAGCCATCTGCTTTCCAGGTGAACATTGGAAATGAGAATCTTTGAAACTTAGCAATATGTGTTGCACCAGATTTTTTAAATTATATATATGGAAATATATATGTATACATTTTAAGTTCTGTATACATAATTACCAAACACTATGTGACCTGGAGTTTGTGTTGTTTCTGCTCTGACAGGTTTATATGTTCTTACAAATGGATCCATAGTTTGCAGTGATTTAATTCCTGGTTGGGATTTGGCCTCCCCTCTCCCCCATGCTAATTATTTACCCTTGTAATTGTGCATAGGGAAGCACTCACCCAATGAGACTTTCTCCAATGTGGACTCTGTGTGTCAGTGAATGAATGTAGTAAAATTCACTTTGGAAGGTTATCAGGCTTTTAAAAATCTAGTTTATGGCAAAAATAGCCATTTTCCAAGTGGTGGCTGACTGTTGCAGGGAATGAGAATTTCATAATACACTGCTATTTCAGACCTCTGTTTGGTCAGAAATGGAAAAGAAAAAGCCCCCTTTCTTCCCTTTTCTGTTTTACTTCAAGGGCATACCTTGGAGGTGCTCAGAGAAGCGTGAAGTTTGCACTATGGTGGAGGATGGGGAAAGAGTTCTAAAGTGTCTCCAGCTGTGAACCCAGGAGGTCAAGTGGGCTATTAAAATCTAACGTTGAGTAAATGTGATAGTGATGAGAAAGGAATTTTGTGTACTGTAACCTTGCAGTAGAGATGCAGCTGTCCTTCGTGTGTGGAAACACACCTCTCCTTTACATAGTTGGGAACCTCATTAGAAATGACCTCAGCTGCCCCATATCTACGTTCCTTTCAGCAGTTGTCCAAGTAGGAGTGTATCCAGTGAAGACATATCAAATCACAAAGTCATTGTCATTAGAGTGTACTTGATTACTGGGCATCCTTGTAATATAATTTCATACCACTGACACATTATACTTGTAAGAGAACATCTTTCCCAGAGTGCCTCAGACCTTATTGCTTTAAAATATAATAATGTTTTCATTACTTTTATTATTTGAATGATTTAGTAAAGTTGACTGAATCTGGTATAGACTTTGGGAGTATGTGTGTGAAGTTTTTATCAAACTGTAATATTTGTGAATGGAATGCCTTGCAATATGAATGTTAATATAATGTGTAAAGGGAGATTAAAAAGTTTGAATGATTATCCTACCATGTAGTCATTAACTTTGCTGCATTTCTTTGGGATTTCAGAGGGAAATGGTGGGAATGGGGAGGCTGTTTGATAATCTAAAATAAATTCATGACCATTTGAGTAGAAATGTTTTTTCAGGTGTAATGGCTGTACATAAACTCAGTAGAGTGCCAGCAGCATTTGAGATGCAACCATATTTTTGAGAGCTTTTAAGACAGAATGCTGAATATTAGGGGAGCATTTTATGTACTGATTGTGGAATTAACAATGTGGGCTTATTCAGTGTCTGTCATTAGAATATAAGCTGAAGGAAGAAAGATCTTGGTGTGATAGTTTTTTGGTTAAAAGATAAAACACCACACTGGTGATAATGCTTTTCTTAGTTTGGGAGATTTTAAAACAATATGGACTCTAGTCTAATTGCATATATCTAATTACAAATGTTCATTGGATTTAGGTGACAAAACACCTAGTTTCATCATTCTGCCACCTTTTTACAAAACAAGTCAGAGCATGGTGTGCGAGCCTGTAGCATTAGCTACTCTTGAGACTGAGATGGGGGGATCGCTTGAGCCCAGGAGTTCAAGGTTACAGTGAGCTATGATTGTGCCACTACACTCCAGCCTGGGTGAGAGAGAGAGACCTCATCTCAAAAAAAAAAAAAAAAAAAAAAAAAAAATCAAAGTATTAACTTCTTTTTTTACATTAACTTTTAGAATAATTTTTTCCCCCTGCCAGTCTTCCAACTCCTTTGGAATTATAACTTGGAAGAAGGGAAACATGAACTTCATTTTATGTCTTTTGTTGATAAAAAGGATTAACCAACACCTTTATACCACTTGCACCCACATATCTAAATTAATAGGCAAGAGTTGATGAGGTTTAGGAATTTGTTTGCTTGATTCCTCAGTTTGTTCTCTAACGACTTCTGGGTTTTCATTGGATTTGGTTAAAACTGAGAGCAGGATGCTCCCCTTTGCTTAACCTCTACCCTCATGGTATCTGTAAGCGATTTCCTTCCTGTTTTTCCCTTCTTTTAAAATTTTTATTTTTTATCTCCAACTTTTTATATTGAAAATTTTCAAATTACAGAAAAGTTGAAAGTATAGTACAGTGAAATAATCATATATCCCTTACCTTTATCTAACAAATGTCATTTTGTCACCTTTGCTTTATCTCTGTATAAGCACTTTTCTTTTGAAAGAAGCAACATCGTACTTCACCCTACTACATCAGCATGTATCTCTTAACCTAATGACATTCTTTTACATGATCATAACACAATTAGAAATTTAGTATTAATACAGAATTATATAATGTATAGGATATAAACTTTAATTTTCCCCCAAAATGTTATTTAAAGCTTCCAAATTCATGGCATTTAGTTGTCATGTATCTGTAGTCTCCTTTTTTTTTAGATGGAGTTTCACTCTTGTTCAGGCTGGAGTGCAGTGGTACAATCTTGGCTCACTGCAACCTCCACCTCCTGGGTTCAAGCGATTCTCCTGCCTCAGCCTCCCTAGTAGCTGGGATTACAGGCCCCCGCCATGACCCAGGCTAATTTTTGTATTTTTAGTAGAGACGGTTTCACCATGTTGATGCCAGGCTGGTCTCGAACTCCTGACCCGTGGTGATCCACCTGACTCGGCCTCCCAAAATGCTGTGATTACAGGAGTGAGCCACCATACCTGGTCTTAGTCTTCTTAACTCTAGCAGCCGTGTCTAATCCTTTGAGTGCGAGGATCTTTTATCTGTGGTGGTGGATATCATGAAAATTATGCACAGGCCTTTGTTTGAGCTCATCAGCTATCGTTGGTGTATTTTACATGTGGCCCAAGATAATTCTTCTTCCACTGTGGCCCAGGGAAGCTAAAAGGTTGGACACCCATGCTAGAATAACCCTCACACCTTTTTTGATGTCTTACGAAATGGACACTTGAAAAATCAGGTTAGTTTACAAAAGTCCGTTTGTCTGATTGTTCCTCATGAGGATAGATGCAGGATAAACATCTTGGTGGAAGACTACAGAAATGGCAGTTGTATGCCCCATTCATTGTACAACGTGAGGCACATAATGTTGTTGTCACCTTATTGCTGATGCAAAGTTTGATCACTTGGTGTTTGTCAGACCTTTTCACTGTAAAAATACCTTTTTTCCTAAACAAGTAATCTGGGAGATTAATATTTGCTTGATACTACCAGACAGATGTAAAATTGTTTCAAAATTACTACACTAAAATCACTGCCAACAATAAAGTACACTTTCTTTATGATTCTTTTTTTCTTAGAACATATCATTGAAGTAATTTAGATCTTATTCTGAATTTCATAAACCATGGGCTACTTTAAGAATGAATGCAGTGAATCTCGGGGGCAAAAAATACAGTAGAGGTGGGGAGGGATATATTAGTGGTCTGGCAGTTAGAAATGCTGGAACTGTTTGAGACAGTGTAGTAAGATTCTGTCTACATTTGATAGTGTTTAACTTTTACCAAGCTTTCCAGCTGCAAGAGGAGCAAATCATACCACTTGTAAATTACACCACACTTGTGGCAGTGTCGCTCATTTTCCAACTCCTTTATTTATTTATTTATTTTTATTTTTTTCTTTTTTTATTATACTTTAAGTTCTAGGGTACATGTGCACAACGTGCAGGTTTGTTACGTATACATGTGCCACGTTGGTGTGCTGCACCCATTAACTCGTCATTTACATTAGGTATATCTCCTAATGCTATCCCTCCCCCCTCCTCCCACCCCACGACAGGCCCCAGTGTATGATGTTCCCCTTCCTGTGTCCAAGTGTTCTCATTGTTCAATTCCCACCTGTAAGTGAGAACATGTGGTGTTTGGTTTTTTGCCCTTGCGATAGTTTCCTGAGAATGATGGTTTCCAGCTTCATCCATGTCCCTACAAAGGACATGAACTCATCCTTTTTTATGGCTGCATAGTATTCCATGGTGTATATGTGCCACATTTTCTTAATCCAGTCTATCACTGATGGACATTTGGGTTGGTTCCAAGTCTTTGCTATTGTGAATAGTGCCACAATAAACATATGTGTGCATGTGTCTTTATAGCAGCATGATTTATAATCCTTTGGGTATATACCCATTAATGGGATGGCTGGGTCCAATGGTATTTCTAGTTCTAGATCCTTGAGGAATTGCCACACCGTTTTCCACAATGGTTGAACTAGTTTACAGTCCCACCAACAGTGTAAAAGTGTTCCTATTTCTTGACATCCTCTCCAGCATCTGTTGTTTCCTGACTTTTTAGTGATTGCTATTCTAACTGGTGTGAGATGGTATCTCATTGTGGTATTGATTTGCATTTCTCTGATGGCCAGTGATGATGAGCATTTTTTCATGTGTCTGTTGGCTGCATAAATGTCTTGAGAAGTGTCTGTTCATATCCTTCGCCCACTTTTTGATGGGGCCAACTCCTTTATGTTAGAACATAACATTTAGACATTCATGTTTTAGGAACAAACTGTTTCATAACATAGGCTGCATTAGGCTAAAACCTATAAAAGTTGTGTTTTGTTCTATTTTAAAAATGGACACCTAAGGAAAGGTTAGCTTAGCACACAGTCTGTGTATGGAAACTCTGGCCCTTATGGCAACCTTCTCTCATCTTCCTTTTGGTGCTAAGTAGGAAAAAGAAAAATAGTCTGCATTTATTTGGGTGTTTTGCAAGATGAAGCAGGAATAAGGTGGCCCTGGCTACGTGTTTGCTGCTTTTCATTTTGGGGACTGTGGGTGAGCAACAATAGAACTGTGTATATGGTGATTCTGGTTATTTTTGAAAAAAGGTCAACACTGGTATTTTACTAGAATACTCCAAAAAGTTAAAATATGGAGCACTCAAGAAGGACTTCCTATAAAAATTTTCACTTATCACAATTGTGCTGTTAGTCGTTCACAGTATTTTAATAGTTTTTTGTTGTTGTTGTTGTTGTTGTTCCTCAGGCTGGAGGCAGTGGCATGATCATGGCTAACTGCAGCCTTGACCTCCTGGGCTCAAGCAGTTCTCCCACCTCAGCTTGCCACGTAACTAGGACTACAAGCATGTTCCAACACACCTGATTATTATTATTTTTCTATAGAGACAGGGTCTATGTTGCCCAGGCTGGTCTTGAACTCCTGGCCTCAAGTGATCCTCCCACTTCAGCCTCCCACAGTGCTTGGATTACAGGTGTAAGCCACCACACCCAGCCAATTTCTACAATTTTTAAATTGATTCTGTGGCTAGGAGAACAAATCACCACACTTCTCTGTGGCAATCTCCTATTTGTGCAGTGATATGACAACTACCAACTGTTTTATTCTATACAGAATGTGACTGGCTATGAAGCAGATTTGCTTTGTTTCAGTAGTTGGGTCAGAGATCACCAGACAATTCCAGATAGAATTTTTTAAACTTAAATCTGAATTTGAGCCCTGGATGATTCTGAGGAAACAATGCCAAGGATAAGAACATTTAATATTAACATGTAGATTACAGAAAGAGATCAACATATTTTAAAGCGTGTTCTGCTGCTTTATCTTGCTTAACATATCTCGATATTTTTGGCAGTCAAGAGTACATGTTTAAACTGGAGGTAATTCCATGGTGGGTTATCACTCTTTTCTTGAAAGGAGCATGTGCATATTTCTCTTATACATAAGGAATTCTGATATGTCCAGTTTGATAAAAATCAATCTGCTTAAGAGCCCATTACGCTGCTTTGTCACCATAATGTTCCACCGAAGGAAATCTTGTATAATAGAGGACTTTGCTCATCTTGTTCACTTGGTAGTTGTTCCTTAAAGACACAATTACCTTGGTATAGTTCTATGCAATTATTATCTAAATAGCTGTTTATACAGTACTTAATAAAATGTTTTCCAAGTGTGTTTGTAGTGTACTTTTTCTAAAAGGTATTTGCTGACAAAGAAATTGATCTTGTGTGTGAACTGAAAAAAATTGGCTGAAGCCAGTTAGTCAACAAGGTGTCCCTGTAGGCCCAAAGAACTAAACTGTACTTTAGGACTTTGATTATCAACCTACATGGCAGATTGGTAGCCGAGCAGAAAAGTTCTGAAGCATTCTGTGCATGTAAAATATGTTTCCCCTTCCCTGAGTCAACAAAACATTTTGAGAATTACCAGCTAAGTAAAATTTTCCATTCAGATGGGATGAACAGAAATAGTGCTATGTATACTTTTTGGAGCCATTTTTGTTAGGTGTTAAGTTGTACACATGTTGACTGGCTCCACTGTAGTAAAGTTTTGGACATAATGCAGTTTTTTCCATACCTCTATCCCAAACGACGTCATCATCCCATAAATTCTACTCTATATGTTAGTTTTGTGTGAATAAAGAACTTGTGCCTATCAGACATGCCTGTAGACGGACTGTCTCCAGCGAGTATCACTAGGTAGGTTACATAGCAGAATAGCCAAACATGCTAAAAATGGCAATGCAGGAAATACTTGAAGAGAAATTTTTATATTGGGAATATAAAAATTTTGCAATTAAACATAAAGATGCTTAAGTTCCTTACATGGCAAAATTTTAGATCCTTTAAAAAAATTTTACCAGCTTTAATGAAATATACAGTGGAAGTTAATATCCATCTGTATTGCAATTATATACCTCTTGTCCAAAAAAGCAGCTTAAAGATAACTTTCAAAAGTTTCCCAACAATTAATAATTTATTGTATATTTCAAAACAGCTAAAAGAGCAGCTTTGGAATGTTCTTTTAGAAATGATCATTGTTTGAGGTGATGGATATTCCAGTTATTCTGATGTGATCATTATATATTGTATGCACATATCAATATCACATGCTCGGTAAGTACATACAACTATTATGTATCCACTGAAAAAATGTCTAACAAGACTTCTAAAGTGGTTGAATCCCAATTTGGGACAACCAGGGTAGATTTGCTTACATGCACTTAGTGAATGGTTGGTTGGTTTTTTTTTTTTTTGAGACTGAGTCTTGCTTTGTCGGTCAGGCTGTAGTGCAGTGGCGCGATCTCGGCTCACGGCAACCTCTGCCTCCTGGCTTTAAGCCTCCCGAGTAGCTGGGATTACAGGTGTTGTGCGCCACCACACTCAGCTGATTTTTGTTAGTAGAGACAGGGTTTCACCATGTTGGCCAGGCTGGTTTCAAACTCCTGACCTCAAGTGATCCACCTGCCTCGGCCTCCCAAAGTGCTGGGATTACAGGTGTGAGCCACCACGCCTGGCAGTTTTTAGCATATATAACATACATATGTTAAGCAATTCCTCAATTCAAGACGATGTATTAAAATGATCTTAAAAAGAAAGACTTGGCTAGGCGCAGTGGCTCACGCCTGTAATCCCAGCACTTTGGGAGGCTGAGGTGAGTGGATCACCTGAGGTCAGGAGTTCAAGACCAGCCTGGTGAACATGGTGAAACCCCGTCTCTACAAAAAATACAAAAATTAGCCGGGCATGGTGGCATGCGCCTGTAATCCCAGCTACTCGGGAGGCTGAGGCAGGAGAATCGCTCTAACCCGGGAGGTAGAGGTTGCAGTGAGCTGAGATCGTGCCACTTCACTCCAGCCTGGGCAACACAGACTCTGTCTCAAAAAAAAAAAAAGACTTGACAACTATAGCCGAGTCTCATGACCCAGGAATTCTAATAGTAAAGATTTTGTAAAATTGATTATTTTTATTATTTTTGTGACAGGGTTTCACTCTGCCACCCAGGCTGGAGTGCGGTAGTGCAATCACAGCTCAAAGCAGCCTCGACCTCCCGGGCTCAAGCACAGATTTTGTAAAACTGATTCTTTATACTGGATCTCTGAAAGAGATAGTTGTGCTTTCAGCCAGGAAATGCTAATACTAAACTTAATCAGCTGGCTCAAGAGTATGTACTTAACTGTGCCAGAAATGAAAAGCAAATTCAATAATAGGCTAGCTACAAAAATTAGAGTAGTATTTTATTTATTTATTTGACAGGGTCTCACTCTGTTGCCCAGGCTGTGCAGTGCTGCGATTATGACTTACTGCAGTCTCGACCTCCTGGGATCAAGCCATCTTTCTAACTCAGCCTCCTTAGTAGCTAGGACCACAGGCACATGCCACCATGCCCGGCCAATTAAAAAAAAAAAATTTTTTTTTTTTCTAGAGATGACATCTGTGTTGCCCAGGTTGGTCTTGAACTTCGGAGGCCAAGTGATCCTCCCACTTTGGGCTCTCAAAGTGCTGGAATTACAGTTGTGAGCCACCGCACTTGGCCTATTTTAATATTAATCATCTTAAAACTGCTTTACATTTTCATATTGGCGAACCTAAAAAACGTTTGCCATTGCAATTCATGAATATCTCATGTTTGTTTGAGAAGAAAAGTCAAAGGAACAAGACCTTTAGGAGTTACTGGCTCTCCTCCATACTCTCCATAACTGTTTTGTTACTGCAGTTGCCAACATAGGATACTTTTGTTCCTAGAAGGCTGGGCTACACCAAAGATTAAAAGCACATTTCCTACAAGTGGAGTAGAAGCTAGTTTTAATTTCGTCTTCCTTTCAGTCCACTTAAGATAACAGTTGTGGCCCCTTTGGGCCCTCATATCTCCAGCCCTCTAGGTAAAACAGGAGGGAAGCTGGACTACATTGTCAGGCACTTCAAATGCACCAAAGTTCTGAAAAGGGGAAATCCTGACCATTACTACCAGTTTGTTTCCCACTTTTCAATCAATGACATATTGCTCTCTCACACAATTCTGTGGGAGCATTTAAACCATATCAATAAATTGAAAAAGCACATAGCATCAATCCAACCAAAAGATATTTGCATGGTAAACGTGATGCACTGATATAAACTCTATGTTATCATGTGGAGAAAAAAGTTCACAGAGTAGTGTTGATAGTATTCCTTTCGTGTAATTTTAGAGGATATATATGCTATTGTGTGCATAGAAACTCCTAAAAAGATACGTAAGAAACTTAACAGTAATCACCCATTTTTTTGCAGGTGTATAGCTTTTCTTTCTCATTATATAATTTCCTAACAATTTATATTTTCTAACCCTTAGGTATATTGCATTCATTAATTTATTTTTATGTCAAGGATTATCAGGATGGTAAGATCCTGGACCATTTTTGTTTGCTTCTTTATACTTCTCAGGATAAAATAACCTAAATGTTACTTACCACCACCAGGAAGATTTATGTGACTACATTAAAACTTTATTCAACAAAATACCATAAAGTAAAAAGAAAAGTCACAAGATAGACTAGAAGATATTTGCAACATATAAAACTGACAAATGATTGATGTCTAGAATAAAAGAACTCCTAAAAATTATTCAGAGAAAAATAATTCAATACAAAGTTGAGCACAGGATATGAACAGGTTCTTCACAATAAAATGTCCATTAGAATGAAGGATTTAACGAGAATTGAGGAAAATGCAAACTAAAGTCATAATAAAACACCATTCCATACTCATGTAATTCACAAAAACTCACATTTACTTTGAAGAGCAATTTGGCAATGTCTATAAGGCTAAATGTGTTTATTCTGTGATACGTCTTAGGTAACACGCAGTGAGCCCAATGCAGAAGAATGTTCCACTACAGTGTTATAATACAGAAACTGGCAACAACTTCATGCCTTCAACTGGAGAACAGATAAATTATGGTAGTTCCCGTAATTGAATTCTGCTACACAGGACTAAAATTAATGAACGAGAGCTTCAGATATAATTATACAATAATGAGTGAAAAAAGCTGTAGAATGAGCAAGTATGAGGCTTAAAAATATATAAAACAGTACTAAAGAGTAGATGGTTTAGGTTATACACAGTGAAAGTACAACAACACAGGAATGATAAACATCAAATTGTGGATAATTGTTACCTCTGGAGGGGAGGAATGGCAATGTGATCTCGAAGTGGCAAAATGTTAAGATTTGACAAAAGTAGGTGCTGAGAACTTGGATATTCAGTATGTAGTTCACTATACTAGAAATAGTACAGTCACAACCAACACATACATACACCTATTTAAGCCCAGAATGCTGTTTCAATAATACATTTTAGTGCCCCCTGAAGGGCAGATGCCATCCTAGGAATTTGGGGTACAGGTATGAACAAGGCACAGTACCTCCCTTCAAGATAATATCACAGAAGCAGACTTGGGTCCTGATTAACTTTGTCACTGATGGCTAGGATCTGTTCTTTAATCAACGGGGACTGAGACCCTTAAAAGTTCAACGTTATGTTTCTGAGGTTTCAGACACCCACCACTGCCCTGCTTCCTTTCCCTTTCCCTTGCAGAATGAAGATAATGGGCAGACAAACCGTGACAATGATGACAGCATAAAACAAGACAATTTCCACACAAATGTAGAAATTACTTTTATTATGTTAAAATATTCCTTAATAAACTAGCAATTATTTATGTGGAGGAGCATCCAGAAAACAGGTTCATGACTGAATTATCCTTGTCCTTGATTATAGAGATTCATGAATGACACACATAACCCTATTTTCTGGAGTAGCTGTGAAGCTCTACGAGGCTGTGAGGTTGGAGGCGCTTCTCCCTGCCTGTTAAGCTGCTCCTATCACATCACGACAGGATGGACATTATTTTTCTCTTTTGAATTAAATCTTTACAACAGTTCGAATGCTGTAAAAGGAAGCAACATACTAAGTTTTAAATGATACCTTTAAGACAACTAAAATTGTGTTTTTCGACTCTCCATCCCCTCAAACTCAACATCATTATTACATTCTATGATATATAAAGAGAAAGCCTACCTCTTTCCAGAATGCATCAGTTCAAAGGCTTTGTTGATTTCATCAAAAGACAGATTGTGAGTCACAAATTCATCAACTTTTATCTTTTTGGACATATATTCAGACACCAACTTTGGGACACTTTCTACACTCTTCCATCCTAAAAGAAATCACACATTAATTTATTCAACAAATTTCTGCAGTATGCTTGTTACTTAGCTGAGGACAAAAGGCATTTAAAAGAATGAATTTTTTGATGAGTTAAAGAGTAATGAGAAACTCCAAAATAGCATGGAGATGAAGAATTTGACCAACACCTTTCAGTGAAGAAGTAAATACTTTTGAAATTTCCCTTCCTCTGTATTAAGATTTACTAAAACCTCATTAAAGTTTTGGCCAATTGAGACTTTTAAACTACCCAGGACAGAACTCTGGAAGTCTCAACAACAAGCTTATTTAGGTCCACATCAGCAAAGATTTCTATAATCATGATATTCAAGGAAGAAAAAAACTAATACAGGACTTTATTTCCTTGGTTTTAAATTTAACAATGAAATAGGGATAGCATATCAGAACAGAAAACTATGAAACTGAAAAATGAAGTAGAACTCTTTAGCTAAATGCTAAGTTTGTTCGTTTGTTTTTGAGACGGAGTCTCGCTCTATCGCCTAGGCTGGAGTACAGTTGCGTGATCTCAGCTCATTGCAAGCTCTGCCTCCCAGGTTCACGCCATTCTCCTGCCTCAGCCTCCCGGGTAGCTGGGACTACAGGCGCCTGCCACCACGCCCAGCTAATTTTTTGTATTTTTAGTAAAGATGGGGTTTCACCATGTTACCCAGGATGGTCTCGATCTCCTGACCTCGTGATCCACCCGCCTCAGCCTCCCAAAGTACTGGGATTACAGGCGTGAGCCACCAGGCCCGACTAAATGGTAAGATTTTAAATAAAATTAGGTACTTCAATTTCTCACTGTATCTAAAGAAGGAATACAATCAACAAGAAGCCTTCTCACCTTCTAAGGATGCTTTCAACGATATTTCAAACCTCTTTTGAGCCTTTTCCAAATCTCCTCTCTTATATTCTCCACTAATTATTCTTTCCCCACAAATGGTAGGGATTTTTTCTTTCTCCTTTAAATGTCCTGGTAACTGAGATGACCACAGTCACTCCTGTTCTCTAGACAAAAGCTTCTATTATCTTTAGATCAGCAATGCAAGGGGCCTCAATGATACAATGAATTTCCCAACCAGCATGTGCTAGAATGAGGCTTCAGTTAGAGGTTACTAGCAAGATCCCCTGGATCAGCCAGGCTTAGAATGCCCTTTAAAATACAGCTATGGACTCCAAAATGATACCCCCGAATAGCATACATGGCTTAAAAAGTTTCTTCTATGATACTCTGCTGTGACATGTATCTAGAGCTTTGAAGAGGAGGTCAAGTCAGATTGACATCTTCTAAGGCAAATTCTGTAGTTATAAAGAACGAAGATTTTGGCCAAACCCCTCATTTTAGCATATTTTCCAAATCTTTTCTTCTGGCCTTCAAAAAAGCTGGCATAATATGAGGTAGAGGACCTTAAAAGACAACCCGTTAAACACAGATCATTCAAAACACACACTATGTGATTTTTTTTCTTTAGGAGGAGGATGAAATATAAATATATATTTTTAAAGCCCTTTAAAAACTTTAGACTCATTCATTCACAACTGTTGGGAAATACAAACATGTTGTGACATCTTTTCTCTCCTCTGGCTGAGCAACCATGGAAAAGATAGAAACTGTTTCCCCGCAACCCCAAACCACCAAGGACTTTTTAGGATCACAAAGGGAAAAATGATCAGTCTAGCAGCTTTTTGATTTTATGATAAGGCTTTGTCCAATTAAATATTTTCAGTTTGAGACTCAATATTGGTTACTGCTAAAATCAGACAGATATATGATCACATCCAGTGATCACTGCACTCCTGGAAAAATGAATAAAAATGTAACAAGCTACTTGGGTCCACAAGAAACACACCATGGCTGATACTGCTGTTTGCTTACTTTGCAATCAACTTCCTGTCCCTGCTATACCCATAACTACTTCCTCACTATCAGAATATTGATATTTTTCTTTTATAGAATATGCACCAAGTGGTCCTATGTTTCAGGTGAGCACCACCCTCCCCCCCAAGTCCCAGGGGTAAATAGTGATTGAGTCTGAATCCCTTCTAATAAAACAGCCTTGCATGCAACAACTTATAATGAGAAGGAACTCATGAAGATTCTTGTTAATATAAAAAAAATTAGGTGGCTGGGATTAAACATCTGCCAATGCAACTAACAAAAGAGAAAATGCAGTCATCTCATCCATCGAATTACCTCCAAAGGCAGTGCCTTTCCATGTGCGACCTGTTACCAGCTGGAATGGACGAGTGGCAATTTCTTCACCTGAAGCAGCTACTCCAACCACGACGCTGACGCCCCAGCCCTTGTGACATGCCTCAAGTGCTGCTCTCTGCAGGCACAGAGATATGACCAAATCACAGAAGTCAGTGCATTTTCCTGAGAACAACTGCTGGCGAAACTTCTAGAGATGGCATAGTTTTTAAAGATAATGGCAACAAAAGGCCAAACTTAACATTTAGTGAGCTCAATGTTATTGAACAATTTATATTTTAATTTTTTTTGTTGTTTTTTTTTTTTTTGAGATAAGAGTCTCCCTCTGGCACCCAGGCTGGAGTGTAGTGCATGATCCTGGCTCATGGCAATGTCCACCTCCTGGGTTCAAGTGATTCTCGTGCCTCAGCCTCCCTAGTAGCTGGGATTACAGGCGTGCGCCACGACACCCAGCTAATTTTCGTATTTCTAGTTGAGACGGGGTTTCGTCATGTTGCCCTGGCTGGCCTCAAGTATCCACCTGCCTTGGCCTCCCAAAATGCTGGGATTACAGGTGTGAGCCACCATGCCCGGCCTGAACAATTTATTTTAACAAATTAACCTGGTTAAATATTAACATAAATTAAAATAATTTGAAGTGTTTATTTGCTTTCTATTTTAAAAAGTAAACTGTAGTTCAAAACTCTAAAAGATTTAATTTTAAAAAGCAGGCAGCAGAATTAATAGTAATACTTTTACTGAGTGTCTATGTAGGTTTAAGTAGGTGTTGTTACTACAGGTTGATTATCTTTTATCTGAGATGCTTGGGACCAGAGTGTTTTGAATTTTGGGTTTTTTCGGATTTGGAATATTTGCATCGTATTTATTAGCTGAGCATTCCTAATCTGAAATGCCCCAATGAGCATTTTCTTTGAGCATCATGTTGGTGCTCAAAGTTTCAGATTTTGGAGCATTTTGGATTTTTGGATTAGGGATAGATGTTCAACCTGTACCTGCATTTTACAGATGAGGAAACTGAGGTTGAGAGAAGCTGTTTGTTCAGGGTCACTGAGTTAGTAAGTGGATGTGTATTTGATTCCAAAGATCATGCTCTGCACAACTGCTTTATTCTGTCTTTTCATTTCATGAGACATGCACTTAGCAGGCATTGAAAGGCAAAGAAACATCTTTTCTCATCCTTCCCTGAGCTGTTCTTGTATCATTTCCCATTGTAGTTCAAATAGATATTTTCCCCTTCTTTCACTAGAAAAATTCTTATTAAGAGACTTTTCCTTTGCCAAAACAAAACAATTTTTAATCTAAAACTGCACTTCAAAAAAAGCAGTTCCATAAACTAAAAAGGAATGAAGCCCATACTCACCATGACCTTCACATTACCAATACATTCAAAGGAATAGTCCACTCCTCCATCGGTCATCTCAATGAGCACTTCCTGGATGGGTTTACTAAAATCCTGAGGGTTAATACATTCAGTGGCTCCAAACTCTTTGGCCCTTGCAAATTTATCTTTATTGATGTCCACACCAATGATCCGGGAAGCACCAGCCACTTTACAGCCCATGATAACTGCCAATCCGACTCCTCCCAGACCAAAGACGGCACAAACAGAGCCAGGCTCCAACTAGGAGTAAAGAAAGTTTATAAAGTACTCATTCTACCAGAGTCAAGAGAATCACTGGGTTTCATACAGATTGGCCAATTTCACTATTCCAGGAAAGTTTCACTGAATTAAATTAGAAGGCAGAAGCAAAAAACCCAAGTCAGTCTCTTACCTTGGCAGTGTTCACAGCAGCACCATAACCGGTTGAAATGCCACAACCTAGAAGGCAGACTTTATCCAAAGGTGCTAAAGGATCTATTTTAGCAACAGAGATATCAGCCACAACTGTGTATTCAGAAAATGTGCTGGTTCCCATGTAATGCAAAATTGTCTTTCCTTTGCAAGTAAATCTGCTGGTACCATCTGGCATTAATCCTTTCCCTTGAGTGACTCTAAAGAAAAAAAAAGGAAAAAGGCAAGTTGGAATTAGGTTTCTTAAAACCCACAGGAAAAAGAAATGTTTTAAAAATAATGACCAGTAAATATTAAGAAAGTGTTGTAAACTACAATTTCAAATATATTCATTAGTAATTTAGCACCTTGCAGCAATGCCTTATAAAGGAAATTTATAAGATATTTATAATCTTATCCATCTTTTCCAATATTCACTATCCTTCTAGATCATACTGTCAGAATACTGAACTCATTTTAAAAGGTACAACTTATGGATCAGATGGAATTATTTTAAAATCCCATCATTAAAACGGTGGGCCAGGTGCAGTGGCTCACTCCTATAATCCCAGTACTTTGGAAAGTTGAGACAGGAGGACAACTTGGAGCCAGGATTTCAAGAGTAGCCTGGGCAACATAGCAACACCCTATCTCTACAAAAAATAAAATTAGCCAGGTGTAGCGGAGCACGTGCCTGCAGGAGGTTCACTTCAGCCCAGGAGTTTGAGGCTGCAGTGAGCCGTGACTGTGCCACTACATTCCAGCCTGGGTGACAGAATGAGATCCTGTCTCAAAAATAAAAAAAAATAAAACAACCTCTGTGAGCAAATATAACATCATAAAGGATAAAGTCAAAACCAGTATCTATGCAAGTAGAGATTACAAACCATTAACCAGATCAACTAATGAAAACAGATAGCCAAACTGGCTAATTTATATCTTTCAGGAGGCATTTTTCTGAAGTGTAACTAACAGTCCTCAATAATGCAAGTTAAATTACTTCTTCACTTTGTTTTGCCTGTGACTTGGTTACACCAATAGGAAAGAAAACCCAAAAAGCTTACAAAGGCCACTGATATAATAAATGGTAACAAAAATTACTTTTGCTATTCTAAACAGAGGTGATGTAACATCTTGCTTAGGAGGACCCACCCTAAAGTCAGAGCACTTGGGTTCAAATCCTGTGTGATCTGAGCAAGTTAATTAATCTTTATGCCTTCATTTTCTCACTAGAAAATGCTGAGAAACATAGGTAACTTCCTTTACAAATTGCTATAAAAGTCTAATGAGATGTTATATGAGGCTTTAGCATTGTGTCTGGCACAGAACTGATGTTTAGTAATTATGTTATTTTAAATAAAATAAACACTATAATTGCTTTTTTTGAGACAGCCCAGGCTGGAGTGCATAGCTCACCACAGCCTTGAACACTGAGGCAGGAGGATTGCCTGAGCTCAAGTGATCCTCCTGCATCTCAGTACCAAGTAGCTGGTACTACAGGGGCATAGAGACGGGGTCTCACTATGTTGCCCAGGCTGAACACTATAATTTGATGTATACTCTTAAACTCTTTCGAACATACATATGAATAAATATACAGATGAAGAGAAAATGGACTGTCTCTAGATTCAAGAGCAAATACATTTCCTTTGAGAGAAAAATAAATATGACCAGAAACAAAGAAGAGGTGACAAAGCTCCATCAGAAAGAATTTTTTTTTGACACAGGGTTTTACTCGGTCGCCCAGGTTGGAATGCAGTGGCACATCATGGCTCACTGCAACCTCAACCTCCAGGGCTCGTGATCCTCCCACCACAGCCACTGGGCAGCTGGGACCACAAGCACGTGCCACCAAGCCCAGCTAATTTTTTAAATTTTTTATAGAGAGGGGGTTTCACCAAGATGTGCAGGCTGTTCTCTAACTGTTGGACTCAAGTGAACCACCTGCCTCAGCCTCTCAAAGGGCTGGGATTACAGGTGTGATCCACTGCACCCGACTAAAAATAACTGCTATATCTTAATGAGAACAATTTAAGTTTGTTTAGCCTTCCTTAATGTGAGAAATCACTGTATTCCAGAGGAGTTTCTTGAACAAAAGGTGATGTGGAATACATTTTATGCTTTGAAAGAATTTAAATGGTTACAATCACAAAGAACCCATCACCACTATTATATTTGATGTGTTGCAAAATCTTTCAGACTGCGTTTAAAATTCCCTTTCAAAGTGATTAGATTTTTTTGTTTTTGGTTCTGGTTTTACCAAAGTAACTGGATTTGCTTTATAAAATAAATGGAATTTTGTTTTCCAAAAATATAAACTAATTTTGTCAATGGCATTATAAACAAATGGATCTCCCATACAATGCTGGTGCAAGTGTAAACTGGTACAAGTACACGAGAGAGCTGTAGATGCATATCTTACGACTCAGCAATTATAATCTCAAGAAAATGCTCAAGAGAAAGCAATGCCTATATCCATCAAAAGACATGTATAAATAAGAATGTTCCTAGCAGCATTAACTGTAACCACCCAAAACTGGGAGTAATCTAAATGTCCATCAACAGGAGAATGGATCAATACTGGTATTTTGAATGGATTAAGACAGAGCAACAAGAAGGAACTACTGACGCATATGCAGCTTGGATATATCTCACAGACATTATGAAAAAAAAGAAACCTGACAAAAGAGCATGCACTGCATGACTCTATTTATACAAGGTCACAGTGAAAGGAAGAATCAGGACAGTGGTTACCTAAGAGGGAGGTAGGTTCTGACTTGGAAGGGACATGAGGGAGCTTATCGGGTGCTGGCAGGGTTCTCTATCTTGATCTGGGTGACGTTCAAATCAACAGGTGTTTATATACATAATCATTCATTGAGCTGTACACTTAAGATCTATACACCTTAAGTGCTTTATAATATGCATGCTCTACTTCAATTAAAAAAAAAAACGGAACACACACAAGGGGATCTTAAATTTCCTCAAAGAGGTAGTTCTTTCAGTGTTGTTACCTAGTACAATAAAAACAACTACCTTTTCTGTGTCAAGGAGTTAGGTTATCTCCTGCAGTCTTCCTAATAGCCTTAGTGGGTAAGTTTTATTACTCTCACTTACTGGGCAGTGGTTCATAAAAATGATTTCGTTTAATCTCAGAAGCACGTCTTTCCTTACTACATGGTTTGGCAAATTTAGCCTGCTGTTATGTGAAGAGAATGGGTACAGAAAATTCTGTTTTATATCTTAACGGCTGGTGATACTGGGCACACCCCTTTAGTTTCTCTTTTATCTGTAAGAAAAGTCAGTATATTTATGGTTTGCTTTATAAAAAGTTACTATTAATACAATGGTACACAGTACTGAATTCACAAAAATATGAACAAATATTTACAGTAAGAGACACTCACAACAGAAACACTGCTTCAAAGCAAGTTACATCCGGATGACAATGTCTATACACACAAAAATCCCTAAAACTTATTGGTTCTTTTCTTTGCAGCAGGAGGGAGGGAGAGAAAAGAAAAAAAGATAGCAGATAACCTCAACTCTTCAAAAGCAGAGATTTGTTCAATGAAAAATAAAGGAGTTGAAAGAAAAATGAGCCAACAAATTTCCAGATTATGACAAACCATTCTGGGGTAGGGGTTAGGGGATCCTGGGACAGGGAGGGCCCAGGGTCCAGTCGCCTTTGTGAAGACCAGCCAAGGTTAACATAGGGTACCACAGCTGGGCAAGATGAGACCAGGGTGAGGCATAAGGTGGAGTCACTCCCCTGGTCTCTTCACATCCCCCCGCTTCTTTCTTTTATGGGGTAGAAAGGAGACAGAAGGCAGACACCCCTTGAGAGCTGCACAAGTTACTTAAATCAGCCACCTCTACAAGCTACACATTTCCTCATGTGAAAAATAAATGTTTCTTCAGTTGCACAATTAGGCAGAAAACCGCAAATGGTAGAGAAGGCTGTTGCTGTGCCCAGGTACCCTCTCTGTGTCAAAACCTCTTAATTTCTGAGTCTTCTCTCATCTGTGAAAATGGGGATAGTAGTGAGGTTGTTATAAAGATGGAATGAAACCACTGATGTACAATGCACTACATAAACTGCCACACAATTATTTATTCTTATCATTGTTAATATGACCTTGTGGAACAGGAATTAAAAGAAATTAAAGAATGTGTAAGCAAAAACTCAGTTGTATGTAAGAAAACCCAACTCCCCCTGAGGAAGAGAAAGAGCTGGAGTCCTTTAAAATTAACTGCCTGTTTTTCTGTGGCTAGTGAGCCTTCTCTCTCCCTTTCCCACGCATTGTGAAGACTCTGTTTCTCTAGCTGTGCAGCTGCAAGGTCACTAGACAGATCATCTCAAATCATAAAACACGTTGTTCCTTGAAAAATAAGAAATGATGTAATGCATGTCTCAGTTGAATAACTGTCTTTGTTTCTTGCTTCTGTAATATGCTCCCCCTACAAAGGTCTCCCCCCACCCCACGAAATGCTTAAAAGGTAGCTTGACTCTTTGTTCGGGACTCAGTCCTTTGAACGTTAATCCGACTGGGTTAATGAACCTAAATTATTAAATAATTCCTCCTCAACCCCTCGGTCTCTGTGATTCCTTAATTATCCCGCAGCACTTGTGTTTTAAGAAGAACATAAAAAGATACTAACCTTATCTTCTGGCAAAGGTTAGTTTTAGGATTTAGACAAAATTTGCATTCTCCACACTGTGGGATGTAAAGTGGGATGACAGTGTCACCTGGAAACAAATGCAAAGACATCCTGAATAGGTAGTATCTATTTCTAAATGAAAACATCAGCCCTTGCAAATTCCTGTCAACGGATGTGGCTTTGCAAAGTTAAAAACTTCAAGTCTTAGAACTTTACCTAGGTAACATCATTCAGATACTGTCTGACCATGCAAAAAGTATGTTTCAATATTTTTATCTAAATGAAACTCTTTAAACAATAACTGAAGAACAATGAAGTTATATGCTTCAAAATCCTGCTTCATTGATGCATCTCTAAAAATTCTTGCTTAATATGCCAAAATTGGTTTTGGAAATGTACTTAGAAAAGTTTCACAAAAACAGTAGTCTGCAAAATCAGAGAGAAAAAAATATCCAAATATTTGTGCTTCCCAGATGAGGAATCAACTTAATCTTGACAATCTACTTAGATGATACCTATTCATAAATAGTGGGTAGTTTTATCAGAAAAACAATTTCCCCATAGGAATAAGCCAAAATTATTAAACAAGTGGTTCAAGTATTCTCCTTACCCGCCTTCAGCTTAGTAACTCCCTCACCAACACTTTCCACAATTCCAGCACCTTCATGTCCCAAGATCACTGGAAAACAACCCTCAGGATCAGCTCCACTCAGGGTATAGGCATCGGTGTGGCAAACCGCAGTGGCAATGATCTATCAGGACATTAAAACAACGAATGTGTAAGTATGTGTGCATGCAATTCAGAGGTACAGATACAAGAAAAGTCATTTTATTATAATACTATATTTCATTGACTCTAAGACACATTTCTTTCATATTTTAACCTCTCTAAAATCAGCATGTGCTTATAATCCATGGCATCTTAACAATTAGAATTGGCAGCAATTTTTTAGTGGTACATAAAAGCAATGGTGCATTTATATGCAACGAAATAGGGAACATCTAGTCCCCCTTTCAGCGCGCGTTAGCAAGAGAAGGTAAACAAGGTCATTTTATGGGCACTATGCCTTCAAGCATGGAGAGAACCATCGCCTGTGTGCAAAACAGGTGGAATCCAACTCACTTCTAGTTTCCTCATGACAGCTGGGAAATATGATTTTTAAAGAGGTAATGACTATTTCTGAAATAGGCCAGTCTGCTTGAGTCTGGACCAAATTTCAGAACTTTCAGAGGAACCAACTCCCTTTTTACAAACCACATACAAGTTCTATTTAAATAAGCCTGTTATCTCTATCTCTCTGGCTTTCAAGTAACTTATTATTTTTTTTTGGGACAAGAGTCTCGCTCTATCACCCAGGCTGGAGTGCAGTGGCATGATCTCGGCTCACTGCAAACTCCGCCTCCTGGGTTCAAGTGATTCTCCTGCTTCAGCCTTCTGAGTAGCTGGGACTGCAGGCGCGTACCACCAGGCCTGGCTAATTTTTTATATTTTTAGTAGAGATGGGGTTTCACCATGCTGGCCAGGCTGGTCTTGAACTCCTCACCTCATTATCTGCCTGCCTTGGCCTCCCAAAGTGCTGGGATTATAGGCGTGAGCCACCATGCCCAGCCGTAACTTATATTTTAAAGCCACCAAAAGCACAGAAAGGCAAAATCTTGGAGTATTTCTATTTATGCGTCTCTGCTCCTGGCTTATATATCCACTTACAACGTAACAATCTTTGCTACCTGTCTGCAGTTTTGCAGGGAAGATGGCTGTACTCATTGTGTCCATACAGCTCAATGAGCACAATGAATACCCATTGAGCTGTATGGGCACTTAATACATCCAGGACAAACATCTTCAGTGGCAAAATCACAGTCAGCTTAATTTCTGAATTTGAAGAAAAAAACACTATTATATGATTTCAAATTCCTGTGTATGGGTTGCAAAGGACCTTAAGATGTTATTTGGGCCAGGTGTGGTGGCTCACACCTGTAATCCCAGCACTTTGGGAGGCTGAGGCGTGTGGATCACTTGAGGTCAGTAGTTGGAGATCAGCCTGGCCAACAGGGTGAAACTCCGTCTCTACTAACAATACAAAAACTAGCCAGGCGTGGTGGCGCATATCTGTAATCCCAGCTACTAGGGAGGCCGAAGCAGGAGAATTGCTTGAACCTGGGAGGCAGGGGTTGCAGCGAGCCGAGATCGCACCACTGCACTCCAGCCTGGGCGACAGAGTGAAACTCTGTCTCCAAAAAAAAAAAAAAAAAAAAAAAAAAGATAAAAAGACGTTATTTGGTCCTGGTCTGCTCCACCTGGTATTTGTGATCTTTGGGAGCATGAGCCAGTATGTGTGGTGTGTTTTGAAAGTGAGATGGTAGGGGAAGTATACTCCAAGTCACAGCTCTTTTTTGCTGTGACTCTCTTCCTAGAATGTTAATGATCACTACTCTAAAGCACTAATTTTATATCAAAACAAGTAGAGAGTAGTAGAATGCTAAACACATGAAGTTTTCTACATGCCAAGGTTTCAAAGATCTCTCCAGCTGGCTACCTTGTACAATATGCCTCTCTCCAAGGGTAACATCATTTCTCTGCCACCAGAGGTTGAGAAGCACTAGAATAATGAATTCCCTGAACCCTACCCTTGTCCGCCAGGGTGGGTGCATTTTAAAGCTCTCTAAGCAAGCTGACTTCATTTGCTTATTACTCTATTCAATCAGGAGCCTCTTCTCAAATCTTGTTTAAGTCGCTGTAGCAAAACTGAAGACCATTTCTGTCAGAGGCATTTTAACCAGAGCGACTCCACCTTGAATAGGCGCTGGGTAAAATAAGGCTGAGACCTACCTACTGGGCTGCATTCCCAGGATGCTAGGCATTCTTAGTCACAGAATGAAATAGGAGGTTGGCACAAGACACATGTCACAAAGACCCTGCTGATAAGACAGGCTGGGGTAAAGAAGCCAGCAAAAACCCATCAAAACCAAGATGGCAATGAAAGTGACCTCTGGTCATCTTCAAGGCTCATTATAGGCTAATCATAGTGCATTTGTACACCAAAAGGCAGTCTCACCAGTGCCACGAGTTTACAAATGCCATGGCAATGTCATGAAGTTACCCTATATGGTCTAAAAGGGGGAGGAATCCTTAGTTCTGGGAATTGCCCACCCCTTTCTTGGAAAACTCACGAATAACCCATCCTTTGTTTAGCATATAATCAAGAAATAACTATATGTATACTCGGTTGAGCAGCCCATACTGCTGCTCTGTCTATGGAAAAGCCATTCTTTTATTTCTTTGCTTCTCTAATAAACTTGCTTCCACTTTATCCTATGAACTCACTCCAAATTCTTTCTTGCGTGAGGTACAAGAACCCTCTCTGGGGTCAGAATAAGGACCCCTTTCTGGTAACATTTCTTCTTTTGTTTCTAACGTGTCAGCATATATTTAAAGTTATCTAATCAGCAGAAAAATGAGTATCCTACAGAGTTACCTTAAACCTAAACTGCAGAAGATAAATTGCAATAATCCAGTGACCCATGGGGATAGCTGCTCAGCCCAAGATCAAAACTAAAAGAGATGGAGAAGCATGCTGCAAAGGTGAAAGATAAGAGAAGGATGTTGTGATTGTAAGGCTGGATGACTTTCAACACCTTTTCTTTGACACTGTCCTTTGGGATTTATCCTCTGCAGATCTCAGATCTACTCATCTATCCAGAGACCTCATTGTGTCTCTTTTTTTCCCAGTGCCTTAAATGTATCATTACCTTGATTCGAACTTCATGAGCCTTTGGGGGTGCCACCTCTATCTCCTCTATGGAGAGAGGCTTTCCAGCCTCCCAAGCAACTGCAGCCTTGCACTTGATAACCTGAAGTGGGGAAAAAAGGGAATAAGCTGTTTATCCTCCTAAACAAGTAACTACTTAATAGCCAATTTAGATACAGATTAATGCTAATCTTAAAAAGTATATCACAGATTCACAAAGAAACATATGCTTCCAAGTGATATGTTTTTAGATTTCACACAAATAGTATACATCAAAAATGATTTAATTGAGATGATTACCTGGTCAGATAGAAAAGTATCTTTTGGTTAAAAAGTTGTACTCATCAAATATTTAATGGCCTTCTACAGTGCATATGCAAAAGCAGGTTAAGAACACAAGTTCCGAGAGAATCTGATTCAGCAGGTCTGGCATGGGGTCCAAGAAATCTGCATGCTTAACATATGCCTGAAGAAATTCTTTTGCTCAGGCTGTTCTGAATACCACCGGCTTGGTGCAAAACTGCAGGGTGGGAAGGAGGATTAGGAGTGTAACAGTGAGGAGCTATATCCCTTGTAACTGCACCGGCCAATACAGCAGCCACTTGCCAAATATGACTACTGAGCTCTTAGAAAATGACCACTGGCCGGGCTTGGCTGCTCACGCCTGTAATCCCAGCACTTTGGGAGGACAAGGTGGGCAGATCATGAAGTCAGGAGTTCAAGACCAACCTGGCCAGCATGGTGAAACCTCATCTCTACAAAAATACAAAAATTAGCTGGGCATGGTGGTGCGCATCTGTGTGGTCCCAGCTACTCAGGAGGCTGAGGCAGGAGAATGGCTTGAACCCGGGAGGTGGAGGTTGCAGTGAGCCGAGATTGTGCCACTGCACTCCAGCCTGGGCAACAGAGCGAGACATCGTCTCAAAACAAACAAACAAACAAACAAAACTGAGATATGCTATAAATATAGCTGGACTTTGAAGACTTAGTTCAAAGAAAAGTAAAAATATCTCATCAACAGTATTTTTAAAAATACTGCTTACATGTTGAAATGGTAGTTTATTTATAACAACATTATAAATAATGTAATTTAACATAATTAAAATATTAAAACTTCACTTTTTCCTTTTTAATGAGGCTACTGAAAATTTAAAATTACACGTGACTAATTATAGCACACAGACCTGCTTTAGAGATTATAGTCATGTATACCCTCCATTACAAGAGAATCACACGTAATGAGAAAGGTTCTAATTAGTTTACATTACACTTGAGAAATGTGTGGACAGACTAAAGGTTGTAAGCCACTGGGTTTACAGGAGACAGACTTTAAAGTTAATAATTACAAAGAGTGTGATTTAAAGAGACAGGCACAAAGTAATACAGAAAGCAAAAAAAGTAGGTTAAGAGTGTAACTTTGCTTGGTTTGGGAGAGCTTCACTTCTAACCAGGATACTGAAGGATGAGGAAAAGGTAATTATAAATGGTGGTAAAACACCTACATATAGGGTGATTGTGAGAACTGAATAAGAAAGAATATGAAGTCCCTGGCCGGGCGCGGTGGCTCAAGCCTGTAATCCCAGCACTTTGGGAGGCCGAGGCGGGCGGATCACGAGGTCAGGAGATCGAGACCATCCTGGCTAGGTGAAACCCCGTCTCTACTAAAAATACAAAAAATTAGCCAGGGGAGGTGGCAGTCGCCTGTAGTCACAGCTACCGGGGAGGCTGAGGCAGGAGAACGGCGTGAACCCAGGAGGCGGAGCTTGTAGTGAGCCGAGATCGCGCCACTGCACTCCAGCCTGGGTGACAGAGCAAGACTGCGTCTCAAAAAAAAAAAAAAAAAAAAAAAAAGAATATGAAGTCCCTAACACAATCCTTGGCACAGCATAGCTTTGCAAAATAAGTTAGTAGTTATTGGTAGCAACAGAACAAACGGTTGAGGGAAAGGAGAGGTGAACTACATAGAGATATAAAAAATGGCCTCTGTAGGCCGGGTGCAGGGGCTCACGCCTGTAATCCCAGCACTTTGGGAGGCCGAGATGGGCGGATCACCTGAGGTCAGGAGTTGGAGACCAGCCTGGCCACTATGGCGAAACCCCGTCTCTACTAAAAATACAAAAATACCGAGCATGGTGACGGGCGCCGGTAATCCCAGCTACTCGGGAGGCTGAGACAGGAGAATCGCTTGAACCCGGGAGGCAAAGGTTGCAGTGACCCAAGATCGCGCTATCGCACTCCAGCCTGGGAAACAAAGAGCGAAACTCCGTCTGAACTGGCGGGGGAGGGGGGGGGGAGGGAAATGGCCTCTGTAAATTGGTGAGGTTGGAAATGTGGAAATGATCGTTTTTAAAATTAAATTGCAGATATTAAATCTCATAGTACAAAGAATCAGACACTGCATTAGAACCTTTTTCATTTCAATGTGCCATAAATTTCAACTCCACAAGTCAGATTCAGAATACTAACAATTAAGTTATGCAACATAGGAATCCAAAGAAACAAGAATACTAAATTTGATGGCCTGCTCCCCTTTAAAAAATGTCTTAATGGAGCCTAACCTTTTCCTTTTACTGACAATTCTAAGCAAAACAAAGCCCCACTCTAAATCCGCGGGAAATGGCCCTACTTCAACATTTGAACTATAGTAACAATTATAATCTTTCACCTTCTCTGAATAAAGACACTCAGTAATAAGGAAAAGCAACTACCAGTTTAAGTCTGAAAGACTGTTTAGAGTTTATTTCTTTCAAACTCCAATATGTTTAAGGCCATTTGTCTTACTAGAAAATGTCCAAAATTGCAAAACATTAAAATAATCAGCAACTTTAGACTGAGTATGTTATTCGTAATTTCTGCCTTTCTTTACTGTCTAATTTGTATTTTATGAATTTGTCATAGAGGAGCAGACCTGGGTCGGAATCCCAGCTCGCCATCGTTGGTGTGACCAAGCACAACCAACCTCAAACCTCAGTTTTTGGTAAGATGGGGATAACACCTCGCAGAGGTGTTTGTTACGTGAGGACTAGAGGGAATATAAATCTCTTGGTATTTAAGTGCTCGAAAATGTTTCTGAAAGGGACGTAGGGGTCTTTCCAAAATACACTCCTTGGAGGCACAATAATTAAGGCGTAGGCTCAATTATGCAACACAAGCAACCTAGGAGTTAGAAGCACGGGATCTGGCTGCAGCTCTGCCAAGTATGCAAGCTGCAAGAATGACCCAGAGCGAGTTACTTAATTTCGTGTAAGAAGCAATGCGTGGCCGCTCCTAAGCCATTTCCACTGGGATACCGACCTGACCAGCCCCTGCCCCCCACTCTCCGGCTCTCCCACCCCCCCACCCCGTTCCGACTGTCCCAGAAGCAGCAAAGAAAGCTGCTTCCCAACTGAAGAGCCGAGACAAAGCTTCCTTCTCTTTCTGCCCCTCTGAGCCGCTCGCTGGGGGCCCAGTTTCAGAACCAAGAGCCAGATCCCGTCTTGGGCGCCGAGCCTCGCGCGCCCCCGAGGATAGCAGCCTAGTCCCATGCCATGCACTCCCTCCCTTGGACTCAGGGCCCTCCGCTCAACGGGCCCTACCTCGTTCGCCATGTTCACGGATTCTGGTCGGCGCGGGGGGCTGACATCCGGGGTGGGCCGCGCAGCGACGGAGGCATGGGCGTGGCGAGCGCCTAGCGAGGGGGGCGGGGCGTGGGGGGGGCTTGCAATGGCTCCAACCGGAAGGGCGGTGCTCGAGCTGTGGTGCGTGCCGCTAAGTTGTGCGTTCCAGGGTGCACTCGCCGGCGAGGCTGCACGGCGCCGGTTTCATTGCTAAAATCCGACGGACTTGTTGCAGAACTCGTTTTTTTTGTCGGGAAAGGGCTTCCCCGTGTAACTTTACAGCAGTTATCGTAGATAAGACTTGCAAATTACAGATGTGGACGGTGAGGGAACGGGAATTTCACTGAAAGCGCCTGAGAACCAGTAAGAGACCTGCAACAGCTTTGTGCTCCACTGGCGAATGCTTCCTCCCCTAATACACATTATGTGTGCTTGGAGACACAAGGAGTAAGATACAGCCCCTCAAGGGACTCGTCATAGGGAGAGGACACAGCTTTGGGAATAAAGGGGCCACAAAGGAGGAGAGAGGAGTTTGCTGAAACTTCCCAAGCTCCCATTCCAGCAGTTCCTGAAGGGTAGGTAGGATTTTGGGGAGACAGTAGAACGTGGGCAGAGAACTTTGGAAGGAGGAGATGAGGAGAACAAAAAGTCTCCTGATCCTGGACAGTTTTTTGTGTTAAGAGTGGGCCAGAGTGTAGAGAGAGAGAATGTAGTATTTGTCGGTTTACTCTTTCTTTGTTTGTTTGAGACGGAGTCTCGCACTGTCGCCCAGGCTGGAGTGCAGTGGCGCGATCTCGGGTCACTGCAACCTCCGCCTCCTAGGTTCAAGTGATTCTCGTGCCTCAGCCTCCTGAGTAGTTGGGATCACAGGCACACGCCACCACGCTGGCTCAATTTTGTATTTTTAGTAGAGATTGGGAGTGGGGGCAGGGGGTTGGTCTCACCATGTATGCCAGTCTGGTCTTGAACTCCTAACCTCAAGTGATTCACCCACCTCAGCCTCCCAAAGTGCTGGGATTACGGGCATGAGCCACCGCACCTGGCCTGCCAGTTTACTCTTAAACTCTGTTGTAAACGCTGAATTTTGTTAAAATAGCTCTGTCAGACACACTGCTCTTTTCTGTCTTTCAGTCTTTTTCTTGGCTCTTTTCCGGGTACATATGGTAAGATTGTCCAAAGTCTTTCCGTCCTTTCACTCCACTCTCTCACTCACACTTTGGCTTTTAACGTCTATTTATGGAAAGATGACTACCAGATTATTATCTCCAATCAGGATGGCTCCCCTAAACTCCAGACTTGGACATGTAACTGCCTACTGGATTTCTGTCTCCATTAGGATATCTCACAATCGAATGCAACTCCTAAAACTCCTATTAATATTTTCTCCTTATAGGGACTCTTTCCTCTGTGTGTTGACACTCTCCACATACTTACCCTAGCCAGAAACATGAGAGTCACAACTTCTCCCTCTCCCTCGGTCCCTGCATTCAGTTTGTCACCAAGCCCTAAATATCTCTCTGGTCTTGTGCCTCTCTCTCCCCACTGCTGCTGTATTAGTTCAGGCTTTCATAATTTCTTACAGGATTACTGAAAGAGCCTCCCATCTGATTTCTTTGATGCCAGGCCCTTGAATCTAATACTTAAAAAGGAATGCCCTGTTAGTGATCTTTCCAAAACGTAACATCAATCAATGCCATTTCCTATTTTCCTTCAATAATTTTTGAATGAGTTAGGCTATAAATAAATAAATAAATAAATAAATAAATACCATTCTTCTATTTAAAAATATTCAAGGGAGAACAAATGGATAAAATCCAAACTCTTTAGGCCACTCAGGCTCTGAATTACTTCCTTCTGTATATACCTCTATCCTTATTTCCTGCTCTCCTGCCAAATTTCACACCAACATTTAAGGAACATTCGTAGTTCCTTAAAGGGACTATGCTTTTTCTTGATTCCAGGCCTTTGTGTATGTCAATACTTCTGCTTGGAATGCAGCAAGCAATTTCTAGTGGGAAAAAAAAAAGACTTGGCAGAGAGTTTTCTTTTCCCTATTGCAGATATATTGTCTATTTTCTGGAAAGAGACACTTGCATTTTTGTAGTGCCTTGTTTAACAATAATAGGCAAGACTTTAGGTTTCTGGTCTGACATGTAAGGAATTTAGAAGTCATCACTCCATCCTAACAACAACTAAAAAGCTAAAAAAAATGAGAAATTAATAACTCTTCTTAGAGCTGTAAGTGAAGTGGGGTCACAGAGAAAACAGCTTCTCCAAAATTAGAGACACAGATGGGTGGATTCAAAGAATCACAACTTACCATAGAAACACACTTTTGCAGGAACTGTTACTGGAGTAGGAAAGTCTGAGCTGTAATTGATGAATTGCCAGAGGCTCATTGTGGATTAGTTTGAGAGTTAAAGATTCTTGGGGGACCCAATCTTAGGGGGGCTTTCACACTTTTGTGAGTTTTACCTCCGTGAATTCTCAGAGAAGATCAGAGAAAAATCCCCAATTGCTTCCTGCATGAGGAGTGTAAAAGGAATTATTTTGAAAAATTCTAGTGCATTTTGTTCTTAACAAGACTTGCCAACAAAAGAAACTATTTTACTCGAGCCTAGTGTACTGGGATTTTTACAAGTGGTTAACTGACCTGGGGGAAAGGAAATACCCAACTCCAGCTCCCTCTAGACATTCTGTACCACCTAAGGGGGTGAAAAAACAAACTGAGAACTGTGAAGTTTACAGCCTAGGGACACAGGCTCACTAAAAGACTGAGATAAAATGGTAGAACTATAGGACACTTCCCCTTCCCGTGTATCTTACCACTACATTACTAAAGGGCTATTTACTGCAATTTCTTTGACTCAGTATATTATATCCGCCTTTCAATACAAAATTACAAGGCATATTAAAAGGCAACATAGTTTGAATGGACAGAGCAAGCAGTGGAACCAAACCCAGAGGATGACAGGGATGTTGCTATTATCAGACCATGAATTTAAAACAACTATGATTAATATTGTTTGAAATGCTTGTTCCCCGGTGCTGTAAAGAAATAGTACTTGAACATAAATTTAATTTAGTAAGGCCATTTTTACTTTTGCAGAAAGGGTACACTGGCCAGCAGTTTTGCCATGAGAGTACACCAAACAAAGGAGACAGGGTCATTTATAACCTAATGTATCCACCCTACTGCTGTGTCCGGTTTCCATTGTCTGGAACGGGACCTCACATTCTGTATTTGTCCTGACTTGCTAGCAACTTAGAACTTTTTAAAAGAGGCAGAGGTAGAGGAGAACAAAGGAAGGAGGAGGTAACTTGTGGAATGCTGAGAAAGGTAAAAACACTTTTAAATAAGGAAGAGGAACAGGCTATGACCTAGTGCTTGCTTGGACTAGTATAAGCATGCCAGGGCAAATATTTAGGAGCACAGGTCTTTGAATAAATTTTGCTTATAAGAGAAGTTACCATTTATTCCTAATTAGATGGGCAGGAAAGTCTTTGAAGAAGAACCTCTACTTTATTTTTTACAGTATGCTAAGGGCTTTAATGGGAAAAGTAGACAACATGCAAGAACCGATGGATAATGTAAGCAGAGAGATGGAAATTCTAAGAAAGAATTGAGAATAAATGACAGAAAAAATACTGTAACAAATGAAAAATGCCTTTGATGGGCTCATTAGTAGACTGGATGTGACTAAGGAAAGAATCTTTGAGCTTGAGTATATGTTAATAGAAACAGTCAAAACAAGAAAGCAAAGAGGAGAAACGAATAAATGGAACAGGGTATCATATACATGTATGGGAGTACCAGAAAGAGAAGAAAGCAAAAGGAGCAGAAGCAGTATTCGAAGCAACTATGACTGAGAATTTCCCCAAATTAAAGTCAGGAAATAAACCACAGATCCAGGAAACTTAGAGAACACCAAACAAGTGTTCCTTCCAAAGCAGAAAGCACAAAGCCCACATGGGTTCACTGATGAATTTTTCCAAACATTTAAGGAAGGAAATATACCAATTTTCTACAATCTTTTTCAGAAGATAGAAGCAGAGAGAATATTTCCTAACTCGTTTTATGAGGCCAGCATTACTGTAATACCAAAGCCACAGACATTGCAAGAAAACTACATACCAATATCCCTTATGAACCTAGATACAAATATCCCCAACAAAGTATTAGCAAATTGAATCCAACAATGTATAAGAATAATTACATGCCACAACCACGTGGTATTTATCCCAGGTATATAAGGCTGGTTCAACATTAGAAAATCAGTTAATGTAATCCATCACATCAATGGGCTAAAGAAGAAGAAAATAACATAATTATAGCAATAGGTGGAGTAAAAAACATTTCACAGAATTCAACACCTAATCATGATGAAAACTTTCAGCAAACGAGTATTAGAAGGAAACTGTCTCAATGTGATAAAGAACATCTACAAAAAGCCTGCAGCTAACATCATACTTAATGGTGAGAAGCTAGAAGACTTCCTGCTAAGACTAGGAACAAGAAAAAGGTGTCCCATCTCACCATTCCTTTTCAACATCTTGCTGAAAATCCTACCTAATGGAATAACACAAGGAGAAGCAATAAAATGTATACTGATTAGAAAGGAAGAAGTAAAACTCTCTTTGCTTACAGATGACATTTATCTATTTACAAAATCTGAAAAAATTGACAGAAGTCTCCTGAAACTAATAAGTGATTATAGCAGGGTTGCATGATACAGGTTTAATACACACATTTCAGTCATTTTCCTATATGCCAGCAATGAACAAGTGGAGTCTGAAATTAAAAACCCAATACCATTTACATTAGCATCCCCAGAAATGAAATGCTTAGGTAGAAATCTGACACAATATGTACAAGATCTGTGAGGTAAATTACAAAACTCTGATGAAAAAAAATAAATGGAGAAATGTCTCATGTACATGGATATTCTGAAACAACATTGTCAAAATATCATTTATTCCCATTTGCTCTATAGATTTAACTAAATCCCAGTAAAAAAATACCAGCAAATTATTTTGTGGATATTGACGAACTGATTTCAAAGTTTTTATTTTTATTTTTTTTTAAAGTACAGCATAATTTGTTGAAAAAAATTGGAAGTTAAGTGCAGAATACAGTACAACCTGAGAGTGATATTCCAGGCCGGGCTGCTCATAAGAGTGAGACAGCGTGGATTGTCGCCAGAGAAACTGCCTTATGGGAGTTTTGCATTATTATTATTATTTTTTATTATACTTCTAGGGTACATGTGCACAACGTGCAGGTTTGTTACATGTGCGTACATGTGCCATGTTGGTATGCTGCACACATTAACTCGTCATTTACATTAGGTATATCTCCTAATGCTATCCTTCTCCCCGCCTCCCACCCCACAACAGGCCCTGGTGTGTGATGTCCCCCTTCCTGTGTCCAAGTGTTCTCATTGTTCAATTCCCACCTATGAGTGAGAACATGTGATGTTTGGTTTTTTGTCCTTGCGATAGTTTGCTGAGAATGATGGTTTCCAGCTTCATCCATGTCCCTACAAAGGACATGAACTCATCTTTTTTATGGCTGCATAGTATTCCATGGTGTATATGTGCCACATTTTCTTAATCCAGTCTGTCGTTGGGCATTTGGGTTGGTTCCAGGTCTTTGCTATTGTGAATAGTGCCGCAATAAACATACATGTGCATGTGTCTTTATAGTAGCATGATTTATAATCCTTTGGGTATATACCCAGTAATGGGATGGCTGGGTCAAATGGTATTTCTAGTTCTAGATCCCTGAGGACTCGCCACACTGTCTTCAACGATGGTTAAACCAGTTTACAGCCCCACTAACAGTGTAAAAGTGTTCCTATTTCTCCACATCCTCTCCAGCACCTTTTGTTTCCTGACTTTTTAATGATCACCATTCTAACTGGTATGAGATGGTATCTCATTGTGGTTTTGATTTGCATTTCTCTGATGGCCAGTGATGATGAGCATTTTTTCATGTGTCTGTTGGCTGCATAAATGTCTTCTTTTGAGAAGTGTCTGTTGATATCCTTTGCCCACGTTTTGATGGGGTTGTTTGTTTTTTTCTTGTGAATTTGTTTGAGTTCTTTGTAGATTCTAGATATTAGCCCTTTGTCAGATGAGTAGATTGCAAAAATTTTCTCCCATCCTGTACATTGCCTGTTCACTCTGATGGTAGTTTCTTTTGCTGTGCAGAAGCTCTTTAGTTTAATTAGATCCCATTTGTCAAATTTGGCTTTTGTTGCCATTGCTTTTGGTGTTTTAGACGTGAAGTCCTTGCCCATGCCTATGTCCTGAATGGTATTGCCTAGGTTTTCTTCTATGGTTTTTATGGTTTTAGGTCTAACATTGAAGTCTTTATTCCATCTTGAATTAATTTTTGTATAAGGTGTAAGGAAGGCATCCAGTTTCAGCTTTCTACATGTGGCTAGCCAGTTTTCCCAGCAGGATTTGGTAAACAGGGAATCCTTTCCCCATTTCTTGTTTTTGTCAGGTTTGTCAAAGATCAGATAGTTGTAGATGTGTGGTATTATTTGTGAGGGCTCTGTTCTGTTCCATTGGTCTATATCTCTGTTTTGGTACCAGTACCATGCTGTTTTGGTTACTGTAGCCTTGTAGTATAGTTTGAAGTCAGGTAGTGTGATGCCTCCAGCTTTGTTCTTTTGGCTTAGGATTGACTTGGCAATGCGGGCTCTTTTTTGGTTCCATGTGAACTTTAAAGTAGTTTTTTCCAAATCTGTGAAGAAAGTCATTGGTAGCTTGATGGGGATGGCATTGAATCTATAAATTACCTTGGCCAGTATGGCCATTTTCATGATATTGATTCTTCCTATCCATGAGCATGAAATATTCTTCCACTTGTTTGTATCCTCTTTTATTACATTGAGCAGTGGTTTGTAGTTCTCCTTGAAGAGGTCCTTCACATCCCTTGTAAGTTGGATTCCTAGGTATTTTATTCTCTTTGAAGCAATTGTGAATGGGAGTTCACTCATGATTTGGCTCTCTGTTTGTCTGTTATTGATGTATAAGAATGCTTGTGATTTTTGCACATTGATTTTGTATCCTGAGACTTTGCTGAAGTTGCTTATCAGCATAAGGAGATTTTGGGCTGAGACAATGGGGTTTTCTAGATATACAAACATGTCATCTGCAAACAGGGACTATTTGACTTCCTCTTTTCCTAATTGAATACCCTTTATTTCTTTCTCCTGCCTGATTGCCCTGGCCAGAACTTCCAACACTATGTTGCTAGGAGTGGTGAGAGAGGGCATCCCTGCCTTGTGCCGGTTTTCAAAGGGAATGCTTCCAGTTTTTGCCCATTCAGTATGATATTGGCTATGGGTTTGTCATAAATAACTGTGATTATTTTGAGATACGTCCCATCGATACCTAATTTATTGAGAGTTTTTATCATGAAGGGCTGTTGAATTTTGTCAAAGGCTTTTTCTGCATCTATTGAGATAATCATGTGGTTTTTGTCATTGGTTGTGATTATATGCTGGATTATGTTTATTGATTTGCATATGTTGAACCAGCCTTGCATCCCAAGGAAGAAGCCCACTTGATCATGGTGGATAAGCTTTTTGATGTGCTGCTGGATTCGGTTTGCCAGTATTTTATTGAGGATTTTTGCATCGATGTTCATCAAGGATATTGGTCTAAAATTCTCTTTTTTGGTTGTGTCTCTGCCAGGCTTTGGTATCAGGATGATGCTGGCCTCATAAAATGAATTAGGGAGGATTCCCTCTTTTTCTATTGATTGGAATAGTTTCAGAAGGAATGGTACCAGCTCCTCCTTGTACCTGTGGTAGAATTTGGCTGTGAATCCATCTGGTCCTGGGCTTTTTTTGGTTGGTAAGCTATTAATTATTGCCTCAATTTCAGAGCCTTTTATTGGTCTATTCAGAGATCCAATTTCTTCCTGGTTTAGTCTTGGGAGACTGTATGTGACGAGGAATTTATCCATTTCTTCTAGATTTTCAAGTTTATTTGCGTAGAGGTGTTTATAGTATTCTGTGATGGTAGTTTGTATTTCTGTGGGATCGGTGATGATAACCCCTTTATGATTTTTTATTGTGTCTATTTGATTCTTCTGTCTTTTCTTCTTTATTAGTCTTGCTAGCGGTCTATCAATTTTGTTGATCTTTTCAAAAAACCAGCCCCTGGATTCATTGATTTTTTTGAAGGGTTTTTTTGTTTCTCTATCTCCTTGAGTTCTGGTCTGATCTTAGTTATTTCTTGCTTTCTGCTAGCTTGAATGTATTTGCTCTTGCTTTTCTAGTTCTTTTAATTGTGATGTTAGGGTGTCAATTTTAGATCTTTCCTGCTTTCTGTTCTGGGCATTTACTGGTATAAATTTCCCTCTACACACTGCTTTGAATGTGTCCCAGAGATTCTGGTATGTTGTGTCTTTGTTCTCATTGGTTTCAAAGAACATCTTTATTTCTGCCTTCATTTCATTATGTACCCAGTAGTCATTCAGGAGCAGGTTGTTCAGTTTCCATGTAGTTGAGCAGTTTTGAGTGAGTTTCTTAATCCTCAGTTCTAGTTTGATTGCCCTGTGGTCTGAGAGACAGTTTGTTATAATTTCTGTTCTTTCACATTTGCTGAGGAGTGCTTTACTTCCAACTATGTGGTCGATTTTGGAATAAGTGGGATGTGGTGCTGAGAAGAATGTATATTCTGTTGATTTGGGGTGGAGAGTTGTGTAGATGTCTATTAGGTCTGCTTGGTGCAGAGCTGAGTTCAATTCCTGGATATCTTTGCTAACTTTCTGTCTCATTGATCTGTCTAATGTTGACAGTGGGGTGTTAAAGTCTCCCATTATTATTACGTGGGAGTGTAAGTCTCTTTGTAGGTCTCTAAGGACTTGCTTTGTGAATCTGGGTGCTCCTGTATTGGGTGCATATATATTTAGGATAGTTAGCTGTTCTTGTTGAATTGATCCCTTTACCATTATGTAATGGCCATCTTTGTCTCTTTTGATCTTTGTTGGTTTAAAGTCTGTTTTATCAGAGACTAGGATTGCAACCCCTGCCTTTTTTTGTTTTCCATTTGCTTGGTAGATCTTCCTTTTATTTGAGCCTATGTGTGTCTCTGCACGTGAGATGGGTTTCCTGAATACAGCACGGTGATGGGTCTTGACTCTTTATCCAATTTGCCAGTCTGTGTCTTTTAATTGGAGCATTTAGCCCATTTACATTTAAGGTTAATATTGTTATGTGTGAATTTGATCCTGTCATTATGATGTTAGCTGGTTATTTTGCTCGTTAATTGATGCAGTTTCTTCCTAGCATCGATGATCTTTACACTTTGGCCTGTTTTTGCAGTGGCTGGTACTGGTTGTTCCTTTCCATGTTTAGTGCTTCCTTCAGGAGCTCTTTTAGGGCAGGCCTGGTGGTGACAAAATCTCTCAGCATTTGCTTGTCTGTAAAGGATTTTATTTCTCCCTCACTTATGAAGCTCAGTTTGGCTGGATATGAAATTCTGGGTTGAAAATTCTTTTAAGAATGTTGAATATTGGCCCCCGCTCTCTTCTGGCTTGTAGAGTTTCTGCCGAGAGATCAGCTGTTAGTCTGATGGGCTTCCCTTTGTGGGTAACCTGACCTTTCTCTCTGGCTGCCCTTAACATTTTTTCCATCATTTCAACTTTGGTGAATCTGACAATTATGTGTCTTGGAGTTGCTCTTCTCGAGGAGTATCTTTGTAGCATTCTCTGTATTTCCTGCATTTGAATGTTGGCCTGTCTTGCTAGGTTGGGGAAGTTCTCCTGGATAATATCCTGCAGCGTGTTTTCCAACTTGGTTCCATTCTCCCTGTCACTTTCAGGTACACCAATCAGATGTAGATTTGGTCTTTTCACATAGTCCCATATTTCTTGGAGGCTTTGTTCATTTCTTTTTATTGTTTTTTCTCTAAACTTCTCTTCTCGCCTCATTTCATTCATTTGATCTTCCATCACTGATACCCTTCCTTCCACTTGATCGAATCGGCTAAGGACTTCTCTGCATTGGTTATTCTAGTTAGCCATTTGTCTAATCTTTTTTCTATGTTTTTAACTTCTTTGCCATAGGTTCAAACTTCTCCTTTAGCTTGGAGAAGTTTGATCATCTGAAGCCTTCTTCTCTCAGGTCGTCAAAGTCATTCTCCGTCCAGCTTTGTTCCATTGCTGATGAGGAGCTGCATTCCTTTGGAGGAGGAGAGGTGCTCTGATTTTTAGAATTTCAGTTTTTCAGCCCTGTTTTTTCCCCATCTTTGTGGTTTTATCTACCTTTGGTCTCTGATGATGGTGAGGTACAGATGGGGTTTTGGTGTGGATGTCCTTTCTGTTTGTTAGTTTTCCTTCTAACAGTCAGGACCCTCAGCTGCAGGTCTGTTGGAGTTTGCTAGAGGTCCACTCCGACCCTGTTTGCCTGGGTATCAGCAGCAGAGGCTGCAGAACAGCAGATATTGGTGAGCAGCAAATGTTGCTGTTTGATTGTTCCTCTGGAAGTTTTATCTCAGAGGGGTACCCGGCCGTGTGAGGTGTCAGTCTGCCCCTACTGGGGGGTACCTCACAGGCTACTCAGAGGTCAGGGACCCACTTTAGGAGGCAGTCCGTCCATTCTCAGATCTCAAGCTGCATGCTGGGGGAGCCACTACTCTCTTCCAAGCTGTCAGACAGGGACATTTAAGTCTGTAGAGGTTTCTGCTGCCTTTCGTTTGTCTATGCCCTGCCCCCAGAGATGGAGTCTACAGAGGCAGGCAGACCTCCTTGAGCTGCGGTAGGCTCCACCCAGTTCGAGCTTCCCGGAGGCTTTGTTTACCTATTCAAGCCTCGGCAATGGCGGTCAACCCTCCCCCCACTTCGCTGCTGCCTTGCAGTTTGATTGCAGACTGCTGTGCTAGCAATGAGCGAGTCTCCGTGGGCATAGGACCCTCCGAGCCAGGCACAGGATACAATCTCCTGTTGTGCCGTTTGCTAAGACCATTGGAAAAGGGCAGTATTAGGGTAGGAGTGACCTGATTTTCCAGATGCCATCTGTCACCCCTTTCCTTGGGTAGGAAAGGGAATTCCCTGACCCCTTGTGCTTCCCGGGTGAAGCAATGCCTCGCCCTGCTTCAGCTCACGCTCAGTGTGCTGCACCCACTGTCCTGCACCCACTGTCCGACAGTCCCCAGTGAGATGAACCTGGTACCTCATTTGGAAATGCAGAAATCATTCGTCTTCTGTGTCACTCACGCTGGGAGCTGTAGACTGGAGCTGTTCCTATTCAGCCATCTTGGCTCCACCCCCTAATTTTTACTCTTAAGTAAGGATTATTTTGGACTGAGGGACTCACTAAGTGAAAGTGATTCATCATTTCAGACTTTGTTACAGGGAGGTGATTATGCAGTAAACATAGTCAAACATTTCAAAAATTTGAAGCATATTTTATAAAACTTACAAGAAAGAAAGATACATACTGGATGAATTGAAGGAAGAATTCATAAAACCATATGTGTCTGCTTCATATTGAGGGAAACTTTTTTTTTCTTTTTTTAACCTCTCAGCACTAGTTGACATTGCTTGGCTACGTACTCCGTTAGAGTAGAGACAGCTATTGCCATAGCTCCTGTGAATTGAAACAGAAATTGTCCATAGTGGAGGCAGTCACAGATGGGTTAAACATGAAGGAGTCAGAAGTGGTAGAACTAATTCTAAATACTGAGATTCCATACTGAGAGGTACCAAAGCTACCCAACAAACTCTTTTCCTCTTGGGAAACACATATACACCTGACATAAAAATAAGGTAGACATTTAGTTTGTAGCTGTAGATCTCAATAGCATTGTGTAATTTTTCCTGTTACTTTTCAAGACCAACACATATCACAGTATAGGGAGGTCAGAGACTCCTGAGGGCAGCTCTACAATTCTGAAGCAGTACATTTCTTTTATATTTTTGTAGGTAATGATTTGTTGTAAGTTATCCATAGTTGTAAGTAACCGGATCATATGTTTTCCTTGATATTATGGAGAATTTGACAGGTTGGAGAAATACAAGGTATGATTTCATGATTAAACATAACAGGAAATTTAAATGGGACTTTACATATGATCTCAATTTAGCTAAGAACTCAAGACCAAGCTATACAGACACCAAATTACCTCCACATTCTAAAGCAAGGGGCTAGACCACCTTATGTAGGACATGCTAAGAGATAGAGAAATCGCTTCTGCCAGCATTAGCCTATCTCCTGTCTCTCATCTATATAAGGTGAGGCAAAGAATTCATGGGGAAGGGTGGAAGTATTTGGAAGTGAAGATTTCTTTGGAGATAGTTGTCAGTATGCTGTGTTTGCCCTTCCCATCTCCACAGTGAGGGTGGTGAAAGTACTTCCCCTTCATCTGAAGCCAAGAGAAGAAAACTGCTCAGAAAGCTTGAAATGTTTTCTCTGGAATCTAGAAAATTCAAGTTCTGGTATGTGAAAGAAAAAAAAAATTAAGGCAAGAAGCTGCTGTCTTACTCTACTTTCTGCTGGTATAACAGAATACCTGAGATAACAGCATTAATTCATTCATGAGAGCAGAGCCCTCATCCTCTAATCACCTTTTATTTTTATTTTTTTGAGACAGCATCTCGCTCTGTCACACAGTCTGGAGTGCTGTGGTGATTGTAGCTCACTGCAGCCTAGAACTCCTGGGCTCAAGTGATCCTCCTGCCTTAGACTTCTGAGTAGCTGGGACTACAGGCGTGTGCCACCCTGCCCTGCTTCTAATAACCTCTTAAAGATTCCTCCTCTTAACACTATCACAATGGCAATTAAATTTCCCCATAGTTTTGGAGGGAACATTCAAATAGTAACATCTAGCTAGAACAGCCTGTCTGTTGGCAGAATGAAGTAGAACAGTTTAGTGGGAACAAGGATACAAGTGTATTTTTCATGGACCAAATACAGACTCTGGAAAGGATACGGTTGTGGATCATCGGGAAAAGAACTTCACGAAAGAGATAGATGCACAGATGGATAGTGAAGGTCACCCTGGTGAAAGCCAAGGACTGAATGCAGGTCTTAAATGGCCAGTTGTGGAAAGAATCATCCTTATAAAAGAATTGAGATAGGAGATCTCTAATAGAGGAGGAGTTCTCTAATAGAGGAGGAGTTCTTTGTGAAACCCACAGAAATCCCCCAACTCAAAAAAAAAAAACCGGCCGGGCGCGGTGGCTCACGCCTGTAATCCCAGCACTTTGGGAGGCCGAGGCGGGTGGATCATGAGGTCAGGAGATCGAGACCATCCTGGCTAACAAGGTGAAACCCCGTCTCTACTAAAAATACAAAAAATTAGCCGGGCGCGGTGGCGGGCGCCTGTAGTCCCAGCTACTCGGGAGGCTGAGGCAGGAGAATGGCGTGAACCCGGGAAGCGGAGCTTGCAGTGAGCCGAGATCGTGCCACTGCAGTCCGCAGTCCGGCCTGGGCGACAGAGCGAGACTCCGTCTCAAAAAAAAAAAAAAAAAAAAAAAAAAAAAAAAAAAAAAGAAAAAACCAAAAAACGTAGTATCTAAAAGGTAGGGCACCAATATCAAATTGCAACTGTACTGGCCATATGCAATGTAGAGCACCAATATCAGATCGCAACTGTACTGGCCATATGCAATGTAGTCTTTTTCTCCAGGTTTCCCCTCTCTTCTAGGCTGGACAATGGAGGAGGCTTGAAACAGTAGCTGGCAAGTGGTAGAAGAGATGGAGCAGAGAAGCAAGAAGAAGCAGACTCCTCACTCCTTCACCAGGGTGGATTTGCTGGTTTGAAGCAGACCTGAGTTGGGAGAGGAGAGAGGCGAGAAGTTTTAATTGGATGAAATATTTCTTTAGACTGGTCTATACTTTTTTCTTTATATCTAAAATTCACTGGAAGAGCTATGAAATCTGTCCAAGATTTCGTTCAGTTCAGGAAAAACCAAAACCAAAACCATAACCAGTGAGTTTATAAAGGAAGTTTATGGTGGATTTTTTAAAATTATTTTGATAACTGACATTGGGGTATTCTCCATCTTATGAGTCTGAAAATATTTCTTCGCAGCCAGGTAATACACATGTGACTCAGATGCCACCAAAGAAGTATGTGTCCAAGACCTCAAGTTGAAAGCTGTGGACTGCGGAGGGACTCTCTGGTGAAGTTGTTGCAAGCATGATTAATTCATTGGGGCAGCAATGGCAGCCAAGCCAGTGGTGGTATCCTGTGTCCAGGAGTGGTATTGGTGATTCAGTTTGCAGCCTCTGAGGTACAAGGATAAGGAAAATGGTGACCAGATCAGTTTTGCTGCCTCAGATTAGACATAATTTCAAGCTGTATATCTCTAATCCTCCTAATAATTCTATGACCTACATGATATCCTTTAAATAAATGACTTATCATTTAAAATAATTCCGAATTGATTTCTGTGACTTGCAATGAAATCAATAAAAAAAAAAAAATACCTGGACTATTACTAGAAAACAGACCACCAGGGAAATGGGTCAATCTGGGATTAATTTTCTGACCTGGTTTAGGCTGAAGGCAGTGATAATTCAGATGACTCTAAGGGTGGAGCAGCTCTAGACATGCAGGAGTGGAACAGTTAATAATAAAAAAAAAACCTCTGACTTCCTGAAAGGAAATAAGAATTAAAGGCAAGGCCTTAGAGACAATAGGGTTATTGCCATGGAAGAATATTAAAGTGCATGAGCTATTTAAAGTCTGTAAGGTAGGTGGTTACTTCATTAAAGTGTTGGGCAGTTTAGTTAAGGAGAATGGTAAGCTTAAAATTTCAGGTTCTTGGCTCATGGTATAAACTGAAACCTAAGGATGTTTTATGACATAATTTCTTGAAGCCATAAGGTTAAACTAGCCAGAAGCCAAATTAAAAATTTGATCCTGTAGGTTTCCAGCTGTAACACTGATTAAATTCATAGGAACACAAAAGATCTCTTAGGTGAAAACCAGGGCATTGACTGGGAAATAATAGGATCTCAAATACTATAATGGGTATATATTGAAAGATTCAAATGTCCCTCAGATTATCCTGAACTCCCAGTCTCCACTGATCTTTCTTTGCCTACTGAAACATTTTCTTTTGCCTGTCTGATGAGGATGTCACTGCTTGATTTGAGGACATATAAGGACCTTGGCTGAGCAGCGTCCCTGTAAGGGGAAGCCAATTTCCTCATGTCCTATTCACTTCCATCTCTCATTGTCTTCAGGCCTATAATTATAGTCAGACTAAGCAGTAAGGGGGCAAGTTGGAAGGAGAAGTGTTAAATACCAAAATAATATGTATTATATTTTGCTGATGAATGCTGACCAAACTCTGACCAACTCTTGCGAAAATGAATTCTGTGGGTGCTAGGGCAAGTGGGGAAGGGCATAATTTTAGATCAGGCTAAATGGGTCATGATGGGTGCCTTTATTAGAAATTCTGTATTGATCACACTAGCTCAAAAAACATTAGAAGTTAAAATTGTTTGTTCTATTTATAGATAGAAATCCAAGCTCAAAAATGATCCATGTTCAATGAAGTTGAGATGCCAGATATTTCTTTAGATAATATAAAGGAAGGAATACAAGGACACAGAGAGAGGAATGTAGGGAGGAATTTTTCATGTGCTACGTGCTTACCTAACCCCCATACTATGTTCCTTGAGAGAAGCCCAGAAAATAAACTTTCCAACAAGGGATTGAGAAATAAATTGTCAAGGGGGAGGGCTATGGTTCATTTTTCCCTGTAGGTTGGCAGGGGATGCTTTGGTTGAGATGGGCTTCCTGATTTCAACCAGGATACCAGATACTGGGGTGGTAGAGGCTAAGTAGTGAGGCAGGAGAAGCCAGGTAGGCATGATCACTATGACAGGTAGCTGGAGTAGTTTGGAAAATAGTATTGTCTGATCTACTGCAATTTTTGGAGGTGGCAGTGGAGGTACCATATGTATCAATTAGATTGTTTTGCCTGAAAATAATAGAAATTTGAGTAAAAGAGGCTTAAAAAATGAAGATTTATTATTATTATTATTATTTTGCAGTTGCAAGATTTAATAGAGTGAAAACAGAGCTCCCATACAATGGGAGGGGACCCAAAGGGGGTTGCCCCTGAAAGGAGGTTGCCCACTCCCGGCTCGAATGCCTGGAGTTTATATCCCAATCATTGTCCCTCCCCCTGTGCCCTCAGGCGATATATGATTTGACTGTGTCTTTACCTTCTGCTCTAGCCTAATTTGTATTTTAGCGAGCCCTCTTTACTACCTGATTGGTTGGGTGTGAGCTGAGTTACAAGCCCTGTGTTTAAAGGTAGGTGCGGTCACCTTTCCCAGCTAGGCTTAGGAATTCTTAATCGGCCTAGGAAATCCAGCTAGTCCTGTCTCTCAGTCCCCCCGTCAACAGGAAAGCCCAAGTGCTGTTGGCAAGGTTGGCCGACAACCACTCTTAACTGCTTCCTGCTGAATTGGGGCATAGTAGGGGTTGTGCAGTTGAGATTTCCTTGGAAAGGGTGGCTTCGATGTCATTAACATCAGAGCATGGGCTAGCAAGCCGGTCCAGGGGTCCGTGGTAGGTCTTAGTCATGGACTGCATCTGGGGGTCCATTTGAAGAACTGTTTGCAGTTTTACAGCTTCGATTCTGGAAGAGACAAACTTAACAAGGAGGTTAAAGATACAGGGATTGAAATGTATGGCCTGAAGTGCAGGGGATTATTTCTTTGGCACACTTCACAGGCCCTGACTATCTGCTTTATAGTTTTGAAAAGGCCTGGTTCAGTAAATAATGATGTGGCAATCTGATGGGTGCTATCAATGCCTAAGTAAAAGGTTTGGTGAAGGGTTTTAAGTAATTTCCATTGGTTAGCTGCAGGCAGAAGTATTTTTCCTTTTTCGGTGGCTAGCCATCCTGAGGGGAGGAAACGATGTCGATGTCCTTGTGAGTTTCCCCATTCGATTTCTTCTGCTGAGTACTGGGGCTTGGTTTCCTGGAGGGGATTACCCCATACTAGGGGTCCTTCTATAAGCTTTTCTAATGGAGGGTCCTGTCTTGCGGCTCTTTTTGCTTCAGTATCTGCTTGGCAGTTCCCTTCTATTTCCCTTTCCTTTCCTTTCTGATGACCCCGGCAGTGTAAGACTGCCACCTCTTTAGGTTTCTGTACTGCCAATAATAATCTCCTAATGGCTTCCTGATGTTTGATAGGTGTTCCCTTGGAAGTTAGGAATTCCCTTTCTCTCCTTATTGCTGCGTGGGCATGGAGGACTAGGTAAGCATACTTAGAGTCTGTATATATATTTACCCTTTTTCCTTCTCCTAATTCTAGGGTATAATGACCCCTGCTTTTGCTAGGATGTCTCTCCCTAACAAAGAAGTGGAGCTTTCAGGCATAATTAGAAAGGCATGTGAAAAGAGTAAAGTTCCCCAGTCACAACTTAGTGGCTGGGAGAAGTATCTAGTGACTGGCTGTCCTAGGACCCCTCAGATAGTGACAGATCTGGAGGACAGTTGTCCAGGACAGGAGAGTAAGACTGAGAAGTTCACGCCAGTGTCCAGGAGACAGTTAACGCCCTGGCCCTCAATGGTCAAGCATACCCGGGCCTCTGTGAGGGTGATGGCATGGGCTGGCACTTGCCCTGGAAACCCTCAGTCCTGCTGCTGGATCATCTGGTTAGTGGCTTCTGACTCAGAGGACCTTCATCCCCTGGGGCAGTGGGCCTTCCAGTGATTCCCTTGACATAAGGGGCATGGACGAGGGGGTGGCTTATTTCTATTCGGACAATCTTTTTGAAAGTGTCCTTGTAGACCGCACTGGAAGCAAGCCCTATTAGGCATTCAGTTTGCCCAGGCTTTCCCTTTTTCAGAGCCTCCAAAGTCTACTTGCCTGAGGGCCACGACTAAAGCAGTGGGTGGCCTTTTTTGTTTTATCCCAGTTTTCCCATTTCACCTGCTTTTCCTGATCTCTATTATAAAAAAATCGAGGTTGCCAATAGGGTTTCTAAGTTTTGCTCCAGGCCTAAGGCAGACTTTTGAAATTTTTTCTAATGTGTGCAACTGACTGAGTGATAACTTATCCTTTAAGATTAGTTGGCCTTCAGTAGAGTCAGGTGACGGAGAGATATGCTTCCTCAATGCCTCCCTTAGTCTCTCCAGAAAAGCAGTAAGATTTTCTTCCTTTCCCTGTGTTATAGTGGACATCATTGAATGATTTATAGGCTCCTTCCTAGTTTTCCTTAGTCCTTCTAGCATGCAAGTTAGCAAATGTCTGTGGCACCAATTTCCATGTTCTAATTCAGCGTCCCAGTGAGAGTCTACACTGGGAACTGCCTCCTGGCCTGTGGGGAATCATTCCCTTTCCTCTGTTGTCATCCTATCATTGACCTGACTGAGATACCAGAGATTGCCAAACTCTTGGGCTGCAGTTATGGTGGCACTTCTCTCATTTGGGGTTAGTGTCTGATCTAGCAGTAACATTATATCTCTCCATGACAGATCAAAGGATTGTCCTAACCCTTGTAAAACATCAATGTAGCCATCAGGGTTATCTGAGAATTTACCTAGGTCTATTTTAATTTGTTTCAAGTCTGAGAGGGAAAGAGTTACGTGCACTCTGACTGGGCCAAATTCTCCAGAATATATCTTAGGAGCTTTTTTGCCTTGGGGGGAACATTTCCCATCTGAAAAAAGAACATAGGGATGCCAGCACCCCTAGTCATTTTCTGATGAGCCTTAGTCCTACAGCGTCCTCTATGGTCCTAATGCTTATTCCTTTCCAGGGTGCATAACCACCCATGGACATCTGCTTATCGGATTAGTTAACATTCACTGATGTAGCAGTCCTGCACCCCTTTTCCCGCCTTTCTTGACCACAAAGAAAGGGGTCCAGGCTGCTGGATTCTAGTGGTCCTTTACCAGTGTGCCCAACATTGCCTTTGTGCTCAGGGGTGAGTCCTAGAGCTAGGCTGGGTTCCTGAGTATTTCATAACAACCCAGTTGCCCCATCAAGATGCATTCCCATAAACAACAGTTCTTATGCAAATTCATTTCAGAGAGGGTGTAGGTAACCTTTGAGTCAGGATTGAGATGGAGTTTTTTGATTCTGTAAGTACTTTAAGGCTTGGCTGAGTGCAAAGGGCTCATACGTTTGAGCAGACCAATTATTAGGCAATTTTTCTAACTCTGCTTCTACAAGAGTTTCCCTATCAATTACTGAATACCCATTGTGGTTTTTTTTCTCCATCACCTGGGAGGAACCATCTATTGTCCTGTTCTGAAGGGAGTTCCTCCTAGGTCTGGTGGGACCTTCGTATGGTAATTAAGATTTAAATCCCTTTTTAGGAAATCTGCTGGGTTAAGGGAAATTTCAGTGGTTAATGTTAAATCATCTTTTTCTAACAGAATAGTCCTACACTTTAAGATTTTTGAGTTAGTAAGCTACCTTTTGGCTTTGTTTTTTTTTTTTTTTTTTTGACTTAGGATAGTTCTGAACTGGTGAGGTGTGTTCACAATGAGGTTTTCTCTAAAAGTTATTTTTCTACTTTCTTCTGTTAGCAAAACAGTTGCCACTACAGATTGAATGCATTTGGGCCATCCGCAGGTTACTGGGTTAAAGATTTTTGATAGGAAGGCTACGAGTTGTTAGTGGTCTCAGTGTTTTCAGGCTACGCCCTTGTTTACACTGACAACAAGGTAGTATCGAGTGTTATAGGGTCACAGAGAAGACCTTCAATTATCAATTATAGGTTTTAAATTTACTCTGGCTTTTAAAGGAATAGGGCACACTGTTTTTTCTTTACTACTTCTGTCTTTCTCTTTCTTTCTCTCTCTGCCTCTCTTACCCACCACCCCCACCTCTCTGTCTCTCTCTGTCTCTCTCCTCTCTGTCTCTGTAGGTGGATTTTGGAAACACAGTGGAGGGTCGTTCACTTGTTGCCCCCATTTGCCGCTATAGGAATATGTGCCTCCCTTTAATTTACTCAATTCATTTTCATCTTGATATATTATGTTGTAGACCCAGTTCCAGTTGTTAAAGTACTGGGTTATCAGTTCTAAGGCCCTGGCAAGGGTGGTGGGGAACGGGTCCCACATAACTGCCCATGTCGAGAGCTGCATGCCTAAATTGGGAGGAACACCAGGGATAAAACTCCCTGGATTCATAGCCTAGGTGCCCAAGGACACAGCGTAGAGCTTCCTTAGATCCCTTTAGAGATACAACTTGCTCTAATACTTGGGAGAGGAAGTGAAAGTCTGAAGCATTAGTATCTAGGAGGCAGGGATCAGAGGAAGTAGATTCAGAAGTAAGAAGAATTTTGGGGCTACACTTTCAAGAAAGTTGTGGTTGGGACCCAGGAGGTATGGGTCAGAAGGAGAGGTAGGGGCACACGCATGGGCGACTGTTGAGTAGAGACTTCTGGCTGCACCATAATCTCGACCATCCAATGCTGGGGGTTTGGGACAACAGCTTTCTGCCTCTAGTCAACCCTCAGCTTCCCCAGGAAAATTGTGAAAGCAAAAGCTGGTTCTAGGTAGACCAATGCTCCCAACCCAGAAGGGTTGGGGCTTGTTAGAAAGCCTTTTCCCAGGAAGCCTCACACCTGAGTCTTAAGTCCAGTGGCCATGCTAATTGTTTTTAACTGGCTGACAGGTGCCTGGTATTTTCCTCCAATTCTAAGGAAGGATAGGACAGAATGGCGAGCAAATTATTACTCACCGCTTTGAAGAATCCCCGTACGGGCCACCGAATATTACGGGTGGATCTTTGTTCATAGAACTCCCAAGATGGTGGTGGGCCACTCCCAAGATGGTGGTGAGCCACTCCCAAGATGGCAGCAAACCTTTTGTTCTCTGACCTGGGGTTCTTGGCCTCATGGATTCCAAGGAATGGAACCTTGGGCCATGCGGTGAGTGTTATAACTCTATTAGAAGCCGTGGGTCACGGAAGAGAACCGTGGAACCCAGCGACTAGTGTTCAGCTCTATTAGGACGAACCTGGGCACTTAGCTGCGCAGGAACAATGGCGAGACTTTAGCCTGATTGGGAGTGGCAATGGATGCCTCACTGGATCAGGGGCACAGCGGACACCCTGCTGGATCTGGAGTGGTGGAAGTCAACAGCGGGTCTGTGATGGCAGCAAACAGTGGTGGACGGCAAGTGAAAGCTCAGCTCGAGCCATAACAAATACGAACCAGAAGAGTGTGCAGTTGCAAGATTTAATAGAGTGAAAACAGAGCTCCCATACAATGGGAGGGGACCCAAAGGGGGTTGTCCCCCCAAAAATGAAGATTTATTATCTCACACAACCAAAAGTCTAGAGGATGTTGATAAATTCTCCTTTTCAGTGATGCCAGGGCCCTAGATTGCTTCTCTGCCATTTTCTTGTCTTTCCCATCATGGTTGCAAGACAGCTGCTGCAACTCTGGCCTGTCATGTTTTTACATGACAGCATCCAAGGGCAGGAAGGGAAGAGTCTTCTTTTCACCCTTCCCTACTCCTTCCCCTGCTTTTTTTTAATAAAGAGGGAAATGGCTCCCAAAAGTCCTCCAGCAGACTTCCTTTTATGTCTCATTCACCAGAACTGAGTCACATGTTCATTCCAAATCAGTCACTACCAATGGGAATAGAATTAGACTAATCATGGATCATCTCCTGGAGCACTGGGAGAGTCCCATCTTCCCTGAGCTCATTATTGCCTGTTTCTTGAACAGAATTGGGGTTCTCTTTCTAAGGGAGAAATGAGGAATGGCTGATGAATAGGCAATCAGTGTAGGGAGCCTCCTTTTGGGGGAGTTCTCACCTATTTATAATGTAACTTAAAAGACTTCCAGCTTTGAGCAGAGCTTAGAGCAGAAGAAGTCTCTTTAGCTGGCCTAAATTGTCACAAGAACAACTCTGATGCCTTCCTTTTATGGAATAAATGGTTTTCTTTTCTTTTCTTTTTTCTTTTTTTTTTTTTTTTGCAACGAAGTTTTGCTCTTGTTGCCCAAGCTGGAGTGCAATGGCACTACCTCAGCTCAGCTCACCACAACCTCTGCCTCCCGGGTTCAAGCGATTCTCCTGCCTCAGCCTCCCGAGTAGCTGAGATTATAGGCATGCGCCACCATGCCTGGCTAATTTTGTATTTTTAGTAGAGACGAGGTTTCTCCATGTTGGTTAGGCTGGTCTTGAACTCCTGACCTCAGGTGATCTGCCTGCCTCGGTCTCCCAAATTGCTGGGGTTACAGGTGTGAGCCACCGTGCCCGGCGGGAATGAATGGTTTTTAAGTGTCTGTGGCAGGTGTTGAATGTAACCTGTGGGAAGGTCCAATAATAGAAGCATGATGGAGAACCTCGAGTTTTAGAGCAAAGTAATGCTTGTTTCAGTCCTGTTGTGATTAAATGCCTGGCTATGAGACACACTAGGTGATTGTGCTACCTGAGTTTCTCACTGTGAACTGGGTATTACCTGATCCACAGAATTATAAGGCTGGACATGCCCAGGAGAATACTATTATCAAGTGGAAGTGATATATCTGTGCTATCTGAGTGGGCTCTCTCTCTCTCTCTCTCTCTGTGTATATTTGTATATATACGTATATATATATACACATATATATGTATATATATACCTATGTATATATACGTATATATACATAGGTATATATGTGTATATATACACATGTATATATGTATATATACGTATATATATACATAGGTATATATGTATATATATGTATATATATACACTACACACACACACACACACACACACACACACACACACACACACACACATATATATATAAACTGGATCCCAGCAGGTCCCAAAGGTGCTGGGAGAGGAAGTGAAGGAAGAGTTAACTCACACTCTTCCTTCACTTCCTCTCCTTGGGGGAATTTCCTATAAGCAGTTCAAAGAGCAGGAAGAGAATTATAGCTTGGTTTAGAAATGCTCTGCACAATATCCTGGTAGTTGATAGTGGCAGACTTGGAAAAATCTTGCTGGGGTATAGAACTTCAAGCATTATATTTCTGTGAGCCCTCTTGGACAGGAATGAAATCACCTGAAGTAAAGATCTACATTGACTTATGGGTAGTAATTTATGATTTGGTCAGATGATCAGGGACTTTGAAGGAATATGATTGTAAGATTGGTAACAAGGAAATCTGGAGTAGCGGTGTGATGGACCTTTTGTAATGGTCACTGAGTGAGGAAAATTATGTTCCATGTGCTTCTCACCAAAAGGTCTGATTTTGAAGGACATTGTCAATAATTAGGTGAACAAGATGACCACCTTGGGGATGTTGTTGAGCAGGGCATCCAACTGCTTGCTCAGTGGGCTTGTAAACGTAGTGGCCGTGGATATAAGCATGGACCCAACATCATAGATACTTTCTTGTCAAGGCTGTTCTAGCTCAGCCACTGCTGAATACCAGATTGAGAAGTAGCACCACCAACCCTGGGTCCCCAGTATGGTATAATAACTCAAGGGGAGTAGACAGTTTCTATGGGACAGGTTGGTCACATTTGATCTCTTTCATCATGGAGGAGGCAGAAATTTGTTCTCACTGGGACCAACACTTACTCTGGATATAGAATTGTTTTCTGGCTCTGTCATGCTTCTACTTCTACTATCATCCATGAATTTATTAATATAAATTAAACATAGACTCAGACTCTGAGATTTAAAAAATTAAGGCATAAGCTTTAAATTACTCCATTATGCATGTAGGGGGAAAGGAAAATGCTAATGACTTTCTTTTAACTAAGCAGAAAAACTAAAATACTGCTTAGAAATACAGAGATGTATTCCTACAACATTCTTCCCAGGTCAAAACCTTGTCAGTAAGACAATCAGAATTACAGATTCTTTTTGGAGGTTATTTTCATAGGACAAAGCAACACTTTCTAACACTTTAGAGTCTTATAAGACATTTTGGTTCAAATAACATTTACAGAGAATGGATTTCTTTTTAGTAAGGAACAGAAGGTGTTCTAGTAACAGTTATGAATATTCACACAGCTCCATATTGCTGAGAACAAATGGATATTTTTTGGAACATTCTTAATTTATTACCTAATCAAATCAGATTTTTTGAAATAGTTAATGATGCAGAATTGTATTTCTCTTTTCATAGATGCAAGGAGAAGGGACATCCTTTTTCTCAGACTTCTTTGGTTAATTATAAAGATTTATTTTTAAGGCCAGCTTCTGAAATTTTATTAGCTATATTATAAGCAGGTCTATAGAAGATAATTTTATTGTCAGAAATGGAGAAAGTGATAAAAAGTTATTTAATACCAAAACATAGGATGATATTGTTTTTCTTCTATATTATTAAGTACCTTGTTTACCTATAATTTCTTTCAAAAAGAACTTGAAACTTCAGAGAAGATAAATGGTCTATCCTTGGGTTTTTTATTTTATTTTATTTTATTTTGAGATGGAGTCTCACTCTGTCACCCAGGCTGGAGTGCAGTGGCGGGATCTCAGTTCACTGCAAGCTCCGCCTCCCAAGTTCACTCCATTCTCCTGCCTCAGCCTCCTGAGCAGCTGGGACTACAGGCGCCCGCCACCACACCCGGCTAATTTTTTGTATTTTTAGTAGAGACAGGTTTTCACCGTGTTAGCCAGGATGGTCTCGATCTCCTGACTTTGTGATCTGCCCACCTCCGCCTCCCAAAGTGCTGGGATTACAGGTGTGAGCCACCGTGCCTGGCCTATCCTTGGGTTTAAAGTTATAGAATAATAGTGCCTAAGAGGTATGAAAGAAAAAAATTAAAAAATAAAGTTATATAATAAGAGCAGTCTGGTTTAATAGCATTTCAGAGTGGATATATTTAGGAATTTTATAAAGCTCAATATTTGTCAACAATAGGAGATGGCTGGCAAGAGAATACATAGAGACTGCATTTACTGGCATATTTTTCCAAATAAGGATGTTATTCAGACTGTATGTAGAATATTGAGTTTAAGTTATACTTAGAGACATTTAATTAGGAATAAAGAGGACTTGGTGGTAGTGGGAAGAGTAGGGGAGAGGCATGCCAATTGTCTTCAACTCTCCGAGGGACTAGGCTTACTCTGTGATACTCCAGAGAGCAGAACTAGGAAGGCAGAGCTTAGATTTAGCCATAAGGAAGAAATTGGCCTGTGTATGTGTTAAGCCCAAGGTTAGCTGACCTGCCAGACATATTTTAAAAAGTGATTTCTTTATTGCATTTGGAGTTGGAAACCATCCATGTTTCTTCACCCAACTTTTTACTTTGAAAAATTTCAAGATTTCAAAATCTGAAAAATAGTACAATAAACATCTCTATGTCCTTCACCTAGGTGTACCAATATTTTTTGCCACACTTACTTTCTCTCTCTCTCTCTCTCTCTCACACACACACACACACACACATATTTTTTTGCATCAATGTTCATCAAGGATATTGGTCTAAAATTCTCTTTTTTTTTGTTTGTGTCTCTGCCAGGCTTTGGTATCAGGATGATGCTGGCCTCATAAAATGAGTTAGGGAGGATTCCCTCTTTTTCTATTGATTGGAATAGTTTCAGAAGGAATGGTACCAGTTCCTTCTTGTACCTCTCGTAGAATTCGGCTGTGAATCCATCTGGTCCTGGACTCTTTTTGGTTGGTAAGCTATTGATTATTGCCACAATTTCAGATCCTGTTATTGGTCTATTCAGAGAGTCAACTTCTTCCTGGTTTAGTCTTGGGAGGGTGTATGTGTCGAGGAATTTATCCATTTCTTCTAGATTTTCTAGTTTATTTGCGTAGAGGTGTTTGTAGTATTCTCTGATGGTCGTTTGTATTTCTGTGGGATTGGTGGTGATATCCCCTTTATCATTTTTTAGTGCGTCTATTTGATTCTTCTCTCTTTTCTTCTTTATTAGTCTTGCTAGTGGTCTATCAATTTTGTTGATCTTTTCAAAAAACCAGCTCCTGGATTCATTAATTTTTTGAAGGGTTTTTTGTGTCTCTATTTCCTTCAGTTCTGCTCTGATTTTTGTTATTTCTTGCCTTCTGCTAGCTTTTGAATGTGTTTGCTCTTGCTTTTCTAGTTCTTTTAAATGTGATGTTAGGGTGTCAATTTTGGATCTTTCCTGCTTTCTCTTGTGGGCATTTAGTGCTATAAATTTCCCTCTACACACTGCTTTGAATGTGTCCCAGAGATTCTGGTATGTTGTGTCTTTGTTCTCGTTGGTTTCAAAGAACATCTTTATTTCTGCCTTCATTTTGTTATGTACCCAGTAGTCATTCAGGAGCAGGTTGTTCAGTTTCCATGTAGTTGAGCAGTTTTGAGTGAGTTTCTTAATCCTCAGTTCTAGTTTGATTGCCCTGTGGTCTGAGAGACAGTTTGTTATAATTTGTGTTCTTTTACATTTGCTGAGGAGAGCTTTACTTCCAACTATGTGGTCAATTTTGGAATAGGTGTGGTGTGGTGCTGAGAAGAATGTATATTCTGTTGATTTGGGGTGGAGAGTTCTGTAGATGTCTATTAGGTCTGCTTGGTGCAGAGCTGAGTTCAATTCCTGAGTATCCTTGTTAACTTTCTGTCTCGTTGATCTGTCTAATGTTGACAGTGGGGTGTTAAAGTATCCCATTATTATTGTGTGGGAGTGTAAGTCTCTCTGTAGGTCTCTAAGGACTTGCTTTATGAATCTGGGTGCTCCTGTATTGGGTGCATATAGATTTAGGATAGTTAGCTGTTCTTGTTGAATTGATCCCTTTACCATTATGTAATGGCCTTCTTTGTCTCTTTTGATCTTTGTTGATTTAAAGTCTGTTTTATCAGAGACTAGGATTGCAACCCCTGCCTTTTTTTGTTTTCCATTTGCTTGGTAGATCTTCCTCCATCCTTTTATTTTGAGCCTATGTGTGTCTCTGCACGTGAGATGGGTTTCCTGAATACAGCACGGTGATGGGTCTTGACTCTTTATCCAATTTGCCAGTCTGTGTCTTTTAATTGGAGCATTTAGTCCATTTACATTTAAAGTTAATATTGTTATGTGTGAATTTGATCCTGTCATTATGATGTTAGCTGGTTTTTTTGCTCGTTAGTTGATGCAATTTCTTCCTAGCATCGATGGTCTTTACAATTTGGCATGATTTTGCAGTGGCTGGTACTGGCTGTTCCTTTCCATGTTTAGTGCTTCCTTCAGGAGCTCTTTTAGGGCAGGCCTGGTGGTGACAAAATCTCTCAGCATTTGCTTGTCCGTAAAGTATTTTATTTCTCCTTCACTTATGAAACTTAGTTTGGCTGGATATGAAATTCTGGGTTGAAAATTCTTTTCTTTAAGAATGTTGAATATTGGCCCCCACTCTCTTCTGGCTTGTAGAATTTCTGCCGAGAGATCCGCTGTTAGTCTGATGGGCTTCCCTTTGTGGGTAACCTGACCTTTCTCTCTGGCTGCCCTTAATATTTTTTCCTTCATTTTAACTTTGGTGAATCTGACAATTATGTGTCTTGGAGTTGCTCTTCTCGAGGAGTATCTTTGTGGCATTCTCTGTATTTCCTGAATCTGAATGTTGGCCTGCCTTGCTAGATTGGGGAAATTCTCCTGGATAATATCCTGCAGAGTGTTTTCCAACTTGGTTCCATTCTCCCCATCACTTTCAGGTACACCAATGAGACGTAGATTTGGTCTTTTCACATAGTCCCATATTTCTTGGAGGCTTTGTTCATTTCTTTTTATTCTTTTTTCTCTAAACTTCCCTTCTCACTTCATTTCATTCATTTGATCTTCCATCACTGATACCCTTTCTTCCAGTTGATCGCATCGGCTCCTGAGGCTTCTGCATTCTTCATGTAGTACTCGAGCCTTGGCTTTCAGCTCCGTTAGCTCCTTTAAGCACTTCTCTGTATTGGTTATTCTAGTTATACATTCATCTAAATTTTTTTCAATGTTTTCAACTTCTTTGCCTTTGGTTTGAATTTCCTCCTGTAGCTCAGAGTGGTTTGATCGTCTGAAGCCTTCTTCTCTCAATTCACCGAAGTCATTCTCCATCTAGCTTTGTTCTGTTGCTGGTAAGGAGCTGTGTTCCTTTGGAGGAGGAGAGGTGCTCTGCTTTTTAGAGTTTCCAGTTTTTCTGCTCTGTTTTTTCCCCATGTTTGTGGTTTTATCTACTTTTGGTCTTTGATGATGGTGATGTACAGATGAGTTTTTGGTGTGGATGTCCTTTCTGTTTGTTAGTTTTCCTTCTAACAGACAGGACCCTCAGCTGCAGGTCTGTTGGAATTTGCTAGAGGTCCACTCCAGACCCTGTTTGCCTGGGTGCCAGCAGCGATGGCTGCAGAACAGCGGATTTTCATGAACCGTGAATGCTGCTGTCTGATCGTTCCTCTGGAAGTTTTGTCTCAGAGGAGTACCCGGCCATGTGAGGTTTTAGTCTGCCCCTACTGGGGGGTGCCTCCCAGTTAGGCTGCTCGGGGGTCAGAGGTCAGGGACCCACTTGAGGAGGCAGTCTGCCCTTTCTCAGATCTCCAGCTGCATGCTGGGAGAACCACTGCTCTCTTCAAAGCTGTCAGACAGGGACATTTTAAGTGTGCAGAGCTTACTGCTGTCTTTTTGTTTGTCTGTTCCCTGCCCCCAGAGGTGGAGCCTACAGAGGCAGGCAGGCCTCCCTGAGCTGTGGTGGGCTCCACCCAGTTCGAGCTTCCCGGCTGCTTTGTTTACGTAAGCAATCCTGGGCAATGGCGGGCGCCCCTCCCCCAGCCTCACTGCGGCCTTGCAGTTTGATCTTAGACTGCTGTGCTAGCAATCAGCGAGACTCCGTGGGCATAGGACCCTCCAAGCCAGGTGCGGGATATAATCTCCTGGTGCGACATTTTTTAAGCCCGTCGGAAAAGCGCGTTGTTGGGGTGGGAGTGACCCGATTTTCTAGGTGCCGTCTGTCACCCCTTTCTTTGACTAGGAAAGGGAACTCCCTGACCCCTTGTGCTTCCGGAGTGAGGCAATGCCTCGCCCTGCTTCGGCTCGCGTGCGGTGCGCTGCACCCACTGTCCTGCGCCCACTGTCTGGCACTCCCTAGTGAGATGAACCCGGTACCTCATATGGAAATGCAGAAATCACTCATCTTCTGCGTCGCTCATGCTGGGAGCTGTAGACTGGAGCTGTTCCTATTCGGCCATCTTGACTCCCCGATCACACATTTTTTTTGATGAACCATTTGAAAGGAAGTTGCAAAACTCATGAAATTCACCGCTATCTTCTTCAGCAAGTATCCCCTAAGAACAAAGACATTTTCCTACTGTTCCCATTCATCCTTAAGATAATGTTCAGCTTGCAGGTGCTATGATTCTCATAAACCAGTAAGAAAAATACTGCCTGTTTTCCCTGTAATACAGGATTCATTCAGTGAAGTTCTTGCTTGCTTCACAAGGTGCATTGCTGGAGGCCTGCTCTCTGCAAGCCTCTCAAAGAATATGAAAATAGTCCTGCCCTCAAGAAGCTCTTCAGATGAAATAATATGTATGAAAATACTTAAATGTCAACTACGATATAAGTGAAAGATGCTATTTTATCTCTTTGCAAATTCTTTTTCTCAAAGAAAATAAGATTTAGCAGATGGAAAAACGTAAAAAAAAAAAACCGAAACAAAACAAAACAAAACAAAACAAAACACCAGAGGGCACTATAGTAGCATTTGTAGTAGCATTTGAAAAGCAATGTTTGAAGGCATTGTAAATATATCTTAAAACTGCATAATTTTTTCTTCTCGGAGTAATATACTGTGATTGTATTGCCTTCGAAATTCAACTACTGTGCACCGTATTAACTGGTGTTCTTAAGTGTTTGTAATAATTTCAGACCAAAAAATAAGTTTTTTTTTTACATAGACCCATGTATCTTATTATACTGAACAATATAATTTTTTTCCTGAAAGTTTAATAATCTTTAACATACTGAAGGTCCATGGCTTATATGCCTTGGACAGATTTTCAATGTTTGGTCCAGAGCATTGTGGGAGGGGGAGCGGTAATTCTAATGAAGTGTTTAGAACACGGGAAGGTAGATCTTCCATCAAACCTTTAAATTACCACTTTTGATTTTTTCCTTTGGAGGGGTCAAGTTCCATTCCAGTTTTATTTCACTGGCTTGACTCCTTTGAAATATTTTAATTTTTGTTGCCCCTACTCTTTCAAAAAGCAATATTCTTTAAGTGAAGAATGAATGAGAATACTCAGGAAAAGTGGACAACTGTCAGTAGTTTACAAACTTTTAAAAATGCCTTTGAAGCATAGTTCTTAACTGGAGGTTTTCTACATATTGCCAATGGCATCATTGATGTATGATTTTTGTTTTCTCTGGAGTATCATATAGAGATTCAGCATTCATTCCTCATTTTGAAAGAGATATATTTGAGCAACTTAGGCATTTGATGTGCATTTTGAAAAATTATACTATTGGCCAGGTGCAGTGGCTCATGCCTGTACTCCCAGCATTTTGGGAGGCCAAGGCGGGCAGATCACCTGAGGCCAGGAGTTCGAGACCAGCCTTGGCAACATGGCAGAAACCCATCTTTACTAAAAATACCAAAATTAGCTGGGGGTGGTGGCACACGGCCTGTAATTCCAGCTACTTGGGAGCCTGAGGCAGGAGAATCACTTGAGCCTGGGAAGTGGAGATTGCAGTGAGCAGAGATCGTGCCACTGCCCTCCAACTTGGGTGACAGAGACTCTGTCTTAAACAGTAACAACGACAACAAACAAAACAAAACAAAAATTATACTATACATTACTAGGAATTTCAACTGGGTGCATGGAGGAGAAAAAAAGCCTCTGTTGCTGAAGGAATGATGGAGGTGAAGCCTTAAACTCCATGCATCTCACTCTGGGGTTTCTCAGTTTTATTTTTGCTTCTGAGACAGGGTCTTGCTCTGTCGCCCAGGCTGGAGTGCAGTGGTGCAATCACAGCTCACTGCAGCCTCGATCTCCTGGGCTCAAGTGATCCTCTTTCCACCTCAGCCTCCCAAGTGGCTAAGACTACAAGCACACACTGACATGCCCAGCTATTTTTCATTTTTACTTTTATTTTTAGTAGAGACAAAGTCTTGCTATGTTCCCCAGGCTGGTCTCAAACATCAGAGCTTATGCCATTGTCCTGCCTCAGCCTCCCAAAGTGCTGGGATTACAGATGTAAGCCACTTTGCTCAGTCTCATTGATTTTATATACAATTCTAACAGCTCTGCCAAGGATAATCAGAATTTTTTTTTGAATCGCAGAACTAGGTATGAAAATTAGAAGACTGATAGAGACAGGGACATTTACTGCAGCAGTGATTGCTCAGAGGGTGGGGGGCAGTAGAGAGAGACTGAGACTACTGAATCACAATTTAGCATAAAAATTAATGATCATAATAATATGGACAAGAGACAGGGAAATACTGGATAGAAGAGGGTGGTTCCCCAGCAAAGGCCCCACCCTCAAGTCTGGAGACCCTCAGCCCTAAGTGGGAATGGGCATTTCTGTTTTTGTGCCCTGAAAGTTGCCTTTTGACCTGCTATGCCCCCCATCTGGTACCCATATGAACTCTGAACCTCAGGCTCTAGAAGCAGATGAACAGATGAGGAGATGAGGAAACAAGCAGATGAATGGCAGAATGATGTGGCAGAGAAAGAGAGAAGAGGAGGAACATCTAAACACCAAGAGGAGTTAGGCTGGGGGCGGTGGGAGAGGAGTTTGGCCTCTGGATGGCCAAACTCTAGGGGAAGAAAATCTTCCTACTCCATCCCCACTTCCAGCTCCCCATCCATCCTGCTGAGAGCCACCTTCACCACTCAATAAAACCCTGCATTCATCCTTCAAGTCTGTGTGCAACCTAATTCTTCCTGGATGCTGGGCAAGAGCTTGGGATACAGAAAGTTGTCACACTGGCCCTCTGCCCTTGCAAAAAAGCAGAGGGTCCATTGAGCTGGTTAACAGTTATGTTGTCTGTGGACAGCAAGGCTAAAAGAACCTTGTAACACTGGGGCTGCAGGCACCCACCCCTGGACACTACTGTGGGGCCGGAGCCCGAAGCACTCGCCCTGACTCCTGCACCTGCCAGTCTGCATGCTCGCATTCTTGTCAGGGGTTTGAGCAATGGTGACTGAACAGGCGAGTCACACCCCTGTTGCACATCCTGTGAGGGGGATCAGGGAACTCTCCCATTTCAATAATGACTATTCTGAGTTGTTAAGATTAGATTTGGGATTATCTAATTAGGAAAAAAAGGAAATATAGAAAATGTTTTGGAAAAATTCCATTCAAAAGGGTGAATATGAACTATTCACACACGAGGATAGAATTTTGTTATCAAGCAACGTATATTTATCGACCATCTCTGATAGAGGGATGGATTCAAAGATCGTTCTGCCTTCAGGGATTTTACAAACATGTACTTGAAAAACTAGCAATGGAAACGGCGTGTGATAGGATTTTGATTAAAAACACCGAGCATCAAAGGAGATCAGGGAGTGAGAACAGCTTTGTGGCTGCAAAGATCTGAAAAAGAGGTGGGTCTGAAATGGAATCTAGAAAGGATTCACTGAAGCAAAGGAAAGGAGGAAAGGGATGAGGAGAGAGAAAAGAACTGATATAGGGAATTGCATGAGAAAGGCCAACAACCTGTGGGGTGCATTTTAGTCCCACAATGCCAACAAAGAAAGCATTTACAGATAAAGTGTCTGGCTTCCATTTCTAATGAGAGAGAATCTTAAATAAGCAAGAATATAAGTTTCTACTTTGAGATATTAATTACTATCCTTTCAGCCAAAACTTTCAAAGATGTTTATCTTCTCTCAGAATTCAATACGTGGTAAATCATTTTAAAGAAAACTGATAGGTTTCAGAAATTGCTCCAAGATGAAAGCTAGTCTTTATTACTCTGATCTAAATTATTATGTATCTTACCTGTTTTTTTTCCTTCAACTTTTATTTTAAGTTCTGGTCCAAGGTGAAAGCTAGTCTTTATTACTCTGATCTAAATTATTATCTGATCCTTTTTTTTTTCCTTCAACTTTTAAGTTCTGGGGTACGTGTGCAGGATGTGCAGGTTTGTTACATAGGTAAACGTGTGCCATGATGGTTTGCTGCACAGATCAACACATCACTTAGGTATTAAGACCAGCATCCATTAGCTATTCTTCCTGATGCTCTCCCTCCTGCCCCCCAGACAGGCCCCAGTGTGTGTTGTTCCCCATGATGTGTCCATGTATTCTCATAGTTCAGCTCCCACTTATAAGTGAGTACATGTGATGATTGTTTTTCTGTTCCTGCGTTATTTGCTGAGGTTAATGGCTTCCAGCTCCATCCATGTCCCTGCAAAGGACATGATCTCATTCCTTTTTATGACTGCATAGTATCCCACGGTGTATATGTACCACATTTTCTTTATCCAGTCTATCACTGATGGGCATTTAGGTTCTATGTTGTCCTTTTAAACTGTTCATTGTAACATCTCGAGTATAATAACTTGAAACCTTCCATTTTGCTATTTTTGTATACATCTTTTTATCTGTTAAATCTTATAACTATAAAAGTTTACTTACTACATTATTTTATAAGTACATCAATTTTTGTAACTTTTAATTGACTATTGAAAATAGCATTAATTAGTGCCAGTTACAGATCAATAGTATTAATTAGTGCCAATTGCAGATCATTAAGCTCAACATTATGTGTTGTAAAAATTATGAAAGATCACTGATCATTAGAGAAATGCAAACCCAAACCACAATGAGATACCATCTTATGCCAGTCAGAATGGTGATTATTAAAAAGTCAAGGAACAACAGATGCTGGTGAGGTTGCAGAGAAAAAGGAATGCTTTTACACTGTTGATGGGAATGTAAATTATTAGTTCAACCATTGTGGAAGACAGGGTGGTGATTCCTCAAAGATCTAGAGGCAAAAATACCATTTGACCCAGCAATCCCATTACCAAGTATATCTCCAAAGGAATATAAATTATTCTATTATAAAGATACATGAACATGTATGTTCATTGCAGCACCATTCACAATAGCAAAGACATGGAATCAAACCAAATGCCCATCAATGATAGATAGGATAAAGAAAATGTGGCACATATATGCTATGGTATACTATGCAGCCATGAAAAGGAATGAGATCATGTCCTTTGCAGGGACATGGATGGAGCTGTAAGCCCTTATCCTCAGCAAACTAATGCAGGAACAGAAAAACAAATACTGTGTGTTCCCATTTATAATGGGAGCTGAACAATGAGAATCCATGGACACATGGTGGGAAACAACACACTAGGGCCTGTTGAGGGGGGTAGGGGGAGGGAGAGCATCAGGAAGAATAGCTAATGGATGCTGGGCTTCATACCTAAATGATGGGTTGATCTCTGCAGGAAACCACCATGGCACACATTTACCTATGTAACAAACCTGCACATCCTGCACACGTACCCCAGAACTTAAAAGTTGAAGAAAAAAAATTATCAAAGATGAAAGGGCAGTTATTTTACAGAGATAGAAACTTGAGAGAGTAGATATGCTTTTATTCTTTTTAAAATATTCACTTAAATAGATTCTGATATCTCCTTCCATGTGATTGCAGTTAATGATAGAGTGGGGCTAAGAGAAAAGAAATTAGCAGATGTTAAAAAGAAAATTATTTAGCAACTTATTTTTAAAAAGTAGCTTGTGGCTTATTGGAACACAAAGTATATAATAATGTTTTATGTATATATGTGTGTATATATTAATATATATATACACACATAATCACAATTACTATATATTTCATATATATAGTGTATATATATATATAATGTATATATGTACACATGTATGTGAAATATAGTGATTTTTTTCCAGTAAAAATCTTTTTATTGTGGGAAATCTTTTCTTTATTTTTATTTAAAACATTTTATATTTTAAGTTTTGTGGGTATTAGGTGTATATATTTATGGGGTACATGAGATGTTTTGATATAGGCATGCAATGTGTAATAATCACATCATGTAATATGGGGTGTCCATCTCCTCAAGCATTTATTTGTGTTACAAACAATCCATTATACTCTTTTAGTCATATTAAAATATACAATTAAATTGCTGTTGACTATAGTCTCCCTGTTGTGCTATCAAATACCAGGTCTTATTCATTCTTTTTAAAAATTTCCAACTTTTATTAAGTTCCAGGGTACATGTGCAGGATGTGCAGGTTTGTTACATAGGTAAACATGTACCATGGTGCTTTGCTGCACAGATCATCTCATCACCCAGGTATGAAGCCCAGCATCCATTAGCTATTCTTCCTGATGCTCTCTCTCTGCCGACTCCCTGCCCTCAACAGGCCCCAGTGTGTGTTGTTCCCCATCATGTGTCCATGTGTTCTCATCATTTAGCTCCCAGAAAATTTTCAACATAGACAAAAGTGGAGAGAAAAGTATAATGAAACTCCATGTATTCATTACCCAATCTAAAAAAATTATAAACATATGGCCAATCTAGTTTTATTTATTATCTCTTCATTCCCCACTTTCAACTTCCCAGAACTAATTTTAAACAATTTCTAAAGATGATATGATTCTATTCATAAACACTAGTTATTATTATTATTTAACATAGGGAATATTCATATATATAACAGGTACAAAGTCTATAATATTTAAAGCTCTTTTATGTTCCCATATTAAATGTAAATATTTGTTTAAACTCATGGCTTTCCTTGGTTCATCAAATCAGGTAATAAATTAACCAGGCAGGTTCACATTCAATCAGATAGTATTCTGAATTGCTCCTGGCATCTTCAAAAGATGAGGATTGTTCGGACGCTGTTAATAACAATAAAACATTAATAAGTATAATTTTCATGATAAATTTAACCAAAGCTCACAAATAAGTTTTGCCTTTTCATTTCAGGATCTGGTCTTCCTTTATAGACATTCACTTTATTAAGCCTAATTTCTTTTATCCCGTCATCCTCTTCCATTCATGGTGTTAATAATATTTTATGCATGTGCTAGTAAACTTGGGGGGAATTGAGGACCCTTACTCACCTTAGGCAGCGTCCTTGTTACTCAGTGGTGCTGTTGAGGAGAATTAGAATGTACCAAGGAGGGAGTCAGGTTTTAGTCTTGGAATAGTCACTGTTCTCGGATCTCCTATAGCTGAGGGCAAAGTTGAGCATTGAAGGAGGGAGTGGGCATCAAAGTTGGTGTGTTGGGATGCTACTTTTTAAGAACCCAGATGTTCTTATTTCTGGGTAACTCCAACATGTAGACACAAAGAGGGGGATAAGCCTCAAGGACAGAGCAGTCTTTATCTCAAACATTACTGCTGGAACTGTGGAACCCCTGCTATGAGCAGGGTGCTATGCATAAATGTTTTCTTCACCCAGGACTGGAAGACACCCCTACCTGTAGAAGGAGAATCTCTGTGTCCTTTCCTCACTCTGGGGCAGGATCACTACACCTCAACAGGCTAGTCAGTCATTGTATCCCATCCCCATCCCCCCACTTCCTTGCTTCTTTGCAGTTGGGTGGTAGGAGGGCCTGCCCTCTCTTGTGCTTCCTGTGCCCATATGGTGGACACACCTGATGAGGCCCAACTTCTGCCTTCCTCATTGCCACCTTTCCATCTGTGTGGGCAGTCAGGTGGTATTCTCAGTGGGCCAGAGAAGGAGCAGGAGGCCTCACTCTGGTGTCTACCCCTAGGCTGATTACCAGGGAAGCCTCCTGGGAGAATGTGGGAGACTTGCCCATAAAGCAATGCAGCATTTTCCACCTGGCTGCCACTTAGCATTCCTTATGGATGTATTCCATAATTGAGAATTCTAGGAGAAAAGGTTTGTGTTCGAGGATATGAATAGAAGGGTGTGAGGCTCAAACCCCACTTCAACTTCTATCTCCTAACTTGAGGAGTATTCCTTATGGGGATATTGAAGTTGTATAATACATTGCAGGGCTTATATACTAAGTTTACATGGTGTAGCTTAAAAAATAATGCTTGTATTTTCTTTTTATTGAACTTCCTTCTGATATGTTGTGACTGACACGTTTGCAAATTGGGGAGTTCATGTCAGTGGGGATATTTCCTCAGGTTTCTTCCCCAAGAAGTAGTCTGGGTCCTCACACCATGAAACTATCTTCTTCTTCTGCAACATTTATTCCCTGCTTCAAATCCCAGTTATTTTAATTTTACTTTAGACTTTTCCTCCTCTCTTTTGTTGTATCTTCTCTTTTCATTTCTTCTTGGTCCTGCGTCTCCTCTATGTAACATTGTTCCTAATGTTTTTGACCTTTGTTTCTATTGATCAAGGCTGTGCTTGAACATTTTACCTAGAATCATTGATCCTAGTCTTACTAATCCCCCAACCCCTAAGAATCTTCCAGGTGGAACATTTCTATGCATCAGTTCCTGGGATCCCTGACATGGGAGCACTGTATAACTAAAATAGTGGATCAGAAGGTATCTTAGAGGAACTCCATGACAAAGCAAGAGAATGAGACAGTTGGGGCATCCTTTACATGTCTGATCCCTGCCACAGAGGCATGGTTTTCACCCCATTCTGATTGTGAAGGGTCTGGGGTAGGCACTCTGTGTCAAACTGCAGAACACCACGGTGCTAAACTCAGGGGTACACTCTACTAGAGGGATCTAACATACTACACAGAAACCTCTCTTTCTAGGGAGCAGGCCCAACTGAGTTAATGGTTTGTGAAATGGAAATTGTATCAATTTATGCCACCATTCTATATTGTAACAGTGTACAGATGTGCATTATTGAAATGGAAGGTTTTCCCCTCTGAAATGACCACTATTTAATCTTTTAAGCACATCTAGTACCTGGGATGTGGAAAATGTCAGAAAAAACAAGCTGGTTGCTTCTTAACATCAAAAAGAAGATAGAATCATTGTAAACGTTTTTTAAATCATTCAGTCATCTATTAGTAATGTACCTTTTTCCTTGGTTCATTAGGTCAAATGCCTCACTGATTTTGTCAAAAGGCAGGGTATGGGTCACCAGTGCATCCAGATTGAATTTCTTATTCTTATAGTCAGTGACCAGCTTTGGGATAGAATCTACACTTTTCCAACCTGTAATGTGGACAAAATGCAAAATAAAGACATGGCACTTGACACGAAGTAGTTTAATCAGCATTTGCTGAATGAATGAAATTATTAGGTCAGATTTGGTTTGCTTCAAATAGATTAAACTCCTTCCATCTTTAATTTTCTGTACTTATATCTATTTTAAAATTTTTCTTTATAAGAAAAATTTAAGATTATTTTCCACTCTATATAAGAAATTATCTCAATAAGGTCAATGTTTATTTTTTGTTCCTCCATGTTGGTTCATTCAAATGCAAATTAAATTTCAATTTGCAAATTATAATTACCTTTTTATATAAATTATTTATAAGTCATTAATAGTTTTTATGTAGTATTTGGATATGCTCTAGGGATTCAATGGTTGAATAAATTATTTTTATTTCTTTTCAATAACCTTCACTCTAAGAATTTCAGAACTACTAGGAAAAGAATTTAAAGCTATGAAGAAAAAAAAAACTGACCACCAAAGAATGTTCCATTTATAGTACGGCCGATTATTAGCTCCTCTGGAAAAATAGTCAATCCTTTGCTACCAGCAGCTACTCCAATGAAAGTACATGATCCCCAGCCTGCGGTTGTACAGTCCAGGGCTGCTTTCTGTGATGGAGCATAAAAGAATACTTGAGTCAGTGGAAAAGTAGAATATGAACTCCAGTGTGGCAATGTACAATGCTTTAGAAAAAAATTAATCCAACTCTGCATGTAAGATAATGGGATTCAAGCTAATGACATCATAGTATCATTGTAGATTGAGCCTTGAGGGCCCAGTGTTCCATTACAAATAGAATGTTCAGCACAGTCCGGGTGCAGGTGACTCATTCCTGTAATCCTAGAACTTTGGGTGGCCAAGGTGGGTGGATCACTTGAGGCCAGGAGTTCGAGACCAGCCTGGCCAACATGGCAAAACCCCGTCTCTACTAAAAATACAAAAATTAGCTGGGTGTGGTTGTGCCTGCCTGTAGTCCCAGCTACTCGGGAAGCTGAGACTGGAGAACTGCCTGAACCCGGGAGGAGGAGGAGGTTGCAGTGAGCCGAGACCACACCACTGCACTGCAGCCTGGGTCACAGAGTGAGACTCTGTCTCAAAAAAAAAAAAAATTATTAGTAAAATAAAAATAAAGATGTCTAAAAAATCAGCATACATTTGTGTGTAAGTAAATAAGTTTTATATTTGCCTCTGCTAAATGTTTAAAGTGTCAGGGTTTGGGACAAAGGTTGTGAGACTGTAAACCCAGCCAAATCTATCGTTGTGTGACTTTTTTTTTTTTGACAAATAAGACTAATTTAAAATTGTTAGGTCAATAACAGCAACTGAATCACCTAATTTATCAGCAAAATACCTATGTGTTTAACCTTATGGTTCTTACTTAGGTTTTCACCTAATGTTTAGACTTTAGTTAACAAGGGCCAGGCATGGTGGCTCACGCCTGTAATCCCAGCACTTTGGGAGGCCAAGGCAGGTGGATCACTTGAGATCAGGAGTTCAAGACCAGCCTGGCCAACATGGAGAAACCCCGTCTCTACTAAAAATACAAAAAAGTAGCCAGACATGGCAGCATGTGCCTGTAGTCCCAGCTACTCAGGAGTCTGAGGAAGGAAAATTGCTTGAGCCCAGGAGGTGGAGGTTGCGGTGAGCCAAAATCGTGCCACTGCACTCCACCGGGCGACAGAGTGAGACTCCATCTCAAAAAAAAAGTTAACAAGGAAATAACTTTAAATAATGGCTAGTTCTGCATAATATCTCAGTTATCAAAAGTTATCTAGATAACTATTAAAAATGAAAAAGTATATGTAAATGAAATAAATGCTTATAAGTGGACTTTTTGTGTAATATAAAATCTGAAAATTATTTTAAATTAAATAATAAATGCTGGATATGTGAGTCATTTCCAATTAAAAAATTATGATATAGGAAAACATGTTTCTAAAATTGTGAAATGATTTCATCTATAAAATGCTTACATCTAACAGTTCAGGATTTCTTGCTTTCTAAGTTTTCATGAAAATTTAAGGTTACTAGGAATAAGAATTCTAATTCATATATAAATATATAATTGTATTATCTTTTTTTTGAGGCAGTCTCACTCTGTTGCCCAGGCTACAGTGGAGTGGCGTGATCATAGCTCACTGCAGCCTCAACTTCCTGGGCTTAAGTTATTTTCTCACCTTACCCTCCCAAGTAGCTGGTACTATAGGCGTGTGCCACTACACCTGACTAATTTTCATATTTTTAGTAGAGGTGGGTTTTTGCCATGTTGCCCAGGCTGCTCTCGAACTCCTGGGCTCAAGCAGTCTGCCCACCTCAGCCTTCCAAAGTGCTGGAATTACAGGCATGACCCACTGTGCCTGGCCTGTATTCTTATTAAAGAATAATTTTACATAATTTGGAAATTATTTTAAAGTTATTTACTTAAAAAGATAAAAAAAAGTAAGTAGGGGAGAGAAATGTAAAGTTATAAATATAAAAATGTATTTTTAATAAAAGGGTTATTAAAAAAGAATAATTTCATATAAAAAAGAATCTTATGGTAAAATCTTGTCCTAAAATAAAATGACTTATTATTTAAAAGGAAAAAATTAGGATAAGTCAGAAGTCCAAGCATGTCATAGATCATCTGTGTAAGTCATAATAAGTTTCATGAAGAGGAATTTATAAAAAAATTTTGTATGTGATTAAATTTGCTGTGATTAAAAAAGGATTATTTAGAATAGTCTTTCTAAGATTATTCCCCTATGTTAAAACAAAGTCTCTTTACAGTATTGATTTGCTCTTAATACAATTAAAAGAAACTTAACTTTTAGTTTTATAACCTGTTTCTTTTGAAAACTTCTCAAAATCATATGTCAGTTCACCTTTTGCTATGTCTCCCTGCTTTCAGCTTTGTCTCCCCTTGGACAGAGATAACTCTTTTCTTTAGCTTTTTCATCAGCTATTATAAGTTTTTTTCCTCCAGTTCTAACTATTCTTATGGCCTGATACTAAAATGTTTTATCTTAAAGGTCTAGGAGTGAATGTTTTCCTCCAGTACAACTTGATTCTGTACTCTTGGCTTTTCTTGATATGTTTAAATTTTTCAATGTAACCAGAAAATTTCTCATGCAGTTACTAAGAATTATGTATTCCCCTGCTGTACTCATAATCCTGAACACACTTTTCCCATGTCTGATTAAATTCAAGCACTTTTCCCATCAGGTTTATTGAAATGGGCTTCCCATAAGGAGAAGCAGTCACACTACCAGTTTTTCTTTCCATTTCTGGTAACTGACTTAAGAAACAACATTTTACATTTTATCAAAATAATTCCCATGTTGTCTACATTAGGTTTTTAATTGCTTAAAAAAATAGTGTTAAGGTTTTTACATCCATACATCCTCATGTATTGCCTTTAAAGTCTTTTGATGATTTATTTGGCTAAATAAGTAACTATTGTTTTACAATGACCTGTGGTTCTGTTTTAATCAAATGTTTTGAGGCCTTTAACATTTTTGACAAACACTTTCAAAATTAAATTCTAAATTAAGTCTCTGACTTATTGCTGGGGGTTATCAAAGCTCTAAAAAATTAATCACTGCAAGGTTATAAAATCTTTCTACAGCTTCCAGTCAGGTCATAGACTCCAGTATCACTACATTCAGCTCCTTAAAAGGGTCCTTAGCAGGTGTTAGTAAACAATCCTTGTGCTGGTAAGCTACAGGGTGTTGACCCTTGGTTTAGAGGGTTAGAGGTCATTGGAACCTAGAAACTTTCTATAGAAGCTTTTCCTAGCTATAGAAACTTTTGGTGGGAGAGTAGGTAACTCATCTTTTGGTGATTAAATAAATCTTTCTCTTTCCATTTGGATTCTCTAATATAATTCTGTTCCATAATTGAAAATGACTTTCATGGTATAATAAGTCAGCTTAATAATAGAAGATGCTAACTTTTAGGTCAGTGGTTCTCAACTTGAGAAATTAATTTTTAAAATGTTGTCAGTGGGCTCCCAGCACACAAGAATATCCTGGGTTTGGCCCATTCATTGGTATTAAAAAAGCAACAAAACAACGAAAAACCCCTCAGGAAATTCTAACATATAGCTAGTGTTGAGAATATGTTAATATTAAATATAACAACACATGCACATATTGTTTATTAATTTTAAATATTATATACTGTTAAAGAAAAGATTCTACATTAACAAATGTTAATATTAATAATGTATATAATGCATAAGATAGCTAAACAAAATAGGTGTTTATTCCTATTTATGCATTGCAGTTAATTCATCCCTTTATATCTTTGGCTAAAGAATGCTGTCTAGTTAATGCACTTGTCATTTTATTTGATTTAATAGTCAAAAGGAACATTTCTCTAATTAAAAATGAAAAAACCCCTAAAATTGTCTCCAAGGAATAGGAATTGGAATTATCATAGAAAACAAAATTAGAAAATATTATCTCCAGACAAATAATATTGAGCTTTTTAAAGGGATCTCAAAAGAAAAATCAGCATCTACAAATAATGCTGGTATGGCTTCTTATCACAAGAGAAGACTGAACTCACCAAGATAGTACTGGCATTTGGGGGGACACATTCATGGGCATTGAAGGAAATGGAGTATAGCTGAGGGAATGGGAAATGATTTGTGGCTTATAGTTCTACCACCCTGTCATCCATTTGAAAGTACTAAGTACCATAATAAACATAATCCACTTTCCCCTATTATTTGACAGCCAAAGAATACATTGAAAATATGATCCAAGAACAAAATATACATACCATGGTTTCAGATCCACCTGCACAGTCAAGGGCAAAATCCACACCTCCCTTGGTCAATTCAATGATAACTTCCTGGATCGGTTTATGTAAGTCTCTAGGATTGAGGCAGTCAGTGGCTCCCAGGGCTTTAGCCTTCACAAACTTCTCACTGTTGATGTCAATACCTATGATTCTGGAAGCTCCTGCTGCTTTACAACCCATTACAGCAGAAAGACCCACACCTCCTAGGCCAAAGACAGCACAAGTCGAACCAGGGGTGACCTGCAAGCAGGAAAATTATAAAGTAACTTCTAAAGCAGCCAGTCCCACTTTTTTTCTTTTAAGAGTCAGGAGGAAGTGGGGGCATGAACATATGAATTAAAGACAGCCTGCTATTAAACTCTATGATATAGCCAATGGAGGAAATCTGCCAATGCGAAAATGGATGCATTACTACTTAAATTTGGAGAATTATTTAGTGTTCATTAAGATTATAAGAAACAAACCCAAGTAAAAATAATTCCCTTGTTTTACTTTTTCCCTTCAGTGTTATCTGAACAAAATTTGAAAACCCACACATTCTGAAGGGTTTATTGCTTTCCTTTTAAAATTGGATCACTATTAATTTGACATCTATATTTCGAATAGTCCTCATTTGGTTGTATTAATATTACAGTGATTTACTTGATCACTCCAAATCACCAGTTTGGAATGAAGTCCAATTTGTTTTGCATGGCATGAAAGCATTTTTATTGTCTGACCTCTGTTTACCTTCCAGCTTCATCCCCATGATATTCCCAGTACAAGAACTGCGAACAGATTGTTGCACTTTCTTCTCATGCCGTAGTTGACGCTGCTCCCTCAGACTGATGTACTTTTAACCTTATTTTCTTTAATTAAAGTATAACCTATACTCCTAGGCCTGACTTCCAAGACATTCTGTCTATGAAACTTTTCTTGATTTTTCAATCAGAAATCAATGCCTGTCTTTTTGCTTTTCTTTTATTATATAATTTATAACCTGCCTTGATTGTGGGTGTATGGTGTGTTTCTTTAAAAGACCGTAAATTTTATGAAGGCAGAAACTTTTTAAATTCCATATTATTATGAAAGAGTCTTCTGTATATTGAGTCTTTAATAAATATTTGTTTCATTGCATTAAATGGAAATAATAGATAAGATGGTAAGAAAAGATGCTGTAACTGGAATATGTTATTCTACAGACTATTATAGCGATAGAAAAATACTACATAGAGAAATACTTAATATTTCCTAATGAGGATGCAAAGCTGTTAGGATTAAAACATAAACAAAAGGAAAAGAGAAAATCTGCTCAAGGTAAGTATTAATACATTCTAAATTGGAAACAAAATTACTAAGCAACAGGTAAACTGCAATATTTTCCTTATTTACTATAATATTAGGTATACACACCTCTGGCTTTTGCTACTCAGAGGAAATAATAAATATGTATATATATTGCAAATAGTAAGAATATTGTTCTTATGATGGCTTCTTTACTATAATGTTGTGGCATGTGTTCAGTATGATTCTTAATATATTGCTCCAGAGTCTCAGTTAAAAGGAGCCTGTGAGTCTCTTAGGAAGTGGAAATGCATTTTTCCCATTGCAGCAATGTAACTAGTAGTTGGATTCTCAGGCTAGCTCACAACAGTGTATAAATATAATATGCTGCATTACTTGTATTATACAACTGGACCCCTGTGTGTAAAAGTGCCTTTGTTTGCAGAACTTAGGTGGGGTCACTATAAATTGCCCCCACAATTTGCAAGTGAGTCTACACACAGTAGATGATTATCTATCTGCAAGTACCACTGTTAGAGGACATTTCCACACTTCCAAAGGTCTCTGTGTAATGTTGTTTAATTGGCAGTAAAGGATACAAGCACATCAAAAAGAAAGAGGGGTTCTGGTGATGTTGGTGTGTTCTCAATAATTATACAGAGAAGTTGCTTCACTTTTCTTCCCAGAAGTAAGTTAAATTTTACTAAAGCTCTTGCCTTTTGGGCAGAATTACTGATACTTCACTTTCCTTAATTTCTTCCTATCAGATTCATTTCTCTCTGAGGATCTCATGAGGTGGCTTAGCAGCTAGAATCTCTTCCTTAACAGTGGGAAGAACAACTCCTGGAAATTTAGGTCGACTTTGACTGGATTTAAAAGAAAGCTGTACAATTCCACTTCTGTATATACAACCAAAGGAAATGAGATGTGCATACCCATGTTCAATGAAGCATTATTCACAATAGCCAAAATGTGGAACCAATCCTTAAACAAAAGGAAAACAGAAAATCTGCTCAAGGTAAGTTTAATACATTCTAAATTGGAAACAAAATTACTAAGCAACAGGTAAACTGCAATGTTTTCCTTATTTATCAATAATATTAGGTATGCACACCTCTGGCTTTTGCTCCACAAATAGATGAATAGATAAGAAAAATATGATATGTATATACACAATGGAGTACTAATTATGCTTTTAAAAAAATGAAAATCCTGTTATGGTGAAAACATGGATAAACCTGGAGGACATTATGTCAGGTGAAATAAGCCAGGCACAGAAAGACAGATACTGCATGATCTCACTTATATGTGGAAAAGACAAGCTCACAGAAGCAGAGACTAGGATGGTGGTTACCAGAGTCTGGGGGGATAAATGACGAATAGGAGGATGTTGGTCAAAGGTTACAAAATTTCGGATAGAGTGGAGGAATAATTTCTGGAATTTCATTGTACGCTCTGGTGACTATAATTAATAATAATGTATTGTATATCTGAAAATTGCTAAGATAGTAGATTTTTAATGTTCTCTCCACAAAAAGATAAGTATATGAAGTGATGGATACATTATTAGCTTGATTTAATTATTCTACAGTGTATATATATATCAAAACGTTAATTGCACTTCATAAATGTATAAATTTTTTTCAATTAAAAATAAATAAGTAATTAAAAAAGAAAGCTGTAGCTGAACCTCTAGTGCTGATGGCCCTTAAAAGGACTGGAGTAGTAGAAGAGGATGGACTGCATGGAGCCCAGCAAAGGAAGACTTGAAGAGTGATACTTCTTCCCTAAGTCTCTAGCGCCATACAGCAGAAAATAGGCTTTGACTGCCATGTGCACATCTGCTGTCAACTCCACCCAGCTACTAGTACCCTTCTCTGATTGTAGTTTGGTTTCTAACACAATTTTTTAAATTTTTTATTAATGAGTAATTGTGTGCGTAAATACATTTTTAAAGGGAGATAACATGTTGATAGCAAAGGGTAGCATTTTTGTCTATGTGGCAGATAAAATTCTCAATGAAGAGTCATACTTTGGTATCTTGGCTACTAGATCAACCTCTTATTGTGGTGAGGCTGACTTTGTTTCCTTGACACTGAACAACTCTAGGTAACCTGATAAGAAGGACTTTCTGGATTACAAAGCCGAGGACCAGGCCTCACCAGGATGTTTTATGCACCTGGTTTTATTTATTCATTCGTTGAAAAATTATCAAGCTCCTGTTATGTGCCAGGGACAATTCCAGGCTCTGGAGCTATCACAATGAACAACAGAGAGTTCTTGCCCTCAAGGAACAAATAGTACAATAGGACAAAAAAATAAATGGGAGATTTCTCTATAGTGTGATAAGAATGAAGACAGAGGCTGGTGGTGGCTGATGCCTGTAATCCTAGCACTTTGGGAGGTCGAAGTGGGAGGACTGCTTGAGCCTAGGAGTTCAAGACCAGCCTGGGCGACATAGGGAGACCCTGTCTCTATAAAAAATTAAAAAAATAGCCAGGCATCGTGGTGCATGCCTGTAATCCCAGCTACTTGGAGGGCTGAAGTGGGAAGTTCACTTGAGCCCAGGAGGTCAAGGCTGCAGTAAGCAATGATCATGCCACTGCATTTTAGCATGGGCAACAGAGTGAGACCCTGTCTCAAAAAAGAAAAAAATTTGGGGTGAAAACTGGGAGGGATACCCAAAGCATGGCTGAGAGCCTGAAGTAGATCTCTGAGAGGAAGTGATAAGTGGAGTCAGCCTGAAGGAGGTAGGGCAGTCTTCTCTGCATTGTTGCTGGAAGCCAAGTGTGGAAAGCCCAGAGACCACAGTGACTGAAGCCTGGAGACTCAGAGTGGAGCCAAGGGAACAGTGAGTGCACAGTGGAAAGGGAGAAGTAGGAAGTCACTGTAGCCTACTGAGGAATTTGAGCTCACCCTGAGGGAAAAATGAAATAATGCAGGAAAAATAAAATCTTCAGACTTGTTGTTTGAAAGACCACTCTGGCTGCATTTTGCGGTTTTGAGTCAGGAATAAAGATCGATGTCAGGGAGGTTCAGATAAGCAGGTTGAGATGTCCAATTGTGAGATCCCTCTTTGATGTCTCTCTAGTTCTAGATCAGATGCTTTGTAAGAGTTTCTAAATTCTAACATGGGATTCCAGGGACACATCTGGTCAACATTACGGCTGCTACCAGAGACCCTCCTTTGAAGCCACAAAGGGACATGATGAGTAGCAGAAATGAATTACTACTGATGGAGGGAGATAAATCTGTAGCAACAGGGAGAAGACAGGGGTGGTTGTGTGAAGATGGAAGTGAGTTTCTGTCATTTTTGTTGCCCTTTGACTGAGTCAGCTGTCCTAGGATGAGCATTCATCCTTAGGAGACATATTTAAACAGGCTGTATTTAAATCAGGGAAGATCTATAACCTAATATGTTAGTATAGTATAAGAACATATGCTGGGTCAATTATATGTAGGCTACTGGGCCAGATGTTTTACATATATAATATTATTCAATTATCCTCATAAGTATTTGTAGTAGATATTATTCTAGAGGGATTAAATAACTTGCTTAAAATCACAGAGGTAATAAATGACACAGCCACAGTTTGAAGATAACTAACTCTAGTTCATCTGTATCACACTGCCTCCTAGTAACTTCTGTTTTACACAAACTGGTGTTTAACCATTTACCTTGGCATTGTTGATTGCAGCCCCATAGCCAGTTGAAAACCCACATCCAAGCAGACAAACTCTCTCTAAATTTGCATCATCATCTATTTTGGCAAGATTGATATCTGACACCACAGTGTACTGAGAGAATGTACTGGTTCCAAAGAAATGGTAAACTGGTTTTCCTTTGCAGGTAAACCTGCTGGTTTTGTCTTCCATTAGTTGTTGATCACTAGCAGGACTTTTGAGATTACTAGAAAATTAAAAAAAAGAGTGATACAAATAAAGAGAAGTTATAATAAATGGAACACTGATCATTTTCCTACAAAATATGTTGAGCATTATATATTTTTGATGACAATTTACAAGACAGAAAAATTAGGGAAACAACAAGACTTTTCACAAAATATAGTTTGTTGAATAACAGCAAATTTAAAAAATAACAGCAACAATTTTTTAAAAAGTGACAGGGTGTCATTTCGTCACTCAGGCTGGAGTGCAGGGAACAATTTTTTTTTTTTTAGACGGAGTTTTTGCTCTTGTTGCCTAGGCTGGACTGCAGTGGCACAATCTCCGTTCACCGCAACCTCCGCCTTCCGAGTTCAAGCGATTTTCCTGCCTCAGCCTCCCGAGTAGCTGGGATTATAGGCATGCACCACTACGCCTGGCTAATTTTGTATTATTATTATTATTTTTTTTTTGAGACGGAGTCTTGCTCTGTCGCCCAGGCTGGAGTGCAGTGGCGCGATCTCAGCTCAATGCAACCTCCGCCTCCTGGGTTCAAGGAACTCTCCTGCCTCAGCCTCCCGAGTAGCTGGGACTACAGGCACGCACCACCAGGCCCGGCTAATTTTTGTATTTTTAGTAGAGATGAGCTTTCATCGTGTTGGCCAGGCTGGTCTCGAACTCCTGACTTCGCTATCCACCCGCCTCAGCCTCCCAAAGTGCTGGGATTATAGGTGTGAGCCACCTCGCCTGGCCCTAATTTTGTATTTTTAGTAGAGACGGGGTTTCTCCGTGTTGGTCAGGCTGGTCTCGAACTCCTGACCTCAGGTGATCTGCCAGCTTTGGCCTCCCAATGTGCTGGGATTACAGGCATGACCCACCGCACCCGGCCAGGGAACAAACTTTCATTGAATGCTTTTGTGTACCAGAAATGCTTTTAAGGGCTTTACATGTATTAACTCTTAAAACATTTTTGTTGTGGAAAATTTGAACATGTATAAAAGTAGAAGGAATAGCATAATGAACCCTTATGTGTCCATGTCCCAGCTCCAGTAACCATCAATTCATGGCCAGTCAGGTTTCATCTATTATTCCTCCACAATATCTGCTCCCTCCCCCACATTGGAATATTTTGAAGCAAATCCCAGATATCACGATTTCATCTGTAAAAACATTACCATATATCTCTAAAGGATTACTTTAGGTCCACATTTTTGTTGTCTCTTAATTATCTTAAATTATAGATCCCTTCTCCCTCTCTTTTTCCCCTTGCAATTTATTTGTTGAAGAAATTGAATCATTTGTCCTATAGAGTTTTTCTCATTCTGAATTTTGCTCATAACATTCCTGTAATCTGGTTGAACATATTTCTCTATCCCTGCATCCCCTCATAAATTAGTATTTTTGATCTAAACACTTGATCTGATTCAGATTTTATATTTTTGTGGTAATACTTTATAGGTGGTATCGTATATTTCATTTGGAATATCTGATTATCTCTTTTTATAACATTTATTAGAAAGAATTTATTGGTATTGCCTAAATCCATTATTTCATTAAAGCTTTGCAAAAAAAATTAGTTCTTTGAATATCTAGAACAAGTCTATGAAGCAGGCATTATTTTGCTCCTCATTTTATAGATGAAAAAATTGAGGCACAGTAATAGATGTAAGAGTAGTACAATTTTAGCTTCTTAAATAACTGCTTTCAATTAGTGTTAAGGATGAAAGGATCCTTCTGTAGTCTAGTAAAGCAAAAACAAGATGATTAAGATTTTAGACTCCAGAGCCATACTGCCGGGGTTAAAAACCTGGCTCTAAGACTTATAACTATGTTGCCTTGGAGTAAATTACTTTACTGTGCCTTATTGTATCCCTCTCTCATCCCTGTAGAAGTAGCTATTATTCTGAATTTGGCATTTATTATTTCAGTGATTTGTTTATGCTTTTACTACATATACAAATAACCATAAGAAAGTATAGTATTGTTTTTGTATATGACACTTTACTAAATATTCCTTCAGCAATTTGCTTATTTCCCTTAACATTATGTGTGTGAGATTATTTTATGTTAATACATGCAGCTCAAGTTTAGCCATTTTTATTGTTGTGTAGTAGTCCATTGTGCTACTACATAGCAGTTTTAAAATTCATTCTCTTTCTGATGGACATTTGTGCTGTTTTAAATTGCTTACTCTAATAAACAGTGTTACAAAGAACATTCCAGCACATGTTTCTTTGTGTGCACTTGCAATAGTATCTTGTACACACCTAGGATTAGAATTAGTGGGTGGAAGGTTTGCACCTCTTCAAGGCCATTTAGGTAATGTCAATATGCTTTCCAAAATATTCATTCAAATTTATACTAATACTAACAGTGTAGAGTGCTTACCTGATTTTCCCACACAAATTTGTGAGTGGACTCAGACAAAACTTGCATTTTCTACATAGAGGTGCATAAAGTGGAATTACTTTGTCACCTAGAAAGAAAGGCCATATGTTGGATGGTGCCTAAGGTGTTACTTATAGCTTCTACCAGATAAATCAGTGGAAAACACCTTTTCTTTATAGTATACATTTTATATTCAGTGGAAAGTATAGGTGGCTACAGTATTTCATTACCTTACAAGACTGCAGATTCCCCAACGTATTGCATATATTGTATTTTTTAAAAAATTACTCTGCTAGGCAGTCCAGCAACAAATCTATGTTGATATCATCAGATACAGAACTCTGGGACTTTGCTGTCATTGTGACTCTCTGCATCATGACTATTGTTTATTACATTTCCAAACACCATGTACGAAACATAACATCCTTAGATAATAGGAGAGGTAAACAATTATAGGCTAGGTATAAACTTTATATCATTGCTATGTTTCACCTTTAGATTCACTTTCAAATTCCACATTTTTCCACTTTTTAATAAATTCCAATTTAATAGTGACTTCTGTGCTTCGATGCCTGAGGTCTAATGATGATAATTCACATTCATTCAACATTTAATACATACCACGCACCATTATAACTACTTACATGTATTATTTCAGAACTTAATTCTCAGAGCAACTCTTTGAGACGAGCCCTATTTTTATTCACACTATAGAAAACAGAAATCTGAGCTGAATCACAGAAAAGTGACATAACTGGCCAAGATCACATAGCCAGTAAGTGGCAGAGCTGGGGCTAAAGGGATTATATTGGCCAGACTCCTTCATTGACACAAAATTTTGGGAAGCAATTTGTTTGTACAATCTTTTTTGGAATGGAAAGATACTAATATACCTCTAACTTTGGAGCATTCTCATTAAAAGAGAAAAGAGTGGCACGGTTCATCTGGCCTGCCAAATGAGGATTACATAGCCCATATTCCAGTATCTGGAGGATCTGTTGTAAAATGTGGAGTAAATAATTTCAGCTATTGGGGTGCTTCATTTAGGTATTATCTTTATCTTACAAACTTCCAAAAAAACACTTCAGCTAACGTTGACATATATATAATATTTCTCACTAAAGCTACCTCTAAGTCCTCATTCTTTACATAGTTTGCTGTTAATATTAAAATAGTTTGCTTTTTTATATAGAAGTTATTATAACATGTCATTTAAAAACCTTTTATTTTACACCAGGTGCAGTGGCTCACATCTGTAATCCCAGTGCTTTGGGAGGCTGAGGTAGGCAGATCACCTGAGGTTGGGAGTTCAAGAGCAGCCTGGCCAACATGGTGAAACCCTGTCTCTACTAAAAATACAAAAATTAGCCAGATGTGATGGCTCATGCCTGTAATCCCAGCTACTCTGGAGGCTGAGGCACAAGATTTGTGTGAACTTGGGAGGTGCAGGTTGCAGTGAGCCAAGATCGTGCCACAGCACTCCAGCCTGGCACAGAGTGAGACTCTGTTTCGAACAAAAAAAAAAGTCTGGGCAAGGTGGCTCATGCCTGTAATCCCAGCACTTTGGGAGGCCGAGGTGGGTGGATCACCTGAGGTCAGTAGTTCGAGACCAGCCTAGCCAACATGGTGAAAACCCGTCTCTACTGAAAATACAAAATTAGCCGGGTGTGGTGGCACATGCCTGTAATCCCAGCTACTCGGGAGGCTGAAGCAGGATAATTGCTTGAACCCAGGAGGCGGAGGTTGCAGTGAGCTGAGATCGTGCCACTACACTCCAGCCTGGGTGACAGAGCAAGGCTCCATCTCAAAAAAAAAAAAAAAAGGAAAAACAACACCTTTAATTTTAGATTTAAGGGTACATGTGCAGGTTTGCTATATAAGTAAACTTGTGTCACGGAAGTTTGGTGTACAGATAATTTTGTCACCCAGGTACTAAACATAGTACCCGATAGTTATTTTTCTGAGCCTCTCCTCCCTCCATCCTTCATCCTTAAGTAGGACCCAGTGTGCCTGTCATTGCCCCATTTGTGTCCATGTGTTCTCATTATTTAGCTCCTACTTATAAGTAAGAACATTCAGTATTTGGTTTTCTGTTCCTACAATAGTTTGCTAAGGATAATGGCTGACAGCTTCATCCATATTTCTGCAAAGGACATGATCTTGTTCTTTTATAAGGTGTCATTTGTTAAACATGGAAGTTTCAGTTAGAGCTAACCTCATAACTTTGCTTCATGGGACAGTTTCTCAGTGCTATGTGTAAATAAAGTGACCACATTTCCTAGATTTTATTAGACAATTCTGATTTCAAATATTCTGTCCTATTGCTAGACTGTGATAAATTGTGTCTCTCGTTTTACTTTGGAAAAGATGGTCCCCTTTTGTAAATAGAGATCAATTATAGCATGCCAAGCCAGGACTCTATCAATAATTATCTCTGAAATATTGTGACATTTCCATTTTTTCTGAATAAAATAAAATACCTGGTTTGACGTTGGTCACTCCTGGCCCAATACTTTCCACAATACCTGCAGCCTCATGGCCAACGATCACTGGGAAAGCTAGGCCCTCAAATTTAGAATCGATAACAGTGGCATCAGTATGGCACAGAGAGGTAGCAATGATCTACAAGGCAATCACAGACTTTAATTGTGTTTCTGCAACTATATTATTGGGCTGGATGTTACATATAAGATTAGGCTTGATATCATTTTAAAACTTTATAAGACTTCTAGAACTCAATAAAAGAATCACCTTTTGAAAAAAGAACCAATAAAAATATACTGGGTTAGATTATTTTCCTCTTATAATGCATCTTTGTTTTCTACCTTTTGCTGTTGTCAGAAAATCATAAAAGAGATAGGATTGGCAATTATTGCCTCCAGGAGAGGAAAAAATCAAAGGTAATAGGGCTTATTGAAATGAAGTTGAGGTAATACACCTTTTACAGTTGAGAGAACAATATCAAATCAAGGATTGTCTGAATTAATTACCAATGTATACCTATATTCTTCTTTAAGGTTCTGTCAGTGAGAATGTCCCATTCACTCTCATGTACAGACTCTTAATGTGGGGGTCCTCAAGGAAAATATAAGCCTGGTCAGCTTGGGAAAAATGGGGAAATTGTCCAAACTTGCCATCAGTGATCTCACTCCATTCCATGCACTCTCTTCTCCCTGTGACCTACTCCTGTCCCTTCCTCTGGATACCCAGGACCCTTCGGCTGCCTAGGGCAGCACGTCAGGTTTTTTCTTCTGTCTTGTTTTCGATCAAATTGTCTATCTTCCTTTTAATAACACTTTCAAATAATTAGCAATTGGAAAGCAAAAAGAAAACCTAACTAATTCAAATCCAAAGTGAATTCCTTTGTCTGATTCTTAGGGTAAATGATTAATGTTAAGATCAATTAAATTTTAAGCCCATTATTTGAAAATTACTAAAATAATGGATGATTTATTCCTTTTTGGGATAATGCCTGTTTTTGACTGAATCTAAAAATACAGCTTCCCTGTACTAGAAACTCCAAGGCCTCTGAATCATAGCACAGAGGATTGACCTGACAGAAGCCAGGTCTCCACTTGGGGCCCTGTCTGTTCCCACCCAAGGAAAGTCTCCACTTACCTGAATGCGAACTTCATGAGCCTTGGGGGGAGCTACTTCAACCTCTTCAATGCAAAGGGGCTTGCCTGCTTCCCAGGCGATGGCTGCTTTGCATTTAATAACCTGAAAGAGAGAAAGAAAAGGAAGAGGGAGATAGAGATAGAGATTTTGACAGGGTTGGGGGTAGGAGAGAGGAGATCATGAGAAAAAATTAGAATATATTGATACTGTAATTTCATGACAAAGAGTTAAAGAGTTTGTAGCTGGATCTTATAGATATTATTTTAAAGACAAGGGATCTTAAAGAAAAATAAGAAGTTAAATTCTACATTATAGTCATTACATTTTTTATTTCTTGAAAAAAAAACAGGTGTATTAAAGTTTACCTTGATATAATGTCTCAAGTTTTTCCCTCTATAACAGAGAGAATAGATTTATGGAGTTTGAATAAGGTAGATGGCCTATAAAAATCTATTGAGTGAACTGTTTGAAATCACCTCTGAATTACCTGAGTCAGATAATTGCTGGAGAATAGATGTGTTTTACATCTCTGCAACTCGAAGTGTGGTCCTCGGACAAGCATTTATTCACATCACTTGGGAATTTGTTAGAGATGAAAGCCCTGCCTCAAATCCACTAAATCAAAATCTGCATTTGAACAATATCCCCAGAGAATTCATTAAAAGTCTGAGAAATGAGGCTTACATCATTATTAAATTTATCTGTAGGATATAAATTAAATAAAAATTTCATCTAATTGTAAGAATTTGGGTAAAGATGAATGAACAGAAATTAAATATTTAGGATTCTATAACCCCAATTTTTTCTAGCCTCAAATTATATTTTTAATTTCAAATATAAGCAACATTGAAAGAAAGTAGAAAGAAACAAACCTATAATCTTCTGTTCTAACACTACTATGCTTACATTTGGTATACTTTTCCCAAAGTCTTTGACCACATTAATGTATATTTTTCAATAGTTACATAATTTTGAATTATGTTTTTGAATATTATTTATTTTGTTTCAAATGAAGTATATATTAATTAACAGGAAGTTTCAAAATGCCAAGGCCTATCAAGTTTTTAAAGACAAAAAATAGAATAAGATTCATCTGTAAGCTCATCACCCACTTTATGCTTTTGATGCAGATTCTTCGAGTATCCCCAAATAAGATACATTGTCCATAGTATTTTGTAATATACTTTTTCTACTATTAATATACTGTGAACATTTTCCCATATTCTCCTGCAACATTATTTGTAACATATGCATATTATATTTTATGGTTACAGCACAGTTACTTAAATCTCTCTTCTTTTGGCCATTTAAATAATATTAATATTAACTGAACACCCTTCTAATAAACATTTTGGCAATCCACAGTTAATTTCCCTAGAATAAATTCCTGGCATAGGGGTCACTCATATCCTTTTGATCAACTGTAAGTCACTGCTTCCTGAGTTCCTGAAGGAAGCTCCTTTTAGCCAAACATACAAGGACACAGAAAAGCACAAACTGAACAAAGATACAGCTTACTTGCTTACTTTGCCCTTGGTGCCCATTTTTCTTTGGGAAACTGTGTTGGAAGTTTCTTTCTGAGTTAAGAAAGCTTCAAACTCCTACCCAGGGAGTTCCGTGTCCTATAATGAGCTGTCTTTGAATAAATACCATTCATGTTGCTTAATTCTCCAATCACTTCCTTTTCTCCTTTGTTGCTGTAATTCACAGCCCTGCCGGCCTCTTACCACATCATTTGTACTATTGGACTTCAGCTGCAAACCTCATTGCTCCCAGTGAGCTCCAAGATTTTTTAAATTCTTTTTTCTTTTATTGAAAAATATAAAATAATAGAGAAAAGCCCATTAAACATATAAAGATGAATTAACAAATAATTATGAAGTAAAGGAAATTTCTACTCCTCAGAATCGCCCATTTAACTTACCTGTTCTTCTCCTTCACAACCCTGATAATCACTTCCTTGCATATTTAGTGGTTTACTACCTATTTAAGCTTCTCTATCCAATAGTTTAATCTAGCAAAGCCTTTTTATGAATGGAATCATAGTGTATGTATTGTTTCATGTCTTTTTTCTCCCCTCTACTCTATGTGAGAATCATTCACATTGCCTGTGGCTGTAGCTTATTTTCATTACTCTAGAATATTCCAGTGTATGAATTGAACATAATTTATTCATCCATTTTCCTTTTTGCTGTTTTTTTTCCTCTTTGCTTATGATGAATTAGTGGTTACATACAAATTCTTTTCATGTACTTGGTTGCACATATGCTTGAGTTGCCTTAAAGAAAATTCAGAGCTGATATTCAGCCAGTACCCACTATGAAGGCCATGCCAATTATCAAAATATTGAAGTATTTTTATTCAGCTTGGTAAAAAGTCACTATCCCAAATCCCCAAGTTCCCCTTCAACTCTGTTGCAGCCCTGGGGGCCCCTATTTAGTCACTGCTAAGGAGCTACTCTTTTTGTCCCACCTGATGTGTGAGTCCATCAACCAGCCCTGATGGTTCTGGGTCTCTGGCTGTCCCCCTAAAACAGAGTAGTCCCTGGAACCCCAGTAGATAAATACCTAGTGTCCATCTGACCTCCTGTGGCTGTGGCCTCCAGTGCTGTGGGTCAGAACTCCCCTGGAGTCACATGTATATGGCCATTTGTGAGAAATGGAGTTTCCTTTCTGTACTGGTTGTTAAATATTTTTTGACTAGGAGTGGAATTAAAGTCTTCAACTTTAATAGGCAAGGCCAAGGAATTTCACAGAATGGCTTCACCTACCAGCAGCAGTGTATGAGAGTCCTCGTTGCTCCACATCCTCACCCATGCTTGGAATTGGCAGACTTTAAAAATCTTCTTAATCTGGTCGTGTGTAAAGATATCTAATTCTGTTTTTAATTTGTATTGATCTGATTATTAATAAGGATAAGCACCAGTCCTGTACTGGAGTCAGCTCATACTGATTTTGTTGTGCTTATTCTATTAACTACTGAGAGATGTTTAGAAATCATTATGATTACTCTAATTATCATTACACGTTGTATGTGTGTACTGAAGTATCATAGGTACTTCACAAATATGTACAATTCTTTCTGTACATATTAAAATTAAAAATAAAAATGAATAAATAACAATAAAATTATTTTAAATAATAACTAAAAATAAAAAGAAACAAAAATACATCATTATTATGAGTTTGTTAATTTCTGAGAGTACTTTTTTTTACTTTACATATCTTGAAGCTTGATATTACGTGCATGCAAGTATTCTGTGTTCCATGTGTTTTAAGAAATTTAATGACATTTTTACTATCTTTCCCTGGCAGTGTGTTTTCATTATCTACATTATTTCTTTTAATAGTCCCCTAGTATTCCACCATCTCTTAAATATTTCAGTTGTTCTATTAAACTTTTAGAAAGCGTAATTTATACTCGTTTCCACTTTTTCACTAACCACATTTCACTCAACTTGTTTGATTTCCATCTCCTTGTTCTATTGAAACTGTTTTCCCCAATGCAATGCATGAGTTTTTTTTAGTTTGCTCTGATTGGAACATCTACTGTGGCCAACTAACCCCTTATATTTCCTTAAGGTGTGTCTCCAGGTTCCTATCTTGCATCCCCACTCTTTCTATTTGGATATGGTCTTTTCCCTTTTTGAATCTCTGTAGCACTCGTGTTTGCATGACTCTTCAGGCTTATACATAAATAGGCAAATGAAGCAAAGTAAGTTTTGCTTCATTTTGTCTCATGTTCTGTTACTTGTGCCTTTTTTGACAACCTGTTTCCTACCTGTAGCCTCCTTAACTGTAGAGATTGTATTTTATTTACATTTCATATCCTGAAGAGTATACTTCAGAGCCCCGAAAAAATACTAGGTGATTACTAAATGCTGGTCAAATTGAATAATGACCTTGGAAACACAATTGGAATTAACACTCTTTTCTGAATGCTTGATATCTGTCTTTTCTTGGTCTTTCCTTCTGTGCTGCACTTTGATAAACTTCTTTGAAGGTAAAGATGGTCTTTTCCTTTCTATAAATATCAAAGGATCTGCTGAGAATTGTTTTGAGAGGAGAAGGGAGAAGAGGTTTCAGAATAGTAAATCCTGGGCATTTGAATGTGAGGGCTTCTCCTAATGGAAAAAAAGAAAATCATGGATTCTTCTTATGAGAATGGTTTTACCTTTTGTGACTTTTCATTTTTGGGCTTCTAGATGTTTTCAAAATTCCCAATGTTATATATACCTTTAGAAATATAATTTCTCTCCCATTATATTAGCATAAATAATAATATTTTATAATATTCCATCATTCTCAACTTGAATACCCAAATAGCACATTTGAAACCCAAGATGTTTCAAATTGAACTCATTGGGTTTCTGCACCAACCACTCCTTTTTTTTGTTTTTTTGTTTTTTTTTTGAGATGGAGTCTTGCTCTGTCACCCAGGCTGGAGTGCAGTGGTGTTATTTCGGCTCATTGCAAGCTGCGCCTCCTGGGTTCACACCATTCTCCTGCCTCAGCCTCCCGAGTAGCTGGGACTACAGGTGCCCGCCACCATGCCCAGCTTTTTTTTTTTTTTTTTTGTATTTTTAGTAGAGACGGGGTTTCACCTTGTGTTAGCCAGGATGGCCTTGATCTCCTGACCTCGTGATCTGCCTGCCTCGGCCTCCCAAAGTGCTGGGATTACAGGCGTGAGCCACTGTGCCCAGCCTCTTTTCTCCTTATTTTTAAAATAATTGTTTATTTTCTACATCTAATGACATCTCTCCTAGATTCTAAAACTTTCCTTTTCATGTTAAAATCTCTGTAATCAGTTGCTTCTTACTATTGATGGCATGTCATAGTTTAATTAGCACCATTTTTCTTTCATAATGGTACATAAAATTATGGCATATCTGACAATTGATGTCTTAGCCCTGATAAGGTAGAGTATTTGTAAAAATGTATAGATTGCAATTCCTCAGCATTTCACCCATTTGTCTTTTTTTTTTCTTTGAGACAGAGTCTTGCTCTGTCTCCCAGGCTGGGGTGCAATGGTGCAATCTTGGCTTACTGCAACCTCTGCTTCCTGGGTTTAAGCGATTCTCCTGCCTCAGCCTCCTGAGTAGCTGGGATTACAGGTGTCCACCACCATGCCCAGCTAATTTTTGTATTTTTAGTAGAAATGAGGTTTCACCATGTTGGCCAGACAGGTCTCGAACTCTTGACCTCAGGTGATCCGCCTGCCTCGGCCTCCCAAAGTGCTGGGATTACAGGCAAGTCACCATTCCTGGCCCATTTGTCTTTTTCACCCTACACTTCTACATTATGGTTCATTTCCTCACTGTTTCTTTTTTTCCTGTTTAAAAAAAAATTGAGATAAAATTTACCATTTTAACCATTTCAAGGTGTACAACTTACTGTTTTCAAAATATATTTACAATGTTATGCAACTATCACGACTACTAGTTCTAGAACATTTCTTTTTTTTTTGAGATGGAGTCTTGCTTTGTCACCCAGGCTGGAGTATAGTGGTGTGATCTCGGTTCACTGCAACCTCTGCCTCCTGGGTTCAAGCGATTCTCGTGCTTCAGCCTCCTGAGTAGCTGGGACTACAGGCACCTGCCACCACACCTGGCTAATTTTTGTATTTTTAGTAGAGACAGGGTTTCATCATGCTGGCCAGGCTGGCCTTGAACTCCTGACCTCAGGTGATCCACCTGCCTCGGCCTCCCAAAGTGCTAGGATTACAGGCAGGAGCCACCATGCCCGGCCAGAACATTTCAGTCACCCAAAAGAGGCCCCATATGTGCTAATTCCTCCTTCCATTTAGCTTCTGGCAACCACTAATCTATTTTCTGTTTCTATTGATTTGCCTATTCTGGACATTCCTTGAAAGGGACTAATAATGCTGGAGAGTGCTGAAAATGCTGAAATGCTGAAAAGTGGTGGACATGTTAGGGCAGCAGGAGCCTAGGAGAGCCAGAGTAACATCATTTTCAAATAAGCTCTATCTTAAAACTAGCAAGGCATATTCCTTGCCAGTCATGACCTATGGTCCTAAGATGTTTACCACTAAGGAAGCAGCTTGGTAATGCCTGCAAGGACAAAGTCCTACAACAGAAAAGTCCAGATGTTACAACACCTATAACAATATATGCTTTCAAGATATAGTTATGCTTCGATGGACTTACACATTAAGATATCAAGGATAGTTTTCTTTAAATCAGTAGAATAATACATTTAGTCATGCTGTCAGCCCACCTGCACATAGGCACAGCTTAGTTTAATCTTTACATAGGCAAGACCCCTATATAAGAAAAACTTAAAGACAGTGCATTCCTCTGCTTTCATTTTGAGGATGCTTTACTGGGTGACAGAGTGGCTTTCAGTAAACTATCTCTTCTCACAGAAATCTGAGACTCACCTTGAATTCCTTCCTGGGTGAGATCCAAGAACCTTTTCTTGGGGTCTGGATCTTGAAAAGACCCCTTTCTTTTTTTTTTTTTTTTTTTTGAGACGGAGTCTCGCTCTGTCGCCCAGGCTGGAGTGCAGTGGCGGGATCTCGGCTCACTGCAAGCTCCGCCTCCCGGGTTCACGCCATTCTCCTGCCTCAGCCTCCCAAGTAGCTGGGACTACAGGCGCCCGCCACTACGCCCGGCTAATTTTTTGTATTTTTAGTAGAGACGGGGTTTCACCGTTTTAGCCGGGATGGTCTCGATCTCCTGACCTCGTGATCCGCCCGCCTCGGCCTCCCAAAGTGCTGGGATTACAGGCGTGAGCCACCGCGCCCGGCCGAAAAGACCCCTTTCTAGCATCATCTTCTGGGGACACTATAAAAGGACCTTAAGATGTTACCTAATGCCAAGGAAATTCAGTCTGCACAACACTCATTGGCCCCTCTGGTAAGTTGGGTCCATCTTGGTGTCCTCTATTAGGTTTAGGCAAAGCTGATATTCAGGTTAGAGACTAGGCACATGAGGTTAGAGTCCCTGGGGTATAATAAAAATGGAAGTAGCCTTGCAAGATCTTTGCCATTGTGTGCTTTGGATTAATCCACCTGATCCCCTTTGCCAGGTATGGAAAAGCTATAGTTCTCATCATTTTCCAGCTTGATGCCTTTGCTTTTACTGCAGCTCTATGCTGGCCTTGTATGGCTGGGCAAGCGCTTCACTACTTTCACTTTTCATGCTTGCCATCTGATTACCACATCTGAAGTTCTCTGTTTCTCTCTTTTCTTTCTGCCTGTTTTGAATCTGCTGTTATTAGGCTACTGGCATTGAGATAAAGCTTATTGTTCAAAGTTACTTGGAGATTTTGTTTTTCTTGTAGAGTTCAACCAATTCTGGCTAAAATGTGAACATTAGAAACTCATTTGAAACTGAAGAAAAAAAAAGGCAAAAAAGCTCTTTTTTAAAAAAACCAAACCCCCACCAAAGACCACTTTACCCAAAGTTTTGGTTTACATATTTCTTTGGATTACTTGTTGGATGTCTGGGTGATTTCCAATTAAGAAAGTTTATGATATGGGAAAAGATGTTTCTGAAATTGTGGAATGGTTTTATCTATAAAATGCTAACATCTGACAAATATTTCAGGATTTCCTGCTTCCTAAGTTTCTGGATTCATGGATGAGTGAGTGACCTTTGTTGTCCCTTCTCTTCCCTTTCTTGTCCCTTTTCCTTTTTGCACTCTGCTTAGCCTTCTGAACCCAAGAAGACACTGAGATACCCACGTTCCTTTTATTCCCCAGGGATTGGGGGTTAGGGGTCCCTGGTTGTTGGATCCTTTGGGCCACGTCTGCTGAGGAGCCTGGAGTTATGGGATCCTCCAGGTCGGCTGCCACCCTGTTGGACAGGGTTTTTCAGCCTTTAGGGGTTTAGAGTTGCAATGTCTCCCTGACGGATAAAGTGTTTGAGGTACAGAGAGATATTTGTCAGCACCTACTGCTTCTTGGTCCCCCTTGTCCCCTTTTTCTGTTGCATACTTGCTGTCTGTGCCTCACTAGTGATGGATGTCGACCTATGCTTGCATGCCCTGAAGTTAATAGCTACCATTTTCTTTCTGATCTTGATGATTTTTGTTCTTTGGGTTATTTAATTTGGCATCTCTCTGGACAGGATTGCAGAGAAAAGCCTCCTGGGATCTAGTCTTATTGAGAAAAAGAATCATTTTGTCAAATTCAGAAGTTATCTAAAGGTCAACTCAAATTATGAACTTGAAAATAATTACTTATGAAACAAAGTGAGAAAGAACCAGTAAGTAGGGAAGAGAGAGAGAGACATAAAGTTATGGATATGAAGATATATTTTTTGGTAACTCAGGTTATAAAGAAAAGAGAATAATTTTGCATGAAAAAGGATCTTGTATGGTAAATTTCTGTCCTAAAATAAAATGACTGATTAAGAAAAAGGGAAGTTTAGGACAAGTCAGAAAGTCCAAGCTTGCTGTAGGTGGTCTATATAAGTTGTGATAAGCTTTGTGAAGGGGAATTTATGAAAGGAATTTTGTATGTGATTAAGTTGGTTATAATTAAAAGGAAATAATTTATAATACTCTTTCTAGGGTTAGTCCCCTATGTTAAAACAAGATTTTCTTAAGGTGTTGATTTGCTCTTAATGAAATTGCAAGAAATTTTACTTTTAATTTTATAATCTGTTTCTTTTAAAAATTTCTCAATCATATCTCAGTTCAACTTTTCTGTGTCCTGCTGCTTTCAGCTTTTTCTCCCCTTGAGAAGCCTGAGACAATAACTCTCTCCTACAGCATTTTTGTTAGCTCCTGTAACTTTTTTCTTCCAGTTCTAACTGTTGTTGTGGCCTAATGCTAAAATGTTTTATGTTGCAAGTTTAGAGAAGCAATTCTTTCCTCCAGTATAATTTGATTTTGTACTCTTGGCTTTTCTTGATATGTCTAAATTTTCAATGTAATCAGAAAACTCATGCTCTTCCCAAGAGTCACATATTCCCCCGCTCTACTGATAACCTTGAACACACCTGTGTCTTGTTAAATTCAAGCACTTTTTTTCCCATCAAGTTTGACTTCCAGACTATCTAAGTGAGCTTCTCACAAGGAGAAGCAGTCATATTGCAGAAGTTCTTTTTCGACTTTTTGGTAACTGACTTAAGAAACAGGATTTCGTATTCCTATGTCTTTATTAGGTTTTCAACTGCTTTTAAAAAACTTGGGATTTAAAAGGGCTAAAGTTTTTACATCCATATGACCTTCTGTAGGTTCTCTTTAAAGTCTTTTAATTACCAATTTGGTTAAATGAGTAACTATTATTTTACAGTGACCTGTGCTTCTGTTTTTATCAAATGTTTTAAGCCTTCATCATTTTTAACAAACATCCTCACAATTAAACCCTAAATGAAGTCTGACTAATTGCTGGGGATTATTAAAGCTATCAAAACTAATCAAACAAAGTTATAAAATCTTTTTACAGCTTCCAGTCGGGTCATGGACTTCATTATCACCATCTCTAGCTCCCTTGTAAAAGGTTCTTATCAGGTACTATTAATTAATACTGTGCTATTAAGTTACAGGGCTTTGACTCCTTAGTACACATATGTTAGCTAAAGAAGGCACTGACTCATGCAAGTATCTGACATCAAACTCAAGTTAACCAAAGCCTTGTCTCTGGACCTGGGCAAAGGCAACAGAGTAAACAGCTTTCATGAAACACAGGGACAGGCCTGTATTAATAACCATTAAGATTTATTTAATAATTTTGCCTTTACCTGAAATCATCCTTATGTTTTGTTTTACCCCCAGAATTTGAAACTATGAAATCCTGCCAGGCCCAGAGACTATCACATGAGATTGTAAAGGCTGGTTTTGAGGAGTAAAATTAATTCAGACCCTCCAAATCAAGGATGGTACACAGATTCCTAAATAGCTGAACAAAATGCTGTGATTTGTATAACTAATTGCTAAAAGCCCAGATTGCAGTAGGTTGATGCATAGAATTTATAGATAAGTCAATTTCGTAACTTTGCTTTTTGGCTTTTGGTTTTGGGATTTATTTTGCTTAAAAGAGGTGTTAAGGTTAATGAATGTCTACTCACTTCCATTCCCATCTGGCCTAGTGCATTAGTTGGCTGTAAGTCTTTTGACTCTAAGTCCCCTAGCCATAGAGTTTCCAGCAAGGGCCATGATGGATCTGGGACAGATAACACATCTTTGGGACATGATAACACACATTCAGCATCAATATGGGACAAAATAAAAGCTTGGCATACCTTGACAAAAAGGACGGAATATAAATGTAAAAAAATAAAATAAAATCCTAAGACCCAACAGAATGGACCCCCTCTTGATGAAAAGAAATAATAATAATAATTTTAAAAACCTTTAAAGTGTAGTTTAGGCCATGAAGGGAAGCTGGGGGTCACATATGTCTCACTATACATCTCCCCCACCTGGAATTCAGGCACAATCGACGAGCATTAACGTTGAAATAGTGATCATAAGATTGACAGAACAGACCCTTCCATTCTTAGGTATTTATTTATTTATTTTTAAATTTTTGATAGTTTTTGGGGAAGCGGTGGTTTTTGGTTACATGGATAAGTTCTTTAGTGGTGATTTCTGAGTTTTGGTGTACCCATCACCCAAGCAGTGTAGAGTGTACCCAATATGTAGTGTTTGGTCCCTCAACCCCCTTTCACCCTTCCTCCCAAATCCCCAAAGTCTTTCTCATGCCTTTGAGTCCTCATAGTTTAGCTCCCACTTATCAGTGAGAACAGACAGTATATGGTTTTCCATTTCTGAGTTATTTCACTTAGAATAATGGCCTCCAACTCCATCCAAGTTGTTGCAAGGGCCATTATTTCATTTTGTTTTATGGCTGAGTAGTATTCCATGGTGTATATGTTCTACATTTTCTTTATCCACTTGTCGATTGATGGGCACTTAGGTTGGTTCCATATCTTTGCAATTGTGAATTATGCTGCTATAAATGTGTGTGCATATGTCTTTTTCACTACTGACTTTTTTCCCTTTGGATACTGGGATTGCTGGATTGAATGGTAGTTCTACTTTTAGTTCTTTAAGGAATCTCCACACTGTTTTCCACAGTGGTGGTACTAGTTTACATTCCCACCAACAGTGTAAAAGTGTTCCCTTTTCACCACATCCACACCAACATTTATTACTTTTTGATTTTTAAATTATGGCCATTCTTGCAGGAGTAAGGTGGTATCTCACCGTGCTTTTTAAAAATTTTTATTTATTTATTATTATTATTATTATCATTATTATTTTTGAGATGGAGTCTCGCTCTGTCACCCAGGCTGGAGTGCAGCGGTGTGATCTCAGCTTACTGCAACCTCCACCTCCTGGGTTCAAGTGATTCTCCTGCCTCAGCCTCCCGAGTAGCTGGGACTACAGGTGTGTGCCACTACACTCAGCTAATTTTTGTATTTTAAGTAGGGATGGGATTTCACCATGTTGGCCAGGCTGGTCTCAAACTCCTGACCTCAGATGATCCACCTGCCTTGGCTCCCCCAAAGTGCTGGGATTACAGGTGTGAGCCACCGCGCCCAGCCGGAAAAGATTCTTTATGGCAATAAGATGTCAAATTATAAACAGGATCTAAGACCATGCCAGGTAAGGGTTAAGTCTCCACCCCAAGTAAACAATGTCATATGTTACATGCATGTTCATTCAATATACATGCATCAGGACCACGTCCATAGATATTCATAGCTCCCCTGTTCAATGAGGGGACTTAGTCTTATTAAAAACTTGGAAAGAGGGAATCCCTCAAAGATTAATTACAACCCAAATGGAAGGGCCCCTATCAGGTTATTTTTAAGCACCTCCACTGCTGTTAAATTTCAGTTGAATGACTAGCTGAGTACACATGTCCAAAATTAAACCTGTTTCTTGAGTCCCTGCAGGCACCTGAGAAAATCACAACCCACACTTGCGAACCCCTAGGAGACCTAAAGCTGTGGTTTTACAAATAAACAGATAAGTAACATTCCTACTCTTTCCTATAGGTACTCAATCTTCTTAACAACTCCCATCCCACACAGGTTTGCATCCCCAGCAGATACATATGGCTATGTGGTCACCCATTCGATCAGCCTATAAAAGACTTGTCTTATTTGATATTGTGAAACCCATGGTTATCAGTGTATATGAAAATGTTTGGTTCAGGGGTCAATGTACAATATGACAAGCAAAGTCCTCTAATACACAGTTATATAAAATCACTCACCTGAGAGCCAAGTGGACAATTGGCCTTATATTGGCTGGAGTTGGAGCCCCAGAGGGAAAATTTGCCTATTATTAGGCAACTCTTCAAAACTTTACTTATTCGTTTCTAAACACTGTCTCATAAAATGGGGGATGCTTTAGATGAATTAAGATTAGCACTAGATTACTTATTCGTTGAAAATTAGCACTAGATTTCTTATTGGTTGAACAAGGAGGAGTGTGCACCATAATCAATATAACCTGCTGCAGTTATGTAAACACCTCAGGTCACATAGAAGAAGATATACAGAAAATACATGAACAAGCTGTGTGGTTGCGTAAATATAACCAAGGCACCAATCCCAACTGTATCTGGTCAGCCATTAGAAGCACCCTCCTGAGTCTCACTTGGTTGTTGCCCTTCCTAGGAACTTTGATAGTTGTCTTATTATTAATCTTTGGCCCTTGCTTGTTTAAATTCTTGGTAAAGTTTGTGTTTTTTAGATTACAACAATTCCACATAAAGATGATACTGACACAAAGCTTCCAATCCATCCCGTCTTCTGAACCGGGAAATAAAGACACCCTGCCTTTAGGTGTCTTTAGATCTAGATCAGGCATCTAGAGATTTTTACTCCTCCAATACTTGGCAGGGTCTATGCCCGTAGACTCATCAGGATACCATGTAAATGAGGACCTCCCTTGGTACCCCAGAGGCCAACTGTAGACCCTTATGAGAAAATCCTGTCCCCAAAATGAACATCCACTGTCAGCAGGAAGAAGTTACAGAAGACCAGCCTTTGCCCTTACGATTAAGGGTCCTCTTGTAAGTAGAGAGGGGAATGTTAGGAAAGCAGGAGCCTAGGTGATCCAGAGTGACACCATTTTAAAATAAACTCCACCTGAAAACTAGCAAGGCATCTGCACACATCTGTTTAGCAAGTATATACTTCTGTAACTGGAATAAAAAGCGTTATTTTAGAATATGCCTATAGTTTGTAATAATTAGCCGAGGGAAAAAAAGTTCACATTGGTGTAGGAAAAGTGCCCTAATGGTCATGGGTAATAATGGGACCGTGGTTCTGGTCAGTGATTTGATGGAAGGGGTGTAGATAATATATTGTTGTAAATAATAAAAATAAAAAATTGTTGTAAGTAATAAAAATAAAATAATATTGTTGTAAGTAATAAAGTAGGAGAAATATTTGGTCTTTTGCTTTTGGGTTAGTGCAACAGTAGTACCATTACTTGGAGGAGAAGTTAGAGAAGGACAAGAATAGGCTTGAATAAGATGAGTGAGAAGAGAGAAAAATTCCGTAAGTGGAGATGGCCAGGGAACACCAGGGCAGCAGAATCTAACTCTGAATTTAATGCTGTTGTCTGTTCATATTGCACTGCGCTGTAATCTCCCTATCTTTCCTAAACCATTGGCAAAGTCTGCTATCCACTGGGGCCTTGGGTCGGTGGTGCTTTGGGAAATACCAGAAGAGGGAAAGTACGGCAAATGTGCAGTGTCACAGATGATAGGAGGAAAGCTGGCCAGTGGGATGATTAAAACAATTTCGGTGGGAGTGGGAATTCAGACCATGTAAATGGTCTGAATTAAGAAAATTTCAAGAAACAAAAAATGTTTCTAATGAGCCAAAGTGAAAGCTCTTCATGATTTCTTTATAGAGGCTCTCTAGTGCTTGTCCTAATTTCCTGAAATCTCATGGGTATCTTACTCTCCTGGTGCCCGCCTCAAACATTCACTGTAGCAATTATATGAGCAGCCTAGAGAATCCCAATCCCAGTGGTCTTGCTCCCTGGATCTACTTTCTCTTAAAAATCATTCCCCTAAGTTTCCGTCACTTGGTTGAAGTTTAGTAGATATCTCCACATCTCCAGCTAGAACAGCACCAGAATTTCAGGACTAGGGCAATAGAGTCTGATATTAAATTCTATTTCTATCTATCTATCTATCATCTATCTATCTATCTATCTATCTATCTATCTATCTATCTATCTATCTACAGAACAATTTGTGGGATAGTAGCTTTGGGGTCCCAGATCTAGGATGGGCCTGGTCCTCCATGCTGGTTCTCCTGGGTGATATTTCTGTTAGTTTGAACAGTAATCACACTTTTATTACTGTTTCATCTTTTTTTTTTCACTCTTAGACTGATTTTATCATGTGTATAAAACATACACACACCTACATCTCAAGGATAAACATTAATCCTTGAAAAATATGTGGTCTAAAACTATATTGAGGAGAGAAAGATAGGACACTTTAATTGCCACATGATTAACACGAGGTCACCACACAGCTTTCACAAATCTACAAGTCATTCTATTTAGGCTGAGTCAAGTTCTCCCTTGGGCCAGCCAGAGCACAAATAATGGAGCAATGTGACTCTTCAATGACAGATCTCTGATTTCCAGAAAAGAGACTTTGAAATACCCAATTCTAGTAAATATGCAATTAAATTTCCAGCTAAATGACCTTTGCTCCTGTAGTCTTCATCTTGGGGAAGGGAAAGAAGTCTTATTCTGTTTAATAGTTTGATTTTTATAATAGGGTTTGTCTCTGTTATAAATCTTGTTTGATATTTAAAATGTTAGCTAAGAGAAAACTTCTGTTTGTTTTTATTTAGTGGGAAGAAACTAACCCTCATTGAGTGCCTAGTTAACATCAGGCACTTTGTACACATAATCAATTGAATCTTGACCACAACCCTGTGAGGTAAGTATTATGTACCATATTAACAAATAAGACAACATGCTTACCCCGTTTGATCTTTTCAGTGTTTGTTAGGGAAGCAGAGGTTTGATTTGAAGTCTGTTTGATTACAAAGTTCATGTTTGCTGTCAAATTGCTGATCTTGAAAGTTTTAGGATGTTCGATGAAATTTGGGCTTTGTAGTCTCCCCTCTCTTGCTGTTATCTGTAAATAGAACTTTGAGAAATTGTTCAGTTTTATGTTTGAGAGATTGTTTACATTTGAGATTTTGTACTGTTATTGTTGTAAAGTTAATGGTTACTCTATCGGATTACTACTTTAGGTCATAGTTAGAATGCAGGAAAAATATTTTTTCATCATTAGATGAGTATCTGTAAGTCAACAATTCATACTAATATAATTATTTTAGTATTGAGATACCAGGCAAATATAACTTTTCTGTATTACTCAGATTTTACTTAAACATTACCTCTTCAAGGTGGGCCTCCCTAAATCTCTCAGACTAGGTCAGGACCCTGAGTTACAAGCCACCTATACTTTTCCTTCATAGTACTTTAAACTTTTATTAATACTTTCAAAATTTGGTGGGCTCACTTTTATCTCAGTTTCATCTTGCGATTTCTCTGGGATGAATATAACATGCAAGACTGAAGTGCACTTGCAGAATAGCAGGGAAACGTTCACAGAATGGACCTGAGCTGCCCTGAGGCAGGGTCAGTGTAATGGGTTATTCCTCAAGAAAATGAAGGTCAGAGACTGGAAGATAATGAAGAAAGAGACACTGAGTTGTCAAACATCGCATATGTTTTATTGGATATTAATGAAATACGAAATGAGTGATCATATGTCAAACACCTTCACATTCTGCTAGTGGTAGAAACAAAGCACAGTCGTCAAATCAAATAAAAAAACCTAAAAGCCAGAGAACATAGCTCTAAAGACAATGAATGCCATATTTTCTAAAAGGCTTAGTACAAATATAAAAATATCTAAGTATTTTATACACACACATTGCTATTTTAGTATTTACAGTTTATCTTAGGACTATACTTTCAGAGTTCATTTCTACAGTTCGTTACAGCTTACCTCGAAAACTAAAATCTGCTTTCCAATCTAAAATAAGTCTACCTTTTCATTCTGGCTTGGAACAGCCAATAATCTTTTTCTAATATTTACCACAATTTGTAATCATCTATTATTTGTGTGTTTATGTGTTTAATGTCGATTCCCCTTATGAGACTGTAAGCTCTGTGAAGGTAAGGACCGTGTCTGTTCTGTTCAAATCATGTACTCAGTGCCTCCCTACTAATAATGCCTGACCTACTGTCATTTTATAGACTACTTGTTTACTGAATGTGGAGTGACTAGGGCCAGGAACGTCTGCACACTGAGCCAGCTTGAAATAATGACAGAATAAATTTGGCCTCTGTAGCATGAACGTTAATGTTGCTTAAAAATCTTTCTTGTTGACCGGGCTTGGTGGCTCATGCCTGTAATCCCAGCACTTTGGGAGGCCGAGATGGGCGGATCATGGGGTCAGGAGATCGAGACCATCCTGGCTAACACGGTGAAACCCCGTCTCTACTAAAAATACGAAAAATTAGCTGGCCTGGTGGCGGGCGCCTGTAGTCCCAGCTACTCGGGAGGCTGAGGCAGGAGAATGGCGTGAACCCGGGAGGCGGAGCTTGCAGTGAGCCAAGATTGTGCCACTGCACTCCAGCCTGGGCAACAGAGCAAGACTCTGTCTCAAAAAAAAACAAAAAAAAAAACACCAAAAACCCTTTCTTGTTAAAAATCGTTTCCTTTAATCTTAGATCTGCATTTAGTCATTGTACGTTTTGCAGATCCATGGATGATTCTGGGTTTAGTTCTTTGTGAGACTGCCAGAAACTCCCAGAGGCTGGATCTATGCATAAAGAGAGGCCATTGGAGAGAATGTCTACTGAATTGCTGAAGACAATTGCTACCGAGAATAGATCGTAACTTAGGAAGAAACAATTCAGTACCAAAAGAGTAATTGGAGCCCTTCTGGAAAACACTAGTAAGGTACCTCAAGACTTGTAGATGCTAGATAAAAATAGCATGCTGTTGAAGACTTTTAAAGGCCTAATTTTACGTTGTGCACATGTACCCTAAAACTTAAAGTATAATAAAAAAATTACATAAATAACGTTTGTTATAGATGTAAGTTAGGGTGGTTTTAATCTATCTTCCCCAGGTAAATAACTGTATAATTATATTTTGATAATGGCCAGCAGGTCTTTACATTCTTCAGGTTTTCTCTTCCAGATATATGTACTATCTCTTGGTCTATAGATGGCACTCTAGCTATCAGGATACCATGAAAAAAAATCTGGGATATTGGAAAGGGCACATTTTTTTTTGAGGTCATCAGGGTGCTCAATGCAAACCATGGTTGAACACTTAAAGATGTCCAGTAGCTGCTTGAAGATTTCCTGATAAAGAGCTACAAGCACCATGTTCTGCCAGCAGTCATAGGCACTTGGATTTTCTCTCTTCAGATTTAGCTTCTTCTCCTTTTGTCAAACTGCCTGGACAGAGATGCAATTGCTCCTGGTCCTAGAGTCTGTCCACAGCCCTCAACTTTCTAGTTGTTATCTCCCCAGAGATAATATGAGTTGTAATCTTCCAAAGATGCTAGATGTCTAGAATCATTTCCAGAATGCTCCCCGGACCATCATAAAAATAAAGCACCTGCTAATTCCCCCCAGGACTCAAGTCATGCCTGTTCATGTATCTTCCATTCAATTTGCAGCATATCTGTGGTTTAGGACAGTCTTTCTCGAGTGATCCATAGTGAAGGATGACTTTTTGTTTGTTTTATTTTCAGTGTATTGTGGACTGGTACTTTGTGTAAAATATAATAAAATTAGTTGTTAGAAATGTAAAATCGTAAATAAAAACAGACATACAAAATACAAACTGCATTTTTTATTAGTAGATTCAAAAGACAAAATTACTCTGCCAATGTGCTATAGTAGTTTCTTTTCTGACATTTAAAATTCAGATTAAACTTTATTTAAATCAGAAACACAATTCTTAAAAATTGCATTTAGAGTCAAGATCCCTTTTATAACCCTCTTGTTATAAAAATCAGAAGGAATATTTGTAAGTAAAGCAGATATCTCTCTAGGTTAATGAGACCAGATTTGACTTTGGATTTTGTACTTTAAATAGATTCTAGAAGATAGATGAAAAAATATGTTATTTACAGAAAACCGCATCTACCTGTGTATTCAGAGGCATAAATTTTTTGATGGAAATGACTTCAGTACACGCTGGAATCTCAGAAGCAATTTTCAAAGAGCTTAGTTTTATTTTCTTGGATTCTAAGAATTTCTAAAATCCTTTTTCATCCTCAATTTTGGGAGCCAAATAATACTTTAAATGTTCCATATCCGGCAATCTTATACTCTACAGCAAGGGGTGCATCTGCAGACATACTGAGTGTTACTGGGAAGAGAGAGTGGAGTGCCTGTTATAAAGAAATTTAAGTAACTTAGTGCAAAAGTTAGCTGAACTGGCCCATTCATCATTATGGCAACAGCCTCCTCTTCTTTATTGTAATTACTTGTTTGTGGCAATGTTTCCATGTCCAAGTTCTCCATTTGCAGAAAAATTCACTCCATCTTTTGCACAAGAAATTATAGCAGACTCTCCAATATGACTGAGATCTTGGCATATATGAACAAATTCACTAGAATGCATCTTTATTACACAGCTGTACTCTTGTTCTGGAATTTCAAGTTGCTCAACATCTAGAGTCATTAACTTCAATTCACAGTCTAAAAGTTCTCTTGATTTAGTGCTTCAAATTCTAGCACCAAGAGATCCATAGTACCTTCAGCCCTCCATGTAGTGATGTCTTCACTGCCATTGTTGTATTTTAGCATTTTGGACATGCTGGTGAGGCTCATGCTCATGGCTAGGTTGTGGTCACAGTGGTATGTGTTGAAGCCCTGGTCACACAGGGTTAGCTGCACTAAGGAAATGTGTGATACTTTCATGCTGTGTAGGTTCACCTGCTTGAACTGTTGTCCCAGCAGGCCTATCTCTCACATTGAATAGGGCTGACTGTGCAACTAATAAGATGTTGTGGAGATGACAGTGTGTGACATCTGAGGCTATGTCATAAAATACATTGTGACTTCTCACTGTTTCTGGGAGAAGTCAGCTTTCATATCACAAAGACACTCAAGCAGCACTGTGAAGAGGCGCAGGTGGTAAAACTGAAGACCTTCACAAACAGCCAGCACTAATTTGCCAACCAAATGACGGTCTTTGGAAAACAGATCCTCTGGCCTCAGGCAAGTCTTCAAAGACTACAGTCCCAGTCAACCTTTCACTGCAACCTCATGGTAAACCCCGCACTGGTACATCAAGCTGCTCCTGAATTCCTGACTCACAGAAACTGTGAGAGAATAAATGTGGTTGTTCTGGGACACTAGGTTTTGGGGTAATCTGTTATGCACCAATAGATAACAAATAGAGACCAGTACATAAATCAATACATTACTTCCATCTGTGTGATAGGTGTTATGATAGAAGTAGAATACAAGGTGTGGTACAGACAGAGCGGATCTGAAGTAGTAGCCTGTTGTCTTAGTCTGTTTTGTGCTGCTATAATGGTATTTCACAGACTGGGTAATTTATAAAGAACAGAAATTTATTCTCTCACAGTTCTAGAGGCTGGCAGGTCTAAAATCAAGGCACGGTCAGGTTAGGGCTCAGTCTCTCTGCTTTCAAGATGGTGCCTTGAGCACTGCATCCTCCAGAGAGGAGAAACATTGTGTCCCCACATGGCAGAAGAGCAGGAGAGGAAAGGAGACAAATGAGAATTGGGCTCACCCTTTTATAATAGCATTAATTAATTCATGAAGGTGGAGCCCTCATGAGCTAAACACCTCCTTTTAGGTTCTATCTTCCAACACTGTTGCTTTGGAGATGAGGTTTTCAACAAGTTAGCTGAACTGGCTCATTCATCTTTATGGCAACAGCCCCTTCTTTATTGTCATTACTTGTTTGTAACAATGTTGCCACTTCCAAGTTCTCCACTTGCAGAAAATTTTACTCCATCTTTTGCACAGGAAATTGTAATTTTGGGGACATATTGAAACTATGGCATCTACCAAATTAGTAACTCTACCGAGGGAATGCTACAATTCAAGTTTTCATGTTTTCCACAAGCCTGCTATAAATTATTACTTGTTGATTACAAAATAATCAGCAAAATACAAGTATTTATTCCTTTGTACATGGAAGCAACCAAACACTTTTTTTTTGGAATGAAGGTCTACAAGTGATGACAATCTATATTTGTCTTCCTGGTTAAGTACAACTGTAACCAGGGGGGTGGACTCTTGAATTCATGTTTCTCTTTATTTTTTCAATGTTGAGAAGGTAACCAACAATACATGTGGCCAAATAAAAAGCTTTCACATAAAACATTTCAAAAATTTTTAATTCATTGATCCTCTCCTTCCCTCACCCCCAATAAATTTTTTAGTTAACTGGGATGCCTCCTCATTCACAGAATGAAGGACCCATGCTAGCATTTGGGTTACTTTGGTGGCAATGTCAGCTCAGACTCTGCATCTGAGAGTTCTTTAAAGATATGGGTATTTCTGGCCAGGCGTGGTAGCACAGGCCTGTAATCTCAGCACTTTGGAAGGCCAATTTGGGAGAATTGCTTAAGACTAGGGGTTCAAGACCAGCCTGGGCAAAATAGCAAGATCCTGCCTCTACAAAAAAAAAAAAAAAAATTAGCCAGGCTTTATAGCAAGTCCCTGTAGTCCCAGCTACTTGGGAAGCTGAGGTGGAAGGACTGCTCGAGCCCAGGAGTTTGAGGTTGCAGTGAACTATGAATGTGCCACTGCACTCTAGCCTGGGTGACAGAGTGAGACCCTATCTCAAAATAAATAAATAAATAAATAAATAAATAAATACAAGCATTTCCCCTTTCCCCATATATATTAATACTGGTTTATCAGTCTAGGGAAGGTCTGAGGGAATTGATAATGTATACAATTACTGTGTGTTGGGTTCTTTCTGCAGAGGACCTAGCCTTGCTTCAACTGATGGGCTCTGGATTTGAGAACTGGGTTAGGTTTGGAAACTGGATAAAGAGATTATAATTTTCTATTGTGGCAGCTGACATCAGCCTTTGGCTCACTCATTATTGATCTTCTTTTGGGTGTGCAGGTCAGGCAGTACCCTCATCCATCTTAGATCTAGGCACACCATGATCTATTAACCATCACTATAGATCCCTGTATGTCACAGCCCCCTGGTTTCCATTCAACCTTTGTTACCTATTTGGATAACTACATCTGTCTTTCTCTTGATGGCTAAGTAGTGCCTCCTGGCCTCTGCTGTTTCATAATCCTATCATCCCTGAATCCTAGGGGCTTCCCTATCATTATCCCTGGTGTACAAAGCATAGACACTGCCAAGCCTCTCAATGAGGCCAGTGCCCTTCATCCCCAGCCCTTGCACCACTTTGCATTTCTTATTGCTTTAGTAAAAGGGGTGTTCCCTTTTGATTCTCTTGAGAAACACGGTCATCTTCTGGATTTTCAGGTCTCATATGATAGGTCCAGTTGAACATTCCCACCTCTCTGAGCCTCTTGACTTCTTCCTTAGCACTCTTCCAAAGCATTTCTGGAATCTTCACCTGATTTGTTGTAGGCCATAATTTCCCCTCTGCCCCCAATTTTAAAGGAGCTATCCCAGTGGCACAGAACTGATTCCAGATGTCTTTCTTGGGGTACTACTTCCTCAGTTGCAGGAGATTGCCCCGATTTCAACAACCTCTCCCTTATATTCTGCTCCCCTGGCTGAGCATGCTCATGATTGATGTCTAATATGGTTTTTCTATTCCTGCAGGTACATATGAGTTGGGTCCTATAGTGATTTTTTGGTGAACTGGTTCCCTAGTCAAGCTGAGATTTGATTGTTGACCTTATTTATTGGCCTAGAAACCATGTAGGGACATGAGGACATACTTTGAGGAGGATAACATCATCTTTTATTTAAAAAAAACATTATTTTTAATTTTTTATGGGTACATATTAGGTATACATATTTATGGGGTACATGAGATATTTTAATACAGGCATACAATGTGTAATAGTCACCTCAAGGTAAATAGGGTATCTATCACCTCAGGCATTTGTCATTTCTTTGTGTTAGGAACATTCAAATTCCACTCTTTTGGTTATTTTAAAATATACAACAAGTTATTGTTGACTCTCCTGTTGTAGTTTCAAATACTAGATCTTATTCATTTTATCTAACTATATTTTTGAACCTATTAACCATCAGGGCATCCTCTGCTACCCTTTCCCACTACCCTTCCCAGCCACTGGCAACCATCATTCTACCCTCTATTTCCATGAGTTCAATTGATTTAGTTTTTACCTGCCATGAATCAGTGAGAACATGTGAAATTTGTCTGTTTTGGGCCTGTCTTATTTCATTGAACATAATGTCTGCCAGTTTCATTTATGTTGTGGCAAATGACAAGACTTCATTCTTTTTTATGGCTGAATAGTACTCCACTGTATATATATATATACTCCATTTTCTTTATCCATTCACCTGTTGATAGACACTTAGGTTGATTCCAAACCTTGGCTATATTAATAGTGCTGTGATAAAAATGGCAGTGCAGATATCTCTGGGATATATTGACTTCTTCGCTTTTGTGTATATACCTAGCAGTGGGATTGTTGGATCACATGGTAGTTCTGTTTTTAGTATTTTAAGGAAACTCCACACTGTTCTCTATAGTGACTGTACTAATTTACATTGCCACCAACAGTGAACAAGAGCTCCCTTTTCTCTACATCCTCAACAGAATTTGCTATTGCCTCTCCTTTGGATAAAAGACATCTCATTGAGGTGAGATGATATCTCATTGTACCTTTGATTTGCATTTTTTTGATGATCAATAATGTTGAGCACATTTTTATATACGTGTTGGCAATCTTTATGTCTTATTTTAAGAAATGTCTATTCAGACCTTTTGTTTATTTTATTATTTGTTTAATTTCTATTTTTTAAAAATATATTTTTATTTCAACAGCTTTTGGGGAACAAGTTGTTTTTGGTTACATGGATGAATTATATAGTAGTGAATTCATTTTTTTTAAATGAAAGCAAATTTATTAAGAGAGTACAGGAATAAAAGAATGGAAACATGGGCTGTTCAACTGAGTATACTTTTAGTTATTTCTTGATTATATGCTAAACAAGGGGTGGATTATTCATGAACTTCCCGAGAAAAAAGTGGGAAATTCCTGAAACTGAGGGTTTCTCCCTTTTTTGACCATTTAAGGTAACTTCCTGATGTTGCCATGGCATTTGTAAACTGTCATGGCACTGGTGGGAGTGTCTTTTTAGCATGGTAATGTATTATAATTAGTGTATAATGAGCAGTGAGGACAACTAGAGATCACTTTCAACAACATCTTGGTTTTGGTGGGTTTTGGCCAGCTTCTTACAACAGCCTGTTTTATCAGCAAGGTCTTTGTGACCTGCATATTGTGTCAACCCTCCGTCTTATCCTGTGACTAAGAACACCTAACCTCCTGGGAATGCAGCCCTATAGGTCTTGGCCTTATTTTACCCAGTGCCTATTCAGGATGGAATCTCTCTGGGTTGAGACTGGCAATCATCTGACATATTTCCCCCCTCCCTTTTACAAGAGAACCCTTAATCCTAAGGGTTGTTGAGGGACAAAGATCCATCTTCTGTAACTTCTTCTTCAGGCTGAATAGGGGCAATGATATTCTTGCCTAACTATTAGGATCTCTTGTATTTGAGGTAGAGAGGAGCTCAGTCACAAGGCATCCATATACTGAGGGTCATTCATAACTCTGAATTCTGACAAAAGATGATATCTGGAAGATTAATAAGTGTTCAATTTAAGAAAACATTGAGTAAGCTTATCCTGCATTCCTACACAAAGAGTACAACAGCAATATATTCCACAACAGTAAAGCAAATAAGCAACACTATCCCAAATAAACTAAATAAGAAGGCTTTCCATGAACTGAGCAACTGTTGAAACCAAGCTGATATGGGATTGCTAGCTAATTCCAATGTGTGCCCAGAACTAGAATATTGATCCAGGTTTTTACATTACCTATCCCTCTTGTTTCTTTTGAGCAGCAGCCAGAGATCACTGTTGGTTTACAGGAATAAGCAAAGTCAGTCTAAAGGGCAGAAAAAAAACCTAAAAAACAACCGACGAGACTAGAATATATTATAATAACAGATGTGCCATAGTTTTTGAAACATAACTTTTCTCTTTCCAGTCTTCCATTTTTACTAAAGACAAATCATAATAGGACCCATTTGTTTGCAAAAGTAAGCTTTAGTCTTATACTTGGCCCGATTATTTGTATAAAGTGCAGCAAGAAGAATTATTTGCCACATAGGGTTTTAAAATTAGCTTTGATGTATCTTTGTTCCATAAAAGGAATATCAGATAAGCCTTTTTTTTTTTTTTTTAAGCAGAACCCAGCAATGGGTTTGTACTATCAAATTCGTATACTTTAAAGGTAAATTTCTCTCCTCTTCAGATACCAAGATAACTTGGGGCTCCTGGGCCTGTCAGAAAGTGACATTTTCTGCTTACCACAGGTCAAGAACACTGTACAGGGATTGTGTAGACAAGGTATGAGGCTAGTTTTCCCAAGCGGCTTTTATTGGCTCTATAAGTCAAGTTTGATTCCTTATGAGTCTCCAAATTCATTATAGCACTCTGTATGCCTTTGTGTATTCATAGCTTAGCTTCCACTTATAAGTAAGAACATATGCTATTTGGTTTTTTATTCCTGAGTTACTTCACTTACAATAATCAATGGCCTCCAGCTCCATCCAAGTTGCTGCAAAAATAAATTGTTTTGTTCCTTTTTGTGTCTGAGTAGTATTCCACAGTGTGTATATACCACACTTTCTTTATCCACTCATTGGTTGATGGGAACTTAGGTTGGTTCTATATCGTTGCAATTGTGAACTGTGCTGCAACAAACATACACATGCAGGTGTCTTATTCATATAATGACTTCTTTTCCTTTGGGTAGATACCCAGTAGTGAAATTGCTGAACTGAATGGTAGATTGACTTTTTTTTTTAAAGACTCTCCGTACTGTTTTCCATAGTGGTTATACCAATTTACATTTCCATTAGCAGTGTATAAGTGTTCCCTGTTCACCACATCCATGCCAACGTCTATTGTTTTTTTAACTTTTTAATAATGGCCATTCTTGCAGGAGTAATGTAGTATCTCATTGTGGTCTTAATTTGCATTTCTTTGATTATTAATGATGTTGAGTATTTTTATATGTTTATTGGCCATTTGCATATCTTCTTTTGAGAAATGTCTATGTCACTTGCACACTTTTTGTTGGAATTGTTTGTTTTTTCTTATTGATTTATTTGAGTTCCATGTAGATTCTGGATATTAGTCCTTTGTGGATGGAAGGTTTGCAAATATTTTCTCCCATTCTGTGGGCTGCCTGTTTGCTCTGATGATTATGTCTTTTGCTGTGCAGAAGCTGTTTAATTTAATTAGGTCCCATTTGTTTATTTTTGTTTTTGTTGCATTTGCTTTTGGGATTTTAGTCAATAATTCTTTGCCAAGACCAATATCCAGAAGAGTTTTTCCAAAGTTATTGACGAGTAGTTTGTAAGGTTTTGGGTCTCAGATTTAAGTCATCGATCTATCTTGAATTGATTCTTGTACAAGGTGAGAGATAGGGATCCAGTTTCATTCTTCTACATGTGGCTAGCTAGTTTTCCCAGCACAATTTACTAAGTAGGGTGTCCCTTCCCCAATTTATGTTTTTGTTTGCTTGAAGATCAGTTGTTTGTAAGTATTTGGCTTGATTTCCGGGTTTTCTATCTGTTCCATTGATCTATGTGCCTACTTTTATACCAGTACCATGATGTTTGTTAACTATAACCTTGTAGGATACTTGAAGTCTGGTAATGTGATGCTTCTAGATTTGTTCTTTTTGCTTATGATTGTTTTGGCTATTTGGGCTCTTTTTTGGTTCCATATGAATTTTAGAATTGTTTTTTCTAAGTTTGTGAAAAATAATGTTAGTATTTTGATGGGAATTGAATTGAATCTGTAGATTGCTTTGGGCTGTAAGGTTATTTTCACAATATTGATTCTTCCCATTCATGAGCATGGGGTGTGTTTACATTTGTTCATATCATCTATGATTTCTTTCATCAGTGGTTTTAGGTTCTTCTTGCAGACATCTTTCACCTCCTTGGTTAAGTATATTCCTAAGTATTTTATTTTATTTTGGCAGCTGTTGTAAAAGGGATTGAGTTCTTTATTTGATTATCAGCTTTATTGTTGGTGTATAGCAGTGATAGTGATTTGTGTACATTAATTTTGTAGCCTGAGAGTTTACTGAATGTGTTTGTCAAATCCAGGAGTCTTTTGGAGGAGTCTTTAGGGTTTTCTAAGAATATGTTCATATCATTGGTGAAGAGTGATAGTTTGACTTCTTCTTTTCAGATTTGGATGCCTTTTAGTTCTTTCTCTTGCCTGATTGCTCTGACTAGGACTTCCAGTACTATGTTGAAGAGAAGTGGTGAAAATGGGCATCCTTGTCTTTTTCCACTTCTCAAGGAAAATGCTTTCAGCTTTTCCCCATTCAGCATAATGTTGACTGTGGGTTTGTCTTTTATTGGCTTTTATTACATTAAGGTATGTCCCCTTTATGCCAACTGTGCTGAGGGTTTTAATCGTAAAGGGATGTTGGATTTTGTCAAATGCTTTTTTGTGCACCTACTGAGGTGATCATGTGATTTTTCTTTTTAATTCTGTTTATGTGATGTATCACATTTATTGACTTATGTTCAACCATCCCTGCATCACTGAGATGAAACCCACTTGATCATGGTATATTATCTTTTTGATGTGCTGTTGTATTTGTTTAGCTAGCATTTTGTTGAGGACATTTGCATCTATGTTCATCAGTAATATTGATCCACAGTTTTCTTTTCTCATTGTGTCCTTTCATGATTTTGGTATCAGGGTGATACTGGCTTCACAGAGTCATTCAATGAGGATTCTCTTTTACTCAATCTTTTAAATAACTTTGATAACATTGGTACCAATTCATTCAATGTCTGGTAGAATTCCGCCATGAATCCATCTGGCCATGGGCTTTTTCTTGGTTGGCAGTTTTTTTTTTTTTAATTACTGATTCAATCTCGCTGCTTGTTATTGGTCTGTTCAGGGATTCAATTTCTTCCTGATTTAATCTAGGAGGATTATATGTTTCCAATAATTTATCCATTTCCTCTAGGTTTTCTAGTTTGTGAGCATAGAGGTGTTCATAGTAATCTTGAATGATCTTTTATATTTCTGTGGTGTTGGTTGTCATGTTTCCAGTTTCATTTCTAATTGAGATTATTTGAATCTTCTCTCTCTATTTCTTCATTAATCTAGATGGTCAATAAATTTCATTTCTCTTTTCTCTTTTCTTTTTCTTTTTATTATTTTTTTTAAGACAGAGTTTCATTCTGTCATCCAGACTGGAGTGCAGTGGTGTGATCTTGACTCACTGCAACCTCCACCTCCAGGATTCAAGCAATTCTCCTGCCTCAGCCTCCTGAGTAGCTGGGATTACAGGCACCGACCACCACACCTGGCTAATTTTTGTATTTTTAGTAAAGACAGAGTTTTGCCATGTTGGCCAGGCTGGTCTCAAACTCCTGACCTCAGGTGATCCTCCCATCTTGGCCAGAGTGCTGGGATTACAGATGTGAGCCACCGTGCCCAGCCAATTATGTTTGTCTTTTCAGAGAACTAGTTTTTTGTTTCATTTATTTTTTGTATTTTTTTCTTTGTTTCAGTTTCATTCAGTTCTGCACTGATCATTGTTATTTCTTTTCTTCTGCTAGCTTTAGGTTCAGTTTGTTTATGTTTCTCTAGTTCCTTGAGGTGTGATGACAGGTTGTCAATTTGTGATCCTTGTGATGTAGGCATTTAGGGTGCTATAAATTTTCCTCTTAGCACTGCTTTTGCTGTATTTTAAAAGTTTTGAGAACTTGTGTCATTATTATCATTCATTTCAAAGAATTTTTAAATTTCTATCTTGATTTCATTGTTAACCTGAATATCATTCAGGAGTAGATTTTTAAATTTCCATGTATTTGTATATTTCTTGGTGTTCCTTTTGTAGTTTCTTTCTTTTTTTATTTTATTATTATACTTTAAATTCTAGGGTACATGTGCACAACATGCAGGTTTGTTACATATGTATACATGTGCCATGTTGGTGTGTTGCACCCATTAACTCGTCATTTACATTAGGTATATCTCCTAATGCTATCCCTCCCCCCTCCCCCCATCCTATGAGAGACCCTGGTGTGTGATGTTTCCCTTCCTGTGTCCAAGTGTTCTCATTGTTCAATTCCCACCTATGAGTGAGAACATGTGGTGTTTGGTTTTCTGTCCTTGCGATAGTTTGCTGAGAATGATGGTTTCCAGCTTCATCCATGTCCCTACAAAGGACATGAACTCATCCTTTTTTATGGCTGCATAGTATTCCATGGTGTATATGTGCCACATTTTCTTAATCCACTCTATCATGGATGGGCATTTGGGTTGGTTCCAAGTCTTTGCTATTGTGAATAGTGCCGCAATAAACATACATGTGCATGTGTTTTTATAGCAGCGTGATTTACAATCCTTTGGGTATATACCCAGTAATGGGATGGTTGGGTCAAATGGTATTTCTAGTTCTAGATCCTTGAGGAATTGCCACACTGTCTTCCATAATGGTTGAACTAGTTTACAGTCCCACCAACAGTGTCAAGTGTTCCTATTTCTCCACATCCTCTCCAGCACCTGTTGTTTCCTGACTTTTTAATGATCACCATTCTAACTGGTGTGAGATGGTATCTCATTGTGGTTTTGATTTGCATTTCTCTGATGGCCAGTGATGATGAGCATTTTTTCATGTGTCTGTTAGCTGCATAAATGTCTTATTTTGAGAAGTGTCTGTTGGCTGCATAAATGTCTTATTTTGAGAAGTGTCTGTTCATATCCTTTGCCCCCTTTTCATGGGGTGGTTTGATGTTTTCTTGTAAAATTTGTTTAAGTTCTTTGTAGATTCTGGAATATTAGCCCTTTGTCAGATGGGTAGATTGCAAAAATTTTCTCCCATTCTATAGGGTTGCCTGTTCAGTCTGGTGGTAGTTTCTTTTGCTGTGCAGAAAGCTGTTTCGTTTAATTAGATCCCATTTGTCAATTTTGGCTTTTGTTGCCATTGCTTTTGGTGTTTCAGACATGAAGTCCTTGCCCATGCCTACGTCCTGAATGGTATTGCCAAGGTTTTCTTCTAGGGTTTTTATGGTTTTAGGTCTAACATTTAAGTCTTTAATCCATCTTGAATTAATTTTTGTATAAGGTGTAAGGAAGGGATCCAGTTTCAGCTTTCTACATATGGCTAGCCAGTTTTCCCAGCACCATTTATTAAATAGGGAATTAGTTCCCCATTTCTTGTTTTTGTTAGGTTTTTCAAAGATCAAATGGTTGTAGATGTGTGGTATTATTTCTGAGGGCTCTATTCTGTTCCATTGGTCTATATCTCTGTTTTGGTACCAGTACCATGCTGTTTTGGTTACTGTAGCCTTGTAGTATAGTTTGAAGTCAGGTAGCATGATGCCTCCAGCTTTGTTCTTTTGGCTTAGGATTGTCTTGGCAATGCGGGCTCTTTTTAGGTTCCATATGAACTTTGAAGTAGTTTTTTCCAAATCTGTGAAGAAAGTCATTGGTAGCTTGATGGGGATAGCATTAAATCTATAAATTATCTTGGGGAGTATGGCCATTTTCATGATATTGATTCTTCCTACCTATGAGCATGGAATGTTCTTCTATTTGTTTGTGTCCTCTTTTATTTCGTTGAGCAGTGGTTTGTAGTTCTCCTTGAAGAGGTCCTTCACATCCCTTGTAAGTTGGATTCCTAGGTATTTTATTCTCTTTGATACAATTGTGAATGGGAGTTCACTCACGATTTGGCTCTCTGTTTGTCTGTTTTTGGTGTGTAGGAATGCTTGTGATTTTTGCACATTGATTTTGTATCCTGAGACTTTGCTGAAGTTGCTTATCAGCTTAAGGAGATTTTGGGCTGAGACTATGGGGTTTTCTAAATATACAGTCATGTCATCTGCAAACAGGGACAGTTTGACTTCCTCTTTTCCTAATTGAATACCTTTATTTCTTTCTCCTGCCTAATTGCCCTGGCCAGAACTTCCAACACTGTTGAATAGGAGTGGTGAGAGATGGCATCCTTATCTTGTGCCAGTTTTCAAAGGGAATGCTTCCAGTTTTTGCCCATTCAGTATGATATTGGCTGTGGTTTTGTCATAAATAGCTCTTATTATTTTGAGGTATGTCAAATTAATACTTAATTTATTGAGAGTTTTTATCATGAAGGGCTGTTGATCATAGTGGATAAGGTTTTTGATGTGCTGCTGGATTCTATTTACCAGTATTTTATTGAGGATTTTTGCATGAATGTTCATCAGGGATATTGGTCTAAAATTCTCTTTTTTTTGTTGTGCCTCTGCCGGGCTTTGGCATCAGGATGATGCTGGCCTCATAAAATGAATTAGGGAGGATTCCCTCTTTTTCTATTGATTGGAATAGTTTCAGAAGGAATGGTACCAGCTCCTCCTTGTACCTCTGGTAGAATATGGCTCTGAATCCATCTAGTCCCGGACTTTTTTTGGTTGGTAGGCTATTAATTATTGCCTCAATTTCAGAGCCTGTTATTGGTCTATTCAGGGATTCAACTTCTTCCTGGTTTAATCTTGGGATTGTGTGTGTGTCTGGGAATTTATCCATTTCTTCTAGATTTTCTAGTTTATTTGTGTAGAGGTGTTTATGGTATTCTCTGATGGTAGTTTGTATCTCTGTGGGATCGGTGGTGATATCCCCTTCATCATTTTTTATTGTGTCTATTTGATTCTTCTGTCTTTTCTTCTTTATTCGTCTTGCTAGCAGTCTATCAATTTTGTTGATCTTTTCAAAAAACCAGCTCCTGGATTCATTGATTTTTGAAAGGTTTTTTTGTGTCTCTATCGCCTTCAGTTCTGCTCTGATCTTAGTTATTTCTTGCCTTCTGCCAGCTTTTGAATGTGTTTGCTCTTGCTTCTCTAGTTCTTTTAATTGTGATGTTAGGGTGTCAATTTTGGATCTTTCCTGCTTTCTCTTGTGGGCATTTAGTGCTATAAATTTCCCTCTACACACTGGTTTAAATGTGCCCCAGAGATTTTGGTATGTTGTGTCTTTGTTCTGTTGGCTTCAAAGAACATCTTTATTTCTGCCTTCATTTCATTATGTACCCAGTAGTCCTTCAGGAGCAGGTTATTCAGTTTCCATGTAGTTGAGAGGTTTTGAGTGAGTTTCTTAATCCTGAGTTCTAATTTTATTGCACTGTGGTCTGAGAGACTGTTATAATTTCTTTTCTTTTACATTTGCTGAGGAGTGCTTTACTTCCAACTATGTGGTCAATTTTGGAATAAGTGCGATGTGGTGCTGAGAAGAATGTATATTCTGTTGATTTGGGGTGGAGAGTTCTGTAGATGTCTATTAGGTCCACTTGGTGCAGAGCTGAGTTCAATTCCTGGATATTCTTGTTAACTTTCTGTCTCGTTGATCTGCCTAATGTTGACAGTGGGGTGTTAAAGTCTCCCATTATTATTGTGTGGGAGTCAAAGTCTCTTTGTAGGTCTCTAAGGACTTGCTTTATGAATCTGGGTGCTCCTGTATTGGGTGCATATATATTTAGGATAGTTAGCTGTTCTTGTTGAATTGATCTCTTTACCATCATGTAATGGCCTTCTTTGTCTCTTTTGATCTTTGTTGGTTTAAAGTCTGTTTTATCAGAGACTAGGGTGGCAACCCCTGATTTTTTTTGTTTTCCATTTGCTTGGTAGATCTTCCTCCATCCCTTTATTTTGAGCCTATGTGTGTCTCTGCAGATCAGATGGGTCTCCTGAATACAGCACACTGATGGGTCTTGACTCCTTATGCAATTTGCCAGTCTGTGTCTTTTAATTGGAGCATTTAGCCCATTTACATTTAAGGTTAATATTGTTATGTGTGAATTTGATCCTGTCATTATGATGTTAGCTGGTTATTTTGCTCGTTAGTTGATGCAGTTTCTTCCTAGCCTCGATGGTCTTTACAATTTGGCATGTTTTTTCCAGTGGCTGGTACTGGTTGTTTCTTTCCATGTTTAGTGCTTCCTTCAGGAGCTCTTGTAAGGCAGGCCTGGTGGTGACAGAATCTCTCAGCATTTGCTTGTCTGTAAAGGATTTTATTTCTCCTTCACTTATGAAACTTAGTTTGGCTGGATATGAAATTCTGGGTTGAAAATTCTTTTCTTTAAGAATGTTGAATATTGGCCCCCACTCTCTTCTGGCTTGTAGAGTTTCTGCTGAGAGATCAGCTGTTAGTTTGATGGGCTTCCCTTTGTGGGTAACCCGACCTTTCTCTCTGGCTGCCCTTAATATTTTTTCCTTCATTTCAACTTTGGTGAATTCGACAATTACGTGTCTTGGAGTTGTTCTTCTCAAGAAGTATCTTTGTGGCGTTCTCTGTATTTCCTGAATTTGAATGTTGGCCTGCCTTGCTAGGTTGGGGAAGTTCTCCTGGATAATATCCTGCAGAGTGTTTTCCAACTTGGTTCCATTCTCCCCATCACTTTCAGGTACACCAATCAGACATAGATTTGGTCTTTTCACATAGTCCCATATTTTTTGGAGGCCTTGTTAGTTTCTTTTTACTCAGTTTTCTCTAAACTTCTCTTCTTGCTTCATTTCATTCATTTGATATTCAGTCACTGATACCCTTTCTTCCAGTAGATCAAATTGGCTACTGAAGGTTGTGCATGCGTCACGTAGTTCTCCTGCCATGGTTTTTAGCTCCATCAGGTCATTTGAGGACTTCTCTACACTAATTATTCTAGTTATCCATTCGTTGAATCTTTTTCAAGGTTTTTAGCTTCTTTGCAATGGATTCCAACATCCTCCTTTAGCTTGGATAAGTTTGATCGTCTGAAGGCTTCTTCTCTCAACTCGTCAAAGTCATTCTCCGCCTAGCTTTGTTCCATTGTTGGCGAGGAGCTGCGTTCCTTTGGAGGAGATGAGGCGCTGTGATTTTTAGAATTTTCAGCTTTTCTGCTCTGGTTTTTCCCCACCTTTGTGGTTTTATCTCCCTTTGGTCTTTGATGATGGTGACGTACAGATGGGGTTTTTGTGTGGATGTCCTTTCTGTTTGTTAGTTTTCCTTCTAACAGTCAGGACCTTCAGCTGCAGGTCTTTTGGAATTTGCTGGAGGTCCACTCCAGACCCTATTTACCAGGGATCACCAATGGAGGCTGCAGAACAGCGAATATTGCAGAACAGCAAATGTTGCTGCCTGATCGTTCCTCTGGAAGCTTCGTCTCAGAGGGGCACCTTGTTGTGTGAGGTGTTAGTTGGCCCCTACTGGGAGGTGCCTCCCAGTTAGGCTACTCAGGGGTCAGGGACCCACTTGATGAGGCAGTCTGTCCATTTTCAGATCTCAAGCTCCATGTTGGGAGAACCACTACTCTCTTCAAAGCTGTCAGACAGGGATGTTTAAGTCTGCAGAAGTTTCTGCTGCCTTTTGTTCAGCTATGCCCTGCCCCCAGAGGTGGAGTCTACAGAGGCAGGCAGGCCTCCTTGAGCTGCAGTGGGCTCCACCCAGTTCGAGCTTCCCGGCTGCTTTGTTTACCTACTCAAGCCTCAGCAATGGCGGGTGCCCCTGTAGTTTATTTCAAGTTTTCTTCCACCACGCCTGGCTTCATTCTGCCAATCTGCGAAGATACTTGATATAATTTTGATATTTTAATATTTATTGAGACTTGTTTTGTGGTCTATCATATGACCTATCTTGGAGAATGTTCCATATGCTGATGAGAAGAATGTATATTCTGCAGTTCTTGGGTAGAATGCTCTGTAAATATCTGTTAGGTTCATTTCTTCTAGAGTGTAGTTTAAGTCTGTTGTTTCTTTGTGGACTTTCTGCCTCAGTGATCTATCTAGTGCTGTCAGTGGGATATTGAAGTCCCCCATTATTATTGTTGATGTCTATCTCATTTCTTAGGTCAATTAGTAATTATTTTTTTGAATGTGGGAGCTGCAGTGTTGGTGCATACAGAGTTAGGATTGTAACATCTTATTGTTGGAATGATCTTTTTATCATTATATAATAATCCTTTCTGTCTTTTTTTGGTTGTTGCTTTAAAGTCTGTTTCATCTGATATAACAATAGTTACTCCTCCTCACTTTTGGTTTTCATTTGTGTGGAATATCTTTTACCATCCCTTTACTTTGAGTTTATATGAATCCTTATGTGTATGTGGGTTTCTTGAAGACAGCAGTTATTTAGTTTGTGATTTTTAAAGTCAGTTCTGCCAACTTACATTATTATTATTTTTTGAGACAGGGTCTGGCTCTGTCACCCAGGCTGGAGTGCAGTGGCAAGTTCATGGCTCACTGCAACCTCCACCTTCTGAGGTCAAGCCATCCTCCCACCTCAGCCTCCTGAGTAACTGGGACTACAGGTATGTGTCACCATGCCAAGCTAATTTTTGTATTTTTGGTAGAGATGGGTTTCACCATGTTGCCTAGGCTAGTCTTGAACTCCTGGGCTCAGGCGGCCCACCTGCTTTGGCCTCTTAAAGTGCTAGAATTACAGGTGTGAGTCACCACGCCTGGCCTCATTCTGCCAATCTGTATCTTTTAAGTGGAGCGTTTAGGCCATTTACATTCAATGTTAATATTGAGATGTGAGGTACTGTTCCATTCACCATGTTAATTTTTACCTAGATACTTTGTTTTTTCATTGTGTTGTTTTATAGCCCTTGTGAATTTTCAGGAGGTTCTATTTTGGTGCATATTGAGCTTTTGTTTCAAGACTTAGAACTTCTTTTAGCATTTCTTGTGGGGCTGGTCTGATAGTAACAAATTCACTCAGCGTTTGTTTGTCTAAAAATGACTTTATTTTTTCTTCATTTATAAAACAGTTTTGCTACATACAGAATTCTTAGCTGACAGTTATTCTGTTTAAGGAGGCTAAAGATAAATCCCCAATCGCTCTGGCTTGTAAGGTTTTTGCTGAGAAGTCTGCTGCTAGTCTGACAGGTTTTTCTTTATAGGTTACCTAATGCTTTTGTCTCACTGCTCATAGAATTCTTTCCTTCATATTGATTCTAGATAGCCTGATGAGTATATGCCTTGGTGATGATGTTTTTACAATGAATCTCCCAGGAGTTCTTTATAATTCTTGTATTTGGATGTCTAATTCTCTAGCAAGGCCAGGGAGGTTTCCCTCAATTATTCCCTCAAATAAATTTTCCAAACTTTTTGCTTTCTCTTCTCCCTCAGGAACACCAATTATTTTTAGATTTGACCATTTTGCACAATCTTATATTTCTTCCTGACTTTGCTCATTTGTTTTTATTCTTTTTTCTCTATTTTTATGTGACTGTGTTAATTTGAATGCCTTGTCATTGAGTTCTGAAGTTCTTTCCTCTCCTTGTTCTAGTCTACTGTTGAAACTTTCCACTGCATTTGGTAATTCTGTAAGTGTGTCTTTCATTTCCAGAAGTTCTGATTGGCTTTTCTTCAATATATCTCTCTCTTTAGAAAATTTTTTATTTATATCCTGAATTTTAAAAAAAGTTTCTTTATATTGGTTTTCACCTTTCTCTGGTATCTCCTTGGATAGCTTAATAATCAACCTTTTAAATTCTTTATCTTGTACTTCAAAGATTTAATCTTGGTTTGGATTCATTGATGAAGGGCTAGTGTAATGTTTTGGGGGTGTTATAGAACCCTGTTTTGCCATATTACCAGAATTACTTTTGTAGTTCCTTCTCATGTTTGTAGACTATTTTTCATGATTATCCTTGAATTTATTTTTGCTTTGACTGTTTTTTTAAATTTCTTTTTCCCACCTTAAGGTTGTGACTTTTATGTTTATAGTTTACTGTAGCATAACTTGGCTCTTGGTGCTCTCAGGGGTGAAGACTCTCTATGAGTTACTTAGTTACAGAGAGTCTTTGTGTGATGAATTTCTCAGATGCTGGTTGTAGCAGCAATGTGCTCAGTGTGTGAGCAAGTTCACCCTCTCCTATAGTGTTGAAATGGCAGAGGTCTCTTGAAGCTTATCTAATTCCCCCATGTTGTACACTTATTTATTATTTTTTTCCCACAGTATTATATTTACTGGGTTGAATAGTTCAGGCTTCAGCCCAGTAGGAGAGCTTTCCACAGGTGAAAGCCAGCTGTGGCTAAAGCAGGTGGGTAAATGCAATACCTAATGGTGGGCAGAGGTCCCAGACTTGACAGATGTGACTGGGGGAGCACTCAGTGAAATACACTGAGGTCTTCTCAGAGAGAAGGACCAGAGCCACTTCACCTCCCCTGCCAGGCCCACAGGAAAGCTGTTCACCTCTCAGACACACTCCTGACCCAGTGTTCTGGCTATTCAAATCAGAGAGGTACCTCCTTTCATCTGCAGGAATATTGATGTTCCAAGTGGAGAGAAACTGTGACTCTGCCTCCTGTGTAGGCCTGCATTTGGAGGGTGCTCCTTCTGTGGGGATGCAGTCACCTTGAAGTGTTCCAGAGAGGTCTGTAGGTGCATCCATACCGAGCTCTTGTGAGAAAAGCCCCAGCTGTATCTACAGTGGTGGATAAGGGGAAAAAGAAATCTTCTCCAAGACTCTTCATGAGCACCAGGGCTGCCTGATTGTGGAGGTGGAGCTGCACACTTTCCCTGCTGAGCCCAGTACTGCCAACTGTGCCTCTGCTGAAAGAGACTTCCCACCAGCAGAAAGATTTGGGACTCAAGGCCTGCTGTCTGGATTCTTTTGTCTTAGGCGAGGGTCTAGCTGCCCATTCCAGGCTGGTGCAGGTGAATGTTTGCAAGAGGTCTAGAGATATGACCTGTGATTAAGTCTCCCAGCAGTGGGTACCAGTACTAGTCTGATGGGGGTGCCAGGGGAGTGACATAGACTCAGTGAGATTCCTTGTTTATAGATAGCCTTAGTGTGTTGGCTTTCTCAAATGCTCTTTGTAGTAGTAATGAAGAGTTCACATGGACAGACTCAGGGCCTCCTGGTTAGCCAGAGTGCTGCAGGCGATGGTGATAGCTGAGGTCATGCACAAGTTTTATCCTTCCTGGGTGCAATGTTATTCTACCTTGAAATGCTATAATGCTGTGTTGATTGGCCTCCAGCCAGGAGGTGGCACTTGCAAAAGAGCACCAGTTGCTGTAGTAGCAGTGGGATTTTTGTTTGCCTTATGTTACCCAGGAGCAGTAATCTGGTTTTTCATGTGATAGGTAGGGCCATAAAGCTTCCAAAAGTTTCTATCCTTTGTTTTAAGCTACCAGGGCTAGTGAAGGGGGAAAGTGAGGTTGGGGTTTTGTCAGGCAGGCTCGTGCTTTTACTCTCCACGTGTGGAGCAGCCCTGGTGTGAGTTGTGGGGTGGTTCTCTGGCTACTGGGATAACGTTCCAGAGAGAAGCATTACTGCTTCTGCTGCACAGAAGTGTTTGTGCAGGGAGTGAGGAGTAACAGATGCCAGTAAAACTCACCTAGCTCCTCAGCACTTGGTAAGCCATATCTCAGACCCGCAGTTTTCTGCTAGTAGCAGCGAGCTAAGTTCCAGGCATCTATGCTCAGAACTCAAGACTTACCCAGCCGTACACTTTCCCAGTGGAGAGGGCAACCATGGCTTTGAGGCCTTGCCCCTCCAAGTTTTCCCACAGAGCCAGGGTGTCTAGCTCCTGTGCTCATGGATGCAGCACACTTGCCACTTGCCCCTTGGTTCTGTCCAAGGATGTTCTTCCCCACTTGAGGTTATATTGTGAAATTCAGTTGAGAGCTTCTTTCAACCAGTGACTACTGCCTGAGTAACTTGGCAGACTTCCATGAGGTCCCCTATGAGGCAAAATAAGGAATAGCTTCCCCTAGTTTGTCCTGGACACTGGGAATAAATTGAAGGATCCTTCTGCTGCCATTTCTACTTTTAGTTTTCTCAGTGCCCCCTAAATGAGTTCCAGTGCTGAGTAGCACTAATGCCTTCCCTCTTGGCCTGGATTTCCAGTTTCCCCAGTGGGGGTGTATATCCTGGAGGCAGTCTCTCACTCTCTCACACTCCGGAGACTTACAGTTTTCCACCTGGCTCATGGTGTAGGCTACAGCCTGTCACTTCTTTTAAATAATCTACGAATTTCAGTTTCCCTGTTAAGTTCCTGCATTGCTTCTTGGAAAACAGTTCACAGCATGAACATCTGCACACTATCATGTCTTTCCAAGTGGGAGAGGCATGCTAACACTGCCTCCAATCTGCTATCTTGGAAGACAAAAATCTTTTGCCCATTTTAAAATTAGATTATTAGATTTTTTTTTCTATTGAGATGTTTGAGCTCCTTATGTATTCTTGTTATTAATCCCTTGTCAGATGGAGAGTTTGCAAATATTTTCTCCCATTCTGTGGGCTGTCTCTTCACTTTGTCGATTGTTTCCTTTGTCGTGCTGAAGCATTTTAACTTGATGTGATCATTTCTGTCCATTTTGCTTTGTTTGCCTGTGCTTTTGGGGTACTACTTAAGAAATTTTTGCTTAGACCAATGTCCTGGAGAGTTTCCCCAAAGTTTTCTTTTGGTAGTTTTGTAGTTTGAAGTCTTAGATTTAAGTCTTTAGTTGATTCTGATAGATTTTTGTATATGGTGAAGATAGAGATCTAAATTTATTCTGCTGCATATGCATATTCAGTATTTTTGTTGTTTTTTGAGACAGGCTATCACTCTGTCACCAAGGTTGGAGTGTGGTGGTAGGATCATGGCTCACTGCAGCTGTGATCTTCCAGGTGCAAGTGATCTTTCCATCTCAGCTTCCTGAGTAGCTGGGACTATAGGCATGCAGTACCATGCCCAGCTAATTAAACAAACATTTGTAGAGACAGGGTTCCACACTGTTTCCCAGACTGATCTCTAACTCCTGGGCTCGAGTGATCCTCCCACCTCAGGCTTCCAAACATTTTTTTTTTCTTTTCAACTTTAATTTTAGGTTCAAGGGGGTACATGTGCAGGTTTGTTACATGGGTAAATTGCATGTTGTGGGAGTTTGTTATACAGATATTATATTATCTTATATTATATATTATATTATATTATATATTATACAAAGAATTATGTCACTCAGGTAAGCAGCATAGTACTGATAGGTAGTTTTTTTATTATTATGCTTTAAGTTCCGGGATACATGTGCAGAATGTGTAGGTTTGTTAGATAGGTATACATGTGCCGTGGTGGTTTACTGCACCTATCAACCCATCATCTAGGTTTTAAGCCCAGCATGCATTAGGTATTTGTCCTAATGCTCTCCCTCCCCTTGCCCCCAACTCTTCAACAGGCCCTGGTGTGTGATGTTCCCCTCCCTGTGTCCATGTGTTCTCATTGTTCAACTCCCACTTATGAATGAGAACATGCAGTGTTTGGTTTTCTCTTCCTGTGTTAGTTTGCTAAGAATGCTGGTTTCCAGCGTCATCCATGTTCCTGCAAAGGACATGGACTTATCCCTTTTTATGGCTGCATAGTATTCCATGGTGTATATGTGCCACATTTTCTTTATCCAGCCTATCATTGATGGACATTTGGGTTGGTTCCAAGTCTTCGCTATTGTAAACAGTGCCATAATAAACATACGTGTGCATGTGTCTTTATAGTAGAATGATTTATAATCCTTTGGGTATATACCCAGTAATGGGATTGGAGGGTCAAATGGTATTTCTGGTTCTAGATACTTGAGGAATCGCTGCACTGTCTTCCACAATTGTTGAGCTAATTTACAGTCCCACCAACAGTGTAAAAGCATTCCTAGTTTTCCTCATCCTCTCCAGCATCTGTTGTTTCCTGACTTTTTAATGATTGCCATTCTAACTGGCATGAGATGGTATTTCATTGTGGTTTTGATTTGCATTTCTCTAATGGCCAGTGATGGTGAGCTTTTTTTCATAGATTTGTTGGCCACATAAATGTCTTCTTTTGAGAAATGTCTGTTCATATCCTTTGTGCACTTTTTGAAGAGGTTTTTTTTTTTCTTGTAAATTTGTTTAAGTTCTTTGTAGATTCTGAATATTAGACCTTTGTCAGATGGATAGATTGCAAAATTTTTCTCCCATTCTGTAGGTTGCCTGTTCACTCTGATGATAGTTTCTTTTGCTGTGCAGAAGCTCTTTAGTTTAATTAGATCCCGTTTGTCAATTTTGGCTTTTGTTGCCATTGCTTTGGTGTTTTAGTCATGAAGTCTTTGCCCATGCCTATGTCCTGAATGGTATTGCCTAGGTTTTCTTCTAGGGTTTTTATGGTTTTAGATTTTACATTTAAGTCTTTAATCCATCTTGAGTTAATTTTTGTATAGGGTGTAAGGTGAGGGGTCCAATTTCAGTTTTCTGCATATGGCTAGCCAGTTTTCCCAGCACCATTTATTAAATAGGGAATCCTTTCCCCATTTCTTGTTTTTGTCAGGTTTGTCAAAGATCAGATGGTTGTAGATGTGTGGTGTTGTTTTTGAGGCCTCTGTTCTGTTCCATTCTTCTATATATCTGTTTTGGTACCAGTACCATGATGTTTTGGTTACTGTAGACTTGTGTAGTTTGAAGTCAGATAGTGTGATGACTCCAGCTTTGTTCTTTTTGCTTAGGATTGTCTTGGCTATATGGGCTCTTTTTTGGTTGCATATGAAATTCAAAGTAGTTTTCTCTAGTTCTGTGAAGAAAGTCAAAGGTAGCTTGATGGGAATAGCATTGAATCTATATATTCTATATATTACCTTGGGCAGTATGGCCAATTTCACGATATTGATTCTTTCTATTCATGAGCATGGAATGTATTATTATTATTATAGTTTAAGCTCTAGGGTACATGTGCACAACATGAAGATTTGATACATAGGTATACATGTGTCATGTTGGTTTGCTGCACCCATCAACGACGTCATTTACATTAGGTATTTCTTCTGATGCTATCCCTCCCCCAGCCCCCCACCTCCTGACAGGCCCCAGTGTGTGATGTTCCCCGCCCTGTTTCCAAGTGTTCTCATTGTTCAATTCCCACCTATGAGTGAGAACAGAGCATGGAATATTTTTCCAATTGTTTGTATCCTCTCTTATTTCCTTGAGCAGTGGTTTGTAGTTCTCCTTGAAGAGGTCCTTCACCTCCCTTACAAGTTGTATTCCGAGGTATTTTATTTTCTTTGTAGCAATTGTGAATGGGAGTTCACTCATGATTTGGCTCTGTGTCTATTATTAGTGTATAGGAATGCTTGCGATTTTTGCACATCAATTTTGTATCTTGAGACTCTCCTGAAGTTGCTTATCAGCTTAAGGAGTTTTTGGGCTGAGATGATGGGGTTTTCTAAATATACAATTATGTCATCTGCAAACAGAGGCAATTTGACTTCCTCTCTTCCTATTTTAATACCCTTTGTTTTTTTTCTCTTGCCTGATTGCCCTGGCCAGAACTTCCAATACTATGTTGAATAGGATTGGTAAGAGAGGGTGTCCTTGTCTTCTGCCAATAGGTAGTTTTTAAAACCTCTCCCTTCTCCCTGTCTATACCCTCAAGCAGGTCCTGAGTCTATTCTTCTTTGTGTCCATGTGTGCTCAATATTTAACTCCCACTTATAAATGAGAACATGCAGGATTTGGTTTCTGTTTGATGAGCATCTAGATTGATTCCATGTCTTTACTATTGTGAATAGTGCTGTGATGATCATACAACTGCATATGACATTATGGTAGAATTTCTTTGGATGTATACCCAATAATGAGGTGGCTGGGTCAAATAGTAGTTCTAAGTTCTTTGAGAAATCTCCAGAGTGCCTTCCGCAGTGGCTGAACTAATTTACATTGCCACCAGCAGTGTATACGCATTCCCTTTTCTCTGTAATCTCTCTAGCATATGTTATTTTTTGAATTTTTAATCATAGCCATTCTGACTGGTGTAAGTGGTATCTCATTGTAGTTTTAATTTACATTTTCCTAATGATTAGTGCTATTCAACATTTCTTCATATGCTTGTTGGCTGCATATATGTCTTCTTTAAAAATGTCTGTTCATGTCTTTTGCCCACTTTTCTATAGGGTTGTTTGTTTTTGCTTATTGGTTTACATTCCTTATAGATTAGGATTTGGATCTGGGTATTAGAGCTTTGTCAGGATGAACTTCATCAGATGCATAGTTTGCAAATATTTTCCCTCATTATGTGGGTTGTGTGTTTACTCTGTTGATAGTTTCTTTTGCTGTGTAGAGGTTCTTTAGTTTACATAGGTCCCATTTGTCAATTTTTGTTTTTGTTGTAATTTTTGTTTTTAGCATCTTTGTCATGAAGTCTTTGCCAGGGCCTTTGTCCAGAATGGCATTTCCTAGGGTTTCCTCAAGGATTTTTATAGTTTTAGATTTTACAGTTGAGCCTTTAATTCATCTTGAGTTGTTTTTTGTATATGATTTGAAGAAAGGATCCAGTTTAATCTTTTGCATATGGCTAGCCAGTTATCCTGGTACCATTAATTGAATAGGGAGTTCTTTCTCCATTGCTTGTTTTTGTCAACTTTGTCAAACATCAGATGGCTGTAGGTGTGTAGATTTATTTCTGAGCTCTCTATTCTGTCTCATTGGTCTATGTGTCTGATTTTGTATAAGTACCATGCTGTTTTAGTTACTCTTGCTCTATAGTATAGTTTGAAGTTGGGTAGGGTGATGATTGCAGCTTTGTTCTTTTTGCTTGGGATTGCTGTGTTGGTTAATATTAGGGGTCAACTTGATTGAATTGAAGGATACCTACATAGCTGGTAAAGTGTTTCTGAGTGTGTCTGTGAGGGTGTTTCCAACATTTGAGTCAGTGGACTGAGAGAGGAAGACGCACCCTCATTGTGGGTGGTCACCACCCAACTGGCTGCCACAGCAGCTAGAATAAAGCAGGTAGAAGAAGGTGGGATAAGCCAGCTTGTGGAGTCTTTCATCTTTCTCTGTGCTGGATGCTTCCTTCCATTCTTCCTGCCCTTGGACATCAGACTTCAGGTTCTACAGCCTTTGGACTCTTGGACTTACACCATTGGCTTGCCAGGGGCTCTTAGGCCTTCTGCCACAGACTGAAGGCTGCACTGTTGGCTTCCCTACTTTTGAAGCTTTTGGACTTGGACTGAGATACTACTGGCTTCTTTCTTCCTCAGCTTGAAGGTGGCATATTGGGGGACTTCATCTCATGATCGTGTGAGCCAATTCTCCTTAATAAACTCTCTTTCATATATACATATATCCTATTAGTTCTGTCCCTCTGGAAAACCCTAATACAATTGCTTTGGCTATTCAGGCCCCCCTTTTTTTGGTTCCAAATGAATTATAGAATGGTTTTTCTAATTCTGTGAAGAATGTCATTGGTGGTTTGATAGGCATAGCATTGAAACTGTAAATTACTTTGGGCAGTTTGGCCATTTTAACAATATTGATTCTTCCTATCCACAAGCATGGGATGTTTTTCCGTTTGTTTGTCATCACTGATTTCTTTCAGCACTGTTTTGTAATTCTCATTGCAGAGATCTTTCACCTCCATGGCTAGCTGTATTCCTAGGTGTTTCATTTTTCTTGTGTGACTCTTGTGGATGGGATTGCATTCTTGCTTTGACACTCAACTTGCATAGTGTTGGTGTACAGAAATGCTACTTGTTTGTGTATGTTGATTTTGTATTCAGAAACTTAACTAAAGTTGTTTGTCAGATCTACAAATTTTTGGACAGAGACTATGTGGTTTTCTACGTATAGTATATCATCTGCAAACAGATTGTTTGACTTCTTCTTTTCTTGTTTGGATACCTTTTATTTCTTTCTCTTGTTGATTGCTATGGCTAGCACGTCCAGTACTATGTTGAATAGCAGTGTTGAGTGTGGGCATTTTTGTCTGTTCTGGTTCTCAATAGAAGTGCTTCCAGCTTTTGCACATTCAGTATGATGTTGGCTGTGGATTTTTTTTTTTTTTTTTGAGACGGAGTTTCACTCTCATTGCCCAGGCTGGAGTGCAATGGCATGATCTCAGCTCACCGCAACCTCTACCTCCTGGGTTCAAGTGATTCTCCTGCCTCAGCCTCCCGAGTAGCTGGGATTACAGGCATGTGCCACCATGCCTGGCTAATTTTGTATTTTTAGTAGAGATGGGGTTTCTCCATGTTGGTCAAGCTGGTCTCGAACTCCCAACCTGAAGTGATCCACCCGCCTCAGCCTCCCAAAGTGCTGAGATTACAGGCAGGAGCCACCATGCCTGGCCTGGCTGTGGATTTGTCATAGACAGTTCTTATTATTTTGAGGTATGTACCTTTAATGCCTACTTTTTTGAGGGTCTTTCACACAAAAGGATGTTGAATTTGATCAAAAGCCGTTTTTGCATCTATTGATGCTGAGACCTGCTCAGGTGGGGAGACCCTAACCCAGTGGTGCTAGAGGAATTAAAGACACATAGAGAAATATAGAGGTGTGGAGTGGGAAATCAGGGGTCTCACAGCCTTCAGAGAGCAGAGCCTTGAACAGAGATTTACCCAAGTATTTATTGACAGCAAGCCAGTGATAAGCATTGTTTCTATAGATTATAGATTAGCTAAAAGTATTCCTTATGGGAAACAAAGGGATGGGCCGAAGTAAAGGGATGGGTCTGGCTAGTTATCTGCAGCAGGAGTGTGTCCTTAAGGCACAGATTGCTCATGCTATTGTTTGTGGTTTAAGAACGCCTTTAAGTGGTTTTCTGCCCTGGGTGAGCCAGGTGTTCCTTGACCTCATCCTGGTAAACCCACAACCTTCCAGCGTGGGCATCATAGCCATCAAGAACATGTCATAGTGCTGCAGAGATTTTGTTTATGGCTAGTTTTGGGGCCAGTTTATGGCCAGATTTTGGGGGGGCCTGTTCCCAACACATCCCCCTTCTTTGATTTGCAAAGTGATAAAAGCAAAGGCAGCTTTGTCACAGTGAGCTACTGCTTGCAGGAGTCGGGATCCACATCTGCAGACTATACAAAGACAAACAACACACATTAAAAACACAATTATCATTGAAATCACAGAGCTTCCAAGTGTTTTATCCATTTTAATGGGTTGCTAGCTGCTAATCTGTCTGCAGCTCCTTCAAACACTCCAGTTCCTGGCATTAAGGCCAGGTGTGCCTGGGATGCTTTAAATATTTGTTGTTTTAATTTTGCAATATCTAAAGACAAGTTTATAGAGTTTCCTTCTAGATTTTTTTATTCTTTCCCAAATTTTGATCTTATTAAGAGCTATTAATAGTTTCCACAAATCTTTATGTTTAGTTCCTACAACGGGCCATATCATTTGAGGTTGAGTTGCTACTATATGGCCATGGTTCCAGATAATAAGAACTCTTGCCATACTTCTTACCATTTCTACCATCTGACTGTTTTGTTCAGACTAGCTGAACATAGTGTGGCCATGGCACGCAGACTGAGAGGTGCAATTCAGGCTAAACATCCTCTTAGGGGACCAATCAATAATAATTCCTAGGAATCATTGTGCAGCACCTCTGCCTAAACAAGGTTTGCAATGCAGTCTTCCTGAACAAGTACGTTCATTTTTTCTGGCTAGGTTCAATTTTGTTCACCAATAGGTTTTTGAGAGCAGTATGCATTAATTATAGGAGCAGATTTATTATGATAAATATTGAGATCAGAAAGCATTTGTAACTGTGTCATAAAGTGATTACATCCAGGTATTATTGCCAGCTAAGATAGATAAATATGACCAATAAGTATAATTGTTCTCTGTGTCAGCCCTTGTTGAAGGAATACACATGGCAATGGTGATCACCACTATCATAGCTACCATTAAATTACTCATTGTGACCAGTTGTCCCACTTTCCTCAGGTTTTCTTCCACCATCTGTGACAGCTTCTTGATCTGTCCCCAGGTTGGTGGCTGTGTTCGATGGGTGTTGCTTGTGACAGTTGGGGTCCTCTTCAGCATCAGTCTCGACATGGCTGCAACTGGGGAGTCCTTGGGATCCTCCCAGAATCTCTTCCTCAGCATCTGGCTCATAATAAGGTTTCAGGTGTCTTGATGGTATCCAAATCGGCTGTTGATTTTGGCCTGGAGAAACACAAGCATAACCTCTACCCCAGGTTATTATTTTACCTATTTCCCAACTTTTTGTTATCGGGTCTCTCCACCAAACCAGTTTTTCTGCTTCTGTCTTTGCAGCTGGTTTCTGTAGATGCTGTTCAGCTGCTGATAACATCTGGCCTTTAGGCAGGCTCAAAAAATTTAAAGTTAATAATGCTAGATTCAATTGTATATGGGCCGTCCCATAATCCCTGTTTCTCCTCCTTTTTTGTTTTTATCATCAGTTGTTCATCTGTATGAAATTGTAACTGAGCATTTTCAATTAATTGTGTGGAATGAACCACGTATGAAGAATCAGAAATCACATTAATAGGCATATCAAAAGCAGTCAATACCTCAATTACAGCTACAAGCTCCACTTTTTGAACTGAAGTATAGAGCGTCTGGAAAACTTTACCTGTCGAGCCAGAATAAGAAGCTTTGCCATTACTAGACCCATCTGTAAAAACATTCTCAGCACCTTCAATTGGTTTAGATTTAGTAATTTTAGGGAGAATCCAATTAGTTAATTCCAAAAATTGTAACAGTTTCATTTTTGGAAAATGATTATTGAGAATTGTTCAGTAACCAAATCCTCTAAAGCCTCCAGTTTCTCTTTACTCAGTGGCCATTGTTCTATCCAAACTGGCTTATCTGTTAACCATTTTAAAGGTATAGGTTCTGGAGGCTTAACAATGGCTGCCATAAAAAATGATATCCTAAACCTTGGCGGGAACTTTGTCTTTCTGCTTGAAGCGGTTCTTTCAAACCTTGCAAATTTTTTCCTAGTCCCATACCAGAGACATACCCCATTTCATGCATCATATGTTGACTTTGAGGGCTATATAATAGTTCAGGAATTAGAACTTGTGCTCTCCATTGTTGTAATAAATCTCTCCCCCATAAATTTATAGGTACAGAAGTTATAACTGGTTGAATAGTCCCAGGTGGTCCATCAGACCCTTCACAATGCAAAATATAACTACTTTGATATACTTCAGAGGCTTTACCAACTCCAACTATGTTAAAATGAGTGGGTGGAATTGGCCATGCAGACGGCCAGTGCTGTAGAGAAATGATTGAAATGTCCATTCCTCTATCTACCAAACCTTTAAATTTCTTCCCCTGAATAGTTATTTCACAGGTAGGACATTTATCAGTAATTTGATTTACCCAATAAGCTGCTTTGCCTTGTTAATTTGTGCTTCCAAATCCTCCTGTTCATTTAATTTCACTTTTCCCCATTCCCAGATATGACGCAATCAGGAGCTGTGCTATGCGCTCTCCTGGCTCTGCTTTCCAGAGAACAGAAGTAGATATAACAATTTGAATTTTGCCATTGTAATCTGAATCAATGACTCCTGTTTGTACTTATACCCCTTTTAAACTTAAACTAGACCTTCCTAAAAGTAATCCTATCATTCCCGCTGGCATGGGTCCACAGACTCCTGTTGGGACCTTTTGCAGGGGTTCCCCAGGCAGAAGGCTCACAGCTTTTGTGCAGCATAAATCTACTGCAGCACTACCAGCTGTGCTGGGGGACAGACATTGTATATGGGTGAGGGAATGGCCTGAGCCGGAAATGCCCCAGTTTGGAATGGGGTCCAGGATGGGCCCCTCATGGCGTTTCCTGAATTTAAAAGGAAAAGGCTCAAACGTAGCTGTAATATTTCCTGTTGATCAGGTGGGTGTGTTCTAACACAGAACTGCCAAGCCTCTAAATCATCCTCTCATCTAGCTTGCTGAATTCCTGCCTGAATAGAACTGAGAGCAGTCACTCAAGGCACCACTCGAACAGTCACTGGGGCAACTACTTTTTGCCTATTGTCCTCCGGTGGTGGGTCAGGCTACTCTTTATTCAAAATAATAGGAGGTGCAGAAGGGTAGGGGTGAACCTCTCCCCCCTTTGCCACTTTAGCTTTAGCTGGCAAACAAACCTGCTCTGTCACTTCTTCTGTTACTTCATTATACTCTCCTTCCCCCTTATTATTAGTGTGAAAAGGTTCCAAGGTGGAATGAACCAGAGCCCACACTTGTCCCATTGTTACCCTGATGCTTCTGAGCTCCCCTTCTTACTCACCATGAGGATTGCTTTAAGAGTACTTGGGTGTCCTCCAGCTTAGTTCCATGTTCTCCAACCGTCACTCTGGTGACCCTTCGACGTGGATAAGAGCCCCCACGTATAGGCACCACTTGCCGAGACCAGCTCAGTTGGGGAGACTCTAACCCAGTGGCGCTAGAGGAATTAAAGACACACACACAGAAATATAGAGGTGTGGAGTGGGAAATCAGGGGTCTCACAGCCTTCAGAGCTCAGAGCCTTGAACAGAGATTTACCCAAGTATTTTTTGACAGCAAGCCAGTGATAAGCATTGTTTCTATAGATTATAGATTAACTAAAAGTATTCCTTATGGGAAACAAAGGGATGGGCCGAAATAAAGGGATGGGTCTGGCTGGTTATCTGCAGCAGGAGTGTGTCCTTAAGGCACAGATTGCTCATGCTATTGTTTGTGGTTTAAGAACGCCTTTAAGTGGTTTTCTGCCCTGGGTGAGCCAGGTGTTCCTTGCCCTCATTCTGGTAAACCCACAACCTTCAGCGTGGGTGTCATGGCCATCACAAACATGTCATAGTGCTGCAGAGATTTTGTTTATGGCCAGTTTTGGGGCCAGTTTATGGCCACATTTTGGGGGACCTGTTCGCAACACATTGATATCATCATATGGTTTTTGTTTTTAGTTCTGTTTATGTGATGAATGACATTTATTGATTAGAATATGTTGAACCAGCCTTGCAGTTTTTGGATAAAGCCTACGTGATTGTGGTGGATTACCTTTTTGATGTGCTGCTGGGTTTGGTTTGCCCGTATTCGGTTGAGGACTTTTACATCTATGTTAATCAGAGTTATTGGCCTGAACTTTTCTTTTATTTTTGTGCCTTTGCCAGGTTTTGGTATCAGAGTGATCCTGGCCTCATAGAATGAATTCGGGAGGAGTTCCTCCTCCTCAATTTTTTGGAATAGTTTCAGCAGGAAGGGTACCAGCTCTTCTTTATACATTTGATAGCATTTGGCTGTGTATTTGTCTGGTTCAGGACCTTTTCTAATTGGTAGGCTTTTTAATTACTGACTCAATATCAGAACTCATTATTGGTCTGTTCAGCGTTTCAATTTCTTCCTGATTCAATCTTTGGAGGTTGTATCTTTCCAGGGATTCATCCATTTCTTGTAAGTTTTCTAGTGTGTGTGCATAGACGTGTTCATAATAGTCTCTGAGGGCTTTCTTGTGTTTCTATGGGGTCGGTGGTAATGTCCTCTTTGCCCTTTCTGATTATGTTTACTTGTATCCTCTCTTTCTTTTTTCTTGATTAGTCTAGCTAGTGATCTGTCAACATTTTTATGTTTCGCTGCCATCCTAGAAAGGGGCTATAGTGCTGCAGGTGTCCACTTTCAGGTGGTGCCTGCATATCGTGCAGAATCATCTGTGAACCAGGCCCTAGTCTTCTGTTTCTCTGTCAACTGATCATAGGGAACTCCCCATGAGGCCTTCAGTGCAGGCTGGTGGAGACAAGGCAGGGAGGCAGGAGTGGAGACTATGGGCATTTGAGCCACTTCCTCATGTAACTTACTTGTGCCTTCAGGACCTGCTCAAGCCTGATCACATATATACCACTTCCATTTGATGATGGGATGCTCCTGTACATGACCCACTTTATGGCTAGATGGGTCAGAAAGCACCCAGTTCGTGATAGGCAGTTCAGGTCGCATGGTGACTTGATGACCCATAGTCAAACATTCAGGTTCCACCAAAGCCCAGTAACAGGCCAAGAGCTATCTCTCAAAAGGAGAGTAGTTATCTGCAGAAGATGGCAGGGCCTTGCTCCAAAATCCTAGATGCTCTTCTGTGATTCATCTACGGGGGCCTGCTAAAGGCTCCAGTCACCATCCTATCTGCCACTGACACCTCAGGCACCTTTGGATCTGCTGGGTCATATGGCCCAAGTGGCAGAGCAGCTTGCACAGCAGCCTGGACCTGTTGCAGAACCTTCTCCTGTTCTGGACCCCACTCAGAACTGGCAGCCTTTTGAGTCACTTGATAAATGGGTCAGAGTAACACAACCAAATGCGGAAAGTGTTGCCTCCAAAATCCAAATAGGCCCACAGGGTGTTGTGCCTCTTTCTTGGTTGTAGAAGGGGCCAAATGCAGCAACTTATCCTTCACTTTAGAAGGAATATCTTGACAGGCTCCACACCACCAGGCCCCTAGAAATTTTTACTGAGGTAGAAGGTTCCTGAATTTTAGTCAGATTTATTTCCTATCCTCTGGCACACAAATGTCTCACCAATAAGTCCAGTGTGTTTGCTACTTCTTGCTCACTGAATCCAGTCAACCTAATGTCATCAATATAATGCACCAGTGTGATATCTTGCAGAAGCTAAAAGCTATCAAGGGCTCTCTGAATAAGATTTTGACACAAAGGCAGGGAGCTGGTAAACCCCTGAGGTAAGACAGTAAAAGTATATTGCTTGCCTTGCCAGCTGAAGGCAAATTGCTTCTGGTGGGCCTTATGGACAGGAATGGAGAAAAAGGCATTTGCCAAATCAATGGCTGCATACCAGGTATCAGGATATGTGTTAATTTGCTCAAGCAATGAAACTACAATTTCAATTATGTCACCCCAATTGGAGTCACCACTTGGTTAAACTTGCAATAATTCATTGTTATTCTCTAAGATCCATCTGTCTTCTGCACAGGCCAAATAAGAGGGTTGAATGGCTATGTGGTGGGAATCACCACCCCTGCGTCTTTCAAGTCCTTGATGGTGGCACTAATCTTTGCAGTCCCTCCAGGGATGTGATATTGTTTTTGATTTACTATTTTTATAGGTAGAGTCAGCTGTAATGGTGTCCATTTGGCCTTCCCACCATAGTAGCCCTCAGTCTACAAGTCAGGGAGCCAATGTGGGGGTTCTGCCAGCTGATAAGTATGTCTATGCCAATTATGCATTCTGGCACTGGGAAAATGACCACAGGATGTGTTCAGGGACACACTGGACCCACTGTAAGTCAGACCTGAACTAAAACTCCATTAATTACCTGACCTCTGTAACTGCTACTTTAACTGGAGGACCACAATGATATTTTGGGTCCCCTGGAATCAACATCAGCTCAGAGCCAATGTCCAGTAGTCCCTGAAATGTCTGATTATTTCCTTTTCCCCAGTGCAGTTACCCTGGTAAAATGCTGGAGGGCTCCTTGGGGAAGGATGGGAGAAAGATTCACTGCATAAATTGTTGGTAATGTAGTGGGGTCCTTTCTTTTCTTTTTTTTTTTTTTTTTGAGATGGAGTCTCGCTCTGTCACCCAGGCTAGAGTGCAGTGGGGCGATCTCGGCTCATTGCAAGCTCTGTCTCCCGGGTTCATGCCATTCTCCTGCCTCAGCCTCCTGAGTAGCTGAGACTACAGGCACCCGCCACCATGCCCGGCTAATTTTTTTGTATTTTTGGTACAGACGGGGTTTCACCATGTTAGCCAGGTGTGGGGTCCTTTCTTAAGAAGACTTGGCCTCCCGCCTCTGCCTCCTGGGTTCAGGCGATTCTCCTGCCTCAGCCCCTCGAGTAGCTGTGATTACAGGCATACTGTGGCCACCCTGATTGGCTAACGGGGTTTCTCCATGTTGGTCAGGCTGGTCTCGAACTCCCGACCTCAGGTGATCCACCCGCCTTGGACTCCCAAAGGGTTGGGATTACAGGCGTGAGCCACCGTGCCCATCTTGGTTTTAATTTTTATCTTAAATTTATTTTTAGTTTTGTTTTCAGAGATAGGGTCTCACTCTGATTGTAGTGGTAGAATCAGAGCTCACTGCAACTTCAAACTCCTGGGCTCCAGTAATCCTCCCTCTCCAACCTCCCTAAGTAGGTGGGAGCAAGTTTGTCCAAACCTCAGTCCACAGGCTGCATAAGGTCCAAGACAGCTTTGAATGCAGCCCAACACAAATTTGTAAACTTTCTTAAAACATTATGGTATTTTCTTTCCAATTTTGTTTTTTCTAGCTCATCAGCTGTTGTATTTTAGGTAGAGATGCGGGTCTCACTGTGTTGCCAGGCTGGTCTCCAACTCCTGGCCTCAAGCAATCCTCCCACCTTGGCTTCTCAATGTGCTGAGATTATAGGTGTGACCACTCTCAGCCCATTTGCCTGTTAATGGGTATTTGCATTCCAGGTTTTGTTTTTTTTTTTTTTTTGAGGCAGGATCTTGTTGTGTCACCCAGGTTGGAGTGCAGTGGTGCGATCATGGCTTACTGCAGTCTCCATCTGCCAAGCTCACACGATTGTCCTTCTTCAGCCTCCCTAGTGGCTGAGATTGCTATGTATTTTTAGTAGAGACAGTGTTTCACCATGTTGCCCAGGCTGGTTTCCAACTTCTGGCCTCAAGCAATCCTCCTGCCTTGACCTCCCAAAGGGTTGGGATTACAGGCAATTACAAATACAGTTGCTATGAATATTTGTGTACAAGTCCTTCTGTGGACATGTGCTTTCATTCCTTTTGAGTAAATACCTAGGGATGGAACATCTGAATCACATGCAAATAAATATATGCTTACCCTTTTAAGAAACTTCGTAAGTTTTTTCCAAAGTGGTTGTACCATTTCATATTCCCAATAGTAGTGTATGAGTTTCAGTTGCTCTATGTTCTGACAAATTCTTGGTATGACTAGTCTTTTGGAATTTACCATCAAATAGGTAGGGTATGTTGTTGAGGTCTTAATTTGTATTTTTCTCTTAATCTGTATTTCTCTAATGACTAATGATACTGCATATCTTTTCATGCCTTTATTTGTCATTGATATATGGCTTCTTTGATGAAATGTCTCTTCAAACCTTTTGCTCATTTGTTTTTTGGGTTATTATTGAGGTATGAGAGTTCAAAAAATAGACACTCAGGATATAATTTTTTTTTTTGAGACAGAGTCTCGCCCTGTTGCCCAGGCTGGGGTGCAGTGGTGTGGTCTCGGCTCACTGCAACCTCTGCCTCCTGGGTTCAGGTGATTCTCCTGCTTCGGCCTCCCGGGTAGCTGGGACTGCAAGTGCCTGCCACCATGCCAGGCTAATTCTTGTATTTTTAGTAGAGACGGGGTTTCACCACGTTGGCCGGGCTGGTCTCAAACTCCTGACCTTGTGGTCCGCCCACCTGGGCCTCCCAAAGTGCTGGGATTGCAGGCGTGAGCCACCTCGCCCGGCCTGGATACAAATTATTTACCAGGGCCCAGCGTGGTGGCTCACACTTGTAATTCTGGCACTTCGAGAGGCTGAGGCAGGTGGATTGCTTGAGTCAAGGAGTTCGAGACCAGCCTGGGCAACATGGGGAAACTCCATCCTCTATAACAAATACAATAATTAGCCAGGCATGGTGATGCACACCTGTGGTCCCAGTTACTAAGGAGGCTGAGGTGGGAGGATCGCTTGAGCCTGGGAGGTCAAGGTAGCAGTGAGTCGTGAGCATGCCACTATACTCTAGCTCTTTTGAGACACAGCAAGACCCTGTCTCAAAAAAAAAAAAAAAAAAAAAGAAAAGAAAAAAAGAAAAAACCAAAACACACTCACAATCTTATCCCATACGTGATTTGCAAATAGCTGCTTCAGTTTTTGGCTTGTCTTTCCATTCTCTTTCTGGGGCTGCAGTGAGCTATCATACTCCTGGGCTCAAGTGATCCTCTGCCTCAGCCTCTCAAGTAGCTGGGACTGTATGTGCATGCCACCATGCCTGACTCAAATATTTTTGATGCTGTTGTAAATGGTATTTTAAATTTCAATTTCAGATTGTTCATTGCTGGTGTACTACAAATGCAATTGACATTTGTGTATTGATTTTATGACCTGTAGTCTTGGTCATTTATTTCATCTGATAGTTTTTTGTAGATTTTGTGCCAGAGTTTTCAATAAATAAAACGATAAAACCAGTTTTACTTCAAAAAAAAAAAAAAAGAACTGGCCTCCCCTTCATTCAAGAGGTTCTGGGTCTGTAAACTGGCCCAAGTCTGGAAATTGCTTGAGGGGCTGTGATTCTCTGTTTTTGTAACTCAAATTAGTCTTTTGTCCATTCGACCTGAAAGTTTTCTGCTTATATAAGTTAAGTAGGAATGCAGTAGCTTTCCTATCAATTTTGCTTCTAGGAACACCATAATTAATTAGCCAATGCCAGAGCTCTACATGAGGCAGACTATTCTGATTGCTGCTTTGCCTTTGCTGTCGATTACAGTAGTTACGTACACCTTGCCTTTAATGTTTGAGTGCCACCACTTGGCCCCTGCCACCTCAGGATCCAATTATTCCCATTGTATTTAAATTTTGTAATTGAGTGACTATCGATCCCACTGTTAGATCTAACATACAGTGAAGAGCAATCACAGGGCTCTTCAAGGATGCAAGTGCTACCCTCGCAAATCTATTTCACAAAGCATTGGTTACAGGTATATCTTCTGCACCCTCCCAGTTGGGATGAGTAGATCTAAAGTGACTAATCCACTCCACCATCCCAATTTCTGTGAGCCTTTTGATCCCCTCCTCTACATCAAACCAAGGGAGATCAGGCATTTCCAGCTCGCTCACAGTGGGCCATCTTTTAATCCATATTTCAGCTAACCAAGCAAATAAATTATTAGAACCTTTTTTAACTCCCCAAGCTGCAACATTAACTGCAGAATCCCTACTTAGTAGGCCCAAATCAATAAATTCAGCCTGACCCAGTGCTATGTTCCTTTCACCATTATCCCACACCCTTATTATCCATTCCCATGCCTGTTCTCCAGATTTCTGCTTATATAAATTAGAAAACCCAAGCAGTTCTTTTCGAGTGTAGTGTGCCTCCCCATGGGTCACACTCAACCTTACCTCTAGGGGTCTGTGGGGACTTTAGTCTAATTATAGGTCTAGAAGCAAACGGGGGTGTTGGGGGTGGCTCCTGAGGTGAATCAACATTATCTTGCCTGGCAACTGTTCAAGGGGGGCCATCACTATTGCCTCAGGCAGTACAGGGTATATCTCTTCAGACAAAGGTGGAAAGGCTGATGGCAGCATGGGTTGGGGAGGGGTGTTGCCGCTGCTGGAGATGGGGAAGCTGTTTCTTCTGGCAAAGAAGGTTCATCAGAGTTTACAAGCTCAGTGTCCCCAGCTTCATCACAGTCATCCCACACATCCCCATTCCAAGTTTCAGGGTCTCATTCTTTTCAAATCAATGCCCTCACTTTAACAGGAGACACCTGGTGGGGCTCTCCATGCACCTATCATTGCAGGTCAGCCACTTGCATGATAAGAGCTTGTGTCTGTTTTTCCACAATTTCAGCTCTTCTCTACAGGAGATAAGACTGTCAGGGCAATCTTAGCAGATTTGAGGCTCAGTATCTGCTTCTGATGCCTGGAGTTAGAATCCCTGAGTTCATCATTTTCTTTCTTCACTCTGTCCAGTGAACTTAGGAGCAACCAACCAACTTCATTGTGTCTCTTGGTTCTCCACATATAGTCAAAGGTATTACTTATAGAGTCACTAAACTCCTTGCCTCTCATGAGTGGTGAATCAGTAGTGTCAAATGCATTTATTTTGCATAACTGTCTAAACAGTTCATACCAAGGACTACCAGTATTCTCCATACTATTAGAAGTAGAGTCCTTAGCATTTTTGGGTGTAATCATATTAAGCAGCCAACTCCAGAAATCCCAAAACCAATGAAAGAACTCCATCCTTAATATTCTGTTCCTCTAGAACCACTCCTGGTGCCAAAATCTGTATTAGTTAGGGTTCTCTAGAGAAACAGAACTAATACGTAGGTATTTTATGTATATATATATATACACGCACACACACACACACACACACATATATATAGGAGTTTATTAAGAAGTATTAAGTAACATGATCACAAGGTCCCACAATAGGCTGTCTGTAAGCTGAGGAGCAAGGAAGCCCGTCTGAGTCCCAAAGCTGAAGAACTTGGAGTTTGATGTTCGAGGGCAGGAAGCATCCAGCATGGGAGAAAGACGTAGGCTGGGAGGCTAAGCCAGTCTAGTCTTTTCACATTTTTCTGCCTGCTTTTAAATTCTGGCCATGCTGGCAGCTGATTAAATGGTGCCCACCCAGATTAAGCGTGGGTCTGCCTTTCCCATCCCACTGACTCAAATGTTAATCTCCTTTTGCAACACCCTCACAGACACACCCAGGATCAATACTTTGCATCCTTTGAATCCAATTAAGTTGACACTCAGTATTAACCATCACACTGCCTTTTTCTACTTTTGTTTGCTCGGTTGATTTCTCTCCATCTTTTTACTTTGAGCCTCTTCTGTCTTTGTATGTGAGATGGGTCTCTTGAAGACAGCATATAGTCTAGTCCTGCTTGTTTATCCAATTTGCCAATCTGTGCCTTTTAAGTGGGGTTTTTAGCCCACTTACATTCAAGGTTAGCATAGATAGGTGGAGATTTGATCCTGTCATTGTGTTGTTAGCTGGTTATTATCCAGAATTGATTGTGCAGTTGGTTATAATGTCAACTGTCTATGTACTTAAGTGTGTTTTTTTGGTGGCCAGTAATGGTTTTTCATTTCCATATTTAACATTCTGTTAAGTACCTCTTGTAAGGCATGTCTGGTGGTAACAAATTCCCTTAGCATTTGCTTGTTTAAAAATAACCTTATTTCTCCTATACTTATGAAGCTTAGTTTTGTTGGATATGAAATTCTTGGTTGTAGTTTCTTTTCTTTAAGAATGCTGAATACAGGCCCCCAATCTCTTCTGGTTTGTAGGGTTATTGCTGATAGGTTTGCTGTTAGCCCAATGGGCTTTCCTCTATATGTTATTTGCCCCTTTTTTCTAGCTGCCTTTAATATTTTTTCTTTCATGTAAACCTTAGAAAATCTGATGACTATGTGTTGTATTATTTAGTTCTAGTACTGCTATAAAGGAATACCTGAGACTGGGTAATTTATAAAGAAAATATGTTTAATTGGCTTATGGTTTTATAGGCTGTATAGGAAGCATAGCAGCTTCTGCTTTGGGGGAGGATTAAGAAAACTTACAATCATGGTAGAAGGCAAAGTGGGAGGGAAGCATGTCACATGGATGGGGCAAGAGGAAAGTTGCAGGGGATGTGCTACACATTTTTAAACAACCAGACCTCATGAGAAGTCATTCACTATCATGAGAACAGGACCAAGGGGGAAATCCATCCCGATGATCCAATCACCTCCGATCAGGACCCACCTCCAACATTGGGGATTAAGATTTGACATGCAATTTGGGCAAGGACACAGATCTAAACTATATCATTCTGCCCCTGACCCCTCTCAGATATCATGTCTTTCTCACATTTTGAAATACAATCTTGCCTTCCTAACAGCCCCTCAGAATCTTAACTCATTCTAGCATTAACTCAAAAGTTAAAGGTCCAGAGTTTCATCTGAGACAAGGCTAGTCTCTTCTACCCATTAACCTGTAAAATCTAAAACAAGTTAATGATTTCCAAGATACAATGGGGATACAGGCATTGGGTAACTACTCCTATTCCAAAAGGGATAAATTGGCCAAAAGAAAGGAGCTACAGGCCCTACATAAGTCCTAATATAGTTCACGATAGCCTACATAATAGGCCCTACATAAGTCCTAATATAAACTTGAGTATAAGAGTGCATTTTAAAACTGGCTACCAAAGGGGGCAACTAGAGTTTAATCTCATGGAAAACTCTCTGGCCTTGTTTATTTTGTAGAGACTTCTACCAGTCACTTGTGGAGGGCTGCTTGGTGGGGTATAAATTCCCTAGGTCTTCTGGGCTGTTTTAACAGAAGTAGGCAGATCAATCTTCTATAGTTCTGGCAAAAGCCCTCAGACATGAGAGTGCTGACACCAGCAGCTGAAAGCTAATGGGGCACAGAGAAGTGGTAAGGTCCTAGGAATATGGATGAGGTACTGATGGCAGCAGCTACAAGAACCTTTCATGTAACTTGTACTCACAGCCATTGGCTTTAGATGCAAAATTTTTCTCCTTAATTGCACCTTAATACACAGCTTCTCAATTGTGCCTTAACGCACAGCTTGTCAATTATTTTTCCTACTTCCAGTCTCTGTCCTCTTCATACTATCCTCCACAGTGCTGCCAAAGGCATTTTGTTTTTCTTTTTGTGAGACAGGGTCTCGCTTTTTTGCCCAGGATGGAGAGCAGTAGCATAATCCTGGCACACTGCAGCCTCCAACTTCTTGGCTTTAGATTCTCCTACCTCATCCTCCCGAGTAGCTGGGACTAGAGGCATGTACCGCCATGTCTGGCTAATTTTTTTTTTTTTTTTTAACTTTTTGTAGAGAATAGGTCTTGCTATGTTGCCCAGGCTGAAAAGTCATGTTTTTCTGAAACACAGATTTGGGCATGCCAATCCTTTCCTTGAAAACCTCTGTAACTATCCCTGGTCTATAGAACTAAATCCTTCCCCCTCTTCATTGTTTGGTCCAGCCACACCTCTCTCTCACCTTTCTCACATTCACCATCACAGCCCATACTCTTTCACCAACTTGAACTTTTCTCATGCTATTACATAGGCTCGCAATATTCTTTCTCCACTTGGCAAAACCTGATGCACCCATTGAGGCTAAACTTCAGGTTTCCTTCTCTGTGTATTTTTCTCTAATCTCTCCTAGGTAGGACTAATTTTTCCCCTCTGTTTATTGGTTGATTTTTCCTCTGATATAATAGTTACTATATTGCATTTTAATTACTTTCATATCTGTGTCCCTAGATGTCAAGCTGTATAGAGTCTTCAATACTATGTACATTACTAAATAAATGTTGGTTGAGTGAGTGATTAGTTAAGAGACTATCAAAGCTCATCAAAAAGGCAAAAACAAAACAAAACAAGAACGAAGTTCATACTCTTGTCAGTCCTCCAGTGATTGGTCGTCTGGCTTATGAATGATGTTAGAGAGAAATAAGTGGGAGAAATCAAATTCTTTTGAAATTATTGCGTAGGGAAATGTCAAATTTCACCACTAGAGAGAACCCTAGTGTTAACTTACAACATTTAATAGGAAACTGAGGGTGTGTATAGGATTTAAAACATTTTCAGAAGCTTGTGCCAATATCAGTATAAAGGCTTCATTGTGAATATGTAGGAGCTGATGGTTCTCACTTGAAAATTATCAGGGAACATTAACTCTCAATGTTTGGTAGTGCATATTCCTGGTGGTGCAATAATGGGCTTTTGCATGTACCTTGTGTGTTAGTATGGGGCATTTATATTGCATGGACACATATTATTTTATTATTGTTGGGTGATAGCCTAGAATGTAATTATTCTTGTTCTCAGGTAAAAATATGAAAAACTTAAAGCTTCTCATTATGCAGGCAAAAAATGTAAAAAACTAGTTCTCCCTGAAGGCTGGACTCCTATAGTGTGGATCTGGAGTTAGGTAAACATTGCTGAAGTCCATAAACTGCCCCATGTAGTGACTGTCTAGGGAGGTGCAGTGACAGGGATTGGAAAGAAAGATTTTACTTTGTGCTTCAAACAAGACACTTAATGTGGACAAAACAGTGAGACTTAGAGACAGTTCACAGAGTCTATTCACAGAGTTTACTGGGCCTGATAGGATTCAAATGTGGTCTTGAAGCTGGCAACAACAGTGAATGGTTATACAGTGATATAGATAGTCTCCAGTACTTGGTAATATGTTTGACTGTATATTAACAGGAAGGAAAAAAAGTTCCTGCATTTGTGATAAAATTAGGTGAATTTTGCAACGAGCTACACCATAACAAGACATTCAAAGTGGCTTAAGGAACCGAGCTTTATTGGAGCAAAGAGTGTGGACACTGTTTACAACAAAACGTTTCCGGGAAAACTTGGATTTCCCAAGACCCGAAGACTCCTCCAAGTTCTCACTGTTAGTAAGGTCAATTTGGGGGCAGAACAGGAACATGCCTTAGCTGCTGTCAGGAAATAGAAGAGCAGAGCAGAGTTGGGCATGGAGGCTCCAGCTCAGACTTGGGAAGATGGAGAAGAGCCATCCCAAGTCCAGAGTGAATAGGTTTCATAGCACCCATCTCCTCTATTTGAAGGAAGCAGGCCCCTAAAGGGAAACACAGGATGCCCAACTCATAAGAATCAGACTGTTATGAGAGTCCTTTGATATCATGTGAAAACCATGATGGGAGAGAGAGACTGAGGGTGCAGCCCACCTTCCTGGCCAGTGTTAAATCAGGAAACTATTTTGTTTAGATCAAAAAATGATATTCCATTTTTTGGTCTCCCAAGGTCATCCAAAGTTTACTGACATGCAGGGACCCCTGTGTGATCTAGTGGGAGTCCAGAGCTAGGGGAGTCCAGCTGGAGCAGAAGAGTCTGCAACTAGGAAGGGAACTCTTGTGTGTATGAGGGTTGGTAATAGGCTCTTTTTGTATCAAGAGGAAGGGAAGGAAGTCATATCCCAAGAGGGCACTTAACCTTAGTCCTAATTCTAGGAGAACTAAGAGGGGCTGGGGCAGAAAGTCAAAGGGTCGGGGTAGAAGGATTGGATGCCACAAAGCATTACTGGGGCTCATTTTCCCCTAAGCCACTTCTTGGAGGAAAAACTCCATGGAACACATTAGTAAGAAAGTATACAATTATTCCTGTTTTATGTGAAGATTGGAATAAAAAACAGTTTTGTTATTTAATATTACAACCGCTTTGTAGGAAGTGTGGATCCTGCTAAATGATCCACCTCCTGTATGATGACTCCCCTCATCCCTTTTTTTTCTGCTGGATCCCTAGGTGGCTTAGTTATGAAGATGGGTACTATGAACTGCTGATAGTCAAATCATCCTGACTAATTGAAGAATAATTTGAATTTTCTTTGGCAATCCAGGAGAGGAGAGATTTGTGCCAAGGAGATAGGATAAGTGAGCATTTGAGACTGGGTTAACTTGATTCAGGTTAACCTGAATCTTCAATAAACTCATTAATGCGGAGTTTTGTTTCTTTAGAGTAAAATGGCAGAGTTTCATGTCTAGGCCTGTGAGAGAGACATATAGTGTACAAGAATATAAAGGTCCACAGGTAGAGGAACTATGAAAATGGGAGCATCTTGCATTGACCTTTTATGTCTGAAGGATGTGGAGTTGAGTGATTCAAGCCAACCTTAATCTAGCTCTGAAAAGGAGGCTGATCCTTGGTGACACTGGGTTACGTAAGAACAATTTTGATGAAATGGTTAGGTCAGAAGCCAGATATAGGTCCACTGCGGAGTGAATCAGAAGTCAGAATATAGAAATGGGATTGGGTGAATAATTCTTCTAAATCATGAAAATTACATCAAATGCCATTGAGTTGGTGAAATATCCTTTGGGTCTTGCATGTATTACATTGTACTTAAAGTAACAGGATACAGCGGATACTGAAAAAAAGAAGAAGAGAAAAAAGGTTGGAACATTTTTAGAGCAACATTTGTGTTTTGGATTTCAAATTCTCACTTTGTAGAGCAGTAAACTAGATTTTTTTTCTCTTTAGGTGAAAAATGAGAAGATTAAATAAGCCATGGGAAGATTTTTTAAAATGACATGAAACTCCAAGGGTAAAAAGTAGGTAAGCAAGCTTATACTCGTGTGGGGAATGCCAGTTTCTGGGTTATGGCTGGTTTCTGTTTTTTGGGTCAAAGATAGGATTCAGAATTAGGAATCCTATGAATAATTCCTCTTCTCCCCCAAAGTAGAACAACAAATACAACAATGGCCTATTTGTGAACTACCTTCTTATGTTTTTAAACTTGAGCTACAATTTTATAAGCTGACTTCCATTAATATGTCATGTAAAAAAAAAATCCATATTGGAAATACAATGCTAATGGCAAAAGTAACGGTAGGTGAACACTTAAATACTTTCAGGATTATGTATTTTATTAGCTAGAAATAAAACAAAATGCAGAGGGGAAGGAGATGCTTTACAAATTCCTGAAAGCCTCTTCAATTATCAGTATACAGCTTCTGCAGCAGGGACGACCCTTCTTCTACTCCCAAGCCAATACACCCTTTCTCTTGGTCTCAAACACACAGACATAAAATTTATGTGGGCAGTTTACCATTTTCCAGTTTTCATTAATTCAACTGCTTCATTGATTTTATCAAGATTCAGAGTATGAGTAATTAGTGGATCTAGATTCAACTTCTCTGCCATATAATCAGCAACCAGTTTAGGGATGTGCTGTCTGCTCTTCCAGCCTGGAAATACAGATTAATGATGAATTTTACACATGAGGCTTCATTATAAAGGAAAGGTCATTCAAAGTAACTGCTGAAGTTGTTGGCTTTGACTGAGAAAATCTAAGCCTGTCCCGTTTACTTGCCTCAATCATCAGGAGAATGCCTACCCCAACCACACACATTATATAGAGGGCTGTGTTCCTAAAGGAGACTTCTGGTACTACAGAGGAGAATTAATTCAAAGCAGATAGAATGTGGACCTTGCCTTGAGTGTTCCTGGTGTCATGTTGCAATCTCTGGGGAGCAGTGAATCTATATCTAATGTATAACAAAGGCCAAGGTCTTGGGAATCATGGAAAGAAGCAATTCAAATGTTAAATATAGCACATTTTTTTGTGTGTGCATTCCCTCATGTGTATGTTTTGATCTGCCACTTCATAAAAGAGTCAAATAGCTTAAAGGAAAAGAAGAACTCTCACTGTGGCAGCAGTCCCAGTGAAAGCTCTTGGGAAAAGAATGTGTACAAAGCAATATAAGAATAAAATGTGCTTTCTGGAAGTAAGAATTGAACAAGCAAAGATGGAGTTAGCTAAGGTAAGATGTAGTTTAGCATTGTATTTTCTCTATTCCCGTGATTTTCAAGAAACACATTAAATTTAGCACTGTGCTAAGTGCCACGCTCAGTGAGTTACCACACAGACTTTGGCAGTCTGCTCATTGCTAGAAAGGGTGGGTGTGGTGTAATTGTGCAAAGTATAATGTGGCGTAATCTGCTTAGTGTTCTATGCGGATTATTCTGTGATAGGATCTTGACAATTACTTGCTTTTCTTGGTTCTAGCTTAGGTTAGGCTCCCCAACTTCTTCTCCAAACTACCACAAACTCTTCTAATAGATTTATTTTTAATTTAAGTTTGTTTCTGTTATGTGTAACCAAGAATACTAATTACTGTTCTATGTCATGACATGAAGGGCCAGTGTATATTTCTATTTGTTTTTATATTTTGATTGGTGATCTGATAAAACATTTTTACATCTATGTCAACCCTCCACTTTTTTTCTTATTTCAACCAAATGACATAGGAAAGAAAATTCTAGGACCACAGACGGGACTAGGCAGTGTTTCTCAACAAGGGCACTACTGGCATTTTGGGTGGGGAACATTCTTTCTTTTGCACATTGTGGGAGGTTTAGCAGGACTGTCCAACACCTGTTAAATGCTATTGTTGATTGAAAATCATTGAACCAGAGGACTATACTATTTGTGGAATAAACTAATTTACATTAATGATCACTATATGAGTGCTAGAGTGGCCAGTGAATTAGTTTCATTCACTGAGGGTTTTAAGAATATTGGTAATCTTATTTTTATAAGACTTAGCTGAGTATGTGTATTTTGAATTAACATTATCATCTATAAATACAATAGAGAGAAATGGCAATGGATGTATTCAATGATCTTAAATAGAAGAACTGAAATTACAGTTCTTCTATTTAATAGATTATATATATAACTGGATTATTACTTTTTTTTTTTTGCTGGTCCTGCCATGTATCTACTCTTTATAAATGAATTAGGTAAGGCTTCTAATATCTGTAATAACATGCTGCCATAGCTTACTTGGGGACTACAGACAGCTCACTTGTGCAAGTAATTCAGGCACTCCTCTAATTCTCATCTCTTTTTGCCCAGGCATTCAGATTGCCCAGAGTTTCTGGATAAATACATTTCTTCGTAAATTTCAGATTTCTTGCTTATGAGCCCAGAATCTTAAGCAGATTTATTTAATTTAGTTTGTCTTCTACTTTTTCAATAAAATAGTCTTCTAAAGTCTATAAAAATGTTCCAGGACAGGTAAAAAACAGAAAATCAAAGGATTCTATAAGATATTTTTCCTCTGGGTAAAATAATTCTTATTTTTTTTAATCAATAGTATTTCTTTTAAATCAAGAATCCATTGTGTTTAATATATTTGAGTTGGTAGCGTGACAACTCATTTGTTTGGGATAAGATTTTACATGAGTTGAACAATGACAACTAATGGCTAAGTATATTCTCCAAAGAATCCCAGCTGGCAGGTGTATAATTTCGCTGAAGTGTAGTTATAGATTACAATATTGCCTTCTTTTCAATTTAGAGTTTGCTTTAAATGTTGGACACTGGATTCTTTACCAATCAATTAAGAAACCTCTTCTCTATCTTTGCATGAGAAAAAGCTTTCCAAGAGGCACTAGATACACCCACTATCCATCCCTTTATATTGGGTATTCATATGTTGAAAAAAAAAATCTGTAATATAAAGCTGTTGTTTTATGTCCTTTCTTAAGCGTTTATGGTACATTTTTCTATTTCCCACCTTCACCTCCTCAGGCATTTCCACCTTTCCCTGCTTCATCCATACCTCCAAAAACAGAACCCTTCAAAGAACGTCCTGAGAAGAACAACTGGCCACTGATTTTGAGTTGAACACTGGCAGGCAACACCCCAACAACCACACAGACCCCATAGCTCTCATTGCAGGAGGCGAGGGCAGCTGCCTGTTAGAAAGTGATGCAATACAGTATAGGGGTTAAAAGATGTATGTGAGGATTGAGCCTACATCTTAATTTCAGCTTAACTCCTAAATGGTCTATGACTTTCTTTTCTGATTCTCCCTATTCTCATTTGAAGTAACATTTATCTTGTAAGGATGCTATGAAACACATATAAGACGTTGTATGTTGCTTAGTATAGTACCTGGCACTTTAGGACTCAATAAATGGAAATAACAAAAATGAAAATAGTAAAAACATCCACAGTAGTGATAATAATAAAAATAATTTTTATAAAAATTATTACTGATGCAGGTGGCTGGTAAGAATTGACATTTTTCTTTTAGACATCTAAGAAGACAGATATTTATATAATAAGATGATAGCAAAGTGAGAAACAGATACCGTTACATTCGTTATGTTCAAAGGCTATTTCTCAGAGTAAGAGTGTGAGAAAGGTTTTGCTGTTTCTTCTTACAGATAAAGGAATTTATGTATGGTGAATCATGAAAAGATTTTTTATGCTGGGAAAAGGGCCCAAGTTGGAAGAGGCAGTTGTTGAGTTTCCATACAGCTGACTAGACGATAGAGCCATGCAACCTAATAATACATTATTTCTTCAAATCCCCAAAGAAAACAAGCCTTAGATTTTTAAGTAACTTCCCCTCACTTTCTATTCTTTTATATAAACCACGTTTAGCCAGAAAAACCACCACTTTTTTTCCCCTTCATTTTTGAAATGAACCCGTTTAATCGTGACTAGTAAATATTTTTCTTGGAAACTTATCTCAGATCTGACATGAAAGACGACTGAAAGTGAAAAGCACATTGATTTATAAGGTCATTAATCAAATTTTAATCTTATCTTGCTTAAAACTTCTGGCTTTGAAATTATATGAAAGTTCTAGATTTAGTATCTGGGATAGTGAACAAATTTGTAAGAGTACACAGACGGCACCAGCTGAGATGTCATGGAACACAAGGAAAATTAAATAGAGCAAAGTGGAGGGAATTTTAGAAAGCTCATTCAACTATAATCTAAACGATGACTGGTAAAAGTATTGGTAATTTTCACTCCAGAGGATTACATACCAGAACGTCCAGATTTCCAATGGCCTCAAAGCAGAAGTCTATACCAGCATCTGTCATATCAAATAAAACTTCTTGAATGGGTTTCTTTAAGTCCTGAGGGTTGAGGCACTCAGTAGCACCCAATTCCTGTGCCTTCTTAAATTTCTCCTTGTTGACATCCACTCCAATGATCCTGGCTGCTCCTGCTGCTTTACAACCCATGACAACAGACAAGCCGACTCCTCCCAGGCCAAACACAGCACAGGTAGAACCTGGAGTCACCTAAACACATACAGGCAGAAAACTCAGAAAACAAAAAGCAAAGAGAACATACACCTTTACTCAGTTGGGAAGGCTAAGTCTATATGCATGTATTTTTTAACGAGTCATAAGCAAATGATGTTTACATACATAACATATTATAACTACAAAGTTTTGATTTTTCAAAAATATTTCTAGATATGGAATACTCTTGGCACAGGAACAAAAAACTGCCTGAAAGTAGAGTTTCAAGTCCCAGGAATTAGTCTGAGTAGTAGTTTAAATGAATTTGCATTGAATATTAAGACTTACTTGACAGTGTATTTAATTCCAGATATTTTTGAGTTCTTTAAAATTATCTCTATCTTCCTACAACCATTTCTCTCTGTCTCTCTCTCTCTCTCTCGGTATCTGTAAATTTTTCATAACTTATCGGGTCAATACCTTGTGAAGGCAAAGGCTTTTTTTTTATTGAGTACTGTCCTACATAGGACTAATTTAAATAATTTTTTTCCATTCTATCTCTCTGTATAGTATTGGGACTGATGGACACTGGAAAATGCAAAGTTCTAAAATTCAACAGCACCTTTAGGAAGGGAGCCGGGAAGGTTTGAGTGATGTTTTAGAAATAAGAGTTCAATAGCAGCCCATTCAGCCAGAGTGGGATCCCCTGGTCAATCTGTCTAATGTAGTAACACCTACTTCATCACTTGGTTCCTTTACTCTCCTTTTCTTTTTATTAGCATTTATCACTACCTAATATATCATGCAATATAATATTAGCTTCATGAGTTTTGTTAGCTGCTGAATTCTAGCACCTGGGACAGTGAATGGCTCCGAAAATATTTGTCTAAGGAAAGAAAGGATAAACTGGAATATGAAAGGCCACAGAGTCATGTTGTAACTATGTTAGATTTAATTTCCAGTAATTCCTGATCTTTCCACTTGTGAATGGCATCCAGACTTAATCTGTCTTTTACTACTCACCAAGAGGGAATGGGAAAAATGTTGAAGGGGGTGTGGGATGACTAGGTAGATAGCAGAGAACTCAAGGATGTTTGGAGTCAGGCTTGGGATTTTTCCTTTGGTATGATAAGAGATGACAAAGATGCAAGAGGCCTTTCAACTCCATATCCCAATAATTCCCTTCCAAATGGGTATAAATGCCCCTCACCTTGGCAGTATTGATTGCAGCACCAAACCCAGTGGAAAAGCCACAGCTAATTAGGCATACTTTCTCTAGAGGAGCGACTGCATCAATCTTGGCAACTGAGATTTCCTTTATCACTGTGTATTCACAGAAGGTGCTGGTATTACCAAAGTGATATATTGATTTTCCCTTGCAGGTAAACCTGCTGGTACCATCAGACATCAGTTGGGTTTTTGACTGTCTTTTATAGACAAAACAAAAAACAAAACACAAAGTTTATTTTGAATTAGAAAGCTTAGATCTTCTCCAATGAAAGTGAATTAAGTTTTCAAAAAGAAAATATTAGTAAAAACTTACTTGAATTGTATACAAAAATTGCCCTCAGAATTCAGGCAAGAGGTACATTCTCCACACTGTGGCAGAAAGAGTGTGATAACTTTGTCACCTAAAAGAGCAAAATCATGTCTTATTAACATATTATTTTTTAAAGTAAAGACATAGCTGTCTTTCAGGATTTTGACAGCAAGGCACCCAAGAAGAAATGACAGCTGAAAATTATTTCCACATTCAGTTGTGCTTGATACCACAAAGAATATCAAATACTTACAAAAAGAGAGAATGTCTTTAGCATCTGGGCCCAGCCCTGGGCTCAGTGGCTGAATCTTGAGGAACTGGCCCCAGATTTGCCTCTTTTGTAAGCTCCTTTTCAAGTATGAAATAGTTTTTTGTCATATATCCATTCAGTCAAGTCTTATCTCTTCTCAACATTTTCAACACTAATTTCCTCTCTCAGGGATTGAATTTAAAATAGTATGGATACCACATACTAACAGAGTAAGCTCTGGATTAGGGAGAAAAAAAATTGCTTCTATGCTGTTCTCTGTGTTTGACATCAACCCTTTCTTCTTGACCTTAGAGATCAAAGGTAGGCAGATTTCTCTAGTAGTGGTCAAAGTATCAGGACATGATTAGAAGAGCTTGCCTGTGATGTATTTTACTGGCTGCCCCCATGGTCTAACACTGTAAACCAGAGAAATTTGTTTTATACTTTTAGTTAAAAACCTTATGAAGATTTAGTTTCTTCTATTTTATTTATTTTTATTTTTTTAAAAAGTAACACATACATATGGTAAAAATTTAAACTGCACAAAAGTGAAAATTATTACTCTATTCCCCAGTTCCCCATCTTAGAGACAGGTACTCTGACCAGTAACCACGATATTTTTCAGCACTGTAACCCCTTTAAAAATGCAAAGGTAAGCATGCTATCTACCCTGGTTTGGGCCTAGCTTTTTTACTTAACACTGTATCATGGAGCTTTCTATTTTAGTACATATAGTGCTCCATCATTAACCAGTGCCATGAACACTGATAGATATTTAGGTTGTTCTTTGTTTCTCTACACCCCAACACTAAAACCAGTAATGCAATGAGTATCTTATTGTAGACAGAGTTCTAAAATGCCCTCCGAAAGATATCCTGCACAAATCCCTAGAAACTGTGACTATGTTGTGGTGTCATGCCTGTGAGTATGTTATGCTACATGGCAAGGGGTACTCTGTAGATGTAACTAAGTTCACTAATCAGTTGTCATTAAGATAGGGAGATTATACTGAATTATCCAGGTGGACCCAAGGTAATCACATGAGCCATCAAAAGAAGAAGAGCAGATGAAGGCAGAAGAGGAAGTAAAAGTGACTTAACACCTGTGGAAGGATTTAGTGGGCCATGGCTGCTTCGAGGCTGGAAGGTGCCACAGAAGAAGAAATGTGAGCAATTTCAGGGAGCCGACCACTGGTGAGGAAATAAGGATCTCAGTCCTATAGCCTCAAGGAATTGGATTCTGAAAACTACTTGAATGAACTTGGAAGTGGATTTTTCTCCAGAGGCTCCAGATAAGGACCCAGCTGGCTACTCGCTTGATTTTGACCTTGAAACGTGAGCAGAAAACTCAGCCAAGCCCACTCAGATTTCTGACCTATAGAAACTGAGATAATAAACTTGTGTTGTTTTAAACTGTTATATTTGTGGTGATTTTTTCCAGCAGCAATAGAAAATGAGTACATGAACATATATCTATGGAATAAGTTTCTAGAATTGAAACTGTTGTGTCCAAGAATATATAAATTTAAATGATATTACATATTGCTGCATTTAGAGTCGAGCAAATCTACGTTCCAAACAATAAGATATGAGGGAGCTGTCTGCCTATATTCTTGTGAACTCTATATATTATCAAACTTCTTAATCTTTGCCGATCTGCTAGGGAAAAAGTGTTTTTTCATTGCATTTTAAAATTTTATCGTAAATTGACAAATTATATATTTATGGGGTACAATGTGATATTATGTGTATATAATATGGGATGATTAAATCAAAGTAATTAACATGTTAAACACTTGAAGACTTATATTTTGTGGTAAGAACATTTGAAATGTATACTCTTAGCAATTTTGAAATATAGTATAATTCATTATTATCAACTGTGATCACCATGCTGTTCAATAGATCTCAAAAAACTTATTTTTCCTATCTAGCAGAAATTTTATACCATTTGACCACATCTCTCCATTTTTCCCACCCCCAGCCTTTTAAAATGTTTTTTATTTTTAATATGTCTGAGGTTGGGCATATTTTAATGTGTTTAAAGCATTCATATATATATATACACACACATATATGTGTATATATATATTTCTTTAAATTAGACATGTATTTTGTTTGCCTTTTTTTATTTAAAAATTGCTTTTAAAGAAATTATTTCTATATTAAGAAAATTGGTCCATTGTCATACTGGGTTTTGACTTTTGGGGTTTTTTTTAAACATGCAGAATCTATGTAATTTTTACATTGTCAAATTTATCTATATAAATATCTATTTTATATCTGCTGGGTATTTTTTTGTATTGATTAAAATTTCCTTCCCTCCTCCAAGATAATACAGTGTTCTCCCATGTTATTTTATAGTACTTCTATGGTTTTGCTTTTCACATTTAATTTTTAGATGCATGTATAATTTTTTTATATAAAGAATGAGATGGCAACCCAATTTACTTTTTTAGCCCGGATAACTATCTAGTTGTTTCAACACAATTTGTGGAATAATCTGTTTCTATTCTTAAGTTTGAAAGACAAACCTCATGCTGCATTAACTTCTTATGTTTATTTGGATTCAATTCTGGACTGCTTCTTTATTTGGTTCCACTAATGTGTTTGATTATTTATCATATGCCTCATTTAAATAATTGTTCAATAGTTTACCTCAGTCAACCTTTTTTTCATAAATTTTTGTCTCATTTGTACTTTCAAGTCCAGTTTCAGTGCATTCTACTTCTTGTTTTTTCTTATTTTCAAAATGTAAATGCAAAGAATACAATATATTTAGTATTTTATGTAACTTACAAGTAATTTATCCCTACTTTTCTAAGAAGTTGGAAACATTTCACCTTTCATTTCACTTGATCCTGACATACTTAAGGGGTGCTTATCATTTTCTCGAGTTGGTTCCAAGTTGTTGCTGTTTCCTATTACCAGGTGCTAATTCCTACCTGGTTTCACTGTGCTTACTCCTTCTCCAATACTCTCAACGATTCCAGCCCCTTCATGGCCCAAGATGGTGGGATACAAGAGGTCCAAGTGTTTACTCCCCAACACTTTCATCTCTGTACCACACAGTCCGGTGGCCACAACCTGTATGGAAGGCAAAGGGTACTGCAGTTCCCGCTGTTTCAGATAATGGTGTTTTAGAGTTGTTGACTGTAAGGCTTTTTGCTAGTTTGATATTCTCCATTTATACACTGCATTCATTTCTTATCAGTTTTAATTCTAGGGAAGGGTCAATAATAATTTGTTAAAGCAATGAAATGTTTTTCATTAGCTGATTTCAGAATCAAGATGATTGAAAATTTACTGGGGAGTGTGGGTAGAATGGGGTCAGAAGAGAAGCTGTAAAATTGCAGTGTGACTTGATGTCTGAGGTCTCAATTGGCTTCATTGATCTTGTAGATGGAAGTGTGGAGGAGAAAGAACGACTATAAAAATAAAGGAATTGAGCTGAGTGCAGTGGCTTATGCTTAAAATCCCAGCATCTCAGGAGGCTGAGGCAGGAGAGTCACTCAAGGGCAGGAGTTTGAGATCAGCCTGGGCAAAATAGTGAGACCTCCATCTCTACAATAAATAAACAAATTAGCCAGGCATGGTTGCATGCACCTGTAGTCCAAGCTGCTTGGGAGGCTGAAGTGGGAGGATCACTTGAGCCCAGTAGTTCGAGGCTGCAGTGAGCTATGATTTTGTACCACTGCACTCCAGTCTGGGTGACAGAGTGAGACCCTGTCTCTAAAATGAAATGAAATAAAGAAATTGGAACACAGGAGGCAAAGGAATAATGTTTCCTATTATAATTTAATTAAAACCTTAATTTATTTTACAAGTGAGCTTTATAGTTTTGTTATTTGTACAAGTCATAATCCCACTTTATTGTAAGTTAGCCAGACAGTTTAAAATGAAGACACTCCAGAACAGTGGTTAAGTGTTCAGGGATGAAATACTGGCTCTCCCCCTTCTCAGCTGTGTGAACTTGGGGGTAAATTTTTCTTTCTGGGTCTCAGTTTCTTCATTTCTAAAACAAATATGAAGTTTGCATACACATAGCCACACATTCACATGCACATACTCCTTAGTCAAGAAATGAAATATATTGAAATTTGTGCATGTAAAAGGAGGATTATTGGAACAATACCATAAAATTGCCTGAATTGCCTGCAACCCAACTGTAGAAAGTGCTGTCAGACCTCATAGACCTAGACATTTACCAAATAGTCATTCTCTTTATCTCTTTACTTTGATTCAATATGGGCATAGTTGCATTCACCTATTATTCTCTGCAGATTGGCTTTCTCCATTTATTTTGCTGATCGTGGTTAAAAACAGTTAACCAGTGATGAGTCTGCCCAACCTCACCATTGCCTACCATCACTTACTCTGCTATAGTGCCCATATCTTGGTTCAAATTCACTGGTGAGACATTCAGATGTGTAGCTTGTCTGATAATGGTTGAATGTCTTTGAGTGAGGGTCCAAACCTGGTTGCATGAGTTGTGACCCTGTGGGTGGGGAGTGGATGCGAACAACCCAATAGCCCACTGCTTACTCCATAGGGGATGTAGGATGGAGAAGGCTCTCTGAGAAGAAGGCATGAACTGTGCAGATGAGATGACTTAGAAAATGACTGTCTCTTTGTAATCTATCATTAAACTGTACTTATTCTTTATTGTTATAATTAAAATAATAACAAAGGACTCTGAACTGCAAGTCAGGTAAACTATTTTCTAGTTTGGAGGAGGCCTATAGAACCATCTGAAGGCAATTTAAAAACTTTCCATGTCCAGGCTGCACCCCAGACTAATTAAATCACAATTGCAGAATTTCTGGAGATGGGACTTGGTTATCAGCATTTTTCAAAGCTTCCAGCTGATTCCAAATAGGTAACCAAGGTTGAGAAAAACTGTTCTCATCTCCTGCACTCAAGCAATCTTCCTGCCTCTGCCTCCCAGAGTGCTGGGATTACAGGGATGAGCTATCATGCTCAGCCGAGAAAAATTAGTCTTTATTTTTACTCTACTAGCTGTGTGACCAGTCACTAAACCGCAGCTGGCTTCAGTCTTCGCATCTGTAAAATATCAGGTATCCCTAAGGCCCTTCCAGCTCTAACTTGAGTTTCCAGATTCAGAGATGATTTGTCTGTAATCAATTTTTATTCAAAATATTTCAAGACAAGTATTATGAAGGATGCCATAAAAATTTACAAGTACAGATTAAAATAGGGTTTGAAGGTAGAATTTTTTTAAATTAATAATTAGTACAATAGCTGTAAATAAGCCTGAGTTTTATCCTTTGGGCAGTTAGCCTATGCTTTACCTCCCTAACCTTTTATCTGGCTGGATTTAAAAATTGATGGAAATGTTTAATGAAAAAGAAATACAAAGATATGTAGTTTTATTATTTTTTTTTCTGAGTTGAATATCCGGATAAGAATATGTAACTTACAGTAAGAAGCTCTGGCTTTTGGCTTTTGGTGTGATTTTTTTTTTTTTTTTTTTTTTTACCTTTATGCGAACTTCCTTTGCCTTTGGTGGGGCCACTTCTACCTCTTCAATAGAAAATGGTGCACCAGGCTTCCAGAGTATGGCTGCTTTGCATCTGATGACCTGGGAAATAGAATACAGGGGCAGAAAGAGAAGCTCCTTAAGCTTGGGAGTTGGAAGATTGCTATATTAGTGATTATAGAATCATTAAATTGGATTAGTCCAACTTTCCGCACTGCAGAAAAAAAAAAGAATAAATATATGCTGAAGGTAGTCTTTCTGACCCCAATTTAAGTTTTCTTGTACTATCAGCCTCTGTATTCAAATTAGTTTTGAAAATACCAACTATATTTACAAAATGTAACATGACCAAGAGGATAGATGTCATACTTTTAAAGATTTTAATTAAAAAAATTGTGCCTATTGGCCAGGCACGGTGGCTCACGCCTGTAATTCCAGCACTTTGGGAGGTCGAGGCGGGCGGATCACAAGGTCGGGAGTTTGAGACCAGCCTGACCAACATGGTGAAACCCTATCTCTACTAAAAATACAAAAATTAGCCAGGTGTGGTGGCCTGCACCTGTAATCCCAGCTACTCAGGAGGCTGAGGCAGGAGAATCGCTTGAACCTGGGAGACGGAAGTTGCAATGAGCTGAGATCATGCCACTGTACTCCAGTCTGTCAACAGAGCGAGACTCCATCTCAAAAAAAAAAAATTGTGCCTATTTATGGGGTACATGAAAAATTTTGTTAAATGTATATAATGTGTAGTGACCAAGTAAGGGTATTCAGGGTGTCCATTATCTGAGTATAATACATTTTTGTTGAGCATAGTGACCCTACTCTGGTATCAAACATTGAATTTATTCCTTCTATCTTATTGTATGTTTGTACTTTATTTTGTTTTTGTTTTTGAGATGGAGTCTCACTCTGTTGCCCAGGCTGGAGTGCAGTAGCACGATCTCGGCTCACTGCAAGCTCCGCCTTCCGGGTTCATGCCATTCTCCTGCCTCAGCCTCCTGAGTAGCTGGGACTACAGGCGCCCACCACCACGCCTGGCTAATTTTTTTGTATTTTTAGTAGAGACGGGGTTTCACTGTGTTAGCCAGGATGTTCTTGATCTCCTGACCTCGTGATCCGCCCACCTTGGCCTCCCAAAGTGCTGGGATTACAGGCGTGAGCCACCACGCCCGGCCATGTTTGTACCTTTTCACCCACTTCTCATCATCCTCTCCACTCACCCTTCCCAGTCTCTGTTATCTATTTTCCCACTCTCTACCTCCATGTGTTCAAATTTTTAGCTCCCACGTATGCGTAAGAACATGTGATATTTGTCTTTTTGTGCCTGGCTTATTTCACTTAAGATAATGATCTTCAGTTCTATCCCTGTTGCTGCAGATGACAGGATCTCATTCTTTTTTACGGCTGAATAGTACTCCATTGTGTATATGTACCGCATTTTGTTTATCCATTCATCTGTTGATGGATACTTAACGTTGATTCTATATCTTTGCTATTGTTAATAGTGCTGCAATAAACAGGCAAGTTCAGGTATACCTTTAATATACTATTTTCCTGTGGGTAGGTACCCAGTAGTGGGATTGCAGGTGTCATACTTTTTATATTACTATGAATAAAGTGGCCTGGTGGCTGTTTCAGGGTAGGAATGGCATTACAGTGTGGGAGTTATTTGTGATCCTAAGCATGGGAAAAATCAGTTTTGGGGTGGAAGGGTGAGTTATGGAGCAACGAATGGAGGCAATCATCAAATGGTGTCTCTTGGCAGATTGAGGTTGGAGAAGTTGTTGGTGGCAAGGTAGTTCTTAAAGGTTCTGATTTCAGGCCACCACTGTTGTCACTATAAATTCTCTTTCTGTGTGGTCTTATCTATTTTTGCAGATTCAACCACTACCTTTATGTGAGTAAACTATATTTATGGGACATATTTCTCCCTAAGTTATAGGCTAATGTATTCATTTGCTGTTTGAAGGTACTGGAGGTATCTCAAACTCAACATGTTAAAACATGAACATATCATTATTTCTTCTTCCCATCTCCACCTTCCACCACGCTCTAGTGGACAAAACACTCAATATATTCCTCCCTCTGCTACCTCTATTCAACTAGCAGCCATGCGATGTGTTCACTCACCCAAGTAGAAACCTGGGAAGTAGCCTCAATTTTTCTGTCCCTCAATCTTCACAGTCTAAATTTTTCTAGGATATGTGTCTTTTCTCCACTGCTGCTAGTACTAAAAAAGCTTTCTGCTTTATCTCTTTCTTGCTTTTACCACCTTCGAAATCACCTTTATACCATTGCCATTTGAAATATAATCCTAATCACACCAATCTCCTATCTAAAAATGATGTTGTTACCATTTGCTTACCTGGATCCGCTGACATCAGGATTTTCTCTCTGTCAGTCTCTCCAACCTTATTTCCTGTCACTTTGTGTTTCAGGCTTTACCTTTCAGCCCCCAAACATATTCTGAAGCTTCTTGCATGGGATATTTTCTCAGTCTCTGTATTACTCCTTATGTTGTTTTATCTGCCTGCACACACTTCTCCTTTACCTGGTGAATTCATATTTCTCCAGTGATTTCCCCTTCGGTATCACCTCTGGGAAGCCAAGCTGGGTTATGAGCTTTTCCTTGAGGCTCCCATTCTCTTTCTACTTTACTATCCTTGTATATTGCTTTATAATTGCTCTTTTATAATTATTGTCTCTCTGTGAGATCCTTGGAGAAGGGGATATATCTTTGACTCTGGAAATTCTGATAAAGGGCTTGGACATTACTTATTGAAGAGATGAAAGAACTGAGGGAAGTCAAAAGGGAATTAAGGAAAAAGGAGAGGAGGAGGAGAGATACTATGATTATGACAGCCTCTCACCTTTAGGAGCCCAGAGACTAGCTGGGTGATGAGATGTTGGTAAAGAGATGAGCACACAAACTGACAAAGATATGACACAACATAAAGAATAAGACTGCACCTACTTGGCCTGTAGTACTCATGCTGATTTTCTCCACCGCAGATGAATTTATTGAGAAAGGGAGATCCTGTAGCAACTTTCACTGTAGAAAGTACAAAGGTACACAGGCGACTGGTAGATCAGAAGGCTGGGTCCTGAGCTTTCTCTGTAGTCTGGTAATTATTAAACAGGAAAAGTAGGCTCTCCCGCTGCTTGATGGAAGTTCCTAAGTGTAATCTGAAATAGGCTCATCTCAGTGAAAGAGCACAAAAGGTGAAAATGCAAACTATTTTTTTCTCCCTTAATCAAACAGGTCCCCTCTTATTATCCATTTTTTTGAGTTTTAAATTTGGACTTTTAAATGTCCAAACTTAAAATTTCTAACAGAGTGTACAAAAGTATTTCTTTTCTGTTGTTTTCAAAATACAAAAATGGTCATATTTGTCTCTAAACTTGAGTAATTCTTTCAGGTTTCTGAATGTAGGCCCCTTGTTGACAGATAAGGATGGTGTCAGATTTTCTCTAGTAGTTTATCAAGAGCTCCTCACTCTTTGGTTTGCAGAGCTGGTTACTCAGAGGAAGTGAAACTAATTTGCATACAGGGCCTACCAACTTGGATTTGGACCCTAGAAAATCTCCGTGTGTGGACCTGGGTCTTGACCCAAGGCCCAAGGATCTTGATGAAGAATGGAGATAAAATACATTTCCAATAAAAGGCAACACCAGTGGGCAGGGTTTAGCTAGAAGACAAGAGAGAATAAGTAAATGCTTGTTCTGTGTCAAATGATACAATCATATGATTTTTCATTTTTAGCATGTTGATATGGTAGATTACATTGATTAATTTTCAAATGTTGAACCAGCCTTGCATACCTGGAAAAAAATCACACTTGATGTATAATTCTTTTTTATATATCAGTCACTGGATTCACTTTGCTAACATTCTGTTAAAGATTTTTGTGTCTATATTCATGAGAGTTATTAATGTTAGTTTTCTTCTTTTTTTGGCACCATCTTTGGTTTTGGTGTCACAGTAATATTAATTTTATAAAATGAACTTGGAAGTATTTTCACCTCTTCTATTTTATGGAGGAGATTGTGTAGAACTGTTATTCATTTTCATTTTTTCTTTTTAAAGATAGGTTCTTGCTTTGTCACCTAGGCTGAAGTGCAGTGGTGTGATCATAGCTCATTGCAGTCTCAACTTCCCAGCTTCAACTGATCCTCCCACCTCAGCCTCCTGAGTAGCTGGAACTACACATGTGTGTCACTAAGCCCAGCTAATTGTTGTATTTTTTGTAGAGGTGGGGTCTCATTATGTTGCCCAGACTGGTCTGGAGCTTCTGGGCTCAAGTGATCCACCCACCTTGGCCTTCCAAAGTGCTGGGATTACAGGCATGTGCCACCATTCCCAACCTATGTTAATTCTTTAAATGTTTGGTAGAATCTCCTTTTTGAGATGTCTTAAGTTATAAATTAAATTACCTTAATAATTATAAGGTTATACAAATAATCTATTTCTTATTTCATGAGTTTTCATACTTTGCAATTTTGAGGAATTGATCAACTTTACCTAAATTGTCAAATTTATCTGTGTAGAGTTGTTAATAGTGTTATTCCCTTATTATCTTTTTGATGTCTGCAGTGTCTGCAGCCATATTGTTTTATTCTTTTTTTTTGAGGTAGAGTTTCACTCTTGTCGCCCAGGCTGCAGTGCAGTGCTGTGATCTCTGCTCACTGCAACCTCCGCCTCCCGGGTTCAAGTGATTTTCCTGCCTCAGCCTCCCGAGTAGGTGGGATAACAGGCGTCCGCCACCATGACCAGCTAGTTTTTGTATTTTTTTAGTAGAGGCGGGGTTTTGTTATGTTGACCAGGCTGGTCTTGAACTCTTGACTGCAGGTGATCCACCCGCCTTGGCCTCCCAAAGTGCTGGGATTACAGGCATGAGCCACCACGCCAGGCCATTTTATTCTTAATATTAGTTATTTGTGTCTTCTTTTTTTCTTAGTTTATTAATTTTGTTGAACTTTTCAGCGCTCTTGTTTCTTCCATTTTTCTCTTCTGTTTCATTAATTTCTGTTCTTATTTTTCTTATTTCGTTTCTTCTGTTTGTTTTGGGTTTGTTTTGCTTTATTTCTTTTGTTTATTTCTGTCTGGGAACTGAGAGAAAATGTATATAACCTAGATTTCTGAGAACTTAGAGGCCTTGCTAAACTGTGATTTGGACAATGGCTAGGAGATAATGAGACATGGAGTTTGGTGGGGTTGGGGTATGGCATGGGTGGGTTCCAAAACAAAGAACTGCAAGTGTGAAGGCTCAGAGACAAGAGAGCCTGAGATCATTCTTTGAGGGGCAGACTTTGGGGGAAGCATTGAAAGGACCTCAGTGTGATTGAGGCATTGAATTCAAGGGGTGAAATGACAAAATGTGAGAATAACATGGAAGGTTGATGTAGAGAAAGGAGTCGCAGGCTGGGTGCAGTGGCTCACACCTGTAATCCCAGCACTTTGGGAGGCCTAGGTGGGGGGATCACCTGAGGTCAGGAGTTTGAGACCAGCCTGGCCAACATGGTGAAACCCTGTCTCTACAAAAAAAATACAAAAATTAGCCAGATGTGGTGGTGCACCCCTATAATCCCAGCTATTTGGGAGGCTGAGGCATAAGAATTGCTTGAACTCGGGAGGCAGAGGCTGCAGTGAGTCAAGATCATGCCATTGCACTCTAGCCTGGGCGACAGAGTGAGACTCTATTTCAAAAAAAAGAAAGGAGTAGTTGAGAATCCAGGAGAATCTACTCAATTGGTAACTGGCTATGTAATTCTGGAAGTTCACTGTACTTCTTTGGGTCTTGATTTCCCTCTCCATAAATGAAAGAGACAGTCAAGTGATGTCAGAGCTTACATCAGCTCATATCCTGTAAATGCTAAGTTCAAGAGGTTCCTCTAACAAATGGCTTCTGTTTGTGGGGTGGAATGGGTTAATACCATTCTTGCCTAAGAGTCTTTGCATAAGCTCTGGAGGCTTGGCCTGCATTTTTTTTCCTCTCAGGGAAGTTTATCCCAGATCCTCTATAGCACATTTTATTCTGTTACCACACATCGTGCTAATGTTACAAAGGCAATATTAATGTTTTACCACTGGTGCCAACATCAAATGCTCCTAAGTCATAAAAAAAAGAATTATCAAGTCAATTCCAATAAAGTGTATTTAAACAGAAGTAGTATTTCCTGATAGCTATTTCAGCAATGTAAATTGCATGAGGTCTTTGTGAATAAGTTAATGAAAAAAGCCTTCTTCCTGGGTTAAGTTCTGGAATTAAGTTTCAAGGTAGGGATAATACTGTTTAAAATAAATTTCTAGGGCTCATTAGTAGTCATTACCTATTAGTCATAGTTAATGTGAGTGGCAGAAATGGCAGATTTTCTGTTCTTTTTATTGCTTCTCAACTTTGCACAAGTGGCCATTCCATAAATAAAAGCATGCTTTCCGTCAAATTGTTATCAATGCCTATCTCATCTCCTCAGATAATTAGATTTACTCTTTGCATTTACCCCAAAACTTTGGTGACTTTGATCTTTAAGTATTTTTGAGAATTAATTTTAAAAATGCACGATAACTCTGTGTTTTCTAACCTTCAGCTTAGTTTTTCTCACAAACACTGTTGTATGAAACATTGTGTTAGCCTGATGCTTTGAATATGAATACCTGCAATTTTGCTAAATTCTCAGCGTGTTTGTTTTTTCTATAAAGGTGAAGCTTCTAATCCACTGTTAGCAATGTAGGGGTGTCTTTTGCTTTTCTAGGACTAGTGATGGATGGATTTCAATACTCCCTCGCTGTTGGTGACTGATGGAATGCACCCATTTGAATACCGCCTGGGTATAGGAGTCAAATATTTAGTTAAAGATTTTTAAAGATAGCTAATTAAAGGTAAATTTAAAAATTCTATAAATCTATTTGATTACATTGTTTTTTTATTATTATACTTTAAGTTTTAGGGTACATGTGCACAATGTGCAGGTTAGTTACATATGTATAAATGTGACATGCTGGTGCGCTGCACCCACTAACTCGTCATCTAGCATTAGGTATATCTCCTAATGCTATCCCTCCCCCCTCCCCCCACCCCACAACAGTCCTCAGAGTGTGATGTTCCCCTTCCTGTGTCCATGTGTTCTCATTGTTCAGTTCCCACCTATGAGTGAGAATATGCAGTGTTTGGTTTTTTGTTCTTGCGATAGTTTACTGAGAATGATGATTTCCAATTTCATCCATGTTCCTACAAAGGACATGAACTCATCATTTTTTATGGCTGCATAGTATTCCATGGTGTATATGTGCCACATTTTCTTAATCCAGTCTATCATTGTTGGACATTTGGGTTGGTTCCAAGTCTTTGCTATTGTGAATAGTGCCGCAATAAACATACGTGTGCATGTGTCTTTATAGCAGCATGATTTATAGTCCTTTGGATATATACCCAGTAATGCGATGGCTGAGTCAAATGGTATTTCTAGTTCTAGATCCCTGAGGAATCGCCACACTGCCTTCCACAATGGTTGAACTAGTTTACAGTCCCACCAACAGTGTAAAAGTGTTCCTATTTCTCCACATCCTCTGCAGCACTTGTTGTTTCCTGACTTTTTAATGATTGCCATTCTAACTGGTGTGAGATGATATCTCACTGTGGTTTTGATTTGCATTTCTCTGATGGCCAGTGATGGTGAGCATTTTTTCATGTGTTTTTTGGCTGTATAAATGTCTTCTTTTGAGAAGTGTGTGTTCATGTGCTTCGCCCACTTGTTGATGGGGTTGTTTGTTTTTTTCGTGTAAATTTGTTTGAGTTCATTGTAGATTCTGGATATTAGCCCTTTGTCAGATGAGTAGGTTGCGAAAATTTTCTCCCATTTTGTGGGTTGCCTGTTCACTCTGATGGTAGTTTCTTTTGCTGTGCAGAAGCTCTTGAGTTTAATTAGATCCCATTTGTCAATTTTGGCTTTTGTTGCCATTGCTTTTGGTGTTTTAGACATGAAGTCCTTGCCCATGCCTATGTCCTGAATGGTGATGCCTAGGTTTTCTTCTAGGGTTTTTATGGTTTTAGGTCTAACGTTTAAGTCTTTAATCCATCTTGAATTGATTTTTGTATAAGGTGTAAGGAAGGGATCCAGTTTCAGCTTTCTACATATGACTAGCCAGTTTTCCCAGCAGCATTTATTAAATAGGGAATCCTTTCCCCATTGCTTGTTTTTCTCAGGTTTGTCAGAGATCAGATGGTTGTAGATATGTGGCATTATTTCTGAGGGCTCTGTTCTGTTCCATTGGTCTATATCTCTGTTTTGGTACCAGTACCATGCTGTTTTGGTTACTGTAGCCTTGTAGTATAGTTTGAAGTCAGGTAGTGGGATGCCTCCAGCTTTATTCTTTTGGCTTAGGATTGACTTGGCGATGCACGCTCTTTTTTGGTTCCATATGAACTCGAAAGTAGTTTTTTCCAATTCTGTGAAGAAAGTCATTGGTAGCTTGATGGGGATGGCATTGAATCTATAAATTACCTTGGGCAGTATGGCCATTTTCACGATGTTGATTCTTCCTATCCATGAGCATGGAATGTTCTTCCATTTGTTTGTATCCTCTTTTATTTCATTGAGCAGTGGTTTGTAGTTCTCTTTGAAGAGGTTCTTCACGTCCCTTGTGAGTTGGATTGCTAGGTATTTTATTCTCTTTGAAGGCAATTGTGAATGGGAGTTCACTCATGATTTGGCTCTCTGTTTGTCTGTTATTGGTGTGTAAGAATGCTTGTGATTTTTGCACATTGATTTTGTATCCTGAGACTTTGCTGAAATTGCCTATCAGCTTAAGGAGATTTTGGACTGAGACAATGGGGTTTTATAGATATACAATCATGTCATCTGCAAACAGGGACAATTTGACTTCCTCTTTTCCTAATTGAATACCCTTTATTTCCTTCTCTTGCCTGATTGCCCTGGCCAGAACTTCCAACACTATGTTGAATAGGAGTGGTGAGAGAGGGCATCCCTGTCTTGTGCCAGTTTTCAAAGGGAATGCTTCCAGTTTTTGCCCATTCAGTATGATATTGGCTGTGGGTTTGTCATAGATAGCTCTTATTATTTTGAGATACATCCCATCAATACCTAATTTATTGAGAGTTTTTAGCATGAAGGAGTGTTGAATTTTGTCAAAGGCCTTCTGTGCATCTATTGAGATAATCATGTGGTTTTTGTCATTGGTTCGGTTTATATGCTGGATTATGTTTATTGATTTGTGTATGTTGAACCAGCCTTGCATCCCAGGGATGAAGCTCACTTGATCATGGTGGATAAGCTTTTTGATGTGCTGCTGGATTCGGTTTGCCAGTATTTTATTGAGGATTTTTGCATTGATGTTCATCAGGGATATTGGTCTAAAATTCTCTTTTTTGTTGTCTGTCTGCCAGGCTTTGGTTTCAGGATGATGCTGGCCTACTTTCTATACTATTTCTATATGGCTGTAACATTTAAAATTACTACCCGCCTGTAATCCCAGCACTTTGGGAGGCCAAGGCGGGCGGATCATGAGGAAAGGAGATCAAGACCATCCTGGCTAACATGGTGAAACCCCGTCTCTACTAAAAATACAAAAATTTATCCGAGCGTGGTGGCAGGTGCCTGTAGTCCCAGCTACTCAGGAGGCTGAGGCAGGAGAATGGCGAGAACCCAGGAGGCAGAGCTTGCAGTGAGCTGAGATCACGCTACTGCACTCCAGCACTACAGCCTGGGTGACAGAGCAAGGCTCCATCTCAAAAAAAAAAAAAAATTACTACCAACAGTGTGCAAAGATTCCTGTTTCTCTGTATCCTCACTAACACTTGTTATCTTTGGTTTTTCATAATTGTGACCTAATAGGTGTGCGTGATAGCTCATTGTGGTTTTGATTTTCATTTCCTTGATAATTAGTGATATTAAGAATTTTTTTCATATACATGTTGGCTGTTTGTATGTCTTCTTTGAAGGAATGTCTGTTCAGGTTCTTTGCCCATTTTTAAGTTGGTTTATTTGCTTTCTTGCTATTGAGCTGTTTGAGTTCCTTATACATTTTGGATGTTAACCCCTTAGGTGTACGGTTTGCAAATATTTTCTCCCATTCCATAGATTGTGTCTTCAGTCTGTCAATTGTTTTATTTTCTGGGCAGGAACTTTTCAGTTTGATATAATCCCATTTGTCTATTTTGCTTTTGTTGCCTGTGTTTTGGGGTCATATCCAGGGAATCATTTCCTAGACAAAAATTGTGGAGCTTCCCCTCTGTGTTTTTTTTCTAGTGGTTTTAGTAGTTTTACAAGTTTTAAGTCTTATGTTTATGTTTTTAATCCATTTTGAGTAGATTTTTGTGTGTGTGGTGTGGGATAAGAGTCCAATTTTATTCTTTTAAGTGTGGATATTCAATTTTCCCTACACTGTTTATTAAATAGATTATCTTTTCTGCATTGTACATTCTTGACACCCTTGTCAAAGTTCAGTTGATTATATATACAGAGTTTTATTTCTGGACTCTTTATTCTGTTCCATTGGTTTATATGTCTGTTTTTAAGCCAGTAACATTCTGTTATGATTTCTGTAGCTTTGTAATATGTTTCAAAATTAGGAAGTGTGATACCTCCAGTGTTGTCCTTTTTCAGTATTGCTTTACTATTTGTAGTCTTTTGTGCTTCTATATGAAATTTAGAATTTCTTTCTATTTAAAAAATCCAATTGGAATTTTGATAGAGATTGTATTGAATCTCTAGATCTCTTAGGGTAGTGTGGAGACCTTACCAATATTAATTCTTCCAATTCATGAACATGGGGTATCTTTCCATTTGTTTGTATCTTGTTTGTTTTTCTTCAGTGTTTTGTAGTGAATGGTGTTCAAATCTTCACCTCCTTAGTTAAGTTTATTTCTAGGTATTTGATTCTTTTTAGTGTCATAAATGGGAATAAATGGGATTATTTTCTAATTTCCTTTTTAGATAGTTCATTGTTAGTGTATATAAATGTGACTGATTTTTTTTAAATTATACTTTAAGTTCCGGGGTACATGTTCAGAACGTGCAAGTTTGTTACATAGGTATACACATGCCATGGTGGTTTGCTGCACCCATAAACCCATCATCTACATTAGGTGTTTCTCCTAATGCTATCCCTCCCCTAGCCTCCCCGCACATGACAGGCCTCAGTGTGTGATGTTCCCCTCCCTGTGTCTGTGTAGTTCTGATTGTTCAACTCCTGCTTATGAGTGAGAACATGCGGTGTTTGGTTTTCTGTTCTTGTGTTAGTTTGCTGAGAATGATGGTTTCCAGCACAATTCATGTCCCTGCAAAGGACATGAACTCATCCTTTTTTATGGCTGCATAGTATTCCATGGTGTATATGTGCCACATTTTCTTTATCCAGTCGGTCATTGGTGGACATTGGGTTAGTTCCAAGTCTTTGCTATTGTGAATAGAGTCACAATAAACATATGTGTGCATGTGTCTTTACAGTAGAATAATTTACAATCCTTTGGGTAGATACCTAGTAATGAAATTGCTGGATCAAATGGTATTTCTAGTTCTAGATCCTTGAGGAATTGCCACATTGACTTCCACAGTGGTTGAACTAATTTACACTCTCACCAACAGTGTAAAAGCGTTCCTATTTCTCCACATCCTCTCCAGCGTCTGTTGTTTCCTGACTTTTTGATATCGCTGTTCTAACTGGCATGAGATAGTATCTCATTGTGGTTTTGATTTGCACTTCTCTAATGACAAGAGATGAGCTTTTTTTCCTATGTTTGTTGGCTGCATAAATGTCTTCTTTTGAGAAGTGTCTGTCATATCCTTTGCCCACTTTTTAATGGTATTTTTTTCTTGTAAATTTAAATTTAAGTTCCTTGTAGATTCTGGATATTAGCCTGTTATCGAATGGATAGATTGCAAACATTTTCTCCCATTCTGTAGGTTGCCTGTTCACTCTGAAGATAGTGTCTTTTGCTGTGCAGAAACTCTTTAGTTTAATCAGATCCCATTTGTCAATTTTGGCTTTCGTTGCCCTTGCTTTTGGTGTTTTGGTCATGAAGTCTTTGCCCATGCCTGTGTCCTGAATGGTATTGCCTAGGTTTTCTTCTAGGGTTTTTATGGTTTTAGGTTTTACATTTAAGTCTTTAATCCATCTTGAGTTAACTTTTGTATAAGGTGTAAGTAAGGGATTCAGTTTCAGCTTTCTGCATATGGCTAGCCAGTTTTTTCAGCAGCATTTATTAAATAGGGAATCCTTTCCCATTGCTGTTTTTGTCAAAGATCAGATGGTTGTAGATGTGTGGTGTTATTCCTGAAGCCTCTGTTCTGTCCCATTGGTCTATATGTCTGTTTTGGTAGCAGTACCATGCTGTATTGATTACTGTAGCCTTGTAGTATAGTTTGAAGTCAGGTAGCATGATGCCTCCAGCTTTGTTCTGTTTGCTTAGGATTGTTTTGGCTATGTGGGCTCTTTTTTGGTTACATATGAAATTTAAAGTTGTTTTTTCCAATTCTGTGAAGAAAGTCAATGGTAGCTTGATGGGGATAGCATTGAGTTTATATATTACTTTGGGTAGTATGGCCACTTTCATAATATTGATTCTTCCTATCCATGAGCATGAAATATTTTTCCTTTTGTTTGTGTCCTCTCTTATTTCCTTGAGCAGTGGTGTGTAGTTCTACTTGAAGAATCTGTCATGTCCCTTGTAAGTTGCATTCCTCGGTATTTTATTCTCTTTGTAGCAATTTAAATGGGAGTTCACTCATGATTTGGCTCTCTGCTTGTCTATTGTTGATGTAGAGGAATGCTTGTGATTTTTGCACATTGACTTTGTATCCTGAGACTTTGCTGAAGTTGCTTAACTGCTTAAGGAGATTTTGGGCTGAGATAATGGGGTTTTCTGAATATACAATCATGTAATCTTCAAACAGAGGCAATTTGACTTCCTCTCTTCCTATTTGAATACCTTTATTTCTTTCTCTTGCCTGATTGTCCTGGCCAGAACTTCCAATACTATGTTGAATAGGAGTGGTGAGAGAGGGCATCCTTGTCTTGTGCTGGTTTTCAAAGGGAGTGCTTCCAGCTTTTGCCCATTCAGTATGATATTGGCTATGGGGTTTGTTATAAGTAGCTCTTATTATTTTGGGATATGTTCCATCAATATCTAGTTTATTGAGAGATTTTAGCATGAAGGGATGTTGAATTTTATTGAAGGTCTTTTTCTGCATCTATTGAGATAATCATGTGGTCCTTGTCACTGGTTCTGTTTATGTGATGGATTATGTCTATTGATTCGCATATGTTGAACCAGCCCTTGCATCCCAGGGATGAGGCCAACTTGATCATGGTTGATAAGCTTTTTGATGTGCTGCTGGGTTCAGTTTGCCAGTATTTTATTTAGGATTTTTGCACTGATGTTCATCAGGGATATTGGCTTGAAATTTTCTTTTTTTGTTGTGTCTCTGCCAGATTTTGGTATCAGGATGTTGCTCGTCTCAAAAAAATGAGTTAAGGAGAATTCCTTCTTTTTCTATTGTTTGGAATGGTTTCAGAAGCTCCTCTTTGTACCTCTGGTATAATTTGGCTGTGAATCCATCTGGTCCTGGACTTTTTTTGGTTGGTAGGCTATTAATTACTGCCTCAATTTCAGAACTTGTTATTGGTCTATTCAGGAATTTGACTTTTTCCTGGTTTAGTCTTGGGAGGTTGTATGTGTCCAGGAATTTATCCATTTCTTCTAGATTTTCTAGTTTATTTGCATAGAGGTGTTTATTGTATTCTCTGATGGTAGTTTGTATTTCTATGGGATCAGTGGTGATATCCCCTTTATCATTTTTTTATTACATCTATTTGATTCTTCTCTCTTTTCTCCTTTATTAGTCTAGCTAGTGGTCTATCTATTTTGTTAATCTTTTCAAAAAACCAACTCCTGGATTCATTGGTTTTTTGAAGGGTTTTTTTTTTTGTGTCTCTATCTCCTTCAGTTCTGCTTTGATCTTAGTTATTTCTTGTCTTCTGCTAGCTTTTGAGTTTGTTTGCTCTTGCTTCTCTAGTTCTTTTAATTGTGATGTTAGGGTGTTGATTTTAGATATTTCCTGTTTCCTCTTGTGGGCATTTGGTACTATAAATTTCCCTCTACACACTGCTTTAAATGTGCCTCAGAGATTCTGGTACATTGTATCTTTGTTGTCATTGGTTTCAAAGAACATCTTTATTTCTTCCTTCATTTTGTTATTTACCTAGTAGTCAATCAGGAGCAGGTTGTTCTGTTTCCATGTAGTTGTGCAGTTTTGATTGAGTTTCTTAACTCTGAGTTCTAATTTGTTTGCACTGTGGTCTGAAAGACTGTTTGTTATGATTCCCATTCTTTTGCATTTGCTGAGGAGTGTTTTACTTTCAATTTGTGGTTGATTTTAGAATAAGTGCTATGTGGGGCTAAGAATAATGTATATTTTGCTGATTTTGGATAGAGAGTTCTGTAGATGTCTATTAGGTCTGCTTGGTCCAGAGCTCAGTTCAAGTCCTGAACATCCTTGTTAATTTTCTGTCTCATTGATCTGTCTAATATTGACAGTGGGGTGTTAAAGTCTCCCACATTATTGTGTGGGTGTCTAAGTCTCTTTGTGGGTCTCTAAGAACTTGTTTTATGAATCTGGGTGTTCTTGTATTGGGAGCATATATATTTAGGATAGTTAGCTTTTCTTGTTACATTGATCCCTTTACCATTATGTAATGCCCTTCTTTGTCTTTTTTGATCTTTGTTTTCTTAAAGTCTGCCTTATCAGAAACTAGAATGGTAGCCTCTGCTTTTTTTTGCTTTCCATTGCTTGGTAAATATTTCTTTATCCCTTTATTTTGAGCCTATATGCATCTTTGCACATGAGATGGGTCTCCTGAATATAGCACACCAATGGGTCTTGACTCTTTATCTAATTTGCCAGTCTGTGTCTTTTAATTGGGAAATTTAGATCATTTACATTTAAGGTGAATATTGTTATGTGTGAATTTGATCCATCATCATGATGCTAGCTGGTTATTTTGTATATTAGTTGAAGTGGTTTCTTCATAGTGTCATTGGTCTTTACATTTTGGTGTGGTTTTGCAGTGGCTGGTACCAGTTTTTCCTTTCCATAGTTAGTGCTTTCATAGTACCTCTTGTAAGGCAGGTCTGGTGGTGACAAAATTCCTCAGCATTTTCTTGTCTGTAAAGGATTTTATTTCTCTTTTGCTTATGAAAGTTAATTTGGCTGGATATGAAATTGTGGGTTGAAAATACTTTTCTTCAAGTATTTTGAATATTGGCCCCTAATCTCATCTGACTTATAGGGTTTCTGCAGGGAGACCCACTGTTAGTCTGATGGGGTTCCCTTTCTAGGTAACCTGGCCTTTCTTTCTGGCTGCCCTTAACATTTTTTCCTTCATTTCAACCTTGGTGAATCTGATGATTGTGTGTCTTGGGGTTGCTCTTTTTAGGGAGACCCCCTGAAACTATTGCTACGCAATAAAAGATGAAATGCTCCTGATTATTGTAAATACAAAATTGCATGCAGGATTGTGTAAAGACAGTGCCAGGTTGGACTGCCAGAATGAGCCAACAGTGTGTGATGTGCTTCCCCCTGCAGAGAGCCTATGAATGGACGTGCAGTCAGGGAGGCTTCACATTACCAAGATTCCTATCCCAGAAAAGCAGATGTTCATAGCTCTGGGAATGGAATACAACCGTTGTGGAGAGCCTATAAATGGACACATGGGGGGTGCCTGTCCATATGGATAAGATAGGGCTATAAACACCCTCATCTTGCCATGGCTCTTCTAGGCCTCTTTAGGGTTAAGGCATACTCCCTTCTGAGAATTTCTGGTCTAACCAGTTGTCTAGCTTCACGTCCTGTTTCTATGGATTGTTTGTAACCAGCTTTTGCTGCAACTGTTACTGCTGATTAATATCTTGCTAATCATAGGTTACGGAAAGACTGTGTTTCTATTTTAAGGCTCTGTTAGAAATTACTGAAGCACACACTATATTGTAAATTCTTATCCCTGTATAGTGTACTTCAGCATACGGATGTTATGTTAAAGAACTACTTCATCCCCATGTGACCATCTCACCTCATAATCAAATGACCCTAAATCCCTCACTAACCTACCCCTGCCCTCACTAAACTTAATAATAAATTCTGGTATATCCAGTGCATTGTTGGCACCACGGGACCAGATGGCGGTGACCCCCTGGACCCAGCTTTCACTATCTTGTGTTTGTCTATTATTTCTCGACCTGCTAATCCACCTGGGAAGAAAGAGAGAGTCCCTGCATTGCGAGCTGCTGGCCAGATCCTTGAGGAGTATCTTTGTGGTGTTCTCTGTATTTCCTGAATTTGAAACTTGACCTCTCTTGCTGAGTTGGGGAAGTTCTCCTGGATTATCCTGAAGTGTGTTTTCCAACTTGGTTCTATTCTCCCTGTCACTTTCAGGTATACCAATCAATCATAGGTTTGGTCATTTCACATAGTCCCATAATTCTTGGAGGCTTTTTTCATTCCTTTCCATTCTTTTTTCTCTAATCTTGTCTTCATGGTTTATTTTAGTAAGTTGATCTTCAATTTCTGATATGTCATGAAACTTTAAAATTTTCTTTTCAATTTCTTCTTTGACTAAATGTTTGGTCAAGAGAATACTATTTAATTTTTACATATTTGTGAATTTTCCAGCTTTCTTTTATCATTAATTTTAAATTTCATTCCATTGTGGTCAGAAAAGATACTTGATATAATTTCAATCTTCTTAAATTTGTTAAATTCTGTTTCAAACCTAACATGTGATCTATCCTGGAGAACCATCAATGTTCCCTGGCAAAGAATGAGTATTCTGCTTCTCTGTTAGGTGAAGTGTTTTGTATATATCTGTTAGGATCATTTGATCTGTAGAATTGTTCAGTTCTGCTGTTTACTTATGGACTTTATGTCTGGATGGCCTATCCATTATAGAGAGTGGGATGTTTGATTCTACTACTGTTACTGTATTGTTGTCTATTTCTAGCTTCAAATATATCAATGTTAGTGTGCTCTGGTGTTGGGTGCATATATAGTTATAATTGTTACATATTCTACTATAGTGATCATTTTATCATTATATTATGTTCTTCTTTGACTATTTTTTTTTTTTAGATGGAGTTTCACTCTTGTTGCCCAGGCTGGAGTGCAGTGTTGTGATGTCGGGTCACTGAAACCTCTGCCTCCTGGGTTCAAGTGATTCTCCTGCCTCAGCCTCCTGAGTAGCTGGGATTACAGGCACCTGCCACCATGCCTGGCTATTTTTTATTTTTATTTTTAGTAGAGATGGGGTTTCGCCATGCTGGCCAGGCTGGTCTCAAACTCCTGATCTCAGGTCATCCACCTGCCTCTGCCTCCCAAAGTGCTGGGATTACAGGCATGAGTCACTGTGCCCAGCCCTTCTTTGACTCTTATAACAGATTTGAATCAAAGTCTATTTTGTCTTGCGTAAGTATAGCTACTCCTGCTCTATTCTGGTTACCATTTTCATAGAATATCTTTTTCTATACCTTTATTAATAGCCTATATGTATCTTTAAATGTAAAGTAAGCTTTCTTGTAGACAGCATGCAGTTGGGTCTTTTTTTTCTTTAAGAAACTATTGAGACACTCTTTGTCTAGAGCAAACGCAGTGAAGTAGTGATTTTAATCCACTTGCATTTAAGGTAATTATTGACAAGCAAGGATTTACTATAGCCATTTTATTAGTTGTTTGCTGTTAAACTTATCTTTCATCTGTGTTTTTATCTATTGTTGTTTTCCTTGTTTTTGGTGACATTTTATATTGATGTGCTGTGATTCCTTTCTCCTTTCTTCAGTGTAATTTATATATATATATATAGTGGTTACCTTGGGCTTACTTAAACTATCTTATTATAACAGTCTATTTTTAGTTGCTAACAATTAGTTTCATTGCATTTAAAGACTCTATACTTTAACTACCCCCATACACTTTTTGTTATTGGTATTATAATTTACATATATTCATACATGTATCTGTAACATACTTTTTGATTATAGTTATATTTAATATATTTGTGTTTAAACATTTTATTAGAATTAAAAGAGCTTTAACCAGGGCCGGTGCGGTGGCTCATGCCGGTAATTCCAGCACTTTGGGAATCTATTTTTTCTATTTTTCCTTCCAACCTCAGATGAACTACTTCTCCACTCCTAATCTTGGTCTCCACATCTGTTAAATGAGGAGAATGATCTATACCAGTTTTATGGGCCTGCTCAGCACTAATGCATTCCACTCCAGAATAAAATTTTGGAAAATGTGTTTATCTGTCTTTCCAACCACAACAAATTACTTCCATGTACTCTCTGCCGATTGACTTCTTAAAGCAAACTCCAGTATCAGATCCCTTCTGAATGGCTTCAGTGAGTTATTTGGGTCATTCCAGCTTTGGGAAGAATTCCAATAAATCATCAGCAAAATTCCACATGCCATGGGGGTAAAAAGCAACTTCTTTCCCTCCTTCCTGGCCTGGGTTTTTGGAAGTGACTCTCTCCACTCTGTCCGTGTGCATTCAGTAGGAATGCATTTGGATGGAAAGTATCCTGGGCTAGACCCTCATTCATTACCACACCCTCCCTTGGACTCTTGCACCAGTGCCCTTGCTGGTCTCCCCAACCCCAGGTTACTAGGAGTAGTTCACCAACTTTAGTATGTACAAGAATGACTCAGGGAGCAGACTTAAAGTGCATATTTTCAGGTTTCACCTTGGGCATTTCTGTTTCAGTAGGAAGACAGTAGCCCCAGGACCATACTTTGAGAAACACTGAACTACAGCACAGGGTGCTTGTAGGGAATGCACATTAAGGCCAGGGAGGACAGGGCCAAATCACTGGGGGCCTTCAATACCAGGATTAGTAATCAGGGTCTTGGACTTTCTGTGCTAAGTGATTAATGGAAAGGCAAGTTAGGCTCTATGGACTAGGGTAGAAGCAACATGAGAATTTTGGTCTGGTGGGAGCATTTACCTGGTGAGAAATTTTAAGGGAAGAAATGATGCACACCTTGTATTGGCCTAACTAATAGGGTGGTGCTATGGAAGGAAACTGGCAGACATTACAGAGAAAACCTGATTCATGTGCTCCATAGCGAAATCCTCAGGGCTTCTGGAGAATTCGTCAACTGAAATTGTTTTCTTTGACAGTACAAGTAAGCTTATTTAAAGACAGAACTAACCTCTTCTCTAGCTGCCTGCTAGTCAGTTTCCTTACCTTCCTACCAATGTGTGAACACTATTCAGTCTTCCCAGATTTTGTTTTCTGCAGAAATTCTTTCCTCTCTCACCTGTCTCTTATATAAGAGTCTTGTTTTTATTTTTGTTCCTTTACTCTTCTAACCAACAGACACCCTCAGAGGCAATTAAATCCTCTGTTTATAAAATAACTAAATGTCCTTAAGTCATTCTTTGCCAGTTTATTTCTGGAAGATCCATAGAAGTGTTGTTCACCTGGATCTATCATAGCAGATATATAATTGGATAGGGAAAGGGTTTCTGTAACATTCTTCATCAAGATATTTTAAAAACACTTAAGTATCTTCTCACAAATCAACATAATCCTACTAGTCAGAGATAGCCACTTCAACATTTGGAACAAAGACTCCCAGATTTATTTGTTTGTTTATTTATACATACCAAAACAAGATCATAACATATGTGTTGTTTTGCAAACTGCCTTAGATGCCTGGATTTGTTTTTAAACTTAACAATGTATTGTAGGTATGTTTCCATATCAACAAAGGGAGAGCTTTTTTCATCATTTAAAAAAGCTGTGTGGTATAACATTATATAGATAAATATTTATTTAGTTGATTGCAACTGTTGGAAATTTAGGTTGTTTCAAGTTTTTACTTTTATAAACCATGTTTACATGACTATCCTTAAACAAACATGTATGGAAAGTTCTTCATGCTCTGTCTCCTTCCTGCCTCTCTAGTCTCATTTATTGTACTTCCCCACCTGTTCTTTATATGCATATCATAATGAACTACAATTCCTTTTAGGTACCATGCATTCTCCTCCCTCTGAGCATTTGCACGTTATTCCATTTCCTCAGAATACTCTTCCTAATCTCTCACTGCCAGGCTAATCTTTACTCTACTTAGATCCTTTCCTCTGGGAAATTTGTTGGATTCTTTGAGTTACACTAGCTAATGGTGTAACTACATACTGCAGGAGAACCCTGACCTACCTAGGCGTCATTATAACTGAATATGTAGCCCAAAGTCTCTTCTTGCTTGTAACTCCATGAGAGCTGAGGATGGGGAGCACAGCATTTTTTTTCACTGCTGATCCCCCACATCTACAGCCATGCATGGCATATAGAAGGTTCTTGAAAGTATGTATTGAACAAAATGGAGACATTTATTAATTTGTTGTGTGCTTAGGATACATTGCCAGAAGAAAAGTTGCTGGGATAGGGAATGCTTAAGACTTTTGTTATGTTACATCAAATTGCCTCCAAATAGAAGCACAAGTTTCTCTACATCTTGGCATATATTGAGTGTTATTTTATGTTTTGCCAACCTGATATACAGAATTATTATCTCATTATTTGATTTACATTTCTTTTTTGGTGAATTACTATTAATGTCATTTTCCAATTTGTATTGGGGTATTTATCACATTTTTATTAATTTGTAAGGAATATTTATATATTAAGTTATTTACATATTACTATTTCTTTTTTTTTTGGAGATGGAGTCTTGCTGTCTCCCAGGCACAATGCCATTATTTCCTTTCAAGCCTTTTGTCTTCACCAAACTGTTATAATCATTACCTCATTTGGGGTTGGGAGATTGGGAAAAACTTAGCTCCTCTTATCCTGCTTTTTTTCTCATTTTTTTTTTATCTCTATCTTAGGTCATTTCCATTCTCAATTCTTCAGCTTTTGAAACACAAAAGCCAAGAGAAGAATTTCTTTTACCACTGTTTCAATTACAATATCCCTTCCTGAGATATGGGACTTAGAATAGCATAATTTGCTTAATGGGGGAAGGTCTAAGTCTCTTTGTAGGTCTCTAAGGACTTGCTTTATGAATCTGGGTGCTCCTGTATTGGGTGCATATATATTTAGGATAGTTAGGTCTTCTTGGTGAATTGATCCCTTTACCATTATGTAATGGCCTTCTTTGTCTCTTTTGATCTTTGTTGGTTTAAAGTCTGTTTTATCAGAGACTAGAATTGCAACCCCTGCTTTTTTTTTTTTTTTTTTTTTTTTGCTTTCCATTGCTTGGTAGATCTTCCTCCATCCCTTTATTTTGAGCCTATGTGTGTCTCTGCACGTGAGATGAGTCTCCTGAATACAGCACACTGATGGGTCTTGACTCTTTATCCAATTTGCAAGTCTGTGTCTTTTAATTGGTGCATTTAGCCCATTTACATTTAAGGTTAATATTGTTAGGTGTGAATCTGATCCTTTCATTTTGATGTTAGCTGGTTATTTTGCTCATTAGTTGATGCAGTTTCTTCCTAGCATCAGTGGTCTTTACAGTTTGGCATGTTTATACAATGGCTGGTACTGGTTGTTCCTTTCCATGTTTAGCTCTTTCTTCTGGAGGTCTTGTAAGGCAGGCCTGGTGGTGACAAAATCTCTCAGTATTTGTCTGTAAAGGATTTTATTTCTCCTTCACTTATGAAACTTAGTTTGACTGGATATGAAATTCTGGGTTGAAAATTCTTTCTTTAAGAATGTAGAATATTGGCCCCCACTCTCTTCTGGCTTGAAGAGTTTCTGCTGAGAGATCAGCTGTTAGTCTGATGGGCTTCCCTTCATAGGTAACCCGACCTTTCTCTCTGGCTGCCCTTAACATTTTTTCTTTCATTTCAACCTTGGTGAATCTTACAATTATGTGTCTAGGCATTCCTCTTCTCAAGGAGTATCTTTGTGGTGTCCTCTGTATTTCCTGAATTTGAATGTTGGCTTGCCTTGCTAGGTTGGGGAGGTTTTCCTGGATAATATCCTGAAGAGTGTTTTTCCAGTTTGGTTCCATTCTCCCCATCACTTTCAGGTATGCCAATCAAAAGTAGATTTGGTCTTTTCACATAGTCCCATATTTCTTGGAGGCTTTATTCATTTCTTTTTACTCTTTTTTCTCTAATCTTCTCTTCTCACTTCATTTCATTAATGTGATCTTCAATTGCTGATACCCTTTCTTCCACTTGATTGAATCAGTTACTGAAGCTTGTGCATGTATCACGTAGTTCTCGTGCCATGGTTTTCGGTTCCATCAGGTCATGTAAGCTCTTCTTTACACTGTTTATTCTAGTTAGCCATTCATCTAATCTTTTTTCAAGGTTTTTAGCTTACTTGCAATGGGTTTGAATTACCTCCTTTAGCTTGGAGAAGTTTGTTATTACCTACCTTCTGAAGCCTACTTTTGCCAACTCATCAAAGTCATTCTCTGTCCAGCTTTGTTCTGTTGCTGGCAAGGAACTGCGATCCTTTGGAGGAGAAGTGGCACCCTGGTTTTTAGAATTTTCAGCTTTTCTGCTCTGGTTTCTCCCCATCTTTGTGGTTTTTATCTACCTTTGGTCTTTGATGATGGTGACCTACAGATGTGGTTTTGGTGTGGATGTCCTTTTTGTTGATGTTGATGCTATTCCTTTCTGTTTGTTAGTTTTCCTTCTAATAGTCAGGTCCCTCAGATGCAGGTCTATTGGAATTTGCTGGAGGTCCACTCCAGACCCTGTTTGCCTGAATATCACCAGTGGAGACTGCAGAGCAGCAAATATTGCAGAACAGCAAATATTGCTGCCTGGTCCTTCTTCTGGAAGCTTCGTCTCAGAGGGGCATGTGGCTGTATGAGGTGTCAGTTGGCCCCTACTGGGAGGTGTCTCCCAGTTAGGCTACTGGGGCTCAGGGACCCACTTGAGGAGGCAGTCTGTCTGTTCTCAGAGCTCACACACAGTGCTGGGAGAACCACTGCTCTCTTCAGAGGTGTCAGACAGGGATGTTTATATCTGCAGAAGTTTCTGCTGCCTTTTGTTCAGCTATGCCCTTCCCCCAGAGATGGAGTCTACAGAGGCAGGTGGGCCTTGTTGAGCTGCAGTGGGCTCCAACCAGTTTGAGCTTCCAGGCTGCTTTGTTTACCCCCTCAAGCCTCAGCAATGGTGGATGGCCCTCCTGCAGCCAGGCTGCCACCTAGCAGTTCAATCTTGGACTGCTGCGCTAGCATTGAGCAAGGCTCCGTGGGTGTGGGACCCTCTGAGCCAGGCATGGAATATAATCTCCTGGTGTGCTGTTTGCTAAGACCATTGGAAAAGCACAGTATTTAGGTGGCAGTGTCCCGATTTTCCCAGTACAGTCTATCATGGCTTCCCTCAGCTAGGAAAGGGAAATCCCTGGACTGCTTGTGCTTCCTGGGTGAGGCGATGGCCCACCCTGCTTTGGCTTGCCCTCCATGGGCTACACCCACTGTTCAACCAGTCCCAATGTGGTGAACCAGGTATCTCAGTTGGAAATGCAGAAATCACCCATCTTCTGCGTCAATCATGCTGGGAGCTGCAGACCAGAGCTGTTCCTATTCCACCATCTTGGAATAGATCCCCTCATTTATCTTAGTTTTAAAAATTCTTCTTTTACTAAGCAAAGTGGACAGACTAAAAATGTAAATAAAATATATATAACTCACTTGAATATATGTATATAAATCTTTTTAATGAAACAGGATTTCCTTTTTTTTTGCCTTAAAAAGGAAAGGCTAAACCACTTAAATTTACCTTAATACAAACTCCCCCAGCCTTTAGAGGCTCAACTTGCATTTCTTCAATTGAAAGAGAACTGGCTGCCTGGCATGTGGTTGTCTGCAGATACAAGGAAAACGAAATGACATTATTTAACAATAACATTTATGTATTAGTTCATTCTTACAGTGCTATAAAGAAATACCTGAGACTGAGTAATTTATAAAGAAGAGAGGTTTAATTAGCTCACAGTTCTTCAGGCTGAATAGCAAGCATAGTGGCTTCTGCTTGGCTTCTGGAGAGGGCTCAGGGAACTTACAATCATGGTGGAGGCAAATAGGAAGCAGGAACATCTTACATGCCTGGAGTAGGAGGAAGGGAGTGAGGGGGGAGGTGATACAAACTTTTAAACAAACAGATCTCATGAGAACTCTGTCATGAGAGCAGCACCAAAGTGATGGTGCTAAACCACTGATGAAAGATCCACTCCTGTGAGCTAATCTCTTCTCATCAGGTCCTACCTCCAACACTGGAGATTACAATTCAACATGAGTTATGGGTAGGAACAAAAATCGAGACCATATTAATTTATCTTTTTTTCTGATTACACAAATGACTGTTACTTGTTATAATTTGTAAAAATGCAAAAAAAATCATTAAAAAAGATCACATGCAATTTCAGGTGCAAGCTGCTGAAATTTTAGCATATTTCCTTCCAGTCTTTCAGTGTAATTTTTATATAGTTGAGATGTCATACAAGCAATTTTATATTCTGCTTATTAAAAAATTTTTTTAATTTTAGCTTTTGTGAGTACATAGTAGGTGTATATTTTTATGAGAACATTAGCTGTTTTGTATAACCATGCAATGCATAATAATCAAATCATGTAAGTGGGGTATCCGTCTTCTAAAACATTTATCCTTTGTGTTGCAAGCTATGCATTTATACCTTTTTATTTATTTTAAAATGTGCAATCAAATTATTATTGACTATAGTCACCCTGTTGGGCTATCAAATACTAGGTCTTATTCTTTCTAACTACTTTTTTTGTACCGATTAACACTTGCCAGCTTCCCTCCCACCTCTGTACTCCCTTTGCCAGCCTCTGATAACCATCCTTCTATTCTCTTTCTCCATAAGTTCAATTGTTTTGATTTTCAGATTCCACAAATAAATGAGAACATGTAAAGTTTCTCTTTCTGTGCCTGGCTTATATCAGTTAGCATAAGGACCTCCAGTTCCATCCATGTTGCTGCAAATGACAGGATATCATTCCTTTTTTTATGGCTGAATAGTACTCCATTGTGTATAAGTACCATATTTTCTTTTTTCAGTCATCTGTTCATGGACACTTAGGTTGCCACCAAATTTTTGCTATTGTGAACAGTGCTGCAACAAACATGGGAGTGCAGATATTTCTTTGATTCACTCATTTCCTTTCTTTTGTGTATATACCCAGCAGTGGGATTGCTGGATTATGTGGTAGCTCTATTTTTGGTTTTTTGAGGAACCTCCAAATTGTTCTCTGTAGTGGTTGTACTAATTTACACTCCCATCAATAGTGTATGAAGTTTCCCTTTTTTCACATTCTTGCCAGCATTTGTTATTGCCTGTCTTTTGGATATAAGCCAACTTAACTGGGGTGATATAATATCTCATTGTAGCTTTGATTTGCCTTTCTTTGATGATCAATGATGTTGAGAACCTTTACATATGCCTGTTTACCATTTGTATATCTTCCTTTGAGAAATGTTTATTAAAATAGTTTGCCCATTTTTAAATTGGATAATTAGAGTTTTTTTCCTATAGGGTTGTTTGAGCTCCTTATATATTTTGGTTATTAATTCATTGTCAGATGGGTAGTTTGCAAATATTTTCTCCCATTCTGTGGGTTGTCTCTTCACTTTGTTGACTGTTTGTTTTACTATACAGAAGCTCTTGAACTTCATGTGATCTCATTTGTCCATGTTTGCTTTGGTTGTCTGTGCTTGTAGGGTATTAATAAGGAAATTTTTGCCCAGACCAATGTGCCAGAGAGTTTCCACAATGTTTTCTTTTAGTAGTTTAATAGTTTGAGGTCTTAGATTTAAGTCATTAATCCATTTTGATTTGATTTTTGTATATGATGAGAGACAGAGGTCAAGCTTCATTCTTCTGCTTATGGATATACAGTTATCCTAACACCATGTATTGAAGAGATCTTTTTTTATACTCTATTTTTTTGCTAATAACAGTCACCATTTATTGAACAGTTACCGTTTACTTGTTCATATGAATTTTCTCATGACTTTGAAATGCTTTCTAATCATAATTGTAAATGGCTACTTTTAGTACTCTATCTTTTTTTATTATACTTTAAGTTCTGGCATACATGTGCAGAACATGCAGGTTTGTTACATAGGTATACACGTTCCATGGTGGTTTGCTGCACCCATCAACCTGTCATCTACATTAAGTATTTCTCTTAATGCTATTCTTCCCCTTGCCCTTCACTCCCCAACGGGCCCTGGTGTGTGATGTTCCCCTCCCTTTGTCCATGTAGTTCTCATTCTTCAACTACCAATTATGAGTGAGAACATGTGGTGTTTGGTTTTCTGTTCCTGTGTTAGTTTGCTGAGAATGATGGTTTCCAGCTTCACACATGTCCCTGCAAAGGACGTGAACTCATTTTTTTATGGCTGCATAGTATTCCATGGTGTATATGTGCCACATTTTCTTTATCCCGTCTATCATTGATGGGCATTTGGGTTGGTTCCAAGTCTTTGCTATTGTGAATAGTACTGCAATAAACATATGTGTGAATGTGTCTTTATAGTAGAATGGTTTGTAATCCTTTGGATAGATACCCAGTAATGGGATTGCTGGCTGAAATGATATTTCTGGTCCTAGATCCTTGAGGGATTGCCACACGGTCTTCTGCAATGTTTGAACTAATTTACACTCCCACCAACAGCATAAAATCATTCCTATTTCTCCACATTCTCACCAGCATCTGTTGTTTGCTGACTTTTTAATGATTGCCATTCTAACTGGTGTGAGATGGTAATTTGCTGTGGTTTTGACTTGCATTTCTCTAATGACCAGTGATGATGAGCTTTTTTTCATGTTTTTTGGCTGCATAAATGTATTCTTTTGAGAAGTGTCTGTTCATATCCTTTGCCTACTTTTTGATGGGGTTGTTTGTTTTTTTTTCTTGTAAATTTGTTTAAGTTCCTTGTAGATTCTGAATATTAGACCTTTGTCAGATGGATAGATTGCAAAATTTTCTCCCATTCTGTAGGTTGCCTGTTCATTCTGATAATAGTTTCTTTGCTGTGAAGAAGCTCTTTAGTTTAATTAGATCCCATTAGTCAATGTTGGCTTTTGTTGCAATTGTTTTTGGTGTTTTAGTCATGAAGTCTTTGCCCATGCCTATGTCCTGAATGGTATTGCCTAGGTTTTCTTCTAAGGTTTTTATGGTTTTAGGTTTTACATTTAAGTATTAAATTCATCTCAAGTTAATTTTTGTATAAGGTGTAAGTAAGGGGTCCAGTTTCAGTTTTCTGCATATGGCTAGCCAGTTTTTTCAGCACCCTTTATTAAATAGGGAATCCTTTCCCCATTGCTTGTTTTTGTCAGGTTTGTTGATGATCAGATGGTTGTAGATGTGTGGTGTTATTTCTGAGGTCTCTTTTCTGTTCCATTGGTCTATATGTCTGTTTTGGTACCAGTACCATGCTGTTTTGGTTGCTGTAGCCTTGTAGTATAGTTCGAAGTCAGGTAGCATGATGCCTCCAGCTTTGTTCTTTGTGCTTAGGATTGTCTTGGCTATACAGACTCTTTTGTGGTTCCATATAAAATTTAAGGTAGTTTTTCTAATTCTGTGAAGAAAGTCAGTGGAGCTTGATGGGAATAGCATTGAATCTATATATTACTTTGGGCAGTATGACCATTTTCATGATATTGATTCTTCCTATCCATGAGCACAGAATGTTTTTCTATTTGTTTGTGTATTCTCCTATTTCCTTGAGCAGTGATTTGTAGTTCTCCTTGAAGAGGTTCTTCACATCCCCTTTAAGTTGTATTCATAGGTATTTTATTCTGTTTGTAGCAATTGTGAATGGGAGTTCACCCATGATTTGGCTCTTTGTTTGTCTGATATTGATGTATAGGAATGCTTGTGATTTTTGCACAATGATTTTGTATCCAGAAACTTTGCTGAAGTTGCTTATCAGCTTAAGGAGGTTTTGGGCTGAGATGATGGGGCTTTCTAAATATACAATCATGTCATCTGCAAACAGAGACAATTTGACTTCCTTTCTTCCTATTTGAATACATTTTATTTCTTTCTCTTGCCTGATTGCCCTGGCCAGAACTTCCAATACTATGTTAAATAGGAGTGGTGAGAGAGGGCATCCTTGTCCTATGCTGAATTTCAAAGGGAATGCTTCCAGCTTTTGCCCATTCAGTATGATATTGGCTGTGGGTTTGTCATAAATATCTCCTATTTTTTGAGATATATTGTGTTAATATCTAGTTTTTTGAGTGTTTTTAGCATGAAGCGGTGTTGAATTTTATCGAAAGTCTTTTCTGCATCTATTGAGATAATCATGTGGTTTTTGTCATTGGTTCTGTTTATGTGATGGATTACGTTTGTTGATTGGTGTATGTTGAACCAGACTTGCATCCCAGGGATGAAGCTGACTTGATTGTGGTAGATAAGCCTTTTGATGTGTTGCTGGATTTGGTTTGCCAGTATTTTATTGAAGATTTTCACATCGATATTCATCAGGGATATTGGCCTGATATTTTCTTTTTTTTGTTGTTGTGTTTCTGCCAGGTTTTGGTATCAGGATGATGCTGGCCTCATAAGATGAGTTATGGAGGACTCCCTCTTTTTCTATTGTTTGGAATAGTTTTAGAAGGAATGGTATAAGCTTCTCTTTGTACCTCTGGTAGAATTAGGCTGTGAATCTATCTGGACCTGGGTTTTTTTTTGGTTGGTAGAGTATTAATTCCTGCCTCAATTTCTGAAGTTGTTATTGGTCTATTCAGGGATTCAACTTCTTCCTGGTTTAGTGTTTAGGGAGTGTATGTATCCAGGAATGTATCCATTTCTTCCAGGTTTTCTAGTTTATTTGTGTGGTGGTGTTTATATATTCTCTGATGGTAGTTTCTATTTCTGTGGGATCAGTGGTGATTTTCCCTTTATCATTTTTTATCGTGTCTATTGATTCTTCTCTCTTTTCTTCTTTATTAGTCTGGCTGGTGGTCTATCTATTTTGTTGATCTTTTCAAAAAACCAACTCCTGGATTCATTGATTTTTGGAAGGGTTTTTGGTGTCTCTATCTCCTTCAATTCTGCTTTGATCTTAGTTATTTCTTGTCTTCTGCTACGTTTCGAATTTTTTTGCTCTTGCTTCTCTAGTTCTTTTAATTGTGATGATAGGGTGTCATTTTAGATCTTTCCTACTTTCTGCTGTGGGGATTTAGTGCTATAAATTTTCCTCTAAACACTGCTTTAGCTGTATCCCAGAGATTCTGGTATATTGTGTGTTTGCTCTCATTGTTTTTAAAGAACTTATTTATTTCTGCCTTAATTTCATTATTTATCCAGCAGTCATTCAGGAGCAGGTTGTTCAGTTTCCATGTAGTTGTGAGTTCTGAGTGAGTTTCTTAATCCTGAGCTCTAATTTGATTGCACTGTGATCTGAGAGACTGTTATGATTTCTGTTCATTTACATTTGCTGAGGAGTGTTTTACTTCCAATTATGTGGTCAGTTTTAGAATAAGTGCTATGAGGAGCTGAGAAAAACGTATATTTTGTTGTTTTGGGGTGGAGAGTTCTGTAGATGTCTATTAGGTTTGCTTGGTCCAGAGCTGAGTTCAAGTCTGAATATCCTTGTCAATTTTCTGTCTTGTTGATCTGTGTAATATTGATAGTGAGGTGTTAAAATCTCCCAATATTATTGTGTGGGAGTCTAAGTCTCTTTGTAGGTTTGTAAGAACTTGTTTTATGAAACTGGGTGCTCTTATATTGGGTGCATATATATTTAGGATAGTTAGCTCTTCTTGTTGCATTGATCCGTTTACCATTATGTAATGGCCTTCTTTGTCTTTTTTGATCTTTCTTGTTTTAAAGTCTGTCTTATCGGAGACTAGGATGGCAACCCATGCCTTTTTTGTTTGCTTTCCATTTGCTTGGTAAGTTGTCCTCCATCCCTTTGTTTTGAGCCTATGTCTGTGTTTGCACATGAGATAGGTCTCCTGAATACAGCACACCAATGGGTCTTCACTCTTTATCCAATTTGCCAGTCTGTGTCTTTGAACTGGGAGCATTTAACCTATTTACATTTAAGGTTAATATTATTATGTGTGAGTTTGATCCTGTCATCATGATTCTAGCTGGTTATTTTCCACATTAGTTCATGCAGTTTTGTTCATCTTTATATTTTGGTATGTTTTTACAGTGGCTGGTACCAGTTTTTCCTTTCTATATTTAGTGCTTTCTTCAGGAGTTCTCGTAAGGCAGGCCTGGTGGTGACAAAACCCCTCAGCATTTTCTTGTCTGTAAAGGATTTTATTTTCTTTTGCTTATGAAACTTATTTTGGCTGGATATGAAATTGTGGGTTGAAAATTGTTTTCTTTAAGAATGTTGAATATTGTCCCCCACTCTCTTCTGGCTTCTGCAGAGAGATCTGCTGTTAGTCTGATGGGCTTCCCTTTGTGGGTAACCTGACCTTTCTCTCTGGCTGCCCTTAACATTTTTTCCTTCATTTCAACCTTGGAGAGTCTGATGATTATGTGTCTTGGGGTTGCTCTTCTCGAGGAGTATCTTAGTGGTGTTCTCTGTGTTTCCTGAATTTGAATGTTGGCCAGTCTTGCTAGGTTGGGGAAGTTCTCCTGGATAATATCCTGAAGTGTGTTTTTCAACGTGGTTCCATGCTCCCCTTCACTTTCAGGTGTACCAATCTGTCATAGGTTTGGTCTTTTCACATAGTCCCATATTTCTTGGAGGATTTGTTATTTCCTTTTCCTTCTTTTTTTTTCTCTAATCTTGTCTTCATGCTTTATTTCATTAAGTTGATCTTCAATCTCTGATATCCTTTTTTCTGCTTGATTGATTCAGCTATTGATACTTGTGTATGCTTCACGAAGTTCTCATGCTGTGTTTTTCAGCTCTATTAGGTCATTTCTGTTCTTCTCTAAACTGGTTATTCTAGTGTGCAGTTCCCGTAACCTTTTATCCAGGTTCTTACCTTCCTTTCTTTGGGGCAGAACATGCTTATTTAGCTTGGAGGCGTTTGTTATTACCTACTTTCTGTAGTGTACTTCTGTTCAATTCATCAAACTCATTTTCCATCCAGTTTTGTTCCCTTTCTGGTGAGGAGTTGTGGTCCTTTGGAGGAGAAGAGGCATTCTGGTTTTTGAAATTTTCAGCATTTTTGTGCTTTTTTCCCCTCAGCTTTGTGGATTTATGTACCTTTGATCTTTGATGCTGAGGCACTTTGGATGGGGTTTTTCTGTGGGCATACTTTTCTTTTGATGCTGATGTTTTTGTTTTCTCTTTGTTAGTTTTCCTTCTGTCAGGCCTCTCTGGTGCAGGTCTGCTGGAGTTTGCTGGAGGTCCACTTTAGACACTGTTTGCCTGGATATCACCAGTGGAGGCTGCAGAACAGCAAAGATTGCTGCTTGCTCCTTCCTCTGGAAGATTTGTCCCAGAAGGACACCCACCAGATGCCAGCTGGAGCTCTCCTGTATGAGATGTCTGTCGGCCCCTGCTGGGAGGTGTCTCCTAGTTAGGAGGCACGGGGGTCAGGGACCCATTTAAGGAGTCAGTCTGTTCCTTAGCAGAGCTTGAGCACTGTGCTGGGAGATCTGCTGCTCTCTTCAGAGCCAGTAGGCAGCAATGTTTAAGTCTGCTGAAGCTGCTCCCACAGTTGCCCCTCCCCCCAGCTGCTGTGTCCCAGAGAGATGGGAGTTTTTTCTATAAGCCCCTGACTGGGCCTGCTGCCTTTCTTTCAGAGATGCCCTGCCCATAGAGGTAGTCTGGCTACAGTGGCTTTGCTGTGCTGTGGTGCAGTGGGCTCTGCCCAGTCCGAACTTCCTGGCAGCTTTGTTTACAATGTGAGGGAAAAACCACCTACTCAAGCCTCAGTAATGGCGGACGACCCTCCCCCGACCAAGCTTGAGTGTCCCAGGTTGACTTCAGACTGCTTTCCTGGCAGCAAGAATTTCCAGCCAGTGGATCTTAGCTTGCTGGGCTCCGTGGGAGTGGGACCTGCTAAGCCAGACCACTTGGCTCCCTGGTTTCAGACCCCACGGTTTGTTCCAGGGGAGTGAACGGTTCTGTCTGGCTGGGGTTCCAGGCACCATTGGGTTATGAAAAAAAATCTCCTGCAGCTAGCTCGGTGTCTGCCAAATGGCCACCCAGTTTTGTGCTTGAAACCCAGGGCCCTGGTTGTGTAGGCACCTGAGAAAATCTTCTGGTCTGTGGTTTGCAAAAACCATGGGAAAAGCGTAATGTCTGGGCTGGATAGCACTGTCCCTCATGGCACAGTCCCTCATGGCTTCCCTTGGCTAGGGGAAGGAGTTCTCTGACCCCTTGTGCTTCTCCTTGAGGTGACACCCCACCCTGCTTCTGCTGGCCTTCTGTGGGCTGGACCCACTCTCTAACCAGTCCCAATGAGTTGAACTGGGTACCTCAGTTGGAAATCCAGAAATCACCTGCCTTCTGTGTTTGTCTCGCTGGGAGCTGCAGACGGGAACTGTTCCTATTCGGCCATCTTGCCCAGCTCTCCCCTGCAGTCTATCATTTGAATGTGTTCTGATTTGCTTAATCAGTAATTACCTAGACATAGAATTATTTCTATTGTTTTGGCTATTATAAATTATATTGTGATGAACACTCTTGTTCATAATTTTTACTTGCTTGGTTTCCTTGAGAATTACTTGGGAAAGGATAAAGACATTATTTGGGTTAAATTGACTTCCATACCTCTTTACAGAAAGGCTGAATCATTTGGCATGCTGCCTAGAAGTAAAATAGAATGTCTATATCATTATTTACTCCACCCACATTAGCACTGACTGTAGCTATTAAACACAAAATATCTTGACAGGCATAAAAAGCTAACTATTACGTTGGTGCAAAAGTGATTGCAGTTTTTGCCATTAAAAGTAATGGCAAATAACTTTTGCACCAACCTAATATTTCTTTTCATTAGTATTTCTTTCTTTTTTCCCTTCTCTCTCTCTCTTTTTTTTAGACTGAATTTCACTCTTGTTGCCCAGGCTGGAGTGCAATGGCATGACCTCGGCTCACTGCAACCTCCGCCCCCTGGGTTCAAGTGATTCTCCTGCCTCGGCCTCCCAAGTAGCTGGGATTACAGGTGCCTGCCACCACGCCCACCTAATTTTTTGTATTTTTAGTAGAGATGGGGTTTCACCATGTTGGTCAGGCTGGTCTTGAACTCCTGACCTCAGGTGATCTGCCAGCCTCGGCCTCCCAAAGTGCTGAGATTACAGGCTAGAGCCACTGTGATTGGCCTTTCGTTAGTATTTCTTTCAGCGCTAGTGATGTTGAATATTTTCTATGTTTGTTTTAGTCATTTGTATTTTCTCCTTTTGTGAAGTATTTGATCATATAGTTTGTGTAAGTATCTACTAGCAACTTGGTGTTTTTCTGATTAATGCATTTGAGTTCTTTATATGTTAAAGGAGTGACCTATTATTGTCACATTGTCAGACATGTTTTTCCTTTGTTAATTTTTGACCTTTAATTTTGTATGAAGTTATATATATATATGTTTAAAAATTTTGGTTCATAAAAATATCTTTTTCTTTGTTATTGTTTCCATTCTTTGAAAATTCTCTTCATATAGAGACCAAATACATTTTCTATCTTTCTTTCTAAATTTTTTTTGTTTCTGTTTTGAGACAGAGTTTTGCTCTAGTCATCCAGTCTGGAGTGCAATGGCGCAATCTCGGCTTACTGCAACCTATGCCTCCCGGGTTCAAACGATTCTCCCTCCTCAGGCTCCTGAGTAGCTGGGATTACAGCTGAGTACCTGCCACCATGCCCATCTAATTTTTGTATTTTTAGTAGAGACAGGGTTTCACCATGTTAGCTAGGCTGGTCTCAAACTCCTGACCTCAGGCGATCTGCCTGCCTCAGCCTCCCTAAATGCTGGGATTATAGGCATGAGCCATCGCACTTGGCCCCTTCTAGATTTTTATAGTTTGATTTTTAAACATTCAACTCTTAAATTCAGCTGAAAATTATTTTGTGTGAAGTAAGAAGCTAAACAAATTGTCCCAGCATGAACTGGTGATTAGTTGTTTCTTTTTCTGTGTTAATTAGCACCTTCGGTAAGAAGTTCTTATATTTACAGTTTCTTTCTTGGAGACTGTGTCTATTGTTCTGTGTGTCTTTCTGTCTGTTCTTGCAGCAGCACCTCAATGATTTAAATGCTTTATCTTTTCCATATACCTTAATATATGGTGATACTAATTCTCTTCATAATTTATTTATGTTCCATTTGCAGGGTATTATTGTTGCACTAGTAATTGTAAAGTATACTGAGCTGAGAAAATCTGTTGTGTTATCAAGAAATTCAGACTCCAATGGAGGAGATAATACATGTCTTGCCATACAAGAAAAAGGGACAAATGTCACAAGAGAAGTTCAAATAAAATGATAAAGAAAATATTACTTGTTTCTGAGGATAAAATAGTTTTGATTTCACCTGCCAAGCTCATATAAAAAATATGCTTCATGTTGAACTCATGGAGGTGGAGAGTAGAATGATGGTTACCAGAGACTGGAAAGGGTGGTGAGGGGATTGGGGGAATTGGGGTTGGTTAATGCATACAAAAGATAGTTAGAATGAATAAGATCTAGTATTTGATAATACAACAGGGTGATTATAATCAATGATAATTAAATTGTACATTTTAAAATAACTAAAGGAGTATAATTGGATTGTAGGTAAAACAAAGGATAAATGCTTGAGGGAATGGATACCCCATTTACCCTGATGTGATTATTGTGCATCATATGACTGTATCAAAATATCTTATGTACCACATAAGTATATGCAGCTATTATATACTTATATAAATTAAAAATAAAAATATAAAATGTATACCTGAAAAAAAATTTCATGAAAAAATTTTCCTAATTTCAAAAATAGTACACACTCAACACAAAAATCTTAGAAAACTCAGAGAAATGTAAAGGGAAATCAACTGTGACAAAAGGCATCCACCTATTATCACTGTTAACAATTCAGGATGAGTCCTTCCAGTCAACATGCATGTTTATGTGTGTCAGTATGATCATACTGAGCGTGCTGTTTTACAGCCTGTTTGTATTAGTTCATTCTTCCACTTCTGTAAAGAAATACCTGAGACTGGGTAATTTATAGAGACTGGGTAATTTAATTAGCTCATGGTTCCTCAGGCTGTACAGTAAGCATGGCTGGGGAAGCCTCAGAAAACTTTCAATCATGGAGGAAGGTGAAGGGGAAGCAGGCATGTCTTATACGACTGGAGCAGGAGGAAGGGGGTGGGGGAAGTGCTACATGTTTTTAAACAACCAGATCTTGTGATAACTCATTATCAAGAGAATAACACAAAAGAGGAAATCTGCCTCATGATCCAATCACCTCCCACCAGACCCCACCTCCAACATTGGGGATTACAATTTGACATGAGATTTGGGGACATAGACCCAAACCATATCATTGTTCTTCTACTTAACATTATGAATGCATTGCAAGTAATTTGTTAAGATCACTTGGGATTTTATTGGCTAATATATCATATTTTATTTAATCAGTTTACTAGTACTTGTCATATATTGCTTTCAGTGTTCTTTTCTTAAAAATAATGCTACAGTTAATCTGTTTATAAAAATATACATAATTACAAATGCTCCTCCATACAATGGAGTTATGTCCTGATAAACCCATTGCAAGTTGAAAATGGATTTAATACACCTAACCTATGAAACATCATAGCTCAGCCTAGCCTTCCTTAAACGTGCTCAGAACATTTATATTACCCTATATTTGGATAAAATCATCTTGCAATACAGTACATTGTAAAGTCCTGGCTGTTTACCCTTGCATGGCTGACTGGGAGCTGCTCTGGCTGCTGGTGCCTAGCATTGCAAGAGAGTATCATACTGCATACAACTAGCCCAGGAAAAGATCAAATTTCAAAATTTGAAGTATGATTTCCACTGAATGCATACACCTTTTGCACCATTGTAAAGTCAAAAGATTGTAGGTTGGACCATCTTAAGTTGGGGATGTCTGCATTTTGTTGGATAAATTTTCAGGTCACATTTTTGAGGCTTTTGTTACAATATTGTCACTTTGCCCCAATTCGCCTCATTAGACATCATTTGTCTAGCATCCTTCACAGCCTCCATGGAGGGAGACAGTGAAGCAGTTTCTCTGCTGAGGACTGTCACCTTCACAGTTTACAGCTACTGTAAGGGGAGGGTAGTTTGGGAAGGAGGGGGTGAGATAGTAATTTGGGACAAGGTTCAGCAATTGCAGGCCTCTACATTTGGAGCTTTTCTGGCAACAGCAATCCCTTAGTCAGTTGTTTACATTTCATGTGAAGGATTTTATATCTGCAGGTAATTCAGTAAGTCTCTCAGGGTCCTGGCCCCTTACACTGCTTCTGTCTTAGCATACGGTATGGGGACCTGCTCTTTCTCTTAGGACTTTTTCAGACTTTTGCTTTAAGACTTGAATCAGAACCTGGGCTAGGGTGAAGAGACTTGCCTCAGTTGTTCTGAAATCTGGCCAAGAGAATGCATTTAGGAGGCATCCCAGATAATTATGCTTTATATAGCAATGTATTACATTTATGGGCAAGATGGTTTAAGAAGATGGGTACTTGGATGGGGCTAAAGGGACTGAGGCTTGTTCATTCCTCTCGCTCCTTAGGTAACCTTCTCCCGCAGTATCCTGGTTCCCATGCTTTCTGTACCCACGTGCCTACTCTTGCAATCTATACATTGTTCCTGTTCAGCAGAGTTTGGATGAATACCCAACAGCCTGAGGAGACTGACTGTTACTTGAAATGAAGGAGTGTTCTTGTTTGAACGATCCTGCTCAGAAGGACCAGCCTGGGCTTGCATCTCTTGTAGTATTTTACTAAACCCTGCAACAGTAGCCACTTTTTTTCCCTGCCAAGTTATCTAAATGTAGAGCTTCCTGTGGTCTGAGTTTTAAGAGATTACAGGTGATAATTAACTAATTATTTGCTTTACTATAGAATCTATGTATAGGTGGAATCGAAGGTGGTGGAATCTTTACTGATTCCCTGACCCACTTCACTCAGTGAGTTACATATTTGAGGGATATCAGTGAAGTGTATCACTATGGTCTACTTGTTTGCAACTTACAAAAACCCAACATGAATAACCTTGGTATCCATGGGCTCTTGCTTCCAAGTTACAAAAACCTAGCATGCATAACCTTAGAGAAAAAAGGGAACATTTTGACTGATAGAAACCATGAAATGAGCGAAAAACAAAACAAAGAAAGTGGGCAGAAATACAACTGGGAGCAGAAACTTGAAACCATTCAACTTAAAGAAGACTTTCCCTCTCTCTTATGTGAAGTGGTGTATGTAGCATAGTGGTTAAGAGCAGAGATGCTAGCCCTAATAGATCTGGGTTCAAATCTTAGCTTTATTTCTCTTCTGTGACATAAGGCAAGAAGCCCAAAACTTCTGTGCCCCAGTTTACCTATCAATAAGGTATGATAATAGTAGTACCCACCTCATACATTTATTATGAGCATTAAGAGAGTTATCATATGACAAACGTTTGAATTTGTGCCTAGCACATAGCGGGACCTATGTATAAGTGCTACCTGTTATTATTATGGTATCTCTGAGAACATTGATTTCAGTTGTTCACCATTGACTTGCTTTTGTTATAGAGTTAGGAAATATGGCCAATAAAAATGTTTGATTCGTAAGTCTAACTGCAACAGGAGAATTCTGATCTTTCCCTCATCTTAAGTCCAAAGATGTAAGGGAGGCTCTCTTTGCTAGCATGAGTCTGGTGCTCACTCCTCAGCCAATGAAATCTCACCAAATTTGTGGAGTTTGGGAAGAGTTTGACAGCTACTATGGCAGTCATGTGGACATCCTTGAGCAGCTGAAGGTGGGTGGGGAAAGTCACAGGGCAGATTGGTTCCATTGTATATACAGTGTCTCTTGGAACCTGAGGGATTTGTTCCAGAACCCCTGCAGACACCAAAATCTGCAGATGCGCAAGTCCCTGATATAAATTGCATAGTATTTGCATATAATCTATGCACACCCTCCTGTATATTTTAAATAATCTCTAGATTACTTATAATACCTAGTAAAATATAAATGCTATGTAAATAGTTGTTACACTGTATTTTAAAATTTGTATTTTTTAAATGTTGTATTTTTTAAATTTTTTAAAAAATATTTTTGATTCATAGTTGATTGAGTCCATGGATGCAGAACCCCAGAACCTGCAGATATGGAGGACTGACTATACTTGATCAGTAAGATCAAATGAAGCCTCAACATTGCCTGGCAATCCAATGACATTTTCCTAGCCAGCTTGCTGCCCAGTTTCCTGAAATAGCTATCTTAATCTTTGAACACTCATGTCAAACCTCTGAACATCATCATCCTATTTTCCTCCATCTCCTTTGCCTCAGGTGATGAACTTACTGTACACAGAAAATTCACCCTCTAGAGAAAAGTCTTTCCCCTCTCCATGTCCAATTCATTAAGAAGCCCTGCCAGCTTTGCCTCCAAAGTATATCTTAAAGTTTTTAGTGCTTAATGTCTAAATGCCTTCTCTAGAATTGAATTTCTATGAGAGTAGGGACCTTAGGTCTCTTATTTTTCTCTACCTTAAGTGCTTGATACATAGTAGAAAGTCAGTAAGTATTGAATAAATAAATTAAAATAGAAGGTAGACAGAAACTCCCTCAGCTTCCTATTACTTCAGCACCCACACTCATTCTACTCTCCTTCTCCATCATCTACATCTCTTAAGGAAACTCACTGTTATTTATTTTTGCTTCTTCACAATATGATTTGTGAGCTTTCTTTTTTAAATTATACTTTAAGTTCTGGGATACATTTGCAGAACCTGCAGGTTTGTTACATAGGTATACACATGCAGGGTTTTTACATAGGTATACACGTGCCATGGTGGTTTGCTGCACCCATCAACCCGTCATCTACATTAGGTATTTCTACTAATGCTATCTCTCCCCTAGCTCCCCACCCCCTGACAGGCCCCAGTGTGTGATGTACCCCTCCCTGTGTCCATGTGTTCTCATTGTTCAACTCCCACTTATGAGTAAGAACATGTGGTTTTTGGTTTTCTGTTCCTGTGTTAGTTTGCTGAGAATGATGGTTTCCAGCATCATCCATGTCCCTGCAAAGGACATGAACTCATCCTTTTTTGTGGCTGCATAGTATTCCATGGTGTATATGTGCCACATTTTCTTTATCCAGTTTATAATTGATGGGCATTTGGGTTGGTTCCAAGTCTTTGCTATTGTGAATAGTTCTGCAATAAACATACGTGTGCATGTGTCTTTATAGTAGAATGATTTATAATCCTTTGGGTATATACCTAGTAATGGGATTGCTGGGTCAAATGGTATTTCTGGTTCTAGATCCTTGAGGAATCGCCACACTGTCTTCCGCAATGTTTGAACTAATTTACACTCCCACCAACAGTATAAAAGCCTTCCTATTTCTCCACATCCTTTCCAGCGTCTGCTGTTTCCTTTTTTTTTCTTAACACATTAAGTTCTGCAGTACATGTGCAGAACATGCAGGTTTGTTACACAGGTATACACGTGCCATGGTGATTTGCGGCAACCCATCAACCTGTCATCTACATTAGGTATCTCTCCTAATGCCATCCCTCCCCTAGCCCCCAACCCCTTGACAGGCCCTGGTGTGTGATGTTCCCTTCCCTGTGTCCATGTGTTCTCATTGTTCATCTCCCACTTATGAGTGAGAACATGCAGTGTCTGGTTTTCTGTTCTTTTGTTAGTTTGCTGAAAATGATGGTTTCCAGCTTCATCCATGTACCTGCAAAGGAAATGAACTCATCCCTTATTATGGCTGCATAGTATTCCATGGTGTATGTGTGCCATATTTTCTTTATCCAGTCTATCACTGATGAGCATTCGGGTTGGTTCCAAGTCTTTGCTATTGTGAATAAAGCCGCAATAAACATACATGTGCATGTGTCTTTATATAGAATGATTTGTAATCCGTTAGGTGTATATCCATTAATGGGATTGCTGGCTTAAATGGTATTTCTGGTTCTAGATCCTTGATGAATCTCCACACTGTCTTTCACAATGTTTGAATTAATTTACACTCCCACCAACAGTGTAAAAGTGTTCCTATTTCTCCACATCCTCTCCAGCATCTTTTGTTTCCTGACTTTTTAATGATCACCATTCTAACTGGCGTTAGAATGTGGTATCTCATTGTAGTTTTTATTTGCATTTCTCTAATGACCAGTGATGATGAGCCTTTTTTCATATGTTCGTTGGCTGCATAAATGTCTTCTTTTGAGAAGTTTCTGTTCATATCTTTGGCCCACTTTTTTTTTTTGTGGGGACTAAATGTTTTAATATATGGACAATAAGCGGGTTATCACATTTATAAACAAAACAATTTAAGAGCATAAGAAGTACTCTAAAGGAAACAAACAGAAAGCTGGAGCAAAGAGCAATGAGTGAGACGTCTTTTTGATAGAATTTTCCGGTAAGAGCTCTCAAAAGAAATTATATTTAAACTGAGACTGAAGGATTCACATTAAAAGCTTAGTGCAAATTTTGAAGAGTGAGGAGTTGAGTATACCAGAATGAATGGAAAAAAATATAAAGGCCTTAAAGAAAGAAAGAACTGAGCATGTTTAAGGAACAGGAAGAAGACAAGTAAGTGTAAGTTACGTGAGCAAGGGGGTGGGTAGGTGGTATTTCATCCATTCCTTCATTCATCCATTCAACAAAAATAACAACTAAACACAAACACATAAATAACATGTGTGCATGCACACAGGCACTCACATACGTACATAGAGACAGAAAGAGAAGCTACTATGTGTGCCAAGCACTGTTCTTTGCTTTGGGAATACATGAACAAATAAAAATGTCTCCAGACTCATGAAGTTTTATATTATTGAGGAAGGGACTTAAACCATAAATATAAACCATATAGTATTTTTTAAAATAAAAGCAATAGTAAGATATATAAGGAGAAATAGGTTAGGAGCCTCCATTTTAATTAGGATGATTTAAAATTTTCTACATATGTGAATATGTAGGAAAATAATATTCCAGGCAAAGGCACTAAGATAAAAGAATGAGAAATGTATTTGAAGAATACCAGGGAAGCCAGTGTGATTGGAGAGGAGGGAGCAAAATAGAAGAAAGCATCAGATGAGCTGAGAGAGGAATGGGGGCCAGATTGTTCAGGTACTTCTAGATCATTGCAGGACAGATTGTGCAGGTACTTCTAGACCATTGTAAGGGCTTTAGTTTTTTTTTTTTTTAATACTTTAAGTTCTAGGGTACATGTGCACAACGTGCAGGTTTGATATATAGGTATACATGTGTCATGTTGGTTTGCTGCACTCATCAACTCATCATTTACATTACGTATTTCTCCTAATGCTATCCCTCCCCCAGCCCCCACCTCATGCCAGGCCCTGGTGTGTGATGTACACCCCCCTGTGTCCAAGTGATCTCATTGTTCAATTCCCACCTATGAGTGAGAGCATGCAGTGTTTGGTTTTCAGTCCTTGTGTTAGTTTGCTGAGAATGCCGGTTTCCAGCTTCATCCCTATCTCTGCAAAGGACATGAACTCGTCCTTTATTATGGCTGCATAGTATTCCATGGTGTGTATGTGCCATATTTTCTTAATCTAGTCTATCGTTAATGGACATTTGGGTTGGTTCCAAGTCTTTCCTGTTGTGAATAGTGCCGCAATAAACATACATGTGCATGTGTCTTTATAGTGGCATGATTTATAATCCTTTGGGTATATACCCAGTAATGGGATGGTGGGGTCAAATGGTATTTCTAGTTCTAGATCCTTGAGGAATCACCACACTGTCTTTCACAATGGTTGAACTAATTTACACTCCCAACAATGTAAAAGCGTTCCTATTTCTCCACATCCTCTTTGGCATCTGTTGTTTCCTGACTTTTTAATGATTGCCATTCTAACTGGTGTGAGATGGTATCTCATTGTGGTTTTGATTTGCATTTCTCTGATGACCAGTGATGATGAGCATTTTTTCATGTGTCTGTTGGCTGCATTGATGTCTTCTTTTGAGAAGTGTCTGTTCATATCCCTTGCCCACTTTGTGATGGGGTTGTTTGTTTTTTTCTTGTAAATTTGTTTAAGTTCTTTGTAGATTCTGGATATTAGCCCTTTGTCAGATGGGTAGATTGCAAAAATCTTCTTCCATTCTGTAGGTTGCCTCTTCACTCTGATGGTAGTTTCTTTTGCCATGCAGAAGCTCTTTAGTTTGATTAGATCCCATTTGTCTATTTTGGCTTTTGTTGCCATTGCTTTGGTGTTTTAGTCATGAAGTCCTTGCCCATGCCTTTGTCCTGAATGGTATTGCCTATGTTTTCTTCTAGGGTTTTTATGGTTTTAGGTCTTACGTTTAAGTTTTTAATCCATCTTGAGTTAATTTTTGTATAAGGTGTAAGTAAGGAGTCCAGTTTCAGTTTTCTGCATATGGCTAGTCAGTTTTCCCCAACACTATTTATTAAATAGGGAATCCTTCCCAATTGCTTGTTTTTGTCAGGTTTGTCAAAGATCAGATTACTGTAGGTGTGTAGTGTTATTTCTGAGGCCTCTGTTCTGTTCTATTGGTCTATATATCTGTTTTGGTACCAATACCATGCTGTTTTGGTAACTGTAGCCTTGTAGTATAGTTTGTAGTCAGGTAGCATGATGCCTGCAGATTTGTTTTTTGTTTTTGTTTTTGTTTTTTTTTCTTAGGATTATATTGGTTATATGGGCTCTCTTTTGGTTCCATACGAAATTTAAAGCATTTATTTTTCTAATTCTGTGAAGAAAGTCAGTGGTAGCTTGATTGGAATAGCATTGAATTTATAAATTACTTTGGACGGTATGACCATTTTCATGATATTGATTCTTTCTATCCATGAGCTTGGAATGTTTTTCCATTTGTTTGTGTATTCTCTTATTTCCTTGAGCAGTTGTTTGTAGTTCTCCTTGAAGAGGTCCTTCACACCCCTTGTAAGTTTTACTCCTAGGTATTTTATTCTCCTTGTAGCAATTGTGAATGGGAGTTCACTCATAATTTGGCTCTCTGGCTATTATTGGTATATAGGAATGCTTGTGAGTTTTGCACATTGATTTTGTATCCAGAAACTTTGCTGAAGTTGCTAATCAGCTTAAGGAAATTTTGGGCTGAGATGATGGGGTTTTCTAAATTTACAATCATATCCTCTGAAAACAGAGACAATTTGACTTCCTCTCTTCCTATTTGAATACCTTTATTTCTTTCTCTTGCCTGATTGTCCTGGCCAGAACTTCCAATACAATGTTGATTAGGAGTGGTGAGACAGGGCATCCTTGTCTGGTGTTGGTTTTCAAAGGGAATGCTTCCAGCCTTTGCCCATCAGTATGATATTGGCTGTGGGTTTGTCATAAATAGCTCTTATTATTTTGAAATACGTTCCATCAATACCTAGTTTATTGAGAGTTTTTAGCATGAAGCACTGTTGAATTTTATTGAGGGCCTTTTTTGCATCTATTGAGATAATCATGTGTTTTTTTTTCATTGTTTCTGTTTATGTGATGGAATTTGTTTATTGATTTGTGTATTTTGAACCAGCCTTGCATCCAAGGGATGAAGCTGACTTGATTATGCTGGATAAACTTTTCAGTGTGCTGCTGGATTCAGTTTGCCAGTATTTTATTGAGGATTTTCACATCAATGTTCATCGGGGATATTGGCCTGATCTTTTCTTTTTTTGTTGTGTCTCTGCCAGGTTTTGGTATCAGGATGATGCTGGCCTCATAAAATGAGTTAGGGAGGACCTCTCTCTTTTTCTATTGTTTGGAATAGTTTCAGAAGGAATGTTACCATCTCCTCTTTGTACCTCTGGTAAAATTAGTCTGTGAATCCATTTGGTCCTGGGCTCTTTTTTGATTGGTAGACTATTAATTCCTGCCTCAATTTCTGAAGTTGTTATTGGTCTATTCAGGGATTCAACTTCTTCTTCCTGGTTTAGTCCTAGGAGAGTGTATGTATCCAGGAATTTATCTATTTCTTCTAGGTTTTCTAGTTTATTTGTATGGAGGTGTTTATAGTATTCTCAGATGGTAGTTTGTATTTCTGTGGGATCAGTGGTGATTTTCCCTTTATCATTTTTTATTGTGTCTATTTGATTCTTCTCTCTTTTCTTCTTTATTAGTCTGGCTAGTGGTCTATTTTGTTGATCTTTTCAAAAAGCCAACTCCTGGATTCACTGATTTTTTGAAGGGCTTTTCATGTCTCTATCTCCTTCATTTCTGCTCTGATCTTAGTTATTTCTTGTCTTCTGCTCGTGTGTGAATGTGTTTGCTCTTGCTTCTCTAGTCCTTTTTTTCTTTTTTTTTTTTTTTGAGATGGGGTCGCAGTTTGTCACCCAGGCTGGAGTGCATTGGCATGATCTTGGCTCACTGCAACCTCTGCCTCCCAGGTTGAAGCAATTCTCCTTCCTCATCCTGCCGGATAACTGGGAGTATGGGTGCATGCCACCATGCCCAGAAAATTCTTTGTATTTTTTTTTTTTAGTAGAAACAGGGTTTCACCGTGTTGGCCAGTATTGTCTCAGTCTCCTGACATCATGATTCACCTGCCTCAGCCTCTCATAGTGTTGGGATTACAGGCGTGAACCACCACGCCCAGCCAATCTCTATTTCTTTTAATTGTGATGTTAGGGTGTCGATTTTTGATCATTTCTGCTTTCTCCTGTGGGCATTTAGTGCTATAAATTTCCCTCTAAACACTGCTTTAGCTGTGTCTCAGAGATTCTGGTATGTTGTGTCTTCATTCTCATTGGTTTCAAATAGCTTATTTATTTCTGCCTTAATTTATTTATTTACCCAGTATTCATTCAGGAGCAAGTTCTTCAGTTTCCATGTAGTTGTGTGGTTTTGAGTGAGTTTCTTCATCGTGAATTATAATTTGATTGCTCTGTGGTCTGAGAGACTGTTTGTTATGATTTGTGTTCCTTTGCATTTGCTGAGGAGTGTTTTACTTCCAATTATGTGGCCAATTTTAAAATAAGTGCTATGTGGTGCTGAGAAGAATGTATATTCTGTTGATTTGGGGTGGAGAGTTCCATAGATGTCTGTTAGGTCCACTTGTTCCAGAGCTGAGTTCAAGCCCTGAATATTCTTCTTAGTTTTCTGTCTTGTTGATCTGTGTAATATTGACGGTGGGGTTTTAAAGTCTCCCACTATTATTGTGTGGGAATCTAAGTCTCTTTGTAGGTCTCTAAGAACTTGCTTTATGAATCTGGGTGCTCCTGTATTGGGTGCATATATATTTAGAATAGTTAGTTCTTCTTGTTAAATTGATCCCTTTACCATTATGTAAAGGCCTTCTTTGTCTTTTTTTATCTTTGTTGGTTTAAAGTCTGTTTCATCAGAGACTAGGATTACAACCCCTGCTTTTTTTTTTCTTTCTATTTGCTTGGTAAGTATTTCTCCATCACTTTATTTTGAGCCTATGTGTGACTTTGTACATGAAATCTGTCTCCTCAAAACAGCAAACCAATGGGTCTTGACTCTGTATCCAATTTGCCAGTCTGTTCTTTTAATTGGGGCATTTAGATCATTTACATTTAAGGTTAATATTGTTATGTGTGAATTTGATTCTGTCATTATGACGCTAGCTGGTTATTTCACCCATTAGTTGATGCAGTTTCTTCATAGTGTCGAAGGTCTTTACAATTTGGTATGTTTTTGCAGTGGCCGGTATCGTTTTTTCCTTTCCATATTTAGTGCTTCCTTCAGGAGTTCTTGTAAGGCAGGTCTGATGGTGACCAAATCCCTCAGCATTTGCTTGTTGGGAAAGGATTTTATTTCTCCTTCACTTATGAAGCTTATTTGGTTAGATATGAAATTGTGGGTTGAAAATTCTTTTCTTTAAGAATGTTGAATATTGTCCCCCACTCTCTTCTGGCTTATAGGGTTTCAGCCAAAAGATCCACTGTTGTCTGATGGGCTTCCCTTTGTGGGTAATCCGACCTTTCTCTCTGGCTGCCCTTAACATTTTTTCCTTCATTTCAACCTTGGTGAATACGATGATTGTCTATCTTGGTGTTTCTCTTCTCGAGGAGTATCTTAGTGGTGTTCTCTGTATTTCCTGGATTTGAATGTTGGCCTGTCTTGCTAGGTTGGAGAGGTTCTGCTGGATAATATCCTGAAAAGTGTTTTCCAATTCGGTTCCATTCTCCCCGCCACTTTCAGGTACACCAATCAAATGTAGGTTTGGTCTTTTCATATAGTCCTATATTTCTTGGAGGCTTTGTTAGTTCCTTTTCATTCTTTTTTCTCTAATGTTGTCTTCATGCTTTATTTCATTAAGTTGATCTTCAGTCTCTGATATCCTTTCTTCTGCTTGATCCATTTGGCTATTGATACTTGTGTATGCTTCACAAAGTTCTCATGCTGTGTTTTTCAGCTCCATCAGTCATTTACGTTCTTCTCTAAACTGGTTATTCTAGTTAGAAATTCCTCTAACCTTTTTTCAAGGTTCTTAACTTCCTTGCATTGGGTTAGAACATGCTCCTTTAGCTTACTTGTTATTACCCACCTTCTGAAGCCTACTTCTGTCAATTCATCAAACTCATTCTCCATCTGGTTTTGTTCCCTTGCTGGCGAGGAGTTTTGATCCTTTGGAGGAGAAGAGCCTTTCTGGTTTTTGGAATTCTCAGCCTTTTTGCACTGGTTTTTCCTCAACTTCGTGGATTTATCTACCTTTGGTCTTTGATGTTGGTGACCTTCAGATGGGGTTCCTGTATGGAAGTCTCTTTTTTTTTTTTTTTTTTTTTTTTTTGATGTTGATGCTATTCCTTTCTGTCTGTTAGTTTTCCTTCTTACAGTCAGGGCCCTCTGGTGCAGGTCTGCTGGACTTTGCTGGAAGTCCAGTCAAGACCCTGTTTGCCTGGGTATCACCAGTGGAGGTTGCAGAACAGCAAAGATTGCTGCGTGTTCCTTCCTCTGGAAGTTTCATCCCAGAGAGGCACCCACCAGATGTCAGCTGGAGCTCTCCTGTATGAGGTATCTGTTGGCCCCTACTGGGAGGTGTCTCTCAGTCAGGAGGCACAGGGGTCAGGGACCCACTTGAAGAGGCAGTCTGTCCCTTAGCAGAGCTTGAGCGGTGTGCTGGGAGATCTGCTGCTCTCTTCAGAGCTGTCAGGCAGGAACGTTGAAGTCTGCTGAAGCTGTACCCACAGTAACCCCTTCCCCCAGGTGCTCTGTCCCAGGAAGATGGGAGTTTTATCTATAAGCCCCTGACTGGGGTTTCTGCCTTTCTTTCAGAGATGCCCTGCCCGGAGAGGAGGAATCTAGAGAGGCAATCTGGCTACAGTGGCTTTGCCGAGCTACAGTGGGCTCTACCCAGTTTGAACCTCCTGGCAGCTTTGTTTACACTGTGAGGGGAAAACCATCTACTTAAGCCTCAGTAATGGCAGACGCTCCTCTCTCTAAGGTCAAGTGTAACTGTTTACTTCAGACTGTTGTGCTGGCTGTGAGAATTTCAAGCCCGTGGATCTCAGCTTGCTGGGCTCCATGGGGGTGGGATCCACTGAGATAAACCACTTGGCTCCCTGGCTTAAGCCTTCTTTTCAGGTGAGTGAATGGTTCTGTCTCGCTGGCATTCCAGGTGCCACTGGGGTGTGAAAAAAAAGCTGTTGCAGCTAGCTTGGTGTCTGCCCAAATGGTCACCCAGTTTTGTGCTTGAAACCCTGGGCCCTGGTGGCACAGGCACCCGAGGGAATCTCCTGGTTTGCAGGTTGTGAAGACCGTGGGAAAAGAATAGTATCTGGGCCAGAGTGCACCATCCCTCAGGGCATGGCCCTTCTCTGCTTCCCTTGGGTAAGGGAGGGAGTTCCCTGACTTCTTGCACTTCCCAGGTGAGGCGACGCCCCACCCTGCTTTGGCTTGTCCCCCGTGTGCTGCACCCACTGTCTAACCAGTCCCAATGAGATGAGCAGTGTACCTCAGTTGAAAATGCAGAAATCACCCGCCTTCTGCGTTGATCTCCCTGGGAGTAGCAGACCAGAGCTGTTCCTATTCAGCCATCTTGCCAGCCGCTGTCGATTTGTCATCTTTTTAACATATTCATCTCTCTCTTATTAAAAAGGAAAACATAGAAACCAACAACAAACTCCCCATTGCCCCACATCTTTCCAACTACCATTGGGAGAGTCAAGAGGGATATTTACATGCTCTCTGAATTGAGGGTTGAGAGCTCTAGGCCAAATACTACCTCTAGTGTACTAGAAGTAGTAATACCACTTCTAGGCCAAATTTGGGCTTCCATTGGTGGGCCTTGAGAAATTGTAATATCCTGAAGTAATTGGGATTTTGTAATTTGACTAACTTATAAATTGACTTACAAATGGGAATAATTTGAATTTGACTTTATAATTTGAGTCAAGGGCCAATATATATTTTGATTTTGTAATTGGGATTTTGTAGCTTCTGGAAGTTTCAAGAGATGTCTGGCTGTGACTGCAAAGCCAGCAATAAACCAGGGTCATATTGTTTAAGAAAAGACACAGTTTAAGAAAAGATCCTTTATACTCATTGCATCCTTTTCCTCACCTCCCTCTCACTTCTCCATGCTGCCATTCTATTAGACACCTCCAGCCCTTCATTGAAACATCTGCTGACTCCTTCACTTTGGGCTTCTAGCCTCCAGAACTGTCAAAGAATAAATTTCTGTTGTTTTAAGCCACTCAGTCTATGGTAATTTGTTACAGTAGCACTAGAAAACAAATACAGAATCTGTGTTTATCATTCCCTGTATCTTCCCATTTCCTTGATTCTCTTCTCTCTCCTGACTTAGTGGGAGTGCTTCTTCTCCACTCTTTATGTGTCTGCTCCACTGTCCTTTAGCTCTCTCTCCACATTACTAATGTGGTGCTTCTTGTTTATGTAACTCATTTGGAACTTAGCATGCACATCCTGTTTTGTTCTCTGTTTTATATGCAGAGACTGCTTTCTAGGTTAGATTTGAGTCAAGAAATGCAGAAGTCAAAATTGAAGAGTGAAGCTTTCTTCTTTTTTTTTCTTCTCTTTCTCTTCTCTCCCAAGTAGCTGGGATTACAGGGGCATGCCACCATGCCTGGCTAATTTTTGCAATTTTAGTAGAGATGGGGTTTTTCCATGTTGGCCAGGCTGGTCTTTAACTCCTGACCTCAGGTGATCCACCCTCCTTGGCCTCCCAGAGTGCTGGGATTATGGGCATGACCCACCACGCCTAGCCGGTTTTGAATCTTTACCTCAGCATCTTAATAGTTATTCTTAGGAATTAAATTCACTAATATATTTTTAGTCTTGATTTCAGTGCTGAATTACATTGGTGTTGATTCATATCAATTTCTATTTCACTGTTGTAAAGTACTGCCAATCAAAACATTTTGATAGTGAAATTGACATACACTAAAATATGCTAAGACATATTCAATTGAAATGCATTTTTTTTACAATTCATTTTTATAATATAGCCTTCAGTGTTTTCCCTGTCATATACATTGGAAATAATAAAAATAATCATAAGTCTTATTTTATAGATGAAAAGACTGAGGCTTAGAATGAATGAGCAATTTTCCCATGATCACATGGCTGATAATTTACAGATCTGAGATAGAATTCAGCATTATCTCGATCCAAAGTTCTATTATTTCCTTTATCCCATGATCTGTTTAAACACTGTATTGAAAAGTTAAATAATAATGACAATGCTAATAGCTAACGTTTATTTATCTCTTACAATATGCCAAGCACCTTATGCTTTATTCTATTCAATCATTTAATCCTCATAGTAACTCTATGAGTTATTATTAACTTTTGAAGGAGTAGAGGCCTTGTGAAGGCAAGCAGTTATGAAAGGGTTAAACAAAGATTACTAATGTCTGATGCGGTTTATAGGTGGGGAGGATTTAGCACCTATTTATTCCTCTGTTCTCCTTATCAACATTTATGCTTAACCTTTTTTAGTTCTTTATTGATACTTTTTTCATCTAGGCTTTGGTGTATTTAGTTTTTCTTTTTGCCAGTTATTTTTCTACCTCATTTGGAATTCACTAGTCAACTATAAATGCTAATCAGCAATGAATACTTAAATAGAGTTGGAATAAAACAATTGAAAACTGGTCACTTGTTAGCTGTTTCTAACTACCTTGCTGTGCCTTTGTGTCTGCTTAAAAACTATAGGAACTCTTTGACTTGAATTGTTATTGCTATGTGATCAACTTTCAATACAACAAATATACTAGAAAGAGCTTCAAGGCTCTTGGAGCTTAGTAACATATTTTATTAATTGAATGTGTATAATCTATGTACGTGTGTAGCTATATATTTTATAAGTACCTGTCTACATGAAATTGAAGCATATGTTTTTAATGCTAATAAGTTTTCAAAATTGTATTACTATTCACATGCTATAAGAACTATGATGACTTTTAAGAATGAGAATATTGCTATATATATATAAGTTCTGTGGAAATTTTATTAACTACGTTAAAATATGTGTAATAAAACTTTTTATACTTATTTGGCTTACTTAATTATGCCATTTCTAATGCTTTGATTTGTTGTGCTTTAGTAATTTGATATGAAATTTTGGAGAAATAATTCAAAGCCCTCTGATTCTAAGTCCTTATATAAAACCATTTGTCAGTTTGAACTTTCAGGTGTATAAGACCTCAAACTATAGTTCTTGTAAATTTCAACTTCTTCATATAAAGATAAATTCATGATTAGAGACTTTAATAATCTTAGATTTACCAGGACAGTTATATTTAATTTATTCCATAAACATGCAATATTAATTTATTGCATAAACCCACAATAAAATTATTTTTATAGACACAGAAGAAAGATGATGATAAGAAGCCATACATTGTAAGACATTTAGGTAAGCTTTTTTACCAAAATAAGTCAACATAATATGTGTTATTTCTTACTTAAATAAAAATATTAAGCCATTCTTTAACTCTGTATTACTTTATCTGTTACACTTATGGAGAATATTATTCCACATGAAACTCTTGCATGTACTTTTCCTGCTGCACATATGTGATTTAGTTCCTCTCTGCATTCCAGGAGATTTCAATGAATTATTTGCCTTGATCAGCAAAGCAGAAATATTACTTATTTCTACACATGTTATCTGGAGTCTTTAAACCACATACATCATGTATTATTCAATCAACATCATTTCAGAATGAATGGGCACTAAATCAGCACTTGAAATCTGGACATTGTTTGCAAATTACCAATTTCAGATAATATCTTGATTAGATTAAATATTTCCCAATATATAAATTTTAATCTCTCTTTTTTTACTTGCTAGACTTTCTATGTGTCTTTCAGGCTCACTCAGGTCATTCACAGTTCTGTTTTTCCTTTGACTGGACTAAGCTCCAGCTTTGAATCCAAGTGGTGCAGTTAACAAGGAGGAGCAAGAAAGCAGGACAAATAAAGCAGAGAGCTAGTCACCAGAGGGATGTGTTTGATCCAGCACACCCCTTCTCTTCATAGCAGAGAATCGACACCCAATCAATCACAGCAAAGGTGCTCACTGTGCCTGACATTTCTATTCTACCTAAAATTAATCAGCATTGACTGAGCATCTCCCTAGGTCAGGTACTAAGCTGGGTCCAGTGGAGTGGCAGTTATAAGATATGACCTCTACCCATGCCAGAAGCAGTATGGGGCTGTGGTGATGGCATGACTTTTGGGACCTGGCAGACCCTATTCCTTACTAGTTCTGTGTGCTTGCACTTATTATTTCATTGTTTTTTTTTTTTTCCTTAGTTTCTTCATCTGTAAGATGAAGAGGAATAACAGCACCATTTTAAAGGACTGTTTAGTGAATAAATGAAATAATCCATTTAGAGTACTGATCACAGAGTTTAGCAGGTAGAAGCACCCTCCTAAATGTTAGCTACAATTATTATTCACAAAAGGAAGCTCACTGTCTCTGAAGAAAAGACACACAGGCAGTCAAGTCTACCTATCAGCCTGGCTGGGAAGTGTCCTATCACAGGGGTCAGTTAGTGCTTTAAGAGTAGAGACAGAGGTGCTATTTGGAATGAAGGACTTGGGGAGGCATGGTAGAGGAACAGGCATAAAACTTGTTTTGTCTTTCACAAAAACTGGATCATATAATACAAATTACTGTGTAGCTTGCTTTTTATAGTTAGTGATTTATGATATTAATACTGCCAGGTTTTAAGATATAATTTTTTTTTTAAGACAGGGTCTTTCTCTGTTGCCCAAGCTGGAGTGCAGTGCACAATCATGGCTCCGTGCAACCTCTGCTTCCTGGGATCCAGTGATTCTCCCACCTCAGCTTCCCAAATAGCTGGGACTACAGTCACATGCCACTATGCCTGGCTAATTTTGTACAGACGACTTTTTGCCATGCTGCCCAGGCTGGTCTTGAATTCCTGAGCTAAGTCAGTCCTCACACAGTGGCCTCCCAAAGTGATGGGATTACAGGCATGAGCCACCACACCCAGCCCCCTGTTTTTAAAGAAAGATCCACTTAGCATTCAAAATAGGGAGTTATCTTTCCATCAGTAGCTCTTTTAGGGCAGGCCTGGTGGTGACAAAATCTCTCAGCGTTGGCTTTTCTGTAAAGTATTTTATTTCTCCTTCACTTATGAAGCTTAGTTTGGCTGGATATGAAATTCTGGGTTGAAAATTCTTTTCTTTAAGAACGTTGAATATTGGCCCCCACTCTCTTCTGGCTTGTAGAGTTTCTGCCAAGAGATCAGCTGTTAGTCTGATGGGCTTCCCTTTGTGGGTAACCTGACCGTTCTCTCTGGCTGCACTTAACATTTTTTCCTTCATTTCAACTTTGGTGAATCTGACAATTATGTGTCTTGGAGTTGCTCTTCTCGAGGAGTATCTTTGTAGCATTCTCTGTATTTCCTGCATTTGAATGTTGGCCTGTCTTGCTAGGTTGGGGAAGTTCTCCTGGATAATATCCTGCAGCGTGTTTTCCAACTTGGTTCCATTCTCCCTGTCACTTTCAGGTACACCAATCAGATGTAGATTTGGTCTTTTCACATAGTCCCATATTTCTTGGAGGCTTTGTTCATTTCTTTTTACTCTTTTTTCATTAAACTTGTCTTCTCACTTCATTTCATTCATTTGATCTTCCATCACTGATACCCTTTCTTCCAGTTGATCAAATTGGCTACTGAAGCTTGTGCATGCGTCATGTAGTTCTCATGCCATGGGTTTCAGCTCCATCAGGTCATTTAAGGCCTTCTCTATAGTCTTTATTCTAGTTAGCCATTCATCTAATCTTTTTTCAAGGTTTTTAGCTTCTTTGTGATGGGTTCAAACATCCTCCTTTAGCTTGGAGAAATTTCTTGTTACAGATCATCTGAAACCTTCTTCTCTCAACTTGTCAAAGTCATTCTCCATCCAGCTTTGTTCCATTGCGGGTGAGGAGCTCTGTTCCTTTGGAGGAGAAGAGGCACTCTGATTTTTAGAATTTTCAGCTTTTCTGCTCTGGTTTCTCCCCATCTTTGTGGTTTTATCTACCTTTGGTCTTTTGTCATGGTGACATACAGATGGGGTTTTGGTGTGGATGTCCTTTCTGTCTGTTAGTTTTCCTTCTAACAGTAAGGACCCTCAGCTGCAGGTCTGTTGGACTTTGCCGGAGGTCCACTCCAGACCCTGTTTGCTTGGGTATCACCAGTGGAGGCTGCAGAACAGCGAATATTGCAGAACAGGAAAGTTGCTGCCTGATTCTTCCTCTGGAAGCTTCATCTCAGAGGGGCACATGGCTGTATGAGGTGTCAGTCGGCTCCTACTGGGAGGTGTCTCCCAGATAGGCTACTCAGGGGTCAGGTACCTACTTGAGGAGGCAGTCTCTCTGTTCTCAGATCTCAAACTCCATGCTGGGAGAACCACTACTCTCTTCAAAGCTATCAGACAGGGACGTTTAAGTCTGCAGAAGTTTCTGCTGCCTTTTGTTCAGCTATGCCCAGCCCCCAGAGGTGGAGTCTACAGAGTCAGGCAGGGCTCCTTGAGCTGCGTTGGGCTCCACCCAGTTCAAGCTCCCTGGCCACTTTGTTTACCTACTCAAGCCTCAGCAATGGCAGGTGCCCCTCCCCCAGCCTCGCTGCTGCCTTGCAGTTCGATCTCAGACTGTTGTGCTAGCAATGAGTGAGGCTCCGTTGGCATGGGACCCTCCAAGCCATGTGCGGGATATAATCTCCTGGTGTGCCATTTGCTAAGACCATTGGAAAAGCGCAGTATTAGGGTGGGAGTGTCCCGATTTTCCAGGTACCATCTGTCACAGCTTCCCTTGGCTAGGAAAGGGAATTCCCCAACCCCTTGTGCTTCCCTGGTGAGGCGATGCCCCACCCTGCTCCATGGGCTGCACCCACTGTCTGACAAGCCCCAGTGAGATGAACCCGGTACCTCAGTTGGAAATGCAGAAATCACCCATTTTCTGCGTCACTCACGCTGCGAGCTGTAGATTGGAGCTGTTCCTATTTGGCCATCTTGGAACCTCCTCCAGAAGTTTTTTAAAGTAATTAAAATCTCAATTATAGTACCTTTAAATTATTTCACAATTACATATACATGTTGGCAGCTCGAATCTTTCATTACAATTTTTTATAAGGTAAAAAAGTAATAAAATCATAAATCTCATCATAACTGACAATCTCGATTTCAGGTTTCTATAAATTGTTAAAGAATGTGATTGGCATTGTTGAAGAAATTATTAAATAAATTTGATTTTCCTGCCTCTATTCAAGACTTTCAAGAATAGTATGTAAAGAAATTACATAATGTTAGTTTGAAACAGTTATGGTTCAAAAATTAACTTTAGTTCTTCAACTCTTTTCAGATCCAGGTTTCTGAGGTGAACAGCCTGTTTTGTACATTTCTATATCTTTCTCTATGCTCATATCGACCTATATACCAATAAATAAGAATTTTAATTTGTTTCATTTTGTCTTTCACAAAATTGGATCATATAATACACATTATTCTTTACCTTGCTGTTTATACTTTCTAATGTATCATATTAATTTCTCTAGGTTTTAAGATATAATTTGTTTTTGCTTTTGTTTTTGACATGAGGACTTGCTTTGTTGCCCAAGCTGGAGTGCAGTGGTGCCATCATGGTTCACTGCAACCTGTGCCTTCTGGATGCCAGCAATCCTCCCGCTTCAGCCTCCCAAGTAGCTGGGACAACAGTTGGGTGCCACTATGCCTGGCTAATTTTTGTGTTTTTTTGTAGAGACAGGTTTTTGCCATGTTGCCCAGGCTGGTCTTGAACTCCCTAGCTCAAGGGATCCACCTGCCTTGGCTTTCCAAAGTGTTGGGATAATGGGCATGAGCCACCACGCCTGGCCCCCTGTTTTTTTTTTTTTAATAAGATCCACTTACCATTCAAAATAGGGAGTTATCATTCCTTATTCTGTCAATCAAACAGATAGTTTAAAAATTTTTGTTTCTTCTACAAGTAAGGCTGCGGTAAGTAGCCTTGTTTCTGTATCCTTTCACATAGATACTTATAATTATGGAGTTGATTCCCAAGTGTGATATTGCTTGGGACATGCATTTTGTAAATTTTAATAAATATCACAAATTTCTTGTCAGAAACCTAGGACAGTGCACATTTCTACCAACAGTGTAAGCTAATAGGTAAGCAGTAATATCTCATTTTGCTTTATTTTGTATTTTTTGACCACTACCAAGGCTCAATGGCATTTAATATGCTTTTTGGCCATTTTAATTTCTCCTCCTATGAATTTCCATCATTGTTCATTTTCTCTTTGAGTCGTCTATTTTTAAATAGAAAAGCATTAGGATTTGGCTGGGCATGGTGGCTCACGCTTGTAATCCCAGCACTTTGGGAGGCTGAGACAGGCAGATCATGAGGTCAGGAGATCGAGAGCATCCTGGCCAATATGGTGAAACCCCATCTCTACTAAAAATACAAAAAAATTAGCTGGGTGTGGTGGTGCACGACTGTAATCCCAGCTACTCAGGAGGCTGAGGCAGGACAATCACTTGAACCTGGGAGGTGGAGGTTGCAGTGAGCCGAGATTGTGCCATTGCACTCCAGCCTGGTGACAGAGTGAGACTCCATCTCAAAACAAAGAAACAAACAAACAAAAACACTAGGATTTTAGAAAGATCTTTTTTTGGTCAATCATATATGTGAAAATATTTTTTCCTTATCTATATTTTTAGTTTATGTGTTTATACCAAAATTTGAAAATTTTCTCCAAGCTCAGAATTTCATTTTAAATACTTTCATGATACTATTGAAGTCAATCCCCTACTTTATTTATTTATTTATTTATTTTTATTTTTTTGAGATGGAGTCTCACTCTCTCACCGAGGCTGGAGTGCAGTGGAATGATCTCAGCTCACTGCAACCTCCGCCTCCCAAGTTGGAGCGATTCTCCTGCCTCAGCCTCCCTAGTAGCTGGGACCACAGGTGTGTGCCACCATACCCAGCTAATTTTTATATTTTTAGTAGAGACGGGGTTTCACCATGTTGGCCAGGCTGGTCTCTAACTCCCAATATCAGGTGATACACCTGCCTCAGCCTCCCAAAGTGCTGGGATTACAGGGGTGAGCCACTGTGTATTTGTATTTATATATCATGAAAACTCAAAGAATCAAAGCAATATATTCTCACAACCATGCACATTTTCTCCCTGTCCTCTTCAGCCCTGTGTCTGTCACTCCCATAATCCTGTTTCAGCAACTATGAAGGCACTTCTGTGGAATACTTGATTACAGACCTATATATATATACACATTCACTTAACTTTATAAACCACTTGCCCCATAGTAAAAATTTCTTTACCTAATATTTGTTAAAGTCTTGAATAGAGGCAGGACAATCAAATTTCTTTAATAACTCTTTAAAGAATGTCAATTACATTCTTTAATAATTTATAGGAATTTGACATTGAGAGCTTCCTCATGAATTCTATTGTCATGTTGTGTTTGTATTCCACCAAAATTCACATGTTGAACTCTAATTCCCAATGTGATGGTATCTGGAGGTGGGGCTTTTGGGAGGTGATTCCACCCTCATGAATGGGGTTAGTGCCCTTATAAGAAGAGACACAAGGTGATCATTCAGTCAGTCATGTGAAGATACAGAGGGAAGGCGTCTGTCTACAGGCCAGGAAGTTGGCCTTCACCAGCCACCAGTTCTTTTGGCCCCTTGGTCTTGTACTCTCCAGCCTCCATAATGGTGAGAAATAAATGTCTGTTGTTTAAGCCACCCAGTCTGTTATGTTTAGTATAGCAGCCCAAACTTATTGAAACATGATGGTAGACAGAATTCTAAGCTGACTCCCAAGATTCCAGCTCCCTGGTATACATGCCTTATATGATCCCTTATGCTTAAATGAGTATGAAACCTTTGAATATGATGGGAAAGCCACTCCATGGATTAGGTTGTGTTACAGAACAAGTGCTGATGGAATAGTCACATTTGTGATTATCTGACATTATATAAGACTCTGTTGTGTTAGACTTGAGGGGTTTGTGAGTCAATATGTTGGGAGCATGAGAGGGTGTGCTGAGGGAGCCATGCTGAGATTGTTCCCAGGTTGACGGTCAGCAAGAAACCAGAAGCCTCAGTCCCACAGCTACTGGGAACTGAATTCTGGCAACAGCAATGTGAGCCAGAAAGAGGGCCCCAAGCTCCAGAAAGGAACACAGGCCAGCTAATACTGTTGACACTCCAGTTGGAGCAACTAGTTCAGCTCTTTCCAGATTTTTGACCTGTAGAAACTGTGAGAGAATAAATGGTGTTCATTCAAGCCAATAATTGTGTGGTAGTTTGTTACTCAGAAATAGAAAGCTAACATACGTGTGAAGAAATGTTTTATACAATTAACTCCCTTCAACTGTGTTTATTTTTTCAAGTACATTTCACAAATTTGGAGTAAACTTTTATGTGTACTCAAGGGAGATGTTTAGAAAGGGTTATCTTCGAAGAGACGCTTCAGAAAGGAGAGAGAATTTGGGGAACCTTTTCCATGATTTGAAGAAGACGGGTGAGTAGAGATGGGAATGTCACTTGGGATAAGATTTTGACTTGTAGGAAGGCATGGAAGAAACTGAAAATGTGATACTACATGCTAAAATTATTTAAAAATGAACAATTCAGTTTCAAATCGAAAAGATTATAGAATAGAAACAAGGTCTAGCATAATTTATGAAAGATTATGATGTATCATTTAAACATGGTATAATATAATTTAAAAAGTCCTATATACCAGATATTGCCTAAAATTATGTTTATTTCTACTCCGGATATGAACATTAAGGAGTTTTAAGTAGAAAATTTAACCAACAGTTATGGCAGTTATGAAAAGTTAACAAAGAGACTGTAAGAACTCCATTATTAATTGGCATCACATATCTTTGTTCCACAAAGATGACTAAGCATTGGTCCTGCAACAATTGTACCTCCCATTTTTAGCTCCAGACTGTATAAACAACTGCATTTGAAAATCCTAGAGGAACTTCAAACTCAAGTCCATTTTCCTACTTAACCATTGCTATGGCTTGAATGTCTTTCTCCTTCAAAACTCATGTTGAAATTTGGTTGCCATTGTAATAGTATTAAGAGGTGGAACAACTTAAGAAAGAAGTAGGCCAGGAGGCTCTACCATTATGGGTGGGGTTAATTACATTGCAAAAAGATGAATTCAGCCTCTTTTTGTTCTCTCTCTTATCTTCTACAATGTGATGATGTAGCAAGAAGCCTCTCAACACATGTTGGCACCTCCATATTGAAATTCCCAGCGTCCAGAACTGTGAACTAATAAATTTCTTCATTGTAAATCACCCAGTCTCAGTCTCAGGCATTCTGTTATAGCAGCACAAAACGGAATAAGTCAACCATCTTCACCACAAATACCTGATAATGTCTTGAGATCACAAGTTGGTGAAAGGACCAACCATCCACACCAAGTTGTCAGGCCAACATTTTGGAATTAGCCTCCTCCCTATCCCTTGTCTCTCTCTCTCTCTCTCTCTGTCTCTTTTTTTATCTGAGACGGAGTTTCGCTCTGTTGCCCAGGCTGGAGTGTGGTGGCGCGATTTTGGCTATTTTACTTTATATCTAAGGTCTTTCATAATATGAAATAGAATGTAGATATTGCAACAAGTAGCATTTTTGGAGACAGCTGTAACTCCTTTACCAGGAATAACCTTTGCATGTCACATTTAGAGATAAAGCTCAAAATGCAAATCTTTCCCCTGAGAGTGGGAAAGCATTAACAAATAGGCACCACAAGTCTTTACATATTCAAAATATTAAACTAATTCTAGGATTGTATACTTGATTTAAGACATGGTAGTTAATAGAAAAGTTCTAGACTGAAAACAATTTTGCAAAAATATACATTTGTATATGTGTGTATATATATGTCTATATGTCTATCTACTAGGAAAATATATTGCTTAAGGTGTTTGTGCCATTTCTTAGTTACCAATTTTACATTCTGTGTTCACAGCTTTTGCCATCCCATCTCTACACTTAAAGCCACCATATTATTTTGAATCACTTTATACCCATTTTCAATTATCTAAATAATCGTTTATAGCCATAAACTAATACTGTTTAGCCAATGAAGCACTTTCATGAGCAAAAATTATAGATTTTTTGAACATAATTCCAGGAATAGTTCAGTTTTTGCAATTAGTAATTGTACCTTAGTCATATGAAGCATGAAATCAGCTATTATTTTTAAAAATCAATTGTATATTGACCATAAAGACATAGTATAAATGTCAGAAAAACATTCTCCTTCACTGTAAGAAAACATGTGACATTTTATTTGAGTTCCTAAGAAATTTCCTGGATTTACAACTCTTGGACTTTCACCACTTGTAAATATGAGTATATCCTTTACCCTACTACAGCTTTTACCCTAGGAATTCGGTATATTTTATTAAAAAAAAAAAAAGGCGAAAATGCCGACAGTGAAAATTGAGATAGATGCAGGAGACTACAAGCACAATAGCCCAGCATGTGTATATTCAGGGCAAGTGAAGGGTCCCCTCCACTGGGATTCCATGACTAAAGATTATGAAGATACCAAAAATGCAGGAAGTCATAGGAAATAGCTTTTCTCAATGGCAAAGATGACACAAGTAGAATGGTTAAGAAGGAAGGTTTATTGGCTTCAATTCCCCAGCTGATGTTCAACACTTTATTTAGTTCTCATTTGGATTTTAAACATTTGCTTGAAAAATAATTTTACATCAATTTCCATTTCTTTGGAAAGCCCCCAAATGTAATTTATTGATAAAATCTGTGATGAGCAGAATTAATGATATTTCCCAGCTGTTGCTCCAGATCATGTAGGGTAGAGGAGGCTGAAGACTGCCACAAGGGAAAACATCTGTATTGTCTCAAAACATCAGAATGGTACGGATACTGCAATAGGAAAGAAGAGACATTGTATTAGCATTTAGACATGCTTCCATGTGAGAGTCCAAGGAGCATTTGAAATGACTTAGTGAAAATCTGTCTGTTCTCAGCCACTCTAATCCCACCCCCATGCATTCGGGTCAAGTGAAGTCAAAGGAAAGCTCATCTTTTTTGGTTTTCTCTTGTGTTTTCTTCAACTTTAAGCTCACTCACAACATTCTGAGTATGCCTGTCATTTAGACTTCAATACTACGTTAGCATCTTCAAAAAATCATTGTTGTGTGCCCACGTTCCTGTTATAATAAGGAATATAAAACAACAATGGATAATAACTTGTGATAAGTTTTTGCTATTTGTCACATTCTTCATGCATTTTCTGTCTTAAACTTCAACCTAAACATCAACACTAGGAGGTAGATTTTCATATTATTTTGATTTTAGAGATTATAAACACTGAGACTTAGAAAGATTTGTAACTTGGTCTGGTCGCATATCTAGTATAGAGTTTTGGGATTAAAACTCAAATACAAATTTGCACAAATTATAAGATGATAAATAACTTGCCTGAAAGAACTGATAATTTAACAAAGTTAAAACCATGCTGGAAGTTTAAAAGACCTTTGATACAGATATGTTTAAGGATTTTTAGAAGTAGAGAATAAAGTCGATTTGTATTAATTCTAAGATACTTCATTCTTGTGAAGATTACAAAAGGAACATTTACACTAGAACTAATGCCCTTTCTATAAACCAACTTCTCATGAATAAATATTTTTAGAAAATGATGGTCTTTGTGACTCTTTAATAATTTTTAAAATATATATGTATTTGCATATGCATATATAAGAAAAATATATGCACATAATTCAGAGAATACAAGACAGCAGAAAGAAGAAAGTAAAGGTAATCCATAATCCCCCAACCTAGAAACAATCATTCTCAATGTTTACTTGAATTTCTATCAACTTCTTACTAGGCATATGTACAAGTTTTACTGCTGTTGTTGAAAATGTGCGATATTGTATATAAAATTTATATTCTTTATTATATGAGCCTAAATTATATCATGAGAATTTCCCAATAATGTCATTTCTTTTTGATGGCTTCATTCATTTCTAATAGATGATTGGAATTTATTAAATCATTTTCCTCATGTTGAAATTTAGAATGTTTCTAATGTTTGATATTACAGAAACAAGTAAACATGCTGAAACACATATGTGTGTTTGAATAGTTGATTATTTCTGTAGAATAGATTTCTAGAAATGGAATTGCTGGAACAAAAGATCCATTTTTTTTAAGGGTTTCTGATACATATTACCAAATTGCTTTCCCAAAAGGATGTATCAATTACTACTGAAAGTACATGAAAGTGCCTAGTCACCTTAGTCTTACCAATATTGAGTGTTACAATTTTTAATCTTATTGATAGGATTAATTATATTTACATATGCATATTACTATATGACATTCTCATAAAGTGAATTTAGGCATGCTTCATGACTTCTTATGTTGCTCAACACTATCTTCTGGTTTTGTTCATCTCTATATTTGCCATCATCTTTTCAATCCTATGATGATGATGATGATCACGATGATGATGTCAATGATAATGATGACAATGATAACTAACCTTTGATGGCTACTGTGTTCCATATATCCATGCGCTCTTGAGGGGCGGTGTGGTTTAATAGAAGTGAGATATTTGCTAACAACAAGATCTACCTTTGAATTCTGGCTCTCCTTCCTACCATCTGATGATTTTGACCAAGTCATGCCTTCTCTGAGTCTCAGTTTTCTCTTCTCTAAGATAGTGAGATTGAGACTGACACCGAGCATTGCCTGGGAATCACATAAGATAATGCAGGTAAGACACTTAGTAGAACAGCTGGTGCTCTGTGGGTGCTAGTTTCTTTCCCTCCTCAAGAATGTTGTCGGTTAAAGTATCTACTATAATAATTTTGTGAGTGCCAAAGAAACACTATTAAAAGTTGAAAATCTCGTGAAAATAAGAATGGGATAGCAGAAAAGTCTCAGACTCTGGAGCTAGAAGGCAGAAGTTAGATATAACTGCCTGTTTCCAGTTGTGCCTCATGTAAATGCAGGTGACAAAATTCATTTTATTAGCTGGTTGTGAGAGTTAAGTGTTAGAGACAGGAAATAGAATTGGCTTAGTTTTCTAAGCTTCAGACAAAAAGTAAGCCAAACATTTACAATAGTGTTTAGTATACTTCTCTTTTATAATAACTTTTATTGATAAAAAAATTTTTGTAAACTGCAAAAGAAAAAAAAGGAAAAAGAAAAAACTAGTAATATCTACTTAGAAAACAAACTAAATATAGTTTCACATACTCCAATAATGAAAATGTTGAGGATGTCCTGAAAATTATTTAAATATACAGCCACCTAATGTCAGTTTTATATAGGTGGTAGGCAGAGGCTTCAATGACACCATGTTATAATTATGGTTATTTAAAAAGACTTTTTTTTTTTTGGCAAAGGTGATTGTTCTCTTTTAAAGAAGGCTGAGTGTCTCTGATCATTCGGATTTGCTGTAATCAACATAATTTGGCTTCAGCACAATAGGAAATGCAAAGCAACTGTTTTTAGCATCTCACAGAGGTTTTAAACTTCTCTTACAAGCTCTCCATGTAAAGACTGAACTGGTAATGGAAGAACCAAGGCACTCTAATTTTTCTCATCCTTCCACCTTTTCATTTTCTGCTAGACAATCCCCTATGGTAGAAAAAAAAGCAAAACAGAAAACTAACTAAAAAATCTACCTTTTCCCAGAGTGAAGCAGGTCAAATCCTTCATTTATTTTTTCAAAAGGTAAAACATGGGTTATTAATGCATCCAATGAAAACTTCTTAGCCATAAAATCAGCCACAAGTTTTGGGACACATTCTTTACTTTTAAAGCCTGAAAAGAAGATGGTATCATTGTTAGATTCAACCAGGGTAAGTAGGAGAATTGAAGAGAAGATTTTCCAAATAAATGAAAGTTTAGAAAAGATGCTGCTTCCAGACTGCAACGACTGAGGTTAATAAGAGATACAGTACCTCAATAAGCTTTTACAGGCTCAGACTTAAAAAAAAATCACAGATAAACAAGGGTCCCTGGTTATTCTCTCTCCCACAGAGAAATCATAGTACAGATGTTATGCCCAAAGGAACAAGTTTAACAGTTGTCTAAATTTGGGTGTAGATATGAAATATTGTTGTAGATTTCTGTGTCTTACTAGAAATTCCCATGCCTTACACAGTTACAAGTACGAAAACAGATGAAGAGGAACAGACTTTGTTAATGGTGGCATCAGAAATGTCGATTTTGGGACCTTCTGCCTGCATTAGTTCCATATCTAGTTGATTTGGAGACTGTAGATAGAAAAGGAATTTTAATTTGTTTTTGATCTGCTTTTCAAAACCTTGCCTTGTCACTTGTAAAAGGGGAGATATGCTGAGGTTAATGAGAATTTGGCTCTGAAGCCTAACTACATACCACCAAGAATAGCTCCCTTCCAGGTACGTCCAGTCAGTAGCAGCATAGGGTTCATTGAGAGGTTTTGGGAATCAGGAGGTACCCCTACGATGACACTTGTGCCACATGCCTCATGACAACATAACAGGGAAGCCATCTGGAATAAAGTGAACACTTAGCATTCTTAACATGGAGTCGCATAGTTCCTATTCATAATGCACAATATCATGTAATAGGCTTAACTGGATTGTGAGTGTGTAGAGGGAAGAGATTATGTCTTTTGCTCCTTCAGTCCCCTTTTTTGCACGGGATAGTGCTGTGGATTTAGGAAATGCCCAGAAAACGGTTTTTTAATGAAAGAATGGATGAATAAATTGGAGTGCACTTAATTTTTCCTAATAAAGGAATAAAGTGGTAGATATCATCACAAATATATATTAAGTCCAGTTCCTTATATAAGCATACAATTTCATCATCACATAATTCTTAGGCAATCTGTGAGTTGGTTAATTCATTTTTCATTGATTTATTACATAGGTATTTTGAACCCATTACTTTCAACCACATATTTTAATGGGAAACAAGATAAATGATTATATCACCAAAGTAGTCTCTTGTCCACTTGATGGTCTCCTTTTGTAATGGATTCCTGTTCTACTGTCCATTTCTCAAATGGACATGTTTTAAACATTGTTTTTATCTCCCCAAATATATATAGGTTTTACATTAAAATACCCTGATTATTAGGGAACCTCAAAAGACCGTTCAGAAAGTCTTTTCCAGTGAGCTTTCTGAACACGTTCTATAGTTAGAAAATGGTTTAGGATTGCCCCAAGATATGTAATGATTAGTTCTTTGATTTTGGATTCTGACCTTTGGGAGACCAGACATCCTCAGAACATGTGGCTGTCAGATATTTGGTATCTTGAGATAAGGTACACTCCCGTTCCACATGAGAAAATGGAGGAAGATACAGGAAAAGAACATTAGGAGAAAAGCTATAGCCCTGGAAAAAGTGGAATCTCTTGACACTTCATTCATCTGTGGCATTTGTCCCAGGGCAAGGCTGCTGAGAGCATTGATCTCAGGGTGCTGCTCCCCATTACCCACACTGCTGGACCTTCTAGAAAATCTTGGCAATGGAAACGTGTTGGTCTCTGGAGACTTTTTCAGTAGGATTCTAGAGAATTCTGGGTAGGTGAAATATAGCTAGAGATGTGTTTCCCATTGCCTTTGATATTTGTAACTGTTTGAAAGCAATATCATGTAATAAGCCAAAGATGATGTAAGTACTGCAAGATTGGAAATAGTATTTCATATCAATAACGCCAACTGAGGCCGGGCGTGGTAGCTCGTTCCTATATTCTCAGCATTTTTGGAGGGTGAGGTAGGAGATTTGCTTGAGCCCAGGAGGTTGAGGCTGTAGTGAGTTATAATTATGCCACTGTACTTCAGCCTAAGTGACAGAGTGAGACCCTGTCTCAAATAAAAAGAAGACATTTATTGGGAGCTTACCATATGACAGGCTGCACTGTGCTAAGTATATTACATGCATTGTCTCATGCAATCTATAAACAATGCCATGAGTATATAGCTTTGAAATTTGGGGGGTGATAAAAATCTGTTGACTTTTCAAAGTATTCAGTCCTACTAGTATTGGGCTCTAGTTTTGTGCCAGGTACTGTCCAGTTTCTGTGATAAAATATAGTAATGCATTTGAGCTTCACTTTCCTTAGGGCATGTTTTTGTTAATAAAACAATAGTTGGCCTAAAATTGCTTACTTCTTTTGGCCAAATACTAATATGTTTAAAAAAATTGGAATTTATTAAGAACATATGCAAAATTATTAAATCATTTTTGTTAAGAATGTGGCAGAAAAATAAAACATTCCAATTTGAGAACAGAACTTGTATTATTTATGTTTACTTTAACTTACAGTTTTTAACTAAAAATTAACAAAGTAATCTATTATCACTCAGTTAAGAAAAACAAGCCCTTTGCTTTTCCTCTAGAGGAAATATGACTTGAGACACGTTTGCATAGTTGATAGAATAAAAGATTCCTCATAACAATAAATTAAACAAGCCAGGTAACAAACAGATGATGGGAAATTTCCATTCATCATTAAAAATATCCTTTATACAGAAAACATATATTCTGCAGCCTAAATGCATCCTCCAAGTTGTAGAGGCAGAAATCTCAGGGCATGTCATGGTACATACCATGGTGTCAAGCCGACCGATGACTTCAAATGAAAAATCCACACCTCCATCAGTCATTTCCTTTAGCACCTCCTGGATGGGTTTCTTGTAGTCTTGAGGGTTGATGCATTCAGTGGCACCCAACTCTTTGGCCTTTGCAAATTTGTCCTTGTTGATGTCCACCGCAATGATTCTGGCTGCCCCAGCTGCTTTACAGCCCATAATAGCAGATAGGCCGACCCCTCCCAGGCCAAACACAGCACAGGTAGAGCCTGGGGTGACCTGTGTTTTCAGAAAATGCAAAAATGGATTATAAAAACTTTATAAAGTGCCATGCTTAGTGTTTATCAAAAGCTGCTCAAACTCTTCTGTTCAATCTGTTATCAAAACCTCTTTTGGCTTCAGTTGCTTTATTTTTAAATTCATGGAGTTGAACTAGTTGAGTGGTTCTCAAACTGCTGCATATTGGATTCATCTGGGCAGGTTTAAAAATATCCCACTGTCCAGGTCACAGCCCATGCCAATTAAATGAGAAGCTCTGCAGGTGGAACTTAGTCCCCAGGTGACTCCAATGGGAAGGTCAGGCTGGGAACCAGGCGACTGGATGATCTTTGAGATCCAGATGGCAGTGATTACAATCTTGAAGGGACTCTCGATTGCTGAAATCCCTTGATAGCCAGCTTCAGTAACTCATATATACACAAAGGCAATATTTGGAAAACAAAATAAGTGGAAAAGGCTACTCCAGGAGACTGAAAAATATTCCACTTAAACCCTCAGTAATGAACTCCTTGGTTCATTTATGTTCAGTAGTCATGACCAGTATATCCCTGCTTTAAAAAATACACTAGTGAATAACACAGTAATGAAACATTAGTCTATATTTTAATAATAAAATATATTGTTATGAGTATCCTCATCTTCTGTTCTTGGGTAGGCTCACTTAGATCACCTGTTAAAATAGACGAGGCAATTGAACAAGGGACTAAGAGCTAAAGTCACAGAAATTTGGAAAAGATGCCATCTACATTTTTTTAATTGGCCAGGGGATATTTATTAAACCTAGTCTCCCATAGTCCGCCTTCATTTTGCGTAACATGCTCTTCCTGTTCCAAATAATCTCATTCTTATATTCCCTTAAGGGTGTCTATTCATTCATTCATTCATTCATTCACCAAGTGGTATGCAATACTATGGGGGACAACACCATTTTCTAACTTACTTAGAAAAATACAAGGCTTGTGACTGTGATTTAAAAGTGCTAATAATTATGTATCATGATCTAAGATTCAGCAGGAGATTAGTAAAAGATATTTTAGTCTCAGCTCTCATATTAACCAGCAGTGAGACTTTGGGCAAATATCTTTATATCTCTGGGCCTCGGTTTCATAAAATAAAGCATACTACTAGATTTTCAGCCTACTCAGATAAGAAGCCTTTAAAGAATTTCTGCTTGAAATTTACCACTTCTGAATATATGTGTGTGTTCATGCCAGGGGAGTTAGTTTTAGCAGTGAAATGTCATAATGAGTGAATTACGCATCACTGAAGCGTCATTACTTTCAGTCTAAGAATCCACAGAGTGGGTGAGCCTTGGTTTGGAGGTGCATCAGGTAAGGTTTTGGACTCTACTGTTGTTGATCCTAATTCTGGGAGTAGAGGATCCACAGACTAGCTGCTCCTCAAGGGCAAACGCTTCATTTCATTTACTTTTGCTGTCAGAGCCTAGCAGAACCTATGGTGCCTGAAGCATGTGTAGGTGCTCTCTAATTGTAGAATGAATTACTAAATGAGTTCTCAGGCCTAATATTTCATGAGCTCATAAAGAGCAAATACAGAAGAGTAATTATTGAAAATGAAATCTTTACATTTTCTAAACTCTCAACAACTTTTTAATCTGATAAACAGGTGAAACTTCTAGCATGTGCTCTCAATTCTTTCTGGATTGTGTTTCTATTCTTAGTCGACATTCAAAATCTACAAAAATAATCTTCGATTCTTGTGAGACATTCCTTCCCTTTGGGTTCCTGACAGTCTGCGTGTAACTGTTTTTATCACCCATTGCCATTCTTACCTTGGCAACATTGACTGCAGACCCATAACCAGTTGAAAATCCACAGCCAATGAGACAGACTTTCTCTAGAGGCGAGGCTGCATCAATTTTGGCTACTGCATTTTCATCCACCACTGTGTACTGTGAGAAGGTGCTGATGCCAAGGAAGTGGTGGATGGGCTTCCTCCTGCAGGTGAACCTGCTGGTGCCATCCTGCAGGGTCCCCTGAGGATTGCTTACACTGGACAGTGCAATACAAAGACACACAAAGGCATGAGACAGGACCATAACTAATGTGCAAACTCAATGTCTGCGCAGGGAGAGCATCAGAAACCTACTCGTTTTTCAAGCAGTAGTTGCTCTCCGGGTTTTTACAAATTCTGCATTTTCCACACTGAGGAATAGCGAGTGGGATGACTTTATCACCTGGAGAGGGATAAAACAAATTCTTTTACAATTTCTATCCAGGTATTAATAGAGCAAAAACATAAAGCTCACATGTCTTTAAAACATTAGAAACATGTGTCTTTAAAAGTCTCCAAGAAATACAGTCCAATCACAAATATGTCATTTGTCATTGCCTGCCACAGCCTTGTTTCCAGTTTGGGTTTATAAGTGCCTGAAGATTCCTAAAGAGGACATGCAAATATGGGAAACAACATGGATTAGAAAAATTGCTTCCACTGTATTAACAGTTACTTTCATGTGGTGTACCAATTTCTCCTGGAGGCTTTACAAACATTTAATTTAATCCTTAACTATATAAATCTTACTGTAAGTATAAATATAAATTTTAGTTGAAAGTAGGGTATAATAGTTCCACTAGATGTTGGTAAGACCTGTTTTTTGTTATAGTTTGATTTACAATAAAAATGAGAATTTTGAACTAATTCTTTTCAAAGTAACTAGGTTTATCTTTATTATGAAATGAATGCTTTTAAAATGATCTCAGTTCTTTTTTTGAGGAAAACTATCAAAAATGGGACAAAGAACAATTCCAGAAATTCCTCTGGAAATTTCAACCCTCCACAATAAGTTAGGCACTTTTAGGATAAGAACTGACTTTGAAATGTTTTTAGCTGATAATTTGTGAATTATCTACTTTTCCTGTTACAGTGGAGGGAGCATGGGTAAAAAGTAAGGGTGTCATTTTGTTATTAACTTATTACTAACTAATTAGTTACTATTAGTATTATTTAGTAGTTATTATTAGTAGTTTAGTAGTTATTAGTTATTATTCAGTAGTTATTAATTTATTACTACTAAAGAAATTAGTAGGAGCTGAAACCCAAATTGGACAGTTCATTTTATTTTTCTGTTCACAGTTCAAATAAGTATTTGGTAAAGTGGCAGGTCCAATCTAGTGCCTAAAGTGATTTTTTAGACTGTAATCCCAGCACTTTGGGAGGCCGAGGCAGGCAGATCACGAGGTCAGGAGATCGAGACCATCCTGGCTAATATGGTGAAACCCTGTCTCTACTAAAAACAGAAAAAATTAGCTGGGTGTGGTGGCGGGCACCTGTGGCCCCAGATACCCGGTAGGCTGAGGCAGGAGAATGGCGTGAACCCGGGAGGTGGAGGTTGCAGTGAGCTGAGATCGCGCCACTGCACTCCAGCCTGGGCGACAGAGCGAGACTCCGTCTCAAAAAAAAAAAAAAAAAAAAGTGATTTTTTTAGAATTAAACATAATTTTTATTTTAAATTACCTATGCTGTCTATTCCACAAGACCAAGAAAAATGGTTGGCCCATAACATTTTATAGGTAAAATTTATGTGAAAATGATAGTATGGAAGTGTCCTAGTTATTCTCCCTTTATAATTAGTAATCCGTAACCAGTTACATTTAAGCATGGCTGAAAGTAATAAGGCAGACATTGTTGATGGTGGATGGCTCTTTCTATGTTTCTTTCATTTCCTTTCACCTAGTCTGCTTCATTGATTCCTTGCTCAGGAAGAGAGACCACGTTGCAAGAGGAAATTGGTGAAGGGGCTGCATAGGTCACCTAAGAAAAGGTCATGCTCATTCAGCCGTAGCCATGTAGCGTCCATTTTGTGAACTCAGCACAGAACAATGTCCATACTTATGTTTTTTCCCTCCTCCCATTTCTAGGTGTCTGGGCCCTGACAGAAGACCGTGTTCACCAACACTAACACGGAAGTTACTAGATTATGAATGCCACACTAGTAGGCACTGTGTCCCTTTTGATCCTCACATATCTCCAGGCTCCAACCTGGTGACTGGCATCTAGCAGATGCTCAGTACATAATTGTTGAAGGGTAGAATACATGCGTGCCTAAAGACATACATGCTTGAGTCAGGCAGGAAGAGAGGGAAAGAGGAAATCCCTGAAGTCCTGGCTGCGCGGTGACCTTGGTCAAGCCCTTTCGTCCCTCTTTGCCTCTGTTTCCTCATTCAGGCTGGGAAATCTTAGGATGGTGAACCATCATGTTTCCTGAATGTGAATCCTGTACCTGGTTTGACTGTAGTCACCCCTTCTCCAACACTCTCCACGATGCCGGCTGCCTCATGGCCTAAAATCACAGGAAGTGGGGTCACCATGGTACCACTAACCACGTGGTCATCTGTGCCACAGATTCCTACAGCCACCATCTACAGAGTGAAGAGAAGATGTTTATAAAAGATTGTGAGTCTCAGGTGAATTTAAAAATCCCAGTTCCCTGAAATTGCGCTTCCAAAATGTTTTCAAGGGTTTTGCTAATAATCCCTACTATCCCAAGTATGAAAGATTCAGTTTATCCTCAAGGTTGACCAGGCTGAAACCCTCCTCTACCTTCCATTCTTGAAGTAAACAGTTTAGAATAATCTGTGAAGTAACTGATCCTGAAATAGTTAAGTCTTAAATAATATAAAAGAATGCATGCCTTTAAAAAATAGAAGTAGAAGTTGCAAATTAATACATAAAAATATCTAATGCTAATTGATTTTGAAGTCTTGATATATATCACTTTGAAATTTTCTTTCTGTACAAACACATAAATTCTTTTGTATTTTACTGGAATTACACTGTGTGCACTTTTTTAAAATTTAAAAATTTATATTTATACCTTTCCTTGACAACAAGTATATTCTATTTTCTGGATGATCATATAAAAATTTGGTTGTTTCCGTTTTTTAACTTTTCTGAGTTTTTAAAACTTAAATACAAATGGAAAAATGTATTTCACCTTAATACGAACTTCATGGGCCTTAGGAGGTGCAACCTCCACCTCCTCAATGGAAAAGGGTTTCTTTAACTCCCATAGCACAGCTGCTTTGCATTTGATTACCTAGAAAAGCAAACAGAGAGATGGCACCAGTGTTCTCCCACGCTTGCAGTCAGATATTGTGTCATTTCATCTTTGTACATACAACATCTAATCCCATGTCTGGTACCTAACAAGTGCTCTATAGAAATGATCACCTCTGATTTATAAAGAGAAAAAAATATATTTTAAAAAAGCAATAACATAAGGAAAGATAAACAGTTAACTATAACAACACACTGAGATAAAATGGAATATATTCATTAAGGCCATCCTTATGTTGTTGTTGTTTTTCTCCAAAGTTGTTTAATCCTGACATTTCCTAATGCTATGCTGAAAATGTCTCTTCACCCACAATTATTGGCTGGTACATCAAATTCTAAGTCACCTTCATTTTGCTGACAGAGTCAGTGTCTGTTCACATAAAATACACTGTTTTCTTTCTCAATTTTCTGCTTAGGCCAAAAGGATCTGAGTTTATAAGGATATATTTACCTTCCTGCCTGGGATGACATCTCTTTCTCTCTCTTTTCCTATTCTCCTCTTTTAATTTTCTCTCTCCACCACTTCTGTGTGTTACTTGTTCCAACACCCATTTGCAACTTAGCTTTGAGAGGCTGTACTGTTATCTGATCTATGTGTAGAGACTCCTTCCAGCTTTGATTTGAGCCCCAAATTACAAAGGTTAGAGTTGGGTGTGTGTGTGTGTGTGTGTGTATGTGTGTGTGTGTATACACTCAGACCTACACATACATATTTCAAAATTGGAGACACTGTGTGTTTGAATTTCTAGCTAGCAGATCTTATCCATAGATGTTCTTAAAAATAAAAGATGTACACATAATTTCCAGTGCTTGGCAGTGAACTGTAATATCTGTCTTCATTGTGGTTAAGCATGTACAATTCACAAAACTCTTTCCAGAGAGAATCAACAAAATTGCAATTATGATAAAAATTCAATTGAAATTTGTTCTTCTGATAATTCGTTGTCATTATTTATTTGTCAAATTATTCAACTTTGCAGGATGTTCAACATGATCAATGCCAAATAAATATCAGAATACTTGGAAGTAAAGTACTAATAGTAGGAGTTCCTGATTATCAGGTGCCTATGATGTGACAGGCACATTGTGGCCTGTGCTCGGTGAGTTATTTGCATTATATTTATTTATAAAATTTATTTTTAATTTCAATAGTTTTTGGGGTGCAGGTGTTTTCTGGTTACCTGGGTAAGTTCTTTAGTGGTGATTTCTGAGATTTTGGTGCACCCTTCACTCAAGCAGTGTACATTGCACCCAATATGTAGTCTTTTATCCCTCACCTCCCCTTTCAACCTTCCCCCTCGAGTTCCCAAAGTTCATGATATCATTCTCATGCCTTTGCATCCTCATAGCCTAACTCTCTCTTATAAATGAGAACATATGATGTTTGGTTCTCCATTTCTGAATTACTTAGAATAATGGTCTCCAGCTCCATCCAAGTTGCTGCAAAGGCCATTATTTTATTTTATTCTGTTTAATGGCTGAGTAGTATTCCATGGTATATGCACACCATATTTTCTTTATCTACTCGTTTGTCGATGGGCATTTAGGTCAGTTCTGTATTTTGTAATTGCAAATTGTGCTGCTATAAACAACATGCATTATTTTAAAATCTCATAAGGATGCTACCAGGACAGTACTATTGAATTATTGGCTTTATTTTACAGCTGAAATAATTGAGGATCCATTGACTCAGTGATTAACTAATTTCTCTAAAGTCTCAAAGCTGGCTTTCCAGAGAATAAAGATGAATCTAGCCTTATGTTTTCACTACTCGGTGTCAGTAAAAAGTTAGCAAAAAGTTAAATAGCAACAATAATAATAGTGGCTAATAGTTATTGACTTATTTCTACATCCCAAATACAATTTTAAGTTCTTTATAGTATTCATTTATTGAATTATCACAACACAACTACTTTATGAAATAGATGTTAGTATTGTCACTATTTAGCATTTGAGGAAAATATAATGCAGGATGTATAAACATAAATGAAATGCTGACAACAAACTAAGTTATTGATGTTGTGCCCAAGAGGGGAGGCAATTGTCTATTTCATCAGTTATTATTTTCATTAATATGATTGGTTTATACTTTTGCTGTAGGAACTCATTATTTCTTTTAAGTTGAGTTTGGTAAATTTAATTTTTTTGCTAATTGTTTTCTATGTGGAATGTACATATTAATCAGTAATGAATGAAAGTAAAGTGAGGTGGAATAAGAACAGTAACAATGGGCCACCCATGTGATTTCCAACCAGTCTTATTGATATGAACCTGTTTTGTCACAGAGTGTATAGAGAAGCCTCAGAGCCTTTAAACTGAGTTATCATAGTGAGATATTTTACTGTGTAATACACTCCTAACACAAAAAAGGACTGGAAATAGTTGCACAAATTTTTGTAATTAGGCAATTAAAATATCAATTGATTATATTGTATTACCACATGTATTTTTGTGCACCTATAAACACATTGAACAATTAAGATATTTATGGAAGGCAAAACCAAATATCTGTGTTCCTAGTGCTAATAAGTGATTCAAATTGTATTATTAATTTTCTGTAAAACCATATTGACTTTTATATGGGGAAGATACTGTTCCATAGGATTACTCTGGAAATTGCCTGAATTGTGTCCTACTAGACCCTTTTAAATCAGAATTTGAATGTTGATGTTGTCTTGATTAACCTTGATGATTCTAATGCTGTGAGACCAATGAGCATTTTGTAAACTATTTTATGTTAAGGTTAAAAGGGTATTTCAAAGTCTTCTAAATCAAATCCTCTCATAAAACTTTCATCAGACTTAACTTTCTTGTATTCACAAAAAATATAAATACAAATAGTAATACATTTAAATTATGGTACCTTAATATAAAGAAAACTTCTTGATGAAAGACATTTCTAACTTTGGCTTTACAAATTAATCATGATTAGCTTGGAATAAATTATCGCTTTACCGCAAATGTCTTTAATGTGGGAAATAAACACTTCATAGATACAGATTCTATACATTCTTTTTGAAGGTATTTAGGAATAGCTTATTTCCACTGTAGTTCAGTATACATTACATATTATAGCATATATTGCATATCATATTTCAGTGTATCATTTCTAATTTAGATATGAATTTTAAATGATTCATCAAATACTGTATTACTTTCTTTGTTATATTGATGAGAATATAGTTCCAACAGTAATATATTTTTTGCTTACTTTTCCTGCTGTGCTCATGTTGATTCTGTCTTCTCTGCAGACCAGGAGACTGGTGAGTCCTTGTGGATTTCTTCCCTGCTCAAGTGCATAAAGCAGGTGTATTGCATAGGTATTTATTTATTTTTTTTGCTTGAATAACACCCGATTCCAGTTCCACACATGATCTAGGTCTTTAAGCCACACCCATTAGATTATTCACAGACTGTCAAATCATAAAGAAGAGGGCAATGAACCAGCAATCAATACATTGATTTTTCCAATTTCAAATAAGATTTTGTTTTCATTAGGTTAAATATTAAGTTAAAGTGATAAAGCTTAATCATTTTCTCTTCTCCTCACTTTATTCCTCATCTGTCAAATTTCTTGTTTCTCCTCTCTTAGTCCCACAGTGGTCATTCAAAGTTCTGTTTTCCCTTTATCTGCATTAAGCTCCAGCTTTGAATCCAAACGGTGCAGTTAGGAAGGAGGAAGAGCAAAGAAGCCGGGCAAATAAAGATGACAGCCAGGAGCCAGAGGAATGTGTTTGGCTCAGGACTCCCCTTCTCTTCATAGAGAATCAGATACTCAATCACAGCAAAGGTGCTCACCCTGCTAAGCATTTTTGCTCCACCTCAAACCAATCAGCATTGACTGAGCCCCTCTGTGTGTCAGGCACTAAGCTGGGTCCAGTGGATGGCAGTGATAAATAAGACATTACCTCTATCTGTACCAGAGGCAGTATGGGGCAAAGGTGATGGCATGCTTTTTGGGACCTGGCAGACCCTATTCCTTACTAGCTCTGTGTACTGGCACTTATTATTTCACTTTTTTTTTTGCCTTAGTTTGTTTACCTGTAAGATGAAGAAGAATAATACCATTTTAAATGACTGTTTAGTGAATATAGCACCATTTTAAAGGACTGTTTAGTGAATATAGCACCATTTTAAAGGACTGTTTAGTGAATAAATGATATAATCTATGTAAAGCACTCATCATAGAGTTTAACAGGTAGGAGCACCCTACTAAATGCTAGCTACAATTATTATTCATAAAAGGAAGCTCACAGTCTATGGGGAAAAGATACACAGGCAGCCAAGTCTACATATCAGCCTGGCTGGGAAGTGCGCTATCACAGGGATCAGTTAGTGCTTTGGGGACAGAGACAGAGGTACTATTCAGAATGAAGGCCTCAGGGGAGGCATTATAGATGAACAGGTATTTGAGGTAGATTTTAAATAATTGTGGGAAATTCAGACAAATCCTCACTGGATCATTTCTATTGCCCTTTGATCAATGTAACTAGTCTACACATGGCTGTCCAAGATTATGAGTTTAATTTTTCTTTTATCCACACTTGGAGGCATTGCACAGGCAGCTGTTTAATCAGATGCAGTCTGTCAACATGAACATGTCAACATAAAGGACATATCTCTCTAGAATTGTAAAGGGAACATTTCAGTAAGCTTTAACTACGTAGGCACTGAGACTCACACCAAGACTGAGAAACATTCACCCAATAGAGAAGCAAGGAAGGTCCTACGATTTCAGTTGCTTCTGAAATGTATCAAGGTAAGAATATAGCCCCAGATCTGATGTTCAGCATTCAAGGCTTCGTAATATGGCTTCAACCTTCTCATCTATCTACTCCTCCCCATTCTCCAATACAGGGCGTATGTGCTTTAGAAGCTTGTATCTCCCTGGTCCCCCAAAGAGGAATCTATTTAACATTCAAGCCCTTGCTCATCATGCTCTTTCTCTTCTTTTCTGTCCCTCTGGCCCATTCAAATCCTACCCAAAATTTGAGATGCAGGACAAGGTCACCCTCGTGGAGGTATATTAACTCCATCTCACTGTTGTGCTTTATGTCTCTGCATCCCTGTCATGCTAGCATCTCTCCTGTGGTTTTGGGTCTGTTCCCTTTTGTCGCCCTCTATATTTAGTGTAGAGATCAGTCTCCTAATTTCTACTGGAAATTTCTAGTCAGGGATGTTCTTAAATTTCATTTATATCATCAACTATACCTAGCTCCATGTATACTGTAGGTGTTTAATGAGTGATTGTTGAATTCTTATGCTCATTTATGTTAGGACAGGCACTGTTCTATGAGCAGTCCCATAATCCAGAAGATCCGATGTCTCCTCTTTAAGGGTTTACAGATTAGCAGTGGGATTGGCTGTGGTCAGGTAGACAAGACAGAGAACCCTCCTGTGAAGCAGGAAGTGGTCGTGCCAGGAGAAGAGTTCAACGTGGAATTCAAAGGAGGAAGATCCTACTCCATCTTTTCATTATGGATTCTCAGCTCTTAACTCAATGTCTGGCACAGAGTGAGTGCTCAGATATTTGTTGATTAAATTAAAGAAATGACTTCTACTTTTAGGGTGAGGAAACCTTGAAAGAAAGGTATTTTATTAAGATGTATCAAGAAAAGTGGGTCATCAGGAGGCAAAATGGAGGAGGATAGGAGGCAGGACTAACTTGCACCTGCTACTTGGATGAACAGAGCAGTTCATGGAGACCCACATTGTGAACTTTTGCTCCAAGAACTACTGCAGGGACATACCAGGAAAGCAGAGAGAATCCACAGACCCTTTGAAGGCGGTGGACTGCTGCTCCAGCCTCTGTGGGACAGCAGAAGAAACGTGAGCCAGCTTGCTTTCTCAGTTGCGGGGCTTATAGCCTGGGGCAATTTCTCAGCTCTGCTCACCAGCTGACTGGAAGGAAATAAACACATTTTTGTTGAGGGCTCATGGTGGGAGTGAGACCGGCCCTCAGACTCTGGGCTGCATGGGAGCTGTGTGAGGCCTGTGGCTGCCAGCTTTCCCCCACTCCCCTGATGACCTGTGTGACACGGCAGAGACAGCTGTAATCCCACTGGGAACATAACTCCATTGGCCTGGGAACTACACCCTCATCTCCCAAATCAGCCACAGCAAGCCCTGACCAAGGAGAGTCTAAGCTCAGACATGTCTAGCCCTGCCCCTAGTTGATGGTCTTTCTCTACCCAGCCTGGTAGCTGAAGAAAAGGACATAATCTATTGGGGGTGCTATGGTCCTGCCCACGACCTGATCCTCCCTAGACTACCGTAGCTGAGGTGCTCTTGAAATCGTCACCTCCTGGCTGGAGGCCAACGAACACAAAACCAGCACGCTTAACAAAAATACATCCAAGGACCCTCACAGAATCCACTCCACTCTCCTGCTACCTCCACTGGAGAAGGTGCTGGTATCCATGGCCAAGAAACCTGAAGATGGATCACATCACAGGACTCTGAATACACTCCCCAGTACCAGTCCAAAGCCAGGTAGCTCCACTGGGTTGCTAGATCTAGAAGAGAAAAAGCAATAACTACAGTTCAGCTCTCAGGAAGCTCCATCTCTTGGGAAAAGGGGAGAGCACCACATCAAGGGAGCATCCTATAGGACAAAAGAATTTGAACAGCAGCCCTTGAGTCCTAGATCTTCCCTCTGATGTAATCTACCTAAATGAGAAGAAACCAGAAAAACAATTCTGGTAATATGACAAAATAAGATTCTTCAACACCCCCAAAAGATCCCGCTAGATTACCAGCCGTGGATCCAAACCAAGATGAAATCTCTGAATTGCCATAAAAAGAAATCAGAAGGTTGATTATCAAACCAATCAAGGAGGCACCAGAGAAAGGTGAAGTCCAACTTATAGTAATCAAAAAAACAATACAGGGTGTGAATGAGAAAATATCTAGTGAAATAGATAACATAAGAGAAAAACAATCAAAACTTCTGAAAACGAAGGACAGAGAGAATTGCAAAATGCATTGGAAAGTCTCAGCAATAGAGTCAAACAAGTAGAAAAAAGAACTTCTAAAAAACAAGGCTTTTAAATTAACACAATTAAACAAATACAAAGAAAAAAGAATATTTAAAAAAGGACAAAGCCTGCATGAAATTTGTGATTATGTTAAATGACCAAACCTCAGAATAATTGGTGTTACTGGAGAAGAAGAGAAATCTAAAAGTTGCAAAACATATTTGAGGGAATAAACAAGAGAAACGTCCCTGGCCTTGCTAGAGACCTAGATATCCAAATATCAGAAGCTCAAAGAACACCTGAGAAATTCATCACAAAAAGATCACCGCCTAGGCACATAGTCATCAGGTTATCTAAAGTCAAGACAAAGGGAAGAATCGTAAGAGCCGTGAGGCAAAAGCATCAAGTAACCTATGAAGGAAAACCTGTCAGATTAACAGCAGATTTCTCAGCAGAAACCCTACAAGCTAGAAGGGATTGGGGTCCTTTCTTTAGTCTCCTTAAACAAAACAATTACCAGCCAAGAATTTTGTGTCCAGCAAAACTAAGCTTCATAAATGAAGGAAAGTTACAGTCTTTTTCAGACAAATGCTGAGAGAATTCATCATTATTAAGCCAGCACTAAAAGAACTGCTAAAAGGAGCTCCAAATCTTGAAACAAATCCTGGAAACACATTAAAACAGAACCTCTTTAAAGCATAAATCTTACAGGACCTATACAACAACAACACAATGAAAAAAAAAACAAAGTATACAGGCAACAATGGCACGATGAATAGAATTGCGCCTCACATCTGAATACTAACGTTGAATGTAAATGGCCTAAATACTCCACTTAAAATATATAGAATGGCAGAATGGATAAGAATTCACCAACAAAGTACCTACTGTCTTCAAGAGACTCACCTGACACATAAGGACTCACATAAACTTAAGGTAAAGGGGTGGAAAAAGATATTCCATGCAAATGAAAACCAAAAGCAAGCAAGAGTAGCTATTCTTATATCAGACAAAACAAACTTGAAAGCAACAGAAGTTAAAAAAGACAAGGAGGTACATTATATAATGATAAAAGAAAGAACTATTTCAACAGGAAAATATCACAATCCTAAATATATAAGCACCTAACGCTGGAGGTCCCAAATTTACAAAACAATTACTACTAGACCTAAGAAATGAGATAGACAGCAATACAACAATAGTAGGAGACTTCAATACTCCACTGACAGCACTAGACAGGTCATCAAGACAGAAAGTCAACAAAGAACCAATGGATTTAAACTACAGCCTACAACAAATGGACTTACTGGATATTTATAGAACATTCTACCCAACAACTGCAGAATATACATTCTGTTCATCAGCACATGGAACATTCTCTAAGGTAGACCATACGATAGGTGAAAAAACAAGTCTCAATAAATTTAAGAAAATTGAAATTATGGCAAGTACTCTCTCAGACCACAGTGGAATAAAATTTGAAATAAACTCCAAAAGGAACCCTCAAAACCACGCAAATACATGAAAATTAAATTATCTGCTCCTGAATGGTCACTGGGCCAACAGTGAAATCAAGATGGAAATTAAAAAGTTATTTGAACTGAATGATAATAGTGTTACAACCTATCACAACCTCTGGGATACAGCAAAGTGATACCAGGAGGAAAGTTCATAGCATTCATTAAATGTCCACATCAAAAAGATTGAAAGAGCACAAATAGACAGACAATCTCAAGTCACACCTCAAGGAGCTAGAGAAACAGTAACAAACCAAACCCAAACCCAGCAGAAAAGAAATAACCAAGATCAGAGCAGAACTAAATGAAATTGAAACAAAAAAATACAAAAGATAAATTTTAAAAAGCTGTTTCTTTGAAAAATAATATTGATAGACCATTGACAAGATTAACCATGAAAAGAAGACGGACGATCCAAATAAGCTCAATTAGAAATGAAATGGGAAGAATTACAACCAATACCACAAAAATACAAAAGATCATTCAAGGCTACTATGAACAAGTTTTTGTGCATAAACTAGGAAACCTAGAGGAGATGGATAAATTCTTGGAAAGATACACCTGGCCTAGATTAAACCAGGAAGTAATAGAAACTCTGAAGAGACCAATAACAGCCCTGGACCAGACGGATTCACAGCTGAATTCTATGAAACATTCAAAGAAGAATTGGTACCAATCCTATCGACACTATTCCAAATGATAGAGAAAGAGAGAATCTTCCTTAAGTCATTCTATGAAGCCAGTGTCACCCTAATACCAAACCAGGAAAGGACATAACAAAAAAAGAAAACTACAGACCAGTATCTCTGATGAACATAGATACAAAAATTCTCAAAAAAATACTAGTGACGTGAATCCAACAGTATATCCAAAAGATAATCCACCATGAAAAGTGGGTTTCATACCAGGGACGCAGGGAAGGTTTAACATATACAAGTCAATAAATGTGAGACCAGTCATAAACAGAATTAAAAACAAAAATCACATGATCATGTCAATAGATGCAGAAAAAGCATTTGACAAAATCTAGCATGCTTTCTGATTAAAACCCTCAGCAAAATCGGCATAAAAGGGATATACCTTAAGGTAATAAAAGCCATTGACAACAAACCCACAGCCAACATAATACTGAATGGGGAAATTTGAAAGCCTTCCCCTGAGAAATGGAACAAGACAAGGGTGCCCACTTTCACCACTTTTATTCAATACAGTACTGCAAGTCTTAGAGCAATCGGATAAGAGAAAGAAATAAAGGGCATCCAAACCAGTAAAGAGGAAGTCAAACTGCTACTGTTTGCTGATGACATGATCGTATACATAGAAAACCCTAAAGACTCATCCATAAAGCTCCTAGAACTGGTAAATGAATTCAGCAAAGTTTCAGGATGTACACAAATCAGTAGCCCTGCTATATACCAACAGTGACCAAGCTGAGAATCAAATCAAGAACTCAACCCCTTTTACAATAGCTGCAAAAAAAATTTAAATACTTTAGAATATTCCTAACAAAGGAGGTGAAATACTTCTACAAGGAAAACTACAAAACACTGCTGAAAAAATCATAGATGACACAAACAAATGGAAACACATCTCCTGCTCATGAATGGGTAGAATCAATATTGTGAAAATGAACATACTGCCACAAGCAATCTGCAAATTTATTGAAATTCCCATCAAAATAGCACTGTCATTCTTCACAGAACTAGTAAAAACAATCTAAAATGCATATGGAACCAAAAAGTCCCCACATAGCAAAAGCAAGACTAAGGGAAAAGAACAAACCTGGAAGCATTACATTACCCAACTTCAAATTATACTATAATGCTATAGTCACTAAAACAGCATGGTACTCGTATAAAAACAGGCTTGTAGACCAATGGAACAGAATAGAGAACTCAGAAATAAACCCAGATACTTACAGCCAACTGATCTTTGACAAAGCAAACAAAAACGTAAAGTGGGGAAAGGACACCCTATTCAACAAATGGTGCTGGGATGGTTGGCAAGCCACATGTAGAAGAATGAAACAGGATCCTCATCTCTTAACTTACACAAAAATCAACTCAAGCTGGATCAAAGACTTATATCAAATACCTGAAATCATAAAAACTCTAGAAGATAACATTGGAAAAACCCTTCTAGACATTGGTTCAGGCAGAGACTTATGACCAAAAACCCAAAAGCAAATGCAACAAAAACAACGATAAATAGATGAGACTTAATTAAACTAAAAAGCTTCTGCACAGCAAGAGAAATAATTAGCAGATTAAGCAGACAACCCACAGAGTGGGAGAAAATCTTGGCAATCTATACATCTGACAAAGGACTAATATCAATAATCTACAAAGAACTCAAACAAATCAGCAAGAGAAAAACAAACAATCCCATTCAAAAGTGGGCTAAGGATGTGAGTAGGCAATTCTCAAATGAAAATAAACAAATGGCCAACAAACATATGAAAAAATGCTCAATATCGCTAATGATCAGGGAAATGCAAATCAAAACCACAATGTGATGCCTTCCTACTACTTCAAGAATGGCCATAATCAAAAAATCAAAAAATAATACTTGTTGGTGTGGATACAGTAAACAGGGAACACTTTGACACCGTTGGTTGGAATGTAAACTAGTGCAACCACTATGGAAAAAAGTGAGGGGATTCCTTAAAGAACTAAAAGAAAATCTACCATTTGATCCGGCAATTCCATTACTTGGTATCTACCCAGAGGAAAAGAAGTCATTATAAGAAAGAGATACTTGCACACGCATGTTTATAGTAGCACAATTCACAATTGCAAGAATATAGAGTCAGCCCAAATGCCCACCGATCATTGACTAGATAAAACACATACACACACAAACACTATGGAATACTACTCAGCCATAAAAAGGAACTAAATAATGGCACTGGCAGCAAGATGGGTGGAATTGGAGACCATTATTCTAAGTGAAGTAACTCAGGAATGAAAAACCAAATATCATATTTTCTCACTCATAAGTAGGAGATGAGCTATGAGGACACAAAGGCAAAAGAATGATACAATGGACTTTGAGGATTCAGTGATAAGGGTGGGAGGGAGGTCAGGGATAAAACCTAGTCACTATGTACAGTGTACATTGCTCAAGTTATGGGTGCACCAAAATCTCAGAAATCACCACCAAAGAACTTATTCATGTGACCAAACACCACCTGTTCCCCCAAAACCTATTGAAATAGAAAAAATAAATAAATAAAAGTAAAAAACCTGTTATCAATCCCAAAATAAAATTATCAGTTACCCCCCAAAAAGGATTTATCAAGAAAGATGAGATGGAATTGAAAGGTATATATGCAATCAACAGTATGGACAAATAATATTGAATACATTTTTTCCCTTTCATACACCCTTTTATTCATTTTTCTGTTTAATCATCTCTCGCATATGGAGACCTAGCATTTAAGGGAATTATAGCCACTACCACCTTGTTTTCAAGGCCATAATGAATTTGGAAATGTGGTATCCACTTATGAGCTTCCATCACATTTTGAGCATATGGCTCCATGAAATACCGAAAGCACTTTGGGATAAACTCCATACAGTCAGGAGATCTTTCTTAATACCATCTGGCAACTACTCTGTGCTTACTCTTTGTCCCACCTTCTAAACGTTTAGATGGGCAGGTGGGAAGAGCAGTTGCCACATTATTGAAAGCCAGTGTTCTAGTATCAGAGGGCCATAGCAGGCCCTCTGGAGCAACATCTGGAATGTCCACAGGTAACCCTGTCAATCTCTGGGGATCACAGGGCATCACTTTCCTCTACTTCTCTCTCTATGTGTGTCTCTGCAAGCCAACCTGATTCTATATTACATTTTCACAAAGTACCATATTCTAAATTTAGCTTATCCAGGGAGATGATATACTTGATTCACTTTGGGGGAGTGATCCTCTGCCTGGTAGGCAGAATAATGGCCCTCAAAGAAGTCCGCTCCCAATCCCTGGAATCTAGAAATATGTTGCTTTACAGGGCAAAAATGGATTTTGTAGATATGATTCAGTTAAAGGTCTTGGGATGGGAAGATTAGCTTGGATTATCCAGGTGAACCTAATCTAATCTTATGGCTTCTTAAAATTGATGAGCTTTTCCAGGCTGAGATCAAAGACGGAGATGTGCCTACCCGCAGATCCTAGATGGCCATGTTTGCAACAGAGGTGTGTTAATTTTCTATTGCTGACGTAACAAATTACCACAAGCTCTCTTGGAAGGTTAGTGGAAGGCAAGGATTGGCATCTCTAATATAATTATACAGGTAATGATGAGCAGTGCGAAGATGTGACTCCAAAGCCTGGAGAAGGACAGACCAGCATCCCTGCAAGAGATCCAACTGTCTTCTTTTCCGCAGAGGTCCATAATTTACATGGGCCTGACAAAGAATACTGTAACTTGCAGAAATTATCTTCAGTTCAAATCCTTCATTTTGGGGGTTAAATAACTTGGTAAGATAATGAGATTAATATTATTGTAAAGATTGCTAGAAAGAATTGTAACAGTTCATGTATGTGCATAAATAACAACCTTAAAGCATGTTTTGGGATGAGGTGCAAAATGAAAATTGGGAGAGGGACTTTAGTAGCAGTAAACAGAACTTGAGAATGGAATAGATGCATACTCTATAGCACACTGCAATAAATAGAATACATTTTAAGTTCCTAGAGAAATTTTTGAAAATGCCACATTCAAAGCCATCAATCCCTACTCAATTAGCATTTCATTTTGATTTTGGTACTGAAGCCCAAGATGTCGAGGGAGCGGAAATACTTGCTGGTCTTGCAGCGGCTGTGGAGCCTGGAATCCTGCCAAGAAGAGCATGTGTGAGAGATCAAAATGTTTGCTTACATTCCTCCTGTGAAGGGAGTTGGGAAATAACCTAAGAAGCCCAATCCAAAAACAAAGATGTACCATCCAGTCTTCTCTGTGAGAACCAAACTACAAACCATCTGAATGTTCCAAAAGTGTTTTGATGATGTATTGATGTATTTTAAATTATCCTGAAAATGTTCTTGGCAGATGCTTAAACATGTAATTACTGAGATGATGTAGAAATACCAAGTGTTTATTAAAACAATACAGAGTAATACAAATGGTATGTTTGTCGCAATATAAAAGTATCTAAAAATTAAAGAGTTCTTTAATGGTGGAGATTGTTTTCCTTTTTGAAGTTAAAATATAAATTTTTGTAAAAAGCACAAATTATTACTATTTATAGCTAACATTTATGGAGTGCTGACTATGCTCATTTTTGAGCATACATTGCCTCATTTAGTGCAATGTTTAGCATTAACTTATGAGGTAAATGCCATTGCCATGCACATTGTACAGATGAAGACATTGAGGTTTAGAGAGATTGCATCAATTTCCCAATGTAACACAGCTAGTGGTGGGGCCAGGATTCCACGAAGCCTAACTCTAGAGTTTAATAACCTAAAGAATAATAGGTAATATCCTTGCCACTCTCAGCATGTGCCAGTTGCTGTTCCAAATGGTTGGTTCAAATTATGTACTCATGTAAACCTCAGAATAACTCTATGAGGTAGGTTCTACTATTATTTTCATAGACACATATTTTATATGTCTATGTCAGCTTTAAAGCCACTTTTGAGTTTTTTAGCATATTTTTGAGAACACGTCAACTTTATTTCCGTTTAAATTGCTTGAGACACACCATGATTGTTGATACAGTCTCTGGAAATTTTATTCCCAGCTGCGTATCTCTCTGGAGCCTTTGACTTACTCCCATGTGGGCGGGAGGTGCTTTGCCTCTGGCCACACCTGCCATCCTGGAGCCTCCTCACCCTAGTCCTGGGGAATCCCTTCCCTCTCCCCAGGGTGAGAGCATCAGCTTGTCAGATATCACACCTTTCTTTGAATCATCAGTTTGGGGGCACTTCATTAGTTATCGTCTGGAGAAAAGGTACACCACGGCATAAATTTATTGAGATCTTTTATGTTTCTATTGGATTTCTACTCTGCTGTGATGATTTTCAATTCTCAATTGCCCTCTTGGGCCCCAGAGTGCTGGCAGCTGGGCATGTGTCTTCTGCACGGAAACTTCCAAAATCATCCTTTGAAAAATCTGACCAGCCCAAGAGAAAATACCCACCCTTACTGACATTATATTCCCCAGCAATTAATCCCACCAGAGAGTTCTATAGCAAATCTCACATGACACAGATGCCACCCATGTATTCAGAGCTTCCCGATAGCTCGTTAGTGCCCCATCCTGCAACAGAAGACAACCAAGATCATCAGAAATGTGGAGTGATTCCAGCTTTGTAATAGGAAAGATAGAAACAAAGCAAAGAAAAAAGAAGTTAGAAGAAATAATCCATGAAGTGAAAAAATACAAAATGTTTTTAAAAGCTGTTATTATTTACAAAGAGAAAAGATATATGCATGAAAGAAGACTATGATATCATAAAAAAAAAAAAAAAATCTCTTGAGAATTGAGCGCAGGCGCGGTGGCTCACGCCTGTAATCCCAGCGCTTTGGGAGGCCGAGGCGGGCGGATCACGAGGTTAGGTAATCGAAACCATCCTGGTTAACACGGTGAAACCCCGCCTCTACTAAAAATACACACACAAAAAATTAGCCGGGCATGGTGGCGCGCGCCTGTAGTCCCAGCTGCTCGGGAGGCTGAGGCAGGAGAATGGCGTGAACCCGGGAGGTGGAGCTTGCAGTGAGACGAGATATCGCGCCACTGCACTCCAGCCTGGGCCAGAGCGAGATTCCGTCTCAAAAAAAAAATCCAATTATAAGCGTCTTGGGAGAAAAAAGGCAAAATCCAGGACTACCCAGGTAACCAAGTAACTCCAAAAGCTTGTTTGCATTAATCTTGCGAGTCTATAGCCAAAAATCTATTTGACCTTATAATAATTTCATGTTTAATAGCTCTGAAAGTTTTCTATTAAGGCCTAGGAGAATTTTCTTATATCCAGACTTATATGTCTGCCATTGATAATCTTAGGTTCCTGAATGATCCAGTAAGAAAAACATTTCTTTTTTTTTTTTTTTTTTTTTTGAGACGGAGTCTCGCTCTGTCGCCCAGGCTGGAGTGCAGTGGCGGGATCTCGGCTCACTGCAAGCTCCGCCTCCCGGGTTCACGCCATTCTCCTGCCTCAGCCACCCAAGTAGCTGGGACTACAGGCGCCCGCCACTACGCCCGGCTAATTTTTTGTATTTTTAGTAGAGACGGGGTTTCACCGTAAGAAAAACATTTCTATGACTCTATGAGTAATATCATCCCAAGGCTTTAGAGGTGGCTGTGATAGTTTATATTATTTTGACCTTTATGTGGTCAGTTTTTTTTTTTAAGTGATTAAAATCTCAATTACAGTACCTTTAAATTAGTTCACAATTACATATACATGTTGGCAGCTAGAATCTTTCATTACTGTTTCTTTATGAGGTAAAAAAGTAATAAAGTCATAAATCTCATCATAACTGACAATATTGATGTCAAGCTCCTACAAATGATTAAAGAATGCGATTGACATTCTTGAAGAAATTGTTAAAGTTCATTGTCCTGCCTCTATTCAAGACTTTCAAAAATAGTATGTAAAGAAATTACATAATATTAGTTCAAAACAGTTATGGCTCAAAAGTTAACTTTAGTTTTTCAACTCTTTTCAGATCCAGGTTTCTGAGGGGAACAGCCTGTTTTATACATTTCTATGTCTTTCTCCATGCTCATATGAACCTATATACTAATAAATAGGAATTTTAATTTGTTTTGTTTTTTCTTTCACAAAAATTGGATCATGTAATACACATTATTCTGTACCTTGCTTTTTATACTTTCTGATGCTTCATATTAATTTCTCCAGATTTTTAGATAAAATTTTTTTTTTGAAATGAGGACTTGCTTTGTTGCCCAAGCTGGAGTGCAATGGTGCCATCATGGCTCACTGCAACCTGTGCCTCCTGGGCTCCAGCGATCCTCCCACCTCAGCCTCCCAAGTAGCTGGGAATACAGTTGCATGCCACTATGCCTGGCTAATTTTTGTGTTTTTTTGTAAAGACAGGTTTTTGCCATGTTGTCCAGGCTAGTCTGGAACTCCTGAGCTCAAGTGATCCACCTGCCTCGGCCTCCCAAAGCACCGGGGTTACAGGTATGAGCCACAATGCCCAGTCCCCTATTTTTTTTTTTTTAATAAGATTCCCATTCAAGGCCGGGCGCGGTGGCTCACGCTTGTAATCCCAGCACTTTCGGAGGCCGAGGCGAGCGGATCACGAGGTCAGGAGATCGAGACCATCCTGGCTAATACTGTGAAACCCCGTCTCTACTAAAAATACAAAAAATTAGCAGGGTGAGGTGGCGGGCGCCTGTAGTCCCAGCTACTCGGGAGGCTGAGGCAGGAGAATGGCGTGAACCCCGGGGGGCGGAGCCTGCAGTGAGCCGAAATCGCGCCACTGCTCTCCAGCCTGGGCGACAGCGAGACTCCGTCTCAAAAAAAAAAAAAAAAAAAATTCCCATTCAAAATAGGGAGTTATCATTCCGTTATCATTCCTTATTCTGTCAATCAATCAGAGAGTTTAAAAATTTTTGTTTCTTCTACAAGTAAGGCTGCTGCTAATAGTCTTGTTTCTATATTCTTATACACAGATAATTATAATTATGGAGTCAATTCCCAAGTGTGATATTGCTTGGGATATGCATGTTTAAAATTTTAATAAAAATCACAAATTGTTTGTCAGAAACCTATGACAATGCACATTTATTTCTACCAACAGCATAAGCTAATAGGTAAGCAGTAATATCTCATTTTGCTTTATTTTTTTTTTTGATCACACCAAGGCTCAGTGCCATTTAATATGCTATTTTGCCATTTTAGTTTCCTCTTCCACGAATTTCCATCATTGTTCATTTTCCTCTTTGGTTGTCTATTTTTAAATGAAAAAGCACCAGGATTTTAGAAATATCTTTTTTTTTGGTCAATCATATATGACCCAAATCAATATGACCAAAAAAATGAAAACATTTTTTCCTTATCTATATTTTTAGATTATTTGTTTATACCAGAATTTGAAATTTTTCTCCATGCTCAGAATTTCATTTTAAATATGTTCGTGATATTATTGAAGTCACCCCCCCCCACTTTATTTGTTTTCATATATCATGAGAAGTCAAAGAATCAAAGCAATATATTCTCACAGCCATGCACATTTTCTCCCTGTCTTCAGTCCTGTGTCTGTCACTCTCATAATCCTGTTTCAGCACCTATGAAGGCACTTCTGTGGAATACTTGATTACAGACCCAGCCAATACTTTCTACACTGGAATACATATATATATATATATATATATACAATCACTTAACTATATGAACCACTTGCCCCATAGTGTATATATATATATATATATATATATATATATATATATATATATATATACAATCACTTAACTATATGAACCACTTGCCCCATAGTAAATTTTCTTTTTTCATAGTGCATGATGCAGAAGGCTCCCACATGCCACTCCCATCCCATGGAGGACTTGCCACTCTATGACAACACTGGCAGAGCCCACCTAATGGCTCCCACTCTACCTGCTCCCCGAACCTGGGAGGAAGGCGGGTGGGAGCTGGATGTCAGCTTCTGTGTCACTAGCAGGATTTGATGACCCTGCTGTGAGATGGGCATGTAGAACTCCATTTTCTTTTTCTGGATCTCACACAATCAGCATCAGTGTAAAAGCCGCAGAGCACCCAGCAACAGGTAGTGTCCCATGATGATGTTATCTTACGGACATTCTGAAAACTTTCTTGACCCTGAGTAACTCCTTCAGCATTTTCTTTTCTTTTCTTTTGACAGAGTTTTGCTCTTGTCGCCTAGGCTGCTGTGCAGTGGCAAGATTTCTGCTCACTGCAACCTCCGCCTCCCAGGCTCCAGCGATTCTCTTGCCTCAGCCTCCTGAGTAGCTGGGATTACAGCCACCTGCCACCATGCCTGGCAAATTTTTGTATTTTTAGTAGAGATGGGGTTTCACCATGTTGACCAGGCTGGTCTCAAACTCCTGACCTCAGGTCATCCACCCGTCTTGACCTCCCAAAGTGCTGGGATTACAGGGATAAGCCACTGCGCCACCCCCCACCCCGCTTTAGCATTTTTGACAAAACAATCAGGTTACCCACATTTACATGGCCCTTCTTAATTGGCGAAGCTCTTTCATTAACATCATCCCATTTAATCTTGGTTAAGCTGTAATGGATTGGTTGAGTAATTTTTTCAAAACAAAGGATGAACAAGCTCAGAGAGCCTGAGAGACTTACTGAAGATCACACAGTAAATGATAAACTATTTTACTTTATGTCTAAGGTCTTTCATAATATGAAATAGAATGTAGATATTGCAACAATAGCATTTTTGGAGACAGCTACCTCCTTTACCAGGAATAATCTTTGCATGTCACATTTAGAGATAAAGCTCAAAATGCAAATCCTTCCCCTGAGAGTGGGAAAGCATTAACAAATGAGAGTGGGAAAAGCATTAACAAAGCATTAACACAGGTCTTTACATATTCAAAATATTAAACTAATGCTAGGATTATAGACTTGATTTTAAGACATGGTAGTTAATAGAAAAGTTCTAGATTGAAAACAATTTTGCAAAAATATACATTTGTATATGTGTATATATGTATGTGTATATATATATCTACTAGGAAAATATATTGCTTAAGGTGTTTGTGCCATTTCTTAGTTACCAATTTTACATTCTGCATTCACAGCATTTGCCATCCCATCTCTACACTTAAAGCCACCATATTACTTTTAATTACTTTATACACATTTTCAGTCATCATCTAAATAATCATTTATAGCCACAAACTAATACTGTTTAGTCAATGAAGCACTTTCATCAGCAAAAATTACAGATTTTTTGAACATGATTCTGGGAATAGTTCAGTTTTTACAATTAGTAATTGAGGCTTTGTCATATGAAGCAAGAAATCTGCTATTATTTTAAAAAATCAATTGTATATCGACCATAAAGAAATAGTATAAAAGTCATAAAAACACTGCCATTTACTGTAGTAAAATGTGGGGCATTTTATTTGAGTTCCTAAGAAATTTCCTGTATTTAGAACTCTTGGACCTTCACTACTTGTAAATGTGAGTCTATCCTTTACCTTACCCTAGCTTTTACCCCAGGGATTTGGTACATTTTTATTAGAAAAAGGAAAATGTCGACAGTGAAAACTGAGACAGAGTTAGAAGACTTCAATCACAATGGCCCAGCATGTGTATGTTCAGGGCAAGTAAAAGGGTCCCCTCCACTGGGATTCGATGACTAAAGATTATGAAGATACCAAAAATGCAAGAAGTCACAGGAATATTTTTCCTCAATGGCAAAGGTGACACAGTAGAATGGTTAAGAAGGAAGGTTTGTTGGCTTCAATTCCCCAGCTGATGTTCAACACTTTATTTACTTCTCACTTGAATTTTAAATTTTCCTGAAAAATAATTTCCCATCAATTTCCATTTCTTTGGAAAGCCCCCATGTGTAATTTATTGATAACATCTCTGAAGAGCTGAATTAATGATATTTCCTAGCTGTTGCTCCAGATCTTGTAGGGTAGAGGAGGCTGAAGACTGCTACAGGGGAAGGCATCTCTATTGCCTCAAAACGTCAGGACGGTACGGATACTGCAATAGGAAAGAAGAGACATTGTGTTAACATTTAGACAACCCACATGCTTGTTGTGAGAGTCCAAGGAGCATCTGAGGTGTCTTAGTGAAAATCTGTCTGTGATCCCAGCTACCCTATTTCCATCCCCATACATTTGGTTCAAGAAAAAGGAAGTTCATCTTTTTTGGTTTTCTTTTCTTTTCTTTTTTTCTCCAATCTTAATCTCACTCACAACATCCTGAGTATGCCTGTCATTTCAATTCTACATTAATTCTACATTAGCATCTTCAAAAAATCATTTTTGTGTGCCCACGTTCCTGGTATAATAAGGAATATAAAACAACAGTGGATAATAACTTGCAGTAAGTTCTTACTATTTGTCACATTCTTCGTGCATTTTCTTAAACTTCAACCTAAACATCAACACTAAGAGGTAGGTTCCCATATTATGTCCATTTTAGAGATTATAAAAACTGAGACTTAGAAAGATTTGTAACTTGCTCTGGTAGCACATCTAGTATGGAGTGTTGGGATTCAAACCCAAATACAAATTTGCAAAAATTATAAGATGATGGATAACTTGCCTGAAAGAATTGATAATTTAACAAAGTTAAGACTATGCTGGAAGTTTAAAAGACCTTTGATACGGATGTTTAAGGATTTGTAGAAGTAGAGAATAAAGTTGATTTGTATTAATTCTAAGATAGTTCATTCTTGTGAAGATTACAAATGGAACATTTACACTAGAACTAATGCCCTTTCTATAAACCAACTTCTCATGAATACATATTTTTAGAAAATGATGGTCTTTGTGACTCTTTAATAATTTTTAACATATATATGTATATGCATATGCATATATGAGAAATATATATGCACATAATTCAGAGAATACAAGACAGCAGGAAGAAGAAAGTAAAAGAAATCCATAATCCCACAACCTAGAAATAATCATTCTCAATGTTTTCTTGAATTTCTATGAACTTTTTTCTAGAAATCTGTGCATGTTTTACTGTTTTTGATGACGAGTTAATGGGTGCAGCACACCAGCATGGCACATGTATACATATGTAACTAACCTGCACATTGTGCACATGTACCCTAAAACTTAAAGTATAATAATAATAAAATAAATATAAAAAAAGAAAATTTGAGACATTGCATATACAACATATACAATTTATATTCTTCATTAAATGAGTCTAAAATTACATCATGAGAATATCCCAATGAAGTCATTTCTTTTTGATGGTTTCATTTATTTCTAATAGATGACTGGAATTTATGAAATTATTTTCCTTGTGTTGAACTTTAGAATGTTTCTAAAGTTCTAACAAGTAAACATATATGCATGTTTGACTAGTTGATTATTTCTGTAGAATAGATTTCTAGAAATGGAATTGCTGGGGCAAAGGATTCAGTTATTTTTTAAAGGTTTCTGATATATATTACCAAATTGCTTTTCCAAAAGTATGTATCAATTACTACTGAAAGTACATGAAAGTGCCCAACTCACCTTATTCTTACCAATATTGAATATTATAATTTTTAATCTTTGCTTATTGATAGGATTAATTATATTTACATATGCATATTACTATATGACATTCTCATAAAGTGAATTTAGGCATGCTTCATGACTTCTTATGTTGCTCAACACTGTCCTCTGGTTTTGTTCATCTCTATATTTGCCATCATCTTTTCAATCCTATGATGATGATGATCCCAATGATGATGTCAATGGTAATAATAATGACTGATAACTAACCTTTGATGACTACTGTTTTCCATATGTACATGCACTCTTGAGGGGCGGTGTGGTTTAATAGAAAGTGAATCGATTTGCTAAAAACAAGATCTACTTTTGAATTCTGCCTCCCCTTCCTACCACTTGATGATTTTGGCAAAGTCATGTCTTCTCCGAGTCTCAGTTTCTGTTCTCTAAGATAGTGAGATTGAGACTGACACTGAGCATTGTTTGGGAATCACAGGAGATAATGCAGGTAAGACACTTAATAGAACAGCTGGTGCTCGGTGGGTGCTAGTTTCTTTCCTTCCTCAAGAATGTTGTCGGTTAAAGTACCTAGTATAATGATTTTGTGAGTGCCAAAGAAACACTATTTAAAGTTGAAAACCTCATGAAAGTAAGTGTGGGATAGCAGAAGAATCTAAGACTCTGGAGCTAGAAGGCAAAGGTTAGATATAACTGCCTGTTTCCAGTTGTGCCTCATGTAAATGCAGGTGACAAAATTCATTTTAATAGCTGGTTGTAAGTGTTAAATGTTAGAGGTAGGAAATAGAATTGGCTTATTTTTCTAAGCTTCAGAGAAAATGTAAGACAAACATTTAAAATAGTATTTACTACTCTTTTATGATAACTTTCAGTGGTAAAAAATTTTTTCTTAAACTACAAAAGAAAAAGAAAAAGAGAAAAACTAGTAATATCTACCTAGAAAACAATCCCAATGTAGTTCCACCTACTCCTGTAATGAAAATGTTGAGGATGTCCTGAAAATTATTTAAATATGCAGACACTTAGTGTCAGCTTTATATAGGTAGAAGGAAGAGGCTTCAAAGACACCATGTTATAATTATGGCTGTTTAAATAGACTTTTGTTTTTTTGTGGGGTTTTTTTTGGGCAAATGTGAGTGTTCTCTTTTCAGGAAGGCTGAGTGGCTCTGATCATTCAGATTTGCAGTAATCAACGTAATTTGACTCCAGCAGAATAGGAAATGCAAAGCAACTGTTTTCAACTTCTCACAGTATGATCCTACATACGCTCCATGCAAAGACTGAACTGGTAATGGAAAACCAAGGGACTCTATATTTTCTCATCTTTCCACCTTTTTCATTCTCTGCTAGACAATCCCCTATGGTAGAAAAAAAAGCAAAACAGAAAACTAACTTAAAATCTACCTTTTCCCAGAGTGAAGCAGGTCAAATCCTTCATTTATTTTTTCAAAAGGTAAAACATGGGTTATTAACGCATCCAGTGAAAACTTCTTAGCCATAAAATCAGCCACAAGTTTTGGGATACCTTCTTTACTCTTAAAGCCTGAAAAGAAGACAGTATCATTGTTGGATTCAGCTAGGGTAAGTAGGAGAATTGAAGAGAAGATTTTCCAAATAAATCAAAGTTTAGAAAAGGTGCTCCATTCCAGACTGCTATAACTGAGGATAAGAAGAGATACAGTACTTCAATATGCTTTTACAGTGTCTTGACTTAAAAAAAATCACAGATAAACGAAGGTTCTTAGTTATTTTGTCTCTCCCATAGAAATAATAGTACAGAAGTTTATGCCCAAGGTAGAGGAGCAAATTTATCAGTTGTCTAAATTTGGGTGTAGATATGAAATATTGTTGTAGATTTGCATGTTCTACTAAAAATTTCCATGCCTTACACAGTCACAAGTACAAAAACAGATGGAGATTAAAGGTCCTGGGTTATGGTGACAACAGAAAAAAGTCTATATTGGGACCTTCTGTCTGCATTAGTTCCATATCTAGTTGATTTGGAGACTGTAGATAGAAAAGGAATTTAAATTTATTTTTGATTTGTTTTCAAAATCTTGCCTTGTCAATTGTAAAAGGGCATATATATTGAGATTATATTGAGATTAATGAGATATATTGAGATTAATGAGAATTTGGCACTTGAGCCCAACTACATACCACCATAAACAGCCCCCTTCCAGGTGCGTCCAGTCAGTAGCAGCATAGGGTTTATTGAGAGGTTCTGGGAAGCAGGAGGTACCCCTACGATGACGCTTGTGCCACATGCCTCATGACAACATAACAGGGAAGCCATCTGGAATAAAGTGAATATTTAGCATCCTTAACGTGGAGTCGCATAGTTCCTACTCATAATGCACAATATCATGTAATAGGCTTAACTGGATTGTGAGTGTGTAGAGGGAAGAGATCATGTCTTTTGATCCTTCATTCCCCTTTTTTGCACGGGATAGTGCTGTGGATTCAGGAAATGCCCAGAAAATGGTTTTTTAATGAAAGAATGGATGAATAAATTGGAGTGTGCTTAATTCTTCCTAATAAAGGTATTTTGAACCCAGTACTTTCAACCAGATATTTTGACGGTGAACAAGATAAACAATTATATCACCGAAATTTGTCTCCTGTCCACTTGACGGTCTCCCTCTTAAGTGGATTCCTATTCTACTGTCCATTTCTCAAACGGACATGTTTTAAACATTGTTTTTTTACCTCCCCAAATATATATTGATTTTACATTAAAATACACTGATCATTTGGGAACCTCAAGAAACAGTTCAGAAAATGTTTTCCAGTCAGTTCTTGGAACATGTTCTGTAGTTAGAAAATGGTTAAAGATCCCCGTAGGAATATAATGATTAGTTCTTTGATTTTGGATTCTGACCTTTGGGAGACCAGACATCCTCAGAACATGTGGCTGTCAGACACTTGGTATCTTAAGATAAGGTACACTCCAGTTCCACATGAGAAAATGGATGAAAATATAGAAAAGGAGCATAAAGAGAAAAGCTGTAGCCCTGGAAAAAGTTGAATTCTCTTGACATTTTATTCCTCTGTGGCATCTGTCCTAGGTCAAGGCTGCCGAGAGCTTTGATCTTAGGGTGCCACTCCCTGTTACCCACACTGCTGGACCTTCTAGAAAACCTCAGCAATGGAAACTTGTTGGTTTCTGGAGACATTTTCAGTAGGATTCTAGAGAATTCTGGGTAGGTGAAATATAGCTAGAGATGTGTTTCCCATTGCAATTGATATTTGTAACTGTTTGGAAGAAATACCATGTAATAAGCCAAAGATGATGTAAGCACTGCAAGATTGGAAATAGTATTTCATATCAATAATGCCAACTGAGGCTGAGTGTGGTGGCTTGTGCCTATACTCTCAGCATTTTTGGAGGCTGAGGTAGGAGAATCACTTGAGCCCAGGAGGTTGAGGCTGCAGCGAGTTATAATTATGCCACTTCACTTCAGCCTTGGTGACAGAGTGAGACCCTGTCTCAAAAAAAAGAAAAAAAAGTCAGCTGACATTTATTGGGAGCTTACCATATGACAGGCGGCACTGTGCTAAGTATATCACATGCGTTGTCTCATGTAATCTATAAGCAATGCTATGAGATACGTAGCTTTTAAATTCTGGGGGTTGGTAAAGTCTGTTGACTTTTCTTTTTTTTCTTTTTTCTTTTTTTTTTTTGAGACAGAGTTTCACTATGTCACCCAGGCTGGAGTGCAATGGCGCGATCTTGGCTCACTGCAACCTCCGCCTCCTGGGTTCAAGTGATTCTCTTGCCTCAGCCTCCGGAGTAGCTGGGATTACAGGTATGCACTACACCACCATACCTGGCTAATTTTTGTATTTTTAGTAGAGACTGCTGACTTTTCAAAGTATTCAGTCCAACTAATATTGGGTACTAGCTATGTGCCAGGCACTGTCCAGTTTCTGTGATAAAATACAGTGATGTCTTAAAGCAGTCAATTTCCTTAGGGCATATTTTTGTTAATAAAACAGCAGTTGGCCTAAAATTGCTCATTTCCTTTGGCCAAATACTAACATGTTAAAAATCTGAAATTTATTAAGAACATAGGCAAAATTGTTAAACCATTTTTGTTAAGAATGTAGGAGAAAAATAAAACATTCCAATTTGAGAACAGAATTTATATTATTTATGTTTACTTGAACTTATATTTTTTAACTAAAAATTAATAAAGTAAATCTATAATTGCTCAGTTAAGAAAAACAAACCCTTTTCTTTTCCTCTAGAGGAAATATGACTTGAGACAGGTTTGGGTAATTGATGGAAGAGAAGATTTCTCATAACAAAAATTAAACAAGCCACATAACAAACAGATGATGGGAAATTTCCATTCATCATTAAAAATATCCTTTATACATAAAACATATATTTTGCTGCCTAAATGCATCTTCCAGGTTGCAGAGGCAGAAATCTCAGGGCATGTCATGGTACATACCATGGTGTCAAGCCGACCGATGACTTCAAACGAAAAATCCACACCTCCATCAGTCATTTCCTTTAGCACTTCCTGAATGGGTTTCTTGTAGTCTTGAGGGTTGATGCATTCAGTGGCACCCAACTCTTTGGCCTTTGCAAATTTGTCCTTGTTGATGTCCACCGCAATGATTCTGGCTGCTCCAGCTGCTTTACAGCCCATAACAGCAGATAGGCCGACCCCTCCCAGGCCAAACACAGCACAGGTAGAGCCTGGGGTGACCTGTGTTTTCAGAAAATGCAAAAATAGATTAAGTGATGATTGTTAGAAAGTGCCTAAGCTTCATAAAGTGCCATGCGTAGGTGTTTATCAAGAACTACTCAGACTCTTTTGTCCAACCGTTTATCAAAACCTCTTTTGGCTTCAGTTGCTTTATTTTTAAATTCAAGGGGATGAACTAGTTGAGTGGTTTTCAAACTGATGCATATTAGATTCATCTGGGGAGCTTTACAAAATATCCCACAGTCCAGGTCACAGCCCATGTCAATTAAATGAGGAATCTCTGCAGGTGGACTCAGTCCCCAGGTGACTCCAATGGGAAGGTCAGGCTGGGAACCAGGGGACTGGATGATCTTTGAGATCCAGATGGCAGTGATTACAATCTTGAAGGGACTGTCAATTGCTGAAATCCCTTGATAGCCAGCTTCAGTAACTCATACATACACAACGGCAATATTTGGAAAACAAAATAAGTGGAAAAGGCTACTCCAGGAGACTGAAAAATATTCCACTTAAGCCCTCAGTAATTAACTCATTGGTTCATTTATGTTCGGTAGTTGTGACCAGTATATCCCTGCTTTAAAAATACACTAGCGAACAACACAGCAATGAAATGTTTGTCTATATTTCAATAACAAATACAATCTATTGTTATGAGTATCCTCATCTTCTGTTCTTGGGTAGGATCACTTTGACCATCTGCTAACACGTATGAGGCAACTGAACAAGGGGCTAAGTGCTAAAGTCACAGAAATTTGGAAAAGATGCCTTCTGAATTTTTTCTTTGTGGTTGGCTAGGGGCTATTTATTAAACCTAGTCTCCCATAGTCAGTCTTCATTGTGGGTAACATGCTTTCCTGTCCCAAGTAATCTCATCCTTATATTCCCTTAAGGGTGTCTATTCACTCATTCATTCACCAAATATTATTCATACTATGGGGGACAACACCATTTTCTACCTTACTTAGAAAAACACAAGACTTGTGACTGTGATTTAAAAACACTAATAATTATGTATTGCGAGCTAAGATTCAGCAGGAGATTTGAAAAAGATATTTTAGTCTCAGCTCTCATATTAAAAATATATTTTAGTCTCAGCACTGAGGCTTTGGGCAAATATCTTTATATATCTGAACCTCGGTTTCATAAAATAAAGCATACTACTAGATTTTCAGCCTACTCAGATGAGGAGCCTTTAAAGAATTTCTGCTTGAAATTTACCACTTCTGAAGTATATGTGTGTGTTCATGCCAGGGGAGTTAGTTTTAGCAGTGAAATCCCATAATGAGTGAATTATGCATCACTGAGTCTTTATTACTTTCCGTCTAAGAATCCACAGAGTGGGTGAGCCTTGGTTTGGAGGTGCATCAGGTAAGGTTTTGGACTCTACTGTTGATCCTATTTCTGGGAGGAGAGGATCCACAGACTAGATGGTCCTCAAGGGCAAACGCTTCATTTCATTTACTTTTGCTGTCAGAGCCTAGCAGAACCTATGGTGCCTGAGGCATTTATAGGTGCTCTCTAATCGTTGAATGAATTACTAAATGAATTCTTAGGTCTAAAATTTCATGATCCCATAAACAGCAAATTCAGAAGAAAAATTATTGTAAATGACATCTTTATTCGTAACAACTTTTTATCTGCAATAAATTGGTGAAATTTCTAGCATGTGTACTCAATTCTTTCTGGGCCATTTTTCTACTCATAATCGACACTTTAAATCTACAAAAATAATTTCTGATTCTTGCAAGAAATTGCTTCCCTTTTGGTTTCCGACAGTCTGCATGTAAGCAGTTTTATCACCCATTGTCATTCTCACCTTGGCAACGTTAACTGCAGACCCATAACCAGTCGAGAATCCACAGCCAATGAGGCAGACTTTCTCCAGGGGCGAGGCTGCATCAATTTTGGCCACTGCATTCTCATCCACCACCGTGTACTGGGAGAAGGTGCTGGTGCCAAGGAAGTGGTGAATGGGCTTCCCCCTGCAGGTGAACCTCCTGGTGCCATCCTGCAGGGTCCCCCGAGGATTGCCTAGACTGGGCAGTGCAATACACAGACACACAAAGGCATGAGACAGGAGCATAAGTAATGTGCAAACTCAAAGTCTGTGCAAAGAGAGCATCAGAAACCTACTCATTTTTCAAGCAGTAGTTGCTCTCCGGGTTTTTACAAACTCTGCATTTTCCACACTGAGGAGTAAAGAGCGGGATGACTTTATCACCTGGAGAGGAATAAAACAAGTTCTTCTTAAATTTCTATGCAGTAATTAATAGAGCAAAGACTTAAAGCTCACATGTATTGATTAGAAGCATGTTTCTTTAAAAGTCTTTAAGGAATAGAGTTCAATAATAACTATGTCATCTTTCAATGCCTGCCACAGCATTGTTTTCAGTTTGAGTTTATAAGTGCCTGAGGATTCCTACTGAGAAATCGCAAATGTGGGAGACCACACAGATTAAAAAAATTACTTCCACTGTACTAATAGTTAACTTTTACACAGTGTACTGATTTCTCCTGGAGGCTTTGCAAACATCTTTTTATTTAAACTTTAACTAATTAAATCTTAAATATTCTTACTATAAGTATAAATATAAATTTTAGTTGAAAGTGATCTATTATAGTGCCTGTAGATATTGGGATGATCTGGTATTTTGTAAAAGATTGATTTACAATAAATATGAGAATTTTTAACCAATTCTTGACTTTTCAAAGTGACTATGCTTATCTTTTTTTATGAAATGAATGCTTTAAAAAATCCTAGGTCTTTTTTTTTTGAGAAAAACAAAAATGGGACAAAGAAGAATTCCAGAAATTTCTCTGAAAACTTCAGCTCTTCACAACAAGTTAGGCACTTTCTTTTAGGATAAGAATGGACTTAACAAATATTTTTAGCTGATAATTTGCGAATTATCTACTTTTCCTGTTATGGTGGAGGGAGTAGGGGTAAAAAGTAAGGCTGTCATTTTGTTGTTAATTTATTTCTAACTAAAGAAAATAGAGCTAAAACATACTTTGGATAGTTTATTTTATTATTTTCTGTTCACAGTTTAAATTGGTATTTGGTAAGGGGGCAGGGTGAATCTACAGGCTAAAGCAACTTTTTAAAATTAAACATAATTTTTATTTCTAATCACCTATGCTATACATTCCACATGATCAAGAAAAATTGTTGGTGCATTAACATTTTATAGGTAAAGTTTATGTGAAAATGATGGTATGGCAATGTCCTAGTTATTAACCCTTTACTTCTAAAAGTATTTACATTAATACATAAGTTTAGGGTAAAATAAATATTGAAGATGAAATAATTAGTAATCTGTAACCAGTTGCATTTAAGCATGGCTGAAGGTAACAAGGCAGACATTGTTGATGGTGGGATGGTTCCTTCTACGTTTCTTTCATTTCCTTTCACCTAGCCTGTTTCATTGATTCCATGCTCAGGAAGAGACACCATGTTGGAAGAGGAAATTGGTGAAGGAGCTGCATAGGTCACCTAAGAAAAGGTCATGTTTATTCATCCGTAGCCATGTAGCCTCCATTTTGTGAACTCAGCACAGAACAGTTTCCACATTTACTTTTTTTCCCTCCTCCCGTTTCTACTTCTATCTGGGCCCTGACAGAAGACAGTGTTCAGCCAACACTAACACAGAATTACTGGACTATGAATGCCACACTGGTAGGCACTGTGTCTCTTTTGATCCTCACATATCTCCAGGCTCTAACCTGGTGCCTGGCTTCTAGTAGATACTCGGTACATAATGGTTGAAGGGTACAATACATGAGTGCCTGAATGCATACATGCTTGGGTCAGGCAGGCAGAGAGGGAAAGAGGAAACTCCTGAAGTCCTGGCTGCGCGGTGACCTTGTGCAAGCACTTTCGTCTCTCATTGCCTTGGTTTCCTTATCCAGGCTGGGAAATCCTGGATGGTGAACCACACGTGTTCCCTGAGTGTGAATCCTGTACCTGGTTTGACTGTAGTCACCCCTTCTCCAACACTCTCCACGATGCCGGCTGCCTCATGGCCTAAAATCACAGGAAGGGGGGTCACCAGGTTGCCACTAACCACGTGGTCATCTGTGTGACAGATTCCTACAGCCACCATCTACAGAATAAAGAGAAGCTGTTCAGATTCAGAAAAGATTGTAACTAGATGAATTTAACATACCCAAATTCCTGAAATTGTGTTTCTAAAATGTATTTGAGGGTTTTGCTACTAATCCCTACTATTCCTAAATATGAAAGATTCAGTTTATCCCCAAGGTTATTCAGTCTAAAGCCCTTCTCTACCTTCCCTTCTTGAATTAAACAATTTAGAATAATCTGTGAAATAATTGATTCTGAAATATTTAAGTCTTATGTAAGAATGCACGCTTTAAAAAATAGAAGTAGAAATAGCAAAGTAACACATGGAAAATATCTAATATTAATTGATTTTGAAGTCTTGATATATATCCTTTGGAATTTTTTTCTGTACAAACATAAATTCTTTTGTATTTTACTGGAATTATACTGTATGTACTCTTTGATCATTTTTTAAAAATTTAAAATTTATATTTATACCTTTCCTTGACAACAAATGTAATTTTATCTTCTGGGTGATCATATAAGATATGCCTCTTAGTGGATTTTTGGATGTTTCCATTTTTAATGTTCTCTGAGTTTTTTAAATGTAAAATGAAATATAAATGGAAAAATATTTCACCTTAATGCGAACTTCATAAGCCTTAGGAGGTGCAACCTCCACATCCTCAATGGAAAAGGGTTTCTTTACCTCCCATAGCACAGCTGCTTTGCATTTGATTACCTAGAAAATCAAACAGAGAGATGGTGACAGTGTTTTCCCACTCTTGAAGTCATAAGTTGTGTCTTTTCATCTTTGTACATGTAATATTGCGTCCCATGTCTGGTACCTAACAAGTGCTCCATGGAAATGAAGTACTCTGGTTTATAAAGAGAATAAAAGTATCTTTTAAAAAGCAATAACATAAGGAAAGATAAACAAAGTATAATAAGACATTGAGAAAAATGGAATATATTTATTTAGGCCATTCTTATGTTGTTGTTTTTTCTCTGAAGGTGTTTATTCCTGGTATTTCCTAATGCCGTCCTGAAAATGCTCGTCTACCCACAACTATTAGCTGATATATGAAGTTAGAAGTCACCTTTATTTTGCTGACAGAGTCAGTGTCTGTCTACATAAAATACACTGCTTTATTGCTCAATTTTCTGCTTAGGCCAAAAGGATCTGACTCTATAAGAGCAATTATACATTTACCTTCCTGCGCACAATGACATTTCTTTCTCTCCCTATTTGCTTATTGTCCTCTTTTAATTTTCTCTCTCCACTACTTCTGTGTGCTACTTGTTTCCTACTCATTTGAAACTTAGCTTTGGCAGCCTGTTTTGTAATCTAATTTATGTGTAGAGACTTCTTTCAGCTTAGATTTGAGCCAAATATTATAGAGATTAGAGTTGGTGGTGTGTGTGTGTGCACGTGTGTGTGTGTGTATACACTCAGACCCACGCATGTATATTTTAAAACTGGAGAAACAGTGTGCTTGGATTTCTGTTTAGCAGAGCTTATCCATAGATGTTCTTAAAAATAAAGTTCAGCATATATTTCTAGTGCTTGGCAGTGTACTGTAAAACCCATCTTCGTTGTGGTAAAGCATGTATAATTCGCAGAGCCCTTTCTAGAAAGAACCAACATAATTGCAAATATAATTTAAAAATTCAATTGAGATTTATTTTTCTGCCAATTCATTTTCATTATTTATTTGTCAAAATTTTCAACTTTGTAGGATGTTCAACATGGTCAATGCCAAAATAAATACCAGAATACTTAGACAGAAGGTACTAATAGTAGGAAGATTCTTATTATGAGGTGCTTATGATGTGACAGGCACATTGTGACCTGTGCTGGGTAAATTACATGCATTATTTTTATCTTAAAATTTATTCATTGATTAATTTTTAATTTCAATAGTTTTTGGGGTGCAGATGGTTTTTGGTTACACGGATAAGTTCTTTAGTGGTGATTTCTGATATTTTGGTGCACCCCTCACACAAGCAGTGTAGACTGAACCCAATATGTAGTCTTTTATGTCTTATTCCTCCTACTGCCCTTTTCCCTCAGTCCCCAAAGTCCATTATATCATTCTCATCCTTTGTGTCCTCATAGTTTAGCTACCACTTTTAAGTGAGAACATTGGATATTTGGTGTTCCATTCATGAGTTACTTTACTTAGAATAACGTCCTCTAGCTCCATCAACCAGTCTTATTGATATGAGCCTGTTTGTCACACAATGCAGAGAGAAGCCTCAGAACCTTTAAATTGAATTATCATAGTGAGATATTTTACAGTGTGGTACACTCCTAACACAAAAAAAGGACTGGACATAGTTGCACAGGTTTATGTAATTAAACAATTAAAAAAATCAATTGATTATATTGAATGACCACATGCACCTGTAAACACATTGAGCAAATAAGTACAAATTTATAGAAGAAAAAACCAAATATCTGTATTCCTAGTGCTAAGTGATTCAAATTGTATTATTATTCAAATTGTATCATTGATTTTCTGTAAAACCATATTAACTTTTAAATGGGGAAGATACTGTTCCATAGGATTTTTGTGGAAATTCCCTGAATTGTATCATAATGGACCCCTTTTAATCAGAATTTGCATGTTGATGTCTTGCTTAACCTTGATGATTCTAATGCTGTGAAATCAATGAGTATTTTGTAAGATATTTTATAGTAAGGTTAAAGGATATTTCAGTCTTCTGAGTCAAATTCCTCTCATCAAACTTCTGTCAGACAACTTTCCTGTGTTCATAAAAAATTTGAATAAAAATAATAACACATTTGAATTATGGTTTCTTATTATAAAGATAACTTGCCATTAAAGACTTTTCTAACTTTAGATTTACAAATCAGTCATGATTAGCTTGGAATAAACTATCATTTTACTGTAAATTTATTTAATGTAGGAAATAAAGACTAATAGACACAGGTTCTATACATTCCTGTTAAAGGTACTTAAGAATAGCTTATTTCCACTGCAGTTCAGTATACATTACATATTGAGGTGTATATTGCATATCATATTTCAGCATATCATTTCTAATTTAGATATGAATTTTAAATTATTCATCAAATACTGTATTCCTTTCTTTGTTATATTGATGAGAATATATTACCAACAGTAATATATTTTTTGCTTACTTTTCCTGCTGTGCTCATGTCGTTTCTGTCTTCTCTGCCCACCAGCAGACTGTGAGTCTTTGTGGATTTCTTCTCTGCTTGAGTGCATAAAGCAGATATATTGCACAGATATTTATTTTGTTTGCTTGTGTAACATCCAATTCCAATTCCACACGTGATCTATGTCTTTAAGCCACACCCACTGGATTATTCCCAGACTGTCAAAACAGATAAAAGGGTACTGAACCAGCAATCAAAATATTGACTTCCAAATTCTAGATAAGATTTTGTTTTCATTAGTTTAAATATTAAGTTAAAGTGATAAATTGTAATCACTTTCTCTTTTCCTCACTTCCCACCCCCCCCCGGCCTCTGGAATTCCTTGTTTCTCTTCTTTCAATCCCACATAGGTCGTTCTGCCTTGTATTCCCTTTGTCTGCACTAAGCTGCAACTTTGAATGCACATGGGGTGGCGAGGAAGGAAGAAGAGTAAGAAAACAGGAAAAACGAAGTAGGATAGAGAGAGCAGCCTCTTTGTCTTTACAGCAGAGAATCAGACACCCAATTAGTCACAGCAAAGGGGATCACTGTGCCTGGCAATTCTGCTCCACTCAAAACTAGTATGTATGGACTGAACACCTCCCTGTGTCAGGCACTAAGCTGGGTCCAGTGGAGTAGCAGTGATGAATAAGACATGACCTCTGCCTGTGCCAAGAGGCAGTATGGGGCAGCGGTGATGGCATGGCTTGTGGGACCAGGCCAACCCAGTTCCTTACTTGTTCTGTGTACTTGGACTTATTATTTCACTGAATTTTTTTTGCCTTAATTTCCTTATCTGTGAGATGAAGATGAATAATGGCGTCATTTTAAAGGACTGTTTGTGAATAAATGAAATAATCCTTGTAAAGCACTCATCATGGAGTTTTGCAGATAGGAGCACCCTCCTAAATGTTAGCTACAATTATTATTCATGAAAGAAAGCTCACAGTTTATAGTGAAAAGACACGCAGGAAACCAAGTCTACATATCAGCCTGGCTGGGAAGTGCCCTATCACAGGGGTCAGTTAATGCTTTGGGAACAGAGACAGAGTTGCTATTCAGAATGAAGGACTCAGGGGAGGCATTGTAGAGGAACAGGCATTTGTGGCAGATTTTAAATAATTGTGAGAAATGGAGCAAAATCCTCACTGGATCATTTCCATTACCCTTTGATCAATGTAGCTAGTATCCTCATGGCTTTCCAAGCATAGGAGTTTGATTTTTCTTTTATCCACACTTGGAGGCGTCATAAAACTATACAGGCAACTATTTAATTAGATATAGTCTGTCAATATGAACATGTTAGCATAGAGGACATATTTCTCTAAAATTGCCAAGGGAACATTTCAGTAAGCTTTAATTATGTAGGCACTGAGACTCACACCAAGACTGAGAAACATTCACCCAATAGAAAGCAAAGGAGGTCCTATGATTTTAGTTGCTTCTAGTTTGGAAAGGTATGACGGAAAGAAGATAGCCCCAGATAACCTGGCTTTAGCCTTCTCATCCAACTATTCCTCACCATTCTCCAATACAGGGCCTATGCTCTTTAGAAGCATGTATCTCTGTGGTCCTCCAAAGAGGAATCCATTCCTCATTCAAGCTCTTGCTCATCATGCTTTTTCTCTTCTTTTCTGTCCCTCTGGCCCATTCAAATCCTCCCCAAACTTTGAGATCTAGGACAAGGTCGCCCTTGTGGAGATATGTTAACGCCATCTCACAGTCATGCTTCACTTCTTTCCATCCCTGTCATACTAGCATCCCTCCTGTGGTTTTAGGGCCCATTCTCTTTTGTGGCCTTTATATTTAGTGTAGAGATCAGTCTCCTAAGTTCTACTGGAAATTTCTGGTCAGAGATGTTCTTGAATTTCATTTAAATCTTCAACTGTACCTAGTTTCATGTGTACAATAGGTGTTTAATGAAAGATTGTTGAATTCTTGTGCTCCTTTATGTTAGGACACGCACTGTTCTATGAGCAGTCCCATAATCCAGAAGATCTGGTGTCTCCTCTTTAAGGGATTACAGATTAGCAGTGGGATTGGCTGTGGTCAGGTAGAGAAGACAGAGAACCCTCCTGTGAAGCAGGAAGTGGTGAGTGCCAGGAGAAAGTTCAACGTGGAATCAAAAGAGGAAGACCCTACTCCGTCTTTTCATTGTGAATTCTCAGCTCTTAACTCAATGAGTGGCACAGGGTGAGTGCTCAGATATTTGTTGACTAAATTAAATGAATGACATCTAATTTGAGAATGAGGAAGCCTTGAAAGAAAGATATTTTATTAAGATTTATTAAGAAAGATGAGTTGCAGTTGAGAGGTATAGATGCAGTCAGCATATGGACAAAGAATCTTGAAAACATTTTTCTCCCCTAATACCCCCTTTTATACATTTTTCTGTTTAATCCTCTCTCACACCTGTAGACATAGCATTTCAGGGAATTATAGCCACTACCACCTTGTTTTCAAGGCCCTAATGAATTTGGAAATGTGATATCCACTTATGAGCTTGCATCACTTTGTGAACACATGGCTCCATGAACTGCCAAAAGAACTTTGGCACAAACTTCATAGAGTCAAGAGATCTTTCTTAATACCATCTGGCAACTACTCTGTGCTTACTCTTTGCCCCACCTTCTAAAAGTTTAAATGGAGGGGAAGAGCAGTTGTCACATGATTGAGTGTCAGTGTTCTAGTATCAGAGGGCCATGGCAGGCCTGTAGCAACATCTGGAATGTCCAAAGGTAACCCTGTCACTCTCTAGGGGTCACAGGGCATCACTTTCCTCTGTTTCTCTCTCTGTGTGTGTCTCTGTAAGCCAGCCCGATTCTATATTACATTTCCACCAACTACTATATTATAAATGCAGCTTATCCAGAGAGATGATATGCTTGCTTCAGTTTGGGTCAGCGATCCCCGGTGTGCTAGGCAGAATAATGGCCCTCAAAGAGGTCCACTCCTAATCCCTGGAATCTAGGAATATATTGCTTTACATGGAAAAAAACGAATTTTGTAGGTGTGATTCCGTTAAAGGTCTTGAGATGGGAAGACTAGCTTGGATTATCCAGGTGAACCTAATCTAATCTTATGGCTTCTTAAAATTGGAGAGCTTTTCCAGGTTGTGGTCAAAGAGGGAGATGTGTCTACCCACAGCCTGTAGATGGCCATGTTTGCAAGAAGGGTGTGTTAATTTTCTATTGCTGATGTAACAAATTACCACAAGCTCTCTTGGAAGGTTAGTGGAAGGCAAGGACTGGCATCTCTAATATAATTATGCATGTAATGATGAGTAGTGCAGAGATGTGACTCCAAAGCCTCGAGAAGGACAGACTAGCATCTCTGTAAGAGATCCAACTGTCTCCTTTTCCCCATGGGCCAATAATTTACCTGGATCTAAGAAATAATATTGTAACTGGCAGAAAGTACCTTCAGTACAAATTCTTCATTTTTGGGGTTAAATCATTTGGCAAAATGGTAAGATTAATATTATTGTAAAGATGATTGCTAGAAAAAAATTGTAACATTTCAAGTATGTGCATAAATAACAGACTTTAAAGCATTTTTGGGGATGAGATGCAAAATGAAGAGTGGGAGAGGGACTTTAGTAGCAATAAATAGAACTTGAGAATGGAATAGTTACATAAATAATCTATAGAATATTACAATAAGTAGAGTAAATTTTAAGTTCCTAGAGGAATTTTTGAAAATACCCACATTCAAAACCATGAATTCTTACTCAATTAGCATTTCATTTTGATTTTGGTACTGAAGCCAAAGATGTTGAGGGAACTGAAATGCTTGCTGGACTGGCTGTGGCTGTGGAGCCTGGAATTCTTCCATGAAGAGCGTGTGTGAGAGAACAAAATGTTTGTTTACATTCCTCCTGTGAAGGCAGTTGGGAAATAATCTAAGAAGCCCAATCCAAAAACAGAGATGTTCCATCCAGCCTTCTCTGTGATAGCCAAACTGCAAACGATCTGAATGCTCCACGAATGATTTACTGATGTATTTTAAATGAGTTATTGATGCATTTTAAGTTATTCTGATGATGTGCTTGGCATATGCTTAAAAGTACATTTACTGAGATGATGTGGGAATACCAAGTGTTTATTAAAACAATACAAAGTAATACAAATGGTATGGTTGTCACAATATAAAAATATCTAAAAGCTAAAGAGTTCTTTAATGGTGGAGAATTTTTTCCTTTTGAAAATTAAAAATATATTTTGTTGTAAAAATTACAACTGATTAGTATCAGTATGTAACATCCATGGAGTGCTGACTTTGCTAATCTCTGTGCACACATTGCCTTACTTATAGCAATGTTTAGCATTAACTTATCAGGTAGATACCATTGCCATGCACATTTTACAGATGAAGACACTGAGGTTTAGAGAGATTGTATAAATTTCCCAATGTAACACATCTAGTGGTGGAGCCAGGATCCCAGGAAGCCTAACTCGAGTTTAATAACCTAAATATCAATAAAATAGCTAATATCCTTGTCACTGTAAGTATGTGCCACTTACTGTTCTAAATGCTTTACAATTAACAGATCATGTAATCCTCACAATAATACTATTAGGCAGATTCTACTGTTATTACCATTTTATACAAAATGGTATAATACATACAAAATATGTATTTTGTATGTCTTCGTCAGCCTTAAAGCCACTTTTGAATTTTTTAGCATATTTTCCCAGAACATGTCAATTTTATTTCCATTTAAATTGCTTGAGATATGAGATGATGACATAGTCCCTGAAAATTTTATTCCCAGCTGTGTATCTCCCTGGAGTCTTTGACTTACTTCCATGTGGGCAGGAGGTGCTTTGCATCAGGCCACACCTGCCATCCTGGAGCCTCCTCACCCTCATCCTGGGGAATCCCTTCCCTCTTCTCAGGGTGAGAGCATCAGCTTCTCAGATACCACATCTTTCTTTGAATTAATTTATCAGTTTTGGGGCACTTCATTAGTAATCTTCTGGAGAAAAAGTTACACCAAGGGGTGAATTTATTGAGATCTTTTCTTTCTATTGGATTTCTACTGTGCTGTGATGAGTTTTAATTCTCAAGAGTTTTTTATGGCAACATATTCTTTTTTCATGTATGTAATATCTTTTTACAAATATTAATAACAGCTTTTAAAAAAATTTTGAATTTTTTTATTTCATGGATTATTTCTTCCAACTTCTTTTTTCTTTGCCTGTTTCTATCTTTCCTATTACAAAGCTAGAATCACTCCACATTTCTGATGATCTCGGTTGTCTTCTGTTGCAGGATGGGGCACTAATGAGCTATTGGGAAGCTCTGAATACAAGGGTGGCATCTGTGTCATGTGAGATTTGCTACAGAACTATCTGGCGGGATTAATTGCTGGGGGATATAATGTCAGTAAGAGTAGGTATTTTCTCTTGGGCTGGTCAGATTTTTCAAAGGATGATTTTGGAAGTTTCCATGTAGAAGACACATGCCCAGCTGCCAGCACTCTGGGGCCCAAGAGGGCAATTGAAAATTCAAATATAAGCCACTTGGGAGAAAAAAGGCAAAACCCAGGACTACCCAGGTAATTCCAAAAGCTTGTTCGCATTAATCTTGCAAGACTATAGCCAAAAATCTATTGGACCTTATAATAATCTCATCTTTAATAGTTCTAAAAGTTTTCTATTTAGGCCTGCGAGAATTTTCTTATATCCAGACTTAAATGTCTGCCATTGATAATCTTAGATTCCTGAATGATCCAGTAAGAAAACATTTCTATGACTCTATTACTCCATAATGCATAACATCTTCTTAAGGCTTTAGAGGTGACCGAGACAGTTTATATTATTTTGACAATTATTTGGTCAGACTTTTTTTAAATAATAAAAATTACAATTACAATACCTTTATTTTACAATTACATGTACATGTTGGCAGCTGGAGTCTTTCTTTATAGTTTCTTTATAAGTTAAAAAAGTAATAAAATTATAAATCTCATCCTAACTAGTAAAACCAAACAGTTATGGTTAAAAAGTTAACTTTAGTTCTTCAACTCTTTTCAGATCCTTGTTTCTGAGATGAACAGCCTGTTCTGTATATTTCTATATCTTTCTCTATGCTCATACAAACCTATATATAATTACAAATTTTAATTTGTTTTGTCTTTCACAAAAATTGGATCATATAGTACACATTACTGTGTAACTTGCTTTTTATACTTAGTGATGCATTATATTAATCCCTCCGGATTTTAAGATATAATTTTTTTTGACATGAGGACTTGCTCTGTTGCCCAAGCTGGAGTGCAGCGGCACGATCATGGCTCTGCCTCTGCCTTCCAGGCTGCAGTGATTGTCTCACCTCAGCCTCCCAAATAGCTGGGACTACAGTTGCATACCACTATGCCTGGCTAATTTTTGTGTTTTTCTGTAGAGACAGGTGCCGAGACCAGCTTGGTCAGGGAGACCCTAACCGAGCGGGCCTGAGCGTTAGAGGAATTAAAGACACACACACAGAAATATAGAGGTGTGGAGTGGGAAATCAGGGGTCTCACAGCCTCCAGAGCTGACAGCCTCAAACAGAGATTTACCCATGTATTTATTAACAGCAAGCCAGTGATAGGCATTGTTTTGATAGATTATAGATTAACTAAAAGTATTCCTTATGGGAAACAAGGGGATGAGCTGAAATAAAGAGATGGGTTTGGCTAGTTATCTGCAGCAGGAGCATGTCCTTAAGGCACAGATTGCTCATGCTATTGTTTGTGGTTTAAGAAAGCCTTTAAGCGGTTTGCTGCCCTGGATGGGCCAGGTGTTCCTTGCCCTCATTCCAGTAAACCCACAGCCTTCCAGCATGGGCATCATGGCCATCATGAACATGTCACAGTGCTGCAGAGATTTTGTTTATGGCCAGTTTTGGGGCCAGTTTATGGCCAGATTTTGGGGGCCTGTTCCCAACAGACAGGGCTTTGCCATGTTGCCCATGCTGGTCTTTAACTCCTGAGCTCAAGGGATCTCCCTGCCACAGCCTCCTAGAATGCTGGAATCACAGGTGTGCCTGACATCCGACTCCCTAGTTTTTAAAAGATTCACTTACCATTCAAAATAGGGAGTTATCATTCCTTATTTTGCCAATCAGTAAGTTTAAAATTCTTTTTTCTTCTACAAATAAGGCTGCAGTAAGTAGCCTTGTCTCTATATTCTTACACAAATATACTTTTATTTTTATGGAGTTGATTCCCAAGTGTGATATTGCTTGGGGCGTGCATGTTGGAAATTTTAATAAATATCACAAATTGCTTGTCAGAAACCTAAGACAATGCACATTTCTACCAACAGTGTAAGCTAATAGATAAGCAGTAATATCTCATTTTGCTTCATTTTGTATTTTTTGACCACTTCCAAGGCCCAGTGCCATTTAGTATGGCTGCTGGACATTTTAATTTCCTCTTCTGTGAATTTCCATCATTGTCCATTTTCCTATTATCTATTTTTAAATAAAAAAGCACTTGGATACTAGAGATATCATTTTTTGTCAATCATATATGTTGAAAATATTTTTTCTTGTCTATTATTTTCTTTCATAGTTTATTTGTTTATACCAAAATTTGAAAATTTTATCCATGCTCAGAATTTGATTTGAAATACTTTTATGAAATTATTGGAGTCAACTTCCCACTTTGTTTTTATATATCATGAGAAGTCAAAGAATCAAAGCAATATATTCTCACAACCATACGCATTTTCTCCCCATCCTCTTCAGCCTTGTGTCTATCATCCTGTTTCAGCACTTATAAAGTCACTTCTGTGGAATACTTGATTACAGACCTAGCCAATAATTTCTACGCTGGAATACATATTTATATATAAATACAATCCCTTAACTATGTAAACTATCTGCCCTATAGTACAAATTCCTTTACATAATATTCTTGAAAGTCTTAAATAGAAGCAGGCCAATCAAATTTCTTTAATAACTTTTTAAAGAATGTCAATCACATTCTTTAATAATTTATAGGAACTTGACATCGAGAGCATCCTCATGAATTCTATTGCCATGTTGTGTGCTATGGACTGAAGTTTCGTGTTCCACCAAAATTCACGTGTTGAAGTCTAATCCCCAGTGTGATTGTATTTGGAGGTGGGGCTTTTGGGAGATGATTTCACTCTCTTGAATGGGGTTAGTGCCATTATAGGAAGAGACACAAGGTGATAATTCATTCAGTCATGTGAGGATACAGAGGGAAGGTGGCTGTCTACAGGCCAGGAAGTTGCCCTTCACCAGGCACCAGTTCTGTTGGCCCCTTGGTCTTGTACTCCCCAGCCTCCATAACTGTGAGAAATAAATGTCTGTTGTTTAAGCCACCCAGTCTGTTATGTTTGGTATAGCAGCCCAAGCTTATTGAACATGATGATAGACGGAATTCTAAGCTGACTCCCAAGATTCCAGCTCCCTGGTGTACATGCCTTGTATGATCCCTTATGCTTACATGGCTTGGGGATGGAACCTTTGAATATGATGGGACAGCCACTCCATGGATTAGGTTGTGTTACAGAGCAAGTGCTGATGGAATAGTCAGGTGTGTGATCATCTGACATTATAGGAGACTCTGTTGTGTTAGACTTGAGGGGTTTTGGAGTCAGGAGTTTGGGAGCATGAGAGGATGTGCGGAGGGAACCATGCTGAGATTGTTCCCTGGTCAACAGCCAGCAAGAAACTGGAAGCCTCAGTCCCACAGCCACTAGGAACTGAATTCTGGGACCAGCAATGTGAGCCAGAAAGAGGGCCTCAAGCTCCAAAAAGGAACACAGGCCAGCCTATACCATTGAGACTGCAATTGGAGCAACTAGTTAAGCTGTTTCCAGATTTTTGACTTGCAGAAACCATGAGATAATAAATGGTGTTCATTCAAGCCAATAATTGTGTGGTAATTTGTTACTCAGAAATAGAAAACTAATATACACGTGAATAAATGTTTTATATAATTAATCACTTTCAACTCTGGTTATTTTTTCAAGCACGTTTTCAAAAACTTTAGAGTAAACTTTTATGTGTAATTAAGGGAGATGTTTAGAAAGGGATCTCTTCCAGGAAAGCCTTCAGAAAGAGGAGAGAATTTGGACAAACTTTTTCATGATATAAAAAAGACTGGTGAGTAGAGATGCCAGTGTCACTTGGGATAAGATTTTCACTTGTAGGAAGGCATGGGAGAAACTGACAAGATAATGTAACTTACTAAAAGTGTTTAAAAATAAAAAATTCAGCTTCAAATAGAAAAAAATTATAGAATAGAGACAAGATTTAGCATAATTTATGAAAGATTATGATGTAAGAATTGAAACATAGTATAACATAATTTTAAAAATTCTATATACTGGCTAAATGATAAAATTGCTTTTATTTCTGCTTCTGATATTCACATAAGGAGTTTTAAGTGGAGGGTTTAGCCAACAATTTTTGTAGTTGTGAAAAAGTAACAAAGAGACTGTAAGGACTCCATTATTAATTGAGGTCAGAGATTCTTGCCCCACAAAAATGACTAAGAGTTGGCCCTACAACAACTGTACCTCCCATTATTTTCTTTTCTTATTTTTTTTATTTTTATTTTTTTGAGATGGAGTCTCGCTCTGTCACCAGGCCAGAGTGCAGTGGTGCAATCTTGGCTCCCTGTAACCTCTGCCTCCTGGGTTCAAGTGATTCTTCTGCCTCAGCCTTCCGAGTAGCTGGGACTATAGGCGTGTGCCACCACACCCAGCTAATTTTTGTATTTTTTTAGTAGAGGCGTGGTTTCACCATGTTGGCCTGGATGGTCTTCATCTCTTGACCTTGTGATCCTCCTGCCTCGGCCTCCCAAAGTGCTGGGATTACAGGCATGCACCTCCCATTCTGAACGGGAGGTAGACTTTGCATAAAAAACTGCATTTGAAAATCCTAGAGGGCCTTCAAACTCATCAAGTCCATTTCCCAAACTTTACCATTGTGATGGTTTGAATATTAGTCCTTCAAATCTCAATTTGAAATTTACTTGCCATTGTAATAGTATTAGGAGGTGCCATTCCTAAAGAAGGAAGTAGGCTAGCCAGGCCCAGTGGCTCATGCCTGTAATCCCAGGACTTTGGGAGGCTGAGGTGGGCAGATCACTTGAAGTCAGGAGTTCGAGACCAGCCTGGGCAACATAGTGAAACTGTCTGTACCAAAAAATACAAAAATTAGCCGGGTGTGGTGATGGAATCCTGTACTCAGGAGGTTGAGGTAGGAGAATCAGTTGAACCTGGGAGGCAAAGGTTGCAGTGAGCCGAGATCATGCCATGCACTCCAGCCTGGGTGACAGAGTGAGACACTGTCTCATAATACATACATACATACATACATACATACATACATACATACATACATACATACAAAGTAGGGCAAAAGGCTCTGCCATTATGGGTGAGGTTAACTACATTACAAAAAGGTAGATTTAGCTTTTTCTTGCTCTGTCTCACTCTCTCACCTTCTACCATGTGATGATCTAGCAAGAAGGCCTTCAACAGATGTTGGCACCTTGATATTGAACTTCCCAGCCTTCAGAACTGTGAGCCAATACATTTCTCTGTTCATCATAAATCACCCAGTCTCAGGTATTCTGTTATAGCAGCAGAAAATGGACTAAGACAACCAGCTTCCCCACAAATACCTGATACTGTCTTTAGATCCTAAGTTGGTAAATTTGGACAACCTTTGGACAACCACATCAAGTTGTTAGGCTGATGCTTTGGAATTAGCTTTCTTCCTCTTCCTTTTTTACCACACACTCTTGATATTGATGACATGTCACTGATATGTTCTAAGAATGTCTCATTTATCTGGTTCCCTGCTTTTCCTTTGTCACTACTTGAAACAGAATCCATTCTGTCTTGTTCACAGCTAAAACCTCCTCATTCTCTCTATTCTTCTCCTCACCCTCTCTATTCTTCTCCTCACCTCTAATACACCCTCCTCAAGGCCAAAAGAATGAGTTTAATATGCCAATCTGATCATATCATCAATCTTCTCCAAAAAGTTTTAACAGCGTTCTTGTTCTTAGAGGGTAAAATCTAAACTTCTTGTAAGGAATCCAGGAATCATTGTTACTTGGCCATAGACCTTTCCCATTGTGAAGTTTACAGGCCATTAATTTTAAGTTCTTGTAATTCCTTAACGTGCTCTGCTGTTTCCTGCTGAACCCTTGGTCTTGGATGCCCTCCTCTAGTTTTGCTTCCATCAAACTCCTCCTTATTCTTTAAATTTAGGCATAAATATTTGCATTAGGTACCAATCAATAGAATGGAACTTTCAGGTTAAAAGAGAAAATTGCCATTTTCTCTTTTAGGTATTCATTTTGGATCTAATACTTATCCCTGCCCTGCCTCATTCTTCCTTTTGCTCAGAACTATTGTGAGAGATGGAGAGCAGATAGCTCAGAGAACCACAAAGCTCTTTGACTCTCAGAAGTCAACTAGCACATTTTGAATGTCCTCTGTCTTTAAATGTCCCTGAAGAAGGAGAAGATACCAAATGTAAAATAAATAGTATTTGACTGCTCCAAATTATTTCTGCTATTCATTACAGTTTGAAGATTTTGGAAAGATTAAATCAAAAGCCTTAGAATTTCCTTCCATTAATGAAATAATTTATTCTGGCTTTTGTTTTGCTTCCAATTTCCTGAGGTTTTAATTAAGGTTCAAAATAAGTATTTAGTCTTGAAGTTATTTCTGAGCTCTTTTCTCCCACCTACCTAAAACATGGTATCATCTAAGTGATGTTTATTATTTAAATTTACAATAACCTAAAAATGTTTCAATACTGTAGCTATAATTTAACTTCCACTTATAAGTGAATACATGTGGTATTTGGTTTTCTGTTCCTTTGTTAGTTTGCTAAGGATAATGGCCTCCAGCTCCATCCATGTTCCTGTAAAGGACATGATATCTTCCTTTTTTATGGCTGCATAGTATTTCATGGTGTATATGTAGCACATTTTTTTTTTATCCAGTTGGCCATTGATGGGCATTTATGTTGATTCCATGTCTTTGCTATTGGGAATAGTGCTGCAATAAACATAAGCATGCATGTGTCTTTATGGCAGAACAATTTATATTTCTCTGGGTTTATACCCAGTAATGAAATTGCTGGGTCAAATGGTAGTTCCGTTTTTAGCTCTTTGAGGAATTGCCACATTGCTTTCCACAATGGTTGAACTAATTTAAACTCCCACCAACAGTGTATAAGTATATCCTTTTCTTTGCAACCTTGTCAGACCTAGCCATTCTGACTGGTATGAGATGGGAACTAAATGATGAGAACATATGGACACAAAGAGGGGAACAATGGACACTGGAGCCTCCATGAGGGTGAAGCATGGGAGGGAGAGGAACAGAAAAAAGAACTATTGGATACTAGACCTAGTACCTGGGTGATAAAATAATCTGTACAACTGCCTATGACATGAGTTTACCTACATAACTAACCTGCACATGTACCCCTGAATCTATAATAAAACTTTAAAAAATAAAAATAGAAAAACCAAAGAAACAAACAAAAAACTCAAAAACTGTAGTTATATCTCCTTAAGGCAATTAGATATCTTCCAAAACACAGTACGTTATTGGTTTCTGAGTGAGTAGTAGTCTTTAAATACATTTCCATAAGAATTATCTGTTGATCTCTCTGACCTGCTTTCACTGATAACTACGGAGTTATTTGCTGAAGTGTCAAATACCTCAAAGAGCAAGCCTGGAAACAATGGAAACCAGATATTTTTATCTCTCTGGTTATCTTTGTTTATTAGTTTTATTGGTAAGGTGTTAAGCAACCTGTGGGTTCTATGGTGATTGTGATAGTGCCGTGCAGGTGATCTGGACCCTGAGATCTAAGTAAAAGAAATGAGCAAACCAAGTTAATATATGTAAACATCCATCTCATTAAATCAGTGTTTGGTACCAGCTCCACTTTTACTTTTGTCCCACCAATTTTTCTTTCTCTTTTTATCCAATGGACCACTTCCTGAATGTTGCTAGATATTTGATAGGCAAATAGAATTTAATGTACTTTAATAAAATAGTTATTTTAACAGTTTCAAGGAACATTTGGTTACAGAAATGAATAGTCAGGTGTCTAAGCATGTGTTTATCAGATATAGATTTGCTCTCACTATACTTCAACATGTGAGCAATTTTCTAATAATTCTGTCGGGATGACTTTCTTTCTAATCCCAGGGCAGCATGTATGATTTATAAAGTAGAAAAAAGTTAATTCAGAGTTTTGTTTGTATGCCCTTTCTGGAGGTGCTAAGTCAGTGCACCTCACACAGTTATTAATTAAACCGTCAACATAAACTTTTCTCTTTTTAAAGTTTGAAAAGTTTCTTTATTTTGACAAAGCCTTTGGCTGCTGGCTAAAATGAGTGCAAACTATGTACATTCACAGAGTTACATTATAGAGGGGGTGATCAGCATATATAGAAGTCCTTGATTCTAGAGTCAAAATTTGCTGGAAGTCACCCAGATCATGTGCACCACTTTAGGTCCACCAGGACACAAGCCACTCTGGGGTTCCACGTTTATGTTTTGATTTTTACTTGCCTTTTTAGACCCACCATTGTCAATGTAACTAGGAGCCAATGCATGGTGCAGAAGGCTCCCAGGTGCCACTCTCACCCCATGGAGGACTGTGCCACTCTATAACAACACTGGCAGTGCCCACCTAATGCCCTCAACTCTACCTTCTCCCCTAGCCTGGGAGGAAGGAGGGTGGGAGCTGGATGTCAGCCTCTGTGTCACTGGCAGGATTTGATGACCCTGTTGTGGGGTGGCCATGTAGAACTGCTTCTTGTTTTTCTGGATCTCACACCATCAGCATCAGTGTAAAAGCCACAGAGCACCCAGCAACAGGTGGTATCCCATGATGTTATCTTAGGGAGATGCTGAAAAGTGTCTTGACCCTGAGTATCTCCTTCAGCATTTTTGACCAAACAATCACATGTTCTCTACATTTAGGATGCCCTTCCCAGTTGGCAAAACTCTTTCATTAATATCATCACATTTAGCCTCGGTAAAGCTGTAATGGGCTGGTTGAGTACTTTTTTCAAAACAAAGGATGAACAAGCTCAGAGAGATTGAGTGACTTACTGAAGGTCACACAGTAAATGATAGACTATTTTACTTTATGTCTAGGGTCTTCCACAATATGAAATAGATTGTATGTATTGCAACAAGTAGCATTTTTGGAGACAGCTGTAACTCCTTTACCAGGAATCATATTTGCATGTCACATTTAGAGACAAAGCTCAAAATGCAAATCTTCCCCAAGAGTGGAAAAGCATTAACAAATGGCCACCGCAGGCCTTTACCTATTCAAAATATTAAACAAATTCTAGGATCATAGACGATGTAAGACATGGTAGTTAATAGGAAAGTTCCAGATTAAAAACAATTTTGCACAAATATACATCTGTGTGTGTGTGTCTACTTGGAAAACACATTGCTTGAGGAGTTTTTGCCATTTTAGTTACCAATTTTACACTCTGTGTTCACAGCATTTGCCACCCAATATCTACATATAAAGCCACCATAATACTTTAAATTACTTTATACTTCATTTTCAGTCAATTGGAATCATAAACTAAGACTGCTTAGCTAATGAAGCACTTTCATGAGCAAAAATTACAGATTTTTTGAACATGATTCTAGGAATAGTTCAGTTTTCACATTTAGTGTCTGAACCTAAGTTTGTCACATGAAGCACAAAATCCGCTTTTATTTTTAAAAATCAATTGTATTTTCACTGTAAACAAATAGCATAAAAGCAATAAAAACACTTCCCTTCATTGTATGAAAATGTGTGGCATTTTATTTGAGTTACTAATTAAAATCCTGGATTTAGAACTTCTGGATCTTCTTCACTTATAAATTTGAGTCTATTCTTTACCATACTGTAGTTTTTACCTTAGGGATTTGGTACATTTTATTTAAAAAAGGAAAATGCAGACAGTGAAAATTGAGATAGAGTTAGAAGACTTCAAGCACCATAGCCCAGCATGTGTATATTCAGGACAAGTGAAGGGTCCCCTCCACTGGATTCAATGACTGAAAATTATGAAGATATCAAAAATGTAAGAAGTCATAGGAAATATTTTTCCTCAATGGCAAAGATGGCACACAAGTTGAATGGTTAAGAAGGAAGGTTTATTGGCTTCAATTCCCCAGTTGATGTTCAACACTTTATTTAGTTCTCATTTGGATTTTAAACATTTGCTTGACAAATAATTTCCCATCAATTTCCATTTCTTTGGAAAGCTCCCACGTGTAATTTATTTTTAACATCTCTGAAGAGCAGAATTAATGATATTTCCTAGCTGTTGCTCCAGATCATGTAGGGTAGAGGAGGCTGAAAACTGCTACAAGGGAAGGCATCTGTATTGTTTCAAAACGTCAGGACGGTACGGATACTGCAATAGGAAAGAAGAGACATTGTGTTAACATTTAGACAACCCACATGCTTCCATGTGATAGTCCAAGGAGTATTTGAGGTGACTTAGTGAAAATCTCTCTGTGTTCTCAGCCACTCCCTTCCCATCCCTATGCATTTGGGTCAAGTCAAGTGAAGGGAAGTTCATGTTTTTTGGTTTTCTCTTGTGTTTTCTTCAATCTTAAGCTCACTCAAAACCTCCTGAGTATGCCTGTCATTTAGACTTCAGATCTACATTAGCATCTTCAAAAAATCATTTTGGCGTGCCCAAGTTCCTGGTATAATAAGGAATATAAAATAACAATAGATAATAACATGCAATAAGTTTTTGCTATTTGTCACATGCTTCATGCATTTTTTTCACTTAAATCTCAACCTAAACAATGACGATAGGAAGTTGGTTTCCATATTATTTCCATTTAGAGATTATAAAAACTGAGACTTAGAAAGATTTGTAATTTGCTCTGGTCGCACATCTAGTATAGGGTGTTGGGATTCAAACCCAAATACAAATTTGCACAAATTATATAATGATAGATACCTTGCCTGAAAGAACTGATAATTTAATAAAGTTAGGACCATGCTGGAGGTTTAATAGACCTTTGATACAGAGATGTTTAAGGATTCTTAGAAGTAGAGAATAAAGCTGATTTGTATTAATTCTAAGCTACTTCATTCTTGTGAAGATTAGAAATGTAACATTTACACTAGAATTAATGCCTTTTCTATAAACCAACTTTTGATGAACACTTTTAAGAAAAGAAGATATTTGCGACTGAGAATTTTATATATAGTGTGTGTGTGGTGTGTGTATATATATACACAGATAAGAAAAATATATGCACATAATTTAGAGAATACAGGACAGAAGAAGCCGCTAAAAAAAATCTGTAATCTTACGACCTCGGAGTAATCATGGTCAATGTTTTCTTGAATTCTATCAGCTTTTTCTAGATACAGATACACTTTCTATTGTCCTTTTTGAAAATTTGGGATCATCTTATAAATACAATTTATATGATTTATTTTATGAGTTTAAAATTACATTTTAAGAATTTGCCAATGAAGTCTTTTTCATTTCTAACAGTTGCTTAGAATTTATTAAATCATATTCTTAATGTTGGACTTTTCTAATGTTTCTAAATATTGATATTACTGATAGTAAATAAACATGCTTAAACATATATGTATGTTTGAGTTGATTATTTCTATAGAATAGATTTCTAGAAATGGTATTGCTGGAACAAAGGATCTAGGTTTTTTTTGGAGGTTTCTGATACAAATTACCAAATTGCTTTCCCAAAAGGATGTATCAATTACTATGAAAGTATATGAAAGCATCCAAGTCACCTTACTCTTACCAATATTGATATCACAATTTTTATTCTTTGCTTATTGATAAGATTTTATTTACATATGCGTATTACTATATGACATTCTTGTAAAGTGAATTTAGGCATGCTCCATGCCTTCTTTTGTTGCTCAATAGTGTCTTCTGGTTTTGGTCATCTCTATTTGCCATCATCTTATCAATTCTATGATGATGTCAATGATAATAATAATGACAATGATAATTAACCTTTGATGAATACTGTTTTCTATATATATATATATATATATATATATATATATATATATATATATATATACACACTCTTGAGGGGTGGTGTGGTTTAATAGAAAGTGAATAGATTTGCTAATAACAAGATCTTCCTTCGAATTCTGGCTCTCCTTCCTACCACCTGATGATTTTGACCAAGTCATGCCTTCTCTGCTTCTTAGTTTTCTCTTCTCTAAGATAATGAGATTGAGACTGACACTGAGCGTTGTTTGGGAATCACATGAGAAAATGCATGTAAGACACTTAGTAGAACAGCTGGTGCTCTGTGGGTGCTAGTGTCTTTCCTTCCTCAAGAATATTTGTCGGATAAAGTATCTAGTATGATAGTTTTGTGAGTTTCAAAGAAACACTATTTGAAGTTGAAAACCTCATGAAAATAAGTGTGGGATAGCAGAAAAATCTCAGACTCTGGAGCTAGAAGGCAGAGATTAGATATAACTGCCTATTTCCAGTTATGTCTCATATAAATGCAAGTGACAAAGTTCATTATATTAGGTGATTGTAAGTGTAAGTGTTAGAGGTAGGAAATAGAATTGGCTTATTTTTCTAAGACTTGGAGAAAATGTAAGACAAATATTTAAAATAGGGTTTAGTACCCTTCTCTTTTACAACAACTTTTCTTAGTAAATTTTTTTTTCTAAACTGCAAAGAAAAGAAAAGAAAAAGGAAAATCTAGTAATATCTACTTAGAAATCAATCTCAATGTAGTTCCACCTACTCCCATAATGAATATGCTGAGGATGTCCTGAAAATAATTTTAATATACAATCATTAGATGTCACACTTACTTATATGACAGGCAGAGGTGTCAGTGATTCCATGTTATAATTCTGGTTGCTTAAACTTTTTTTGGAGGGGGATGGGGGCCAAAGTGAGTGTTCTCTTTTAAAGAAGGCTGAATGACTCTGATCATTCAGTTATGCTATAATCAACATAATTTGCCTTCAGCAGAATAGGAAATGCAAAGCAACTGTTTTTAGCTTCTCACAGTATTACCTTACATGTGCTCCATGCAAAGATTGAACTGGCAATGGAAAACCAAGGCACTGTAATTTTTTCTCATCCTTCCACCTTTTCATTCTCTGCTAGACAACGCCCCCCCCCCCCCCGCCGCTACTGTAGAATACAAAGCAAAACAAAAAAACAACTTAAAATCTACCTCTTTCCAGAGCGAAGCAGGTCAAATCCTTCATTTATTTTTTCAAAAGGTAAAATATTTGTTATTAATGCATCCAGTGAAAACTTCTTAGCCATAAAGTCAGCCACAAGTTTGGGGACAGATTCTTTACTCTTAAAGCCTGAAAAGAAGAAAATATCATTGATAGATTCAACCAGGGTAAGTAGGAGAATTGAAGAGAAGATTTTCCAAATAAATGAAAGTTTAGAAAAAGTGCTGCATTCCAGACTGCTATAACTGAGGATAATAAGAGATAGAGTACTTCAATATGCTTTTACAGTGCTTTCACAAAAAAAATCACAGATAAACAAGGGTCCTTAGTTATTCTCTCTCTCACAGAGAAATTATAGTACAGATGTTATGCCCAAAGTTAAGGAGCAAATTTATTAGTTGTCTAGATTTTTGTGTAGATATGATTTATTGTTATATATTTCCATGGCCTACTAGAAATTTCCTTGCCTTACGCAGTCACAAGTACAAAAAGAGGTGGAGATGAAAGTCCTGGTTAATAGTGACATCAGAAAAGTCTATCTTGGGGCTGGGCATGATGGCTCATGCCTGTAATCCCAGCACGAGCACGTTGGGAGGCCGAGGCAGGCAGATCATTTGAGGTCAGGAGTTCGAGACCACCTTGGCCAACATAGTGAACCCTCATCTCTACCCAAAAAAATTAGCTGGGCACAGTGGTGCATGCCTGTAATCCCAGCTACTCTGGAGGTTGAGATAGGAGAATCACTTGAACCTGTGAGGTGGAGGTTGCAGTGAGTCAAGATTGCGCCACTGCACTCTACCTTGTGTGACAGAGCAAGACTTCATCTCCAAAAAATAAAAAAGAAAAGTTCTGCATTATTGGAGACTATAGAAAAGAAATTTTAATTTATTTTTAATTTCATTGCTTTTCAAAAACTTGCCTTGTCACTCATAAAAGGAGAGAAATTCTTAGGTTAATGAGAATTTGGCTCTGAAGCCTAACTACATACCTCCAAAAATAGCTCCTTTCCACGTGCGTCCAGTCAGTAGCAGCATAGGGTTTATTGAGAGGTTCTGGGAATCAGGAGGTACCCCTACAATGACACTTGTGCCACATGCCTCATGACAACATAACAGGGAAGCCATCTGGAATAAAGTGAACATTTAGTATCCTTAACGTGGAGTGGCATAGTTCATACTCATAATGCACAATATCATGTAATAGGCTTAGCTGGATTGTGAGTGTGTAGAGGGAAGAGATCATGTCTTTTGCTCCTTCATTCCCCCTTTCTTTGCATAGGATAATGCTGTGGATGTAGCAAATGCCCAGAAAATGGTTTTTGAATGAAAGCATGGACGAATAAATTTGTGTGCCCTTAGTTCTTCCTAATAAAGGAATAAAGAGGCAAACATCATTACAAACATATATAAAGTCCTGTTCCTTGTACAAGTGTACATCATTCTTAGGCAATGTGTGAGTTGGTTCCTTTTTCATTGATTTATTACATAGGTATTTTGAACCCAATACTTTGAATCAGATATTTTGATGATGAACAAGATAAATGAGTATATCACCAAAATTAGTCTCTTGTCCACTTGATAGCCTCCCTTTTTAACAGATTCCTATGTCCATTTCTCAAGTGGACATGTTTTAAACATTGTTTTTACCTCCCCAAATGTATATTGGTTTTACATTAAATTACACTGATTATTTGGGAACCTCAAAAGACAGTTCAGAAAATCTTTTCCAGTCAGCTTTTGGAACATGTTCTGTAGTTAGAAAATGGTTTAGGATCCCTCTAGGTATATAATGATTAGTTCTTTGATTTTGGATTCTGATCTTTGGGAGACTGACATCCTCAGAACATGTGGCTGTCAGACATTTGGTGTCTTGAGATAATGTACACTCCAGTTCCACATGAGAAAATGGAGGAAGATATAGAAAAAGAGCATAAGGAGAAAAGCTATAGCCCTGGAAAAAATTGGATTCTCTTGATACTTTATTCCTCTGTGGCATTTGTCCCAGGTCAAGGCTGCTGGGAACTTTGATCTCAGGGTGCTGCTCCCTGTTACCCACACTGCTGGACCTTCTAGAAAACCTCAGCAATGGAAACTTTTTTGTTTCTGGAGACTTTTTCAGTAGGAGTCTAGATAATTCTGGATAGGTAAAATATAGCTAGAGATATGTTTCCGTTGCCTTTGATATTTGTAACTGTTTGAAAGTAATATCATGTAATAATTCAAAGATGACATAAGCACTGCAAGATTGGAAATAGTATTTCATATCAATAATGCCAACTGAGGCTCAGCATGGTTGCTCATGTCTGTACTCAGCACTTTCGGAGGCTGAGGTAGGAAACTCACTTAAGCCCAGGAGGTTAAGGCTGCAGTGAGCCATAATCATATCACTGCACTCCAGCCTGGTGACAGAGTGAGACCCTGTCTCAAAAAAAAAAAAAAAATAAATAAATAAATAAAATAAAATAAAAAAGGGGGCTGCTGACATTTATTGGAAGCTAACCACATGATGAGTTGTGTTGCACAAAGTATTTTACATGCATTGTCTCATGCGTTTCATAAACAATGCCATGAGATATGTAGCTCTTAACTTTTGCGGGTGGTAAAATCTGTTGACTTTATTTAAAGCATTCAGTCCAAGTAATACTGGGTACTAGTTTTGTGTCAGGCACTGTCCAGTTGCTGTGATAAAATATAGCAATGTATTAAAGCAGTCACTTTCCTTAGGGCATATTTTCTGTTAATAAAATAATAGTTGGTCTAAAATTGCTCATTTCTTTTGACCGAAGAATACTATGTCAAAAAGTTTGGAATTCGTTAAGAGCATACATAAAATTGTTAAAATATTTTTGTTAAGAATGTAAAAGAAAAATAAAACTTTTTAATTTGAGAAAATGATTTGTATTATTTATATATATTTAAGTTTGCATTTTAAACTAAAAATTAATAAAGCATATTTGTAGTGGCTGTGTTAAAAAAAACAAGCCCTTTTTCTTTTCTCGAGGAAATATGACTTGAGACAGGTTTGCTTAGCTGATTGAATGGAAGACTTCTCATAACAATAAATTAAACAAGCCAGGTAACAAAAAGATGACGGGAAATTTCCATTCATCATTAAAAATATCCTTTATACATAATACGTATATTCTACTGCCTAAATGCATCCTCCAGGTTGCAGAGGCAGAAATTTCAGGGCATGTCACGGATCATACCATGGTGTCAAGCCGACCGATGACTTCAAACGAAAAATCCACACCTCCATCAGTCATTTCCTTTAGCACTTCCTGAATGGGTTTCTTGTAGTCTTGAGGGTTGATGCATTCAGTGGCACCCAACTCTTTAGCCTTTGCAAATTTGTCCTTGTTGATGTCCACAGCAATGATTCTGGCTGCTCCAGCTGCTTTACAGCCCATAACAACAGATAGGCCGACCCCTCCCAGGCCAAACACAGCACAGGTAGACCCTGGGGTGACCTATGTTTTCAGAAAATGCAAAAATGAATTAAATAATGTTTGTTAGAAATTGCTTAAGCTTTATAAAGTGCCATGTCTTGTGTGTTATCAAGAACTACTCAGACTCTTCTGTCCAATCTGTTATCGAAACCTGTTTTGGCTTGAAATGCTTCATGTTTAAATTCAAGGGGTTGAATTAGTTGAGTAGTTCTGAAACTGCTGCATATTAGATTCATCTGGGGAGCTTTAAAAACATCCCACAGTCCAGGTCATAGCCCATGCCAATTAAATGAGAATCTCTGCAGGTGGAACTAAGTCCTCAAGGGACTCCAATGGGTCAGGCTGGGAACCAGGGGACTGGATGATCTTTGAGATCCAGATGACAGTGATTACAATCTTGTAGGGACTCTCAATTGCTGAAATCCCTTGATAGCCAGCTTCAGTATCTCATACATACACCAAGGCAATATTCGGAAAATAAAATAAGTGGAAAAGGCTACTCCAGGAGACTGAAAAATATTCCACTTTAACTCTCAATAATTAACTCCTTTCTTCATTTTTGTTCAGTAGTCGTGACCAGTATATCCCTCCTTTAAAAAATACACTTGTGAACAACACAGCAATGAAACATTAGTCTATATTTTAATAATAAATAAAATCTGTTGTTATGAGTATCCTCAGCTTCTGTTCTTGGGTAGGCTCACTTAGACTACCCATTAAAATAGATGAGGCAATTGAACAAGGGAGTAAGTGCTAAAGTCACCGAAATTTGGAAAAGATGTCCTCTAAATTGTGTAAATTGGCTAGCGGTTATTTACTAAACCTAGTCTCCCATAGTCAGCCTTCGTTTTGGGTAACATGCTGTTCCTGTTCCAAATAATCTCATTCTTATATTCCCTTAAGGGTGTCTATTTCACTCATTCATTCACCAAGTGTTATTCAATACTATGGGGGACAACACCACTTTCTACCTTACTTAGAAAAATACAAGGCTTGTTTGTGACTGTGGTTTAAAAGTGCTAATAATTATGGATTGTGATTTGACATTCAGCAGGAGATTTGTAAAAGATATTTTAGTCTTAGTGCTCATATTAAGCAGAAGTCAGATTTTGGGCAAATATCTTTATATCTCTCGATCTAGGTTTCATAAAATAAAACATACTACTAGATTTTCAGTCTACTCAGATGAGGAGCCTTTAAAGAATTTCTGCTTGAAATTTACCACTTCTGAATACATATGTGTGTTCATGCCAGGGGAGTTAGTTTTAGCAGTGAAATGTCATAATGAGTGAATTATGCATCACTGAGTCTTTATTACTTTCCGTCTAAGAATCCACAGAGTGGGTGAGCCTTGGTTTCGAGGTGCATCAGGTAAGGTTTTGGACTCTACTGTTGATCCTAATTCTGGGAGGAGAGGATCCACAGACTAGATGGTCCTCAAGGGCAAACGCTTCATTTCATTTACTTTTGCTGTCAGAGCCTAGCAGAACCTATGGTGCCTGAGGTATGTATAGGTGCTCTCTAATTGTTGATTGAATTACAACATGAATTAGTTCACAGATCTAAAATTTCATGATCCCATAAACAGCAAATTCAGAAGAAAAATTATTGAAAATGACATCTTTACATTTTCTTAACAAGTTTTTATCTGCAATAAATTGGTGAAATTTCTAGCCTGTGCTCTCAGTTCTTTCTGGGTCATTTTTCTACTCTTAATCGACACTTCAAATCTACAAAAATAATTTCTGATTCTTGCAAGAAATTGCTTCCCTTTTGGTTCCTGACAGTCTGCGTGTAACCGGTTTTATCATCCATTGTCATTTCTACCTTGGCAACTTTGACTGCAGACCCATAACCAGTCGAAAATCCACAGCCAATGAGGCAGACTTTCTCCAGGGGCGAGGCTGCATCAATTTTGGCCACTGCATTCTCATCCACCACTGTGTACTGGGAGAAGGTGCTGACGCCGACGAAGTGGTGGATGGGCTTCCCGCTGCAGGTGAACCTCCTGGTGCCATCCTGCAGGGTCCCCCGAGGATTGCCTAGACTGGGCAGTGCAATACAAAGACACACAAAGGCATGAGACAGGACCATAACTAATGTGCAAACTCAAAGTCTGTGCAAAGAAAGCATCAGAAACTTACTCATTTTTCAAGCAGTAGTTGCTTTCTGGGTTTTTACAAATTCTGCATTTTCCACACTGAGGAGTAAAGAGCGGGATGACTTTATCACCTGCAGAGGAATAAAACAAATTCTTCTTAAATTTCTATGCAGGAATTAATAGAGCAAAAACTTAACGCTCACATGTATAGATTAGAATTATGTGTCTGAAAAGTTTCTAAGAAATAGGGTCTAGTCACAACTATGTCATTTGTCATTGCCTGCCAAGGCATTGTTTTTTAGTTTGGGTTTATAAGTGCCTGAAGAATCCTAAAGAGAAAATACAAGTGTGGGAAACAAGATGGATTAAAAAAATTCCATCAACTGTGTTAATAAAATTTTACGCAGTGCACTAATTTATCCTGGAGGCTTTGCAGATATAATTTATGTAATCCTTGTCTAATTAAATCTTAACTAAATATTTTTGCTGTAAGTATACATATAAATTTTAGTTGAAAGTAGCCTATTTTAGTCCTAGTAGATGTTGGGAAGATCTGGTATTTTGTAAGAATTTGATTTACAACAAAAATGAGATTTTTAACATAGGTCTTGGCTTTTCAAAGAGACTAGGTTTATCTTAATTATAAAATGAATGTTTTCAAAAAGATCTTAGTTCTTTTTTGAGGAAAACTAACAAAAATAGGACAAAGAAGAATTACAGAAATTCGTCTGAAAATTTCTACCTTCCACAACAAGTTAGACACTTTCTTTTAGGATAAGAATTGACTTTCAAGTGTTTTTAGCTGGTAATTTGTGAATTATCTATTTTTACTGTTATGGTGGAAGGAGGAGGGGTGAGAAATAAGGCAGTCGTTTTGATATTAATTTTTTTCTGAGTAAAGGAAATAGAGCTAAAACTCAAATTGGACAGTTTATTTTATTATTTTCTTTTCACAGTCTAAATTAGTACTTGGTAAGTGGACAGGTCGAATCCATTGGCTAAAGTGATTCTTTAAAGACAAATTTTATTTTTAATCACCTATGCTATCTATTTCACAAGACCAAGAAAAATGATTGGTGCATAACATTTTATGGGTAAAGTTCATATGAAAACGATGGTATGGAAATGTCCTAGTTATTCATCCTTAATTAATATAGTAATATTTATATTAATACATAATAAGATTAGGTAAAATAAATATTGAAGATAAAATAATTAGTAATCCATAATCAGTCACATTTAAGCATGGCCAAAGGTAATAAGGCAGACATTGTTGATGGTGGATGGCTCCTGCTATGTTTCTTTCATTTTCTTTCACCTAGTCAGTTTCATTGATTCCATGCTCAGGAAGAGAGACCATGTTGGAAGAGGAAATCGGTAAAGGAGCTGCATAGGTCACCTAAGGAAAGGTCATGTTTCTTCAGCCATAACCATGCAGCCTCCATTTTGTGAACTCAGCACAGAACAGTGTCCATACTTATGTTTTTTTTTCTCCCCTCCCATTTATAGTTTTTTGGGCACTTACAGAAGACAGTGTTCAGCTAACACTAACGTGGAAGTTACTAGATTATGAATTCCACACTGGTAGGCACTGTGTCTCTTTTGATCCTCATATATCTCCAGGCTCTAACCTAGTGCCTGGCATCTAGTAGTACATAATGGTTGAAGGGTAGAATACACGCATGCCTGCCTGAAGTCATACATGCTTGAGTCAGGCAAGCAGAGAGGGAAGGAGGAAACCCCTGAAGTCCCAGCTTCCCTGTGACCTTGTGCAAGTCCTTTCGTCTTTCATTGCCTCGGTTTCCTCATCCAGGCTGACTAATCTTGTGATGGTGAACCAAGGCATGTTCCCTGAGTGTGAATCCTGTACCTGGTTTGACTGTAGTCACCCCTTCTCCAACACTTTCCACGATGCCGGCTGCCTCATGGCCTAAAATCACAGGAAGGGGGGTCACCAGGTTGCCACTAACCACATGCTCATCTGAACGACAGATTCCTGCAGCCACCATCTACAGAATAAAGAGAAGATGTTTAGATTCAGAAAAGATTATGACTGTCAGATGGACTTAACAAACCCAATTTTCTAAAATTGTTATTCAAAAATATTCTCAAGGGTTTTGCTGATAATCCCTACTATTCCCAAATATGAAAGATTCAGTTTATCTCCAAGGTTATCCAGTCTAAAACCTTCCTCTTTTTCCCTTGAATTTAACAATTTAGAATAATCTGTGAGATAATTGATCCTAAAATTTTTGTCTTGTATAATATAGAAGAATGCATAGTTAAAAGAAAAAGAAGTAGAAATTGCAAATTAACACCAAGAAAATATCTAATGCAAATTGATTGTGAACTCTTGATATATATCCCTTTGCATTTTTTTCTGTACAAACCTATAAATTCTTTTGTATTTCACTGGAGTTATCCTTCATATACTGTTTGCCCACTTTAAAAAAATTTAACAATTTATACTTTCCTTGACAACAAATGTAATTTTATTTTCTGGATAATTATATAAAAAATACCTCTAGTGGATTTTGGATGTTTCTATTTTTAATATTTTCTGAATTCTTTAAACTTAAAATTAAATACAAATGGAAAAAGTATTTCACCTTAATGCGAACTTCATGAGCCTTAGGAGGTGCAACCTCTACCTCCTCAATGGAAAAGGGTTTCTTTAACTCCCATAGCACAGCTGCTTTGCATTTGATTACCTAGAACATCAGACAGAGAGATGGTACCAGTGTTTTCCCACGCTTGCAGTCAGAAATTGTGTCTTTTCATCTTTGTACATGCAACATTGAGTCCCATGTCTGGCACCTAACAAGTGTTGCATAGAAATGAAGTCCTCTGGTTTATAAAGAGAATAAGAGTATCTTTTAAAAAAGCAATAACATAAGGAAAGATAAACAGAGTTAAGTACAATAAGGCACTTAGATAAAATGGAATATATTCATTTAGGTTATTCTTTTTTATTTTATTTTATTTTTTTTGAATGTTTTTTTAATTATACTTTAAGTTTTAGGGTACATGTGCACATTGTGCAGGTTAGTTACATATGTATATATGTGCCATGCTGGTGCGCTGCACCCACTAACTCGTCATCTAGCATTAGGTATATCTCCCAATGCTATCCCTCCCCCCTCCCCCCACCCCACAATAGTCCCCAGAGTGTGATATTCCCCTTCCTGTGTCCATGTGATCTCATTGTTCAATTTCCACCTATGAGTGAGAATATGCGGTGTTTGGTTTTTTGTTCTTGCGATAGTTTACTGAGAATGATGATTTCCAGCTTCATCCATGTCCCTACAAAGGACATGAACTCATCATTTTTTATGGCTGCATAGTATTCCATGGTGTATATGTGCCACATTTTCTTAATCCAGTCTATCATTGTTGGACATTTGGGTTGGTTCCAAGTCTTTGCTATTGTGAATAATGCGGCAATAAACATACGTGTGCATGTGTCTTTATAGCAGCATGATTTATAGTCCTTTGGGTATATACCCAGTAATGGGATGGCTGGGTCAAATGGTATTTCCAGTTCTAGATCCCTGAGGAATCGCCACACTGACTTCCACAATGGTTGAACTAGTTTACAGTCCCACCAACAGTGTAAAAGCGTTCCTATTTCTCCACATCCTCTCCAGCACCTGTTGTTTCCTGACTTTTTAATGACTGCCATTCTAACTGGTGTGAGATGGTATCTCATTGTGATTTTGATTTGCATTTCTCTGATGGCCAGTGATGATGAACATTTTTTCATGTGTTTTTTGGCTGCATAAATGTCTTCTTTTGAGAAGTGTCTGTTCATGTCCTTCGCCCACTTTTTGATGGGGTTGTTTGTTTTTTTCTTGTAAATTTGTTTGAGTTCATTGTAGATTCTGGATATTAGCCCTTTGTCAGATGAGTAGGTTGCGAAAATTTTCTCCCATTTTGTAGGTTGCCTTTTCACTCTGATGGTAGTTTCTTTTGCTGTGCAGAAGCTCTTGAGTTTAATTAGATCCCATTTGTCAATTTTGGCTTTTGTTGCCATTGCTTTTGGTGTTTTAGACATGAAGTCCTTGCCCATGCCTATGTCCTGAATGGTAATGCCTAGGTTTTCTTCTAGGGTTTTTATGGTTTTAGGTCTAACGTTTAAGTCTTTAATCCATCTTGAATTAATTTTTGTATAAGGTGTAAGGAAGGGATCCAGTTTCAGCTTTCTACATATGGCTAGCCAGTTTTCCCAGCACCATTTATTCTTTTGATTTTTTTTTCTCCAAAGATGTTTAATCCTGATATTTTCTAACACTGTCCTGAAGACAACTGTTTACCCACAACTATTGGCTGGTACATGTTCTAAGTCACCTTTACTTTGCTGACAGAGTCAGTGTCTGTCCAAAATACACTGCTTTCTTGCTCAATTTTCTGCTTAGGCCAAAAGGATCTGACTCCATAAAAACAGTTATACATTTACCTTCCTGCTTAGGATGATGTCTCTTTCTCTATTTGCCTATTGTCCTCTTTTAATTTTCTCTCTCCACTTCTGTGTTACTTGTCTCAAACACCCATTTGAAACTTAGCTTTGGCAGCCTGTTTTGTTCATCTAATTTATGTGCAGAGACTCCTTCCAGCTTAGATTTGAGCCCAAAATTACAGAGGTTAGAGTTGGTGTTGTGTATGTGTGTTTCTGTGTGTGTGTGTGTGTGTGTGCATTCAGACCACACACATGTATTTAAAAACTGGAGAAACTGTGTATTTGAGTTTCTAGCTAGCAAGCTTATCCACAGATGTCCTTAAAAATAAAAGCTGATCACATATTTCCAGTGCTTGGCAGTGTACTGTAAAACCCATCTTTATTGTGGTAAAGCATGTACAATTCACTGAGCTCTTTCTTTACAGAATCAACATAATTGCAAATATAATAAAAATTCAATTGAAATTTCATCTTCTGCCAATTAATTTTCATTATTCATTTGTCAAATCCTTCAACTTTGCAGGATTTTCAATGTGGTCCATGCCAAAATAAATATCAGAATACTTGGAAATAAAGTTCTAATAGTAGGAGTTTCTGATTGTCAGGTGCCTATGATGTGACAGGTGCACTGTGGCTTGTGCTGAGTGAGTTACATGCATTATTTTTATTTTTAAAATTTATTTATTTTTAATTTCAATAGTTTTTGGGGTGCAGGTTGTTTTTGATTACATGGATAAGTTCTTTAGTGGTGGTTTTTGAGATTTGCTGCATGTGTCACCCGAGCAGTGTACACTGTATCCAACGTGTAGTCTTTTATCCCTAACCAAAGTCCTCTATATCATTCTTATGCCTTTGTATCCTCATAGCTTAGCTCCCACTTATAAGTGAGACCATATGGTATTTGGTTTTCCATTCCTGAGTTACTTCACTTAAAATAATGGCCTTCAGCTTCATCCAAGTGGCTGCAAAGGCCATTATTTTGTTCCATTTTATGGCTGAGTAGTATCTCATGGTGTACATATACCACATTCTCTTTATCCACTCGTTGGTTGATGGGCATTTAGGAAGTTTCCATATTTTTGCAATTGCAAATTGTGCTGCTGTAAACAATATGAATTACTTTTAAACCTAAAACGGATGCTACCAGGACAGTACTATTGAATTATTGGTCTTACTACATCTGAAATAATTGAGGATCAACTGACTCAGTGATTGAATAATTTTCCTGAAGTCTCAAAGCTGGCTGTCCAGAGAATAAAGATCAGGCCGGGTGCAGTTGCCCATCCCTTTAATCCCAGCACTTTGGGAGGCCGAGGTGGGCGGATCACCTGAAGTCAAGAGTTGGAGACCAGCCTGACCAACATGGTGAAACCCTGTCTCTACTAAAAATGCTAAAATTAGCCAAGCATGGTGGCGTGTACCTGTAAACTCAGCTACTTGTGAGGCTGAGGCAGGAGAATCACTTGAACCCGGGAGGCAGAGGTTGCAGTGAGCCGAGATCACCATTGCACTCCAACCTGGGCAATAGAAAGATACTCCATCTCCAAACAAAAAAACGAATGAAAAAATTAATGTAGCCTCACGTTTTCTGTACTCCGTGGTAGTAAATATCAAAAAGTTATAAAGCAACAATAATAACAGTGGCTAATATTTATTGACTTATTTTTATTTACCAGGTACTATTCTAAGTGCTTTTCACTATTAATTTACTGAATTCTCACAACTACCTTATGAAATAGACATTAGTATTGTCACAATTTAGGATTGAGGAAAATAAAATGCAGGACGGGTAAACATAAATGAAATGCTGTCAAAAAGCTAAGTTATTGATGTTGCACTCAAGAGGGGAGGATTATCTATTTCATCAGTTATTATTTTCATTAATGATTGGTTTATACTTTTGCTCTATGAACTCATTATTTCTTTTAAGTCGAGTTTAGTAAATGGTAAATTTAAATTTTCTTTTTTCTAATTATTTTCTATGAGGAATGTAAATATTAATCAATAATGAATGAAAGTAAAGTAAAGTGAAGTGGTGTAAGAACAGTACCAATGGGCCACTCATGTGATTTCCAACCAGTCTTATTGACATGAGCCTGTTTTGTCGCACAGCATAAAGGTAAGCCTCAGAACCTTTAAACTGAATTATCATAGTGAGGTGTTTTATTGTGTGATACACTCCTAGCACAACAAATGGCTGGAAATAGTTGCACAGATTTTTTTAAATTAGGCAATTAATAATATCAATTGATTATATTGAATGACCACATGCATTTCTGTGCACCTGTAAACACATTGAAAAATAAGTATAAATTTATAGAAGAAAAAACAAATATTTGTGTTCTGAGTGCTAATAAGTGATTCAAATTGCATTATTATTTTTCTGTAAGATCATATTGACTTTTATATAGGGGAGATACTGTTCCATAAGATTTCTGTGGAAATTGCCTGAATTGTGTCATAATGGGCCCCCTTTAAACGGAATTTGAATGTGATGTCTTGCTTAACCTTGATGATTCTAATGCTGTGAGATCAATGAGTATTTTGTAAGATATTTTATAGTAAGATTAAAAGTATATTTCAAAATCTTCTCAAATCCCTCTCATAAAAGTTTTGTCAGACTTCTTGTGTTCACAAAAAATATGAATACAAATAATAACACATTTAAATTATGCTTTCTTAATATAAAGATAGCTTCTGATTAAAGACTTTTCTAACTTTAGGTTTACAAATCAGTCATGATTAGCTTGGAATAAACTATCACTTTACGGCAAATTTATTTAATGTAGGAAATAAAGACAATAGATACAGATTCTATATATTCTTTTTGAAGGTATTTAGGAATAGCTTATTTCCACTGTAGTTCAGTATACATTACATATTATAGCATATATTGCATATCATATTCCAGTGTATCATTTCTAATTTAGATATGAATTTTAAATTATTCATCATCTAATTTAGATATGAATTTTAAATTTTAAATTATTCATTATTAATACTGTATTCCTTTATTTGTTATATTGAAGAGAATATATTATCAACAGTAATATATTTTTTGCTTACTTTTCCTGCTGTGCTCATATTGATTCTGTCTTCTCTGCAGACCAGGAGGCTGGTGAGTACTTGTGGATTTCTTCTCTGCTTGAGTGCATAAAGCAGGTATGTTGCACAGGTATTTATTTTGTTTGCTCATATAACACCCAATTCCAACTACACACGTGATCTAGGTTTTTAAGCCACACCCGTCGTATTCTTCTCAGACTATCAAATCATAAAGAAATGGGCACCGAACCAGCACTCAAAACCTTGACTTTTCCAATTTCAGATAAGATTTTGCTATCATTCGGTTAAATATTAAGTTAAAACGATACATTTTAATTACTTTCTCTCTTCCTCCTCTCTCAAGTTCCTGCTTCTCTTCTCTCAAACCCACAGGGGTCATTCAGAGTTCAGTTTTCCCTTTGGGGTCATTCAGAATTCCGTTTTCCCTTTGTCTGCACTAAGCTGCAATTTTGAATCCACATGGTGCAGTTACGAAGGAGGAGTAGGGAAATTGGATAAACAAAGTGGAACAGAGAGAGCTAGGAGCCAGAGGAGTGTGTTTGATACAGCACTCTCCTCTTTATAGCAGAAAATCAGACACCCCATCAGTCACAGCAAAGGGGCTCACTGTGCCTTGCATTTCTAGTCCACTCAATAACAATCAGCATTGATTGAGCATCTCCCTGTGTCAGGCACTAAGCTGGGGCTGATGGGGTGGCAGTGATAAATAAAACTTGACTCTTACCTCTGCTGAGAGGCAGTATAGGGAAGCGGTTATGACACAGCCTTTGGGATCAGACAGACTATTCCTTAGCAGCTCTGTATACTTGGACTTATTAGTTGACTGTTCTTTGCCTTAGTTTCCTCGTCTTTAAGGTGAGAATGAATAGTATTGTGTCCAGAAGCTGCAGACCTTCGCAGTGAGTGTCAGAGCTCTTAAAGGTGACATGTCCAGAGTTGTTCATTCCTCCCAGTGGCTTCATGGTCTCACTGACTTCAGGAGTGAAGCTGCAGACCTTCACAGTGAGTGTTACAGCTCTTAAACATGGCACGTCCAGAGTTGTTTGTTCCTCCTGGTGGGTTCATGGCCTTGCTGGCTTCAGGAGTGAAGCTGCAGACCTTTGCCATGAGTGTTACAGCTCATAAAGGTAGCATGGACCCAAAGAGTGGGCAGCAGCAAGATTTATTGCGAAGAGCAAAAGAAGAAAGCTTCCATGGCATGGAAGGGGACCTGAGTGGGTTGCTGCTGCTGTCTTGGGTGGCCAGCTTTTATTCCCTTATTTGGCCCCCCCCACCCCATGTCCTGCTGATTGGTCCATTTTACAGAGCGCTGATTGGTCCATTTTACAGAGTGCTGATTGGTCCGTTTTTACAGAGTGCTGATTGGTGCATTTACAAACCTTTAGCTAGACACAGAGCACTGATTGGTGCATTTTTACAGAGTGCTGATTGGTGCGTTTACAAACCTTTAGCTAGACACAGAGCACTGATTAGTGCATTTTTACAGAGTGCTGATTGTTGTGTTTACAAACTTTTAGCTAGACACAGAGCACTGATTGGTGTGTTTACAATCCTTTAGCTAGACAGAAAAGTTCTCCAAGTCCCTACCTGACCCAGAAGTCCAGCTGGCTTCACCTCTCAATAGACAGAAAGAGAGAGAGAGGAAGAGACAGAGACAAAAAGGGAGTCAGAAAGAGAGAGACAGAGAGAGGAAGAGAGACAAAGAGGGAGTCAGAGAGAAAGAAAGTAAGAGACAAAGTCAAAGACAGAGAGGGAGAGACAGACAAAAAAGGGAGTCAGAAAGAGAGAGACAAAGAAGAAGTCAAAGAGAAAGAGAGAAGTAGTAAAGAAAAAATAGTGTACTCTATTCCTTTAAAAGCCAGGGTAAATTTAAAACCTATAATTGATAATTGAAGGTCCTCTCTGTAACCCTATAACACTCCAATACCATTTTGTTGTCAGTGTAAACAAGGGAGTAGCCCGACAGCACTGAGGCCACTGACAACCTGTAGCCTTCCTATCAAAAATCTTTAAACCAACAAGTTTCCTAACAGGGGATCTAAATCTTAATTAATTACCATACAAAGTTCCTACCAGATCTAGGAGGAGCTCAGAACAGGACAATAGATGTTTCCTCCAGGGTGATTAAGGGAAAAAGACACAATGGGTATTCAGTAGGTAATAAGGAAACTCTTGTAGAAGCAGAGTTAGGAAAATTGCCTAATAATTGGTCTGTTCGAACGTGGGAGTTGTTTTGCACTCAGCCAAACCTTAAAGTACTTACAGTATCAGGAAGGAGCCATCTATACCAACTCTAAGTTAATATGGACTGAACGAGGTCTTATTAATAGCAAAGAATAATTGAAATCCCAAACTTACAAGTTTTTCAACAAAAGTAAAGTTTGCTAAAAGTTAACAGTGTAACATGTATTATCCTACTACCACACACTCTCAAGGGATCTCTCAGTTTACAAGAAACAGTGAAATCTATCCTTACTCTACAATCCCAAATAGACTCTTTGACAGCAGTGACACTCCAAAACCTCTGAGGCCTAGACCTCATCACTGCTGAGAAAGGAGGACTCTCCACCTTCTTAGGGGAAGAGTGTTGTTTTTACACTAACCAATCAGGGATAGTACGAGATGCCTCCCAGCATTTACAGGAAAAGGCTTCTGAAATCAGACAATGCCTTTCAAACTCTTATACCAACCTCTGGAGTTGGGCAACATGGCTTCTCCCCTTTCTAGGTCCCGTGGCTGCCATTTGCTATTACTTGCCTTCAGGCCCTGTATTTTTAACCTCCTTGTCAAATTTGTTTCCTCTAGAATCGAGGCCGTCAAGCTACAGATGGTCTTACAAATGGAACCCCAAATGAGCTCAACTTCTACTGAGGACCCCTGGACCAACCCACTGGCCCTTTCACTGGCCTAAAGAGTTCCCCTCTGGAGGACACTACAACTGCAGGGCCCCTTCTTCGCTCCTATCCAGCAGGAATTAGCTAGAGCAGTCATCGCCCAATTCCCAACAGCAGTTGGGGTGTCATGTTTAGATGGGGGATTGAGAGATGAAGCCAGCTGGGCTTCTGGGTCAGGTGGGGACTTGGAGAACTTTTCTGTCTAGCTAAAGGATTGTAAACACACCGATCAGTGCTCTGTGTCTAGCTAAAGGTTTGTAAATGCACCAATCAGCACTCTGTAAAAACGCACCAATCTGCGTTCTGTGTCTAGCTAAAGGTTTGTAAACACACCAATCAGCACTCTGTAAAAATGCACCAATCAGTGCTCTGTGTCTAGCTAAAGGTTTGTAAATGCACCAATCAGCTCTCTGTAAAAATGGACCAATAAGCACTCTGTAAAATGGACTAATCAGCACTCTGTAAAATGGACCAATCAGCAGGATGTGGGCAGGGCCATATAAGGGAATAAAAGCTGGCCACCCAAGACAGCAGCAGCAACCCGCTCTGGTCCCCTTCCATGCCATGGAAGCTTTCTTCTTTTGCTCTTCGCAATAAATCTTGCTGCTGCTCACTCTTTGGGTCCACACTACCTTTATGAGCTGTAACACTCACCACGAAGGTCTGCAGCTTCACTCCTGAAGCCAGCAAGACCACGAACCCACCAGGAGGAAAAATAACTCCGGACGCGCCACCTTTAAGAGCTGTAACACTCACTGTGAAGGTCTGCGGCTTCACTCCTGAAGTCAGTGAGACCACAAACCCACAGAAAGGAACAAACAACTCTGGACGTGCCACCTTTAAGAGCTCTAACACTCATTGCGAAGGTCTGCAGCTTCACTCCTGAAGTCAGCGAGACCACAAACCCACCAGAAGGAAGAAACTCCAGACACATCTGAACATCTGAAGGAACAAACTCCAGACACACCATCTTTAAGAACTGTAACACTCACTGCGAGGGTCCACGGCTTCATTCTTGAAGTCAGCGAGACCAAGAACCCACCAGAAGGAACTAATTCTGGACACAGTAGCACCTCTTTAAAAGATTGTTTAGTGAGTTAATGAAATAATCCATGTAAAGCATCTATGGCAGATAGGAGAATCTTCAACAAATATTAGCTACAATTATTATCCATAAATGGAAGCTCTCAATCTAGGGAGGAAAAAGGCACACAGTAGGCATGTCAGCCTATCTGGGTAGTACTGTGTCAGGTACAGGGCATTCTGATCAAAGAACTTAGAGGAAGAAGGCTTTGTAGAGAGATGTTTAGAAACAAAAGTGATCACTTTGGCAAACAGACCAAAAAACTCACTTGGGCACTCCATTGTTCTTTGTTTAATGCCATGAATATAAGTGAATACGAGTTTGATTTAAAAAAAATAAATCTCAAGTCTTCTACCAAGACTTGAGGACTACAATGCATTTAACTATTCAATTGGATGTAGTCTGTCAACATATATACATAAACTATATTTTTCTAGAATTGTCAAAGGAACAACATTATTGTCTGTTTCTAACTACACCAATTATGCAGGTGTAGAGAGTCCTGCTAGGGGTGCACTACTCCACCTATCAGAGAGGTGAGAAAGGTTTTTCATTTCCTCATTGTGGTCTTATGGTGATTGAGTAGGCATCACTTCTAGAAAATCGCCATCACTCTGCTCACCCACTTTGTGGAGAGCAGTGTAAAGGAAGGAAGTCTAGCTACTTAGTCTGGATAACATCAAGGAGTTCACCTGTTGCAACCAATTTGAAAGACTCATTGGATTGGCCTGTTTACAGAGTGATGGACAGACATGGTAGGGTATCAGAAATAATTTGAATTCCTAATATATTGGTGGTTTATTTATGAGGCATAAATTTGCAGGAAGTTAATGGCCATAATTTATTGAGCACCTACTATGTTTTCAGAACTCAGAGTTTTCCACACATTGTTACACAGAATCCTTAGTGCAATCATACAAGGAAGGTATTATTATTAGTCTCATTTTATAGATGAGGTAAGAGAAGCTCAAAAGTTGTAGATCTCTAAATGTGCTTTTTAAGTCAGAGATGTTGGCTTCAAGAACAGAACTGCAGTCAGGCTAGTGTTAATGAGTTTTATAGTATAATATAACAGACAGTCACAGAAACATCAAAGGACAAGAAGTGGGTGGTATATCTTGAGCAACTGGACATCAGGGGCTGTCTCTCCTCATTGCTTCTCTCTTTTTCTTTTTCTCTTTCTGAGTACACTCTGGCCCTGACTCTTCTATCTTTTAGCTAGAGTCTCTCGATCACACAGTTGAGTCAGGGGTCCAACCTGGGTCTGATGTCTGGCCATGAAGCAATCAGTGAAAACCAGAGGGTTGAGGTTATGCAGGTGTAGAAAGCCACATCATTTTCAAAGGTGTCACAAAGCTAGTAAATGGCAGAGGCAGAATGCCAAGTCACATCTGTCTGATGCCCATATTCTTTCCACTAAAAAAAAAGGAGTGGGGCTGGAAAGAGTTTGAGTACGACTTTCGGCTATCTACCCTGAATGATAGCTCCACACTGCACAAGGCTTGAGGAAAAACACTGTAACTGGCAAGGAGCTCAGAAGCAATACTCTTCAAATTCCTCATTTTATTGGCCAAATGACTTGGCAAGACAATGTGGTTAATATTTATTTAAATATATTTGGATAAGGAAAATACAGGATTGTTCTCACAGTTCCATAGTCTAACATCTTTCAAATATTGTGAGGTTGAGGCAGGCTGAGGAGCAAAAAGTCTAAGCTTCTAGGGCCGTATGTTTAATCTACCCAAATCCAACACCACAAATCAAGTATTCATTTCACTTTGACATTGAAACCAAAGTTGGTGAGAGAGTTAAAGTTGTCTCCTCTACCCTTGGGTTAGAAAATATTTTTCCAACTTGGTCCTAATTCTCTCATAAAACACATATATACAGAGTGTTGGAAATGCTTGTTCATATCTCTCCCTGTGAAAGTTTTTGGGAAATAATCTGAGAAAAGCCAAAAGACAAAGTTGTACACATATTCCTGGCAGCTTCCTCTGAGTACCAAACTAAAAAAACTTAATGCTCAGCAAACGGTTTAGTGAAATATTATAGACTGGTATAAGAAAATGCTATGCCAATAATCATTTTAACATGATGGAGAAAAAATATTATATAATAATTTAAAATAATAAAAAATGGCATGAATTCCACAATTTCAACAATAAAAGAATATATACAAATGATGGGTACCATCTGATTTGGTTTGACTCTGTGATTCCACCCAAATCTCACCTTGAATTGTAATCCCGATGATCCCCATGTGTCAAGGGTGGGACCAGATGGAGGTAATTGGATCATGGCAGTGGTTCCCCCATGCTGTTCTCATGATGAATGAGTCTCATGAGATCTGATGGTTTTATAAGCATCTGGCATTTCCCCTGCTGCACTCACTCTGTCCTGCCACCCTTTTAAGAAGGTGTCTGCTTCTCCTTTGCTTTCCACCATGACTGTAAGTTTCCGAGGCCTCCCCAGCAATGCAGAAGTATGAGTCAATTAAACCTCTTTCCTTTATAAATTACACAGTCTCAGATATTTCTTTATAGTGTGAGAAGAGACTAATAAACCGTCTATATATTGAAAATAGTTTTTTAAGGATGAAGAATCTACAGTGATTTCCCATAGAATCATATTATTTTCATTGATAATCACATTATATTACTAACAATGGCCAAAATGTATTGAGTGATTACTTTATTAAGTGCTTTACTGATATCTTTTAACTTAATTCTCTTTAGGAAAATAGTATCATAAGTCACACTTTGTAAAGAAACTGAGGACAAAAGAGGTTAAGCAAATTCCTGAGATACAATTCTAAGAAGTTTTCCCCAGAGTTCAAGTTCCTAACTAAGGAATAATAATGATGGTAATAATGAGAGGTGATAACATGCTAGCAGCCCTCGCTTGCTCTGGGTGCCTCTTCAGCCTCGGCGTCCACTCTGGCCACACTTGAGGAGCCCTTCAGCCTGCCGCAGCACTATGGGAGCCCCTCTCTGGGCTGGCCAAGGCCGGAGCTGGCTCCCTCTGCTTGCAGGGAGGTTTGGAGGGAGAGACGCAGGCAGGAACCAGGGCTGCGGCACTCATGGGCCAGTGTGAGTTCCGGGTGGGCATGGGCTCGGTAGGCCCTGCACTCAGAGCACTTGGAGCGGCTGGCCGGCACCACCGGCCCCAGGCAGTGAGGGGCTTAGCACCCAGGCCAGCAGCTGCAGAGGGGGTGCCAGGTCCCCCAGCACTGCTGGCCTGCCTGCGCCACGATTGAATTCTTGCCGGGCCTCAGCCACCTCCCCATGGGGCAGGGCTCGGGACCTGCAGCCCACCATGCCCGAGCCCCCCCGCAGTGGGCTTGGGCATGGCCCGAGCCTCCCTGACGGGCACCTACCCCTGCTCTGCACCTGGTCCCATTGGCCGCCCAAGGGCTGAGAAGTGCAGGCGCACAGCGCGGGACTGGCTGGCAGCTCTGCCCACGGCCCTGGCACGGGACCCACTAGGTGAAGCCAGCTGGGCTCCTGAGTCAGGTGGGGACTTGGAGAACGTTTATGTCTAGGCAGAGGATTGTATATTCACCAACCAGCACTCTGTGTCTAGCTTGGGGTTCGTGGATGCACCAATCAGCACTCTGTATCTAGCTAATCTGGTGGGGACTTGGAGAATTTTATGTCTAGCTAAAGGATTGTAAATGCACCAATCAGCACTCTGTGTCTAGTTCAAGGTTTGTAAACACACCAATCAGCAGCCTGTGTCTAGCTCAAGGTTTGTAAATGCACCAATCAGTGCTCTGTGTCTAGCTAATCTAGTGGGGACTTGGAGAACTTTTACATCTAGCTAAAGGATTGTAAATACACCAATCAGCACTCTGTGTCTGCTCAAAGTTTGTAAACATACCAATCAGCACTCTGTGTCTAGCTCAAGGTTTGTAAACACACCAATCAGCACTCTGTGTCTAGCTCAAGGTTTGTAAACACACCAATCAGTGCTCTGTGTCTAGTTAATCTAGTGGGGACTTGGAGAACTTTTACGTCTAGCTAGAGGATTGTAAATACACCAATCAGCACTCTGTGTCTAGCTCAGGGATTATAAACGCACCAATCAGCACCCTGTCAAAATGGACCAATTAGGTCTCTGTAAAATGGACCAGTCAGCAGGATGTGGGTGGGACCAGATAAGGGAATAAAATCAGGCTGCCCACCAGCAGCCGCAACCCACTTGGGTCCCCTTCCACACTGTGGAAGATTTGTTCTTTTGCTGTTTGCAATAAATCTTGCTGCTGCTCATTCTTTGGGTCTGCACTGCCTTTATGAGCTGTACCACTCACCGTGAAGGGTCTGCAGCTTCACTCCTGAGGCCAGCGAGACTACAAACCCACTGGGAGGAATGAACAACTCCGGATTGGAGGAACAAACAACTCCAGACGTGCTGCCTTAAGAGCTGTAGCACTCACCGTGAAAGTCTACAGCTTCACTCCTGAAGCCAGCGAGACCATGAACCCACCAGAAGGAAGAAACTCCAAACATGTCCGAACATCAGAAGGAGCAAACTCTGGACACACCATCTTTAAGAGCTGTAACACTCACCACGAGGGTCCGTGGCTTCATTCTTGAAGTCAGCGAGACCAAGAATCCACCAATTCCAGACACAATAACAACAGCTAACAATTAAGTGCCACTTAATATATGCCAGGCAGTGTTCTAAGTGCCTTATGTTTACTAACTCATTTAATCCTCAGATCAATCCTATGATTTAGGTAGTAATATGATTCCTTTCTTCAGGTAAGAAAACCATAGCCCAGAACCAGGGCCCCCAGCCAGGGTGTGGCTGAATCAGAGTTAGAACTCAGACTGTCTGCCTCCAAAGTCTGTACTTTCATCTGCTCACTGCTCTAGTTCCAGGACTTAGTAGAAATAGCAAGGAAGGAATGAAGAAATAAATTTTAAAGAAAAAATCAAAGAACTTATGATAACTCCAAAACAATTCCAAACATTCCTGCCTGAAGGAGTGGGAGGAAAGTAGCTTTATTGACTAACAAAGGAGGTTAATTTGAACATGTTAAATTTTAGGTAACTTTGAAATATGCTGAGTGAAAGTTCCAGCTGGGTCATGGGAAGCATGGGGATGTTGTGTGCAATATAAAATTACTCAATACATGGATTTGAGACCAATAATGTGAGAGGTGATAATTTCTAACTCTCAGTATGAATTAATTTTTTGAGAGAGAAATTTTAGAGGGAAGAGCAGTCTTCAAGAAAATTGACAGTAAAAAGTGAAGAGATGGACAGCAATCTGAAAATTACATAAGGCAGAGTCATGAAAAGAAGATAACTCTGCAGCAGGAAGTCAAGAGGAAAGAAGCTGAAGGAAGCCTTGGAATTGGTTCCCAGAGGTCCTTCATGACTGTGGAAGGAGGGTAGAACTGCAGCCACAGGCTGAGGAATCAGAAAGGGTCAGAAAGGGGAGCAAGTTATTCTTTAGGAAGTTTGTCATCCAAGGGAAGGAAACAGTAGAGCAGCTGGAGGGAAAATTAGATTAAGTGGGAGATTCTTTCACAGCAGTTAGTTGTCTGTGCAAGACCCATGGCAGTCTAGAAAGATTATTTACCCTATTGTCTCACACAGTTTATTTATTTACCTATTGTTTCACAAGATCATGGCAGTCTGGAAAGATCTGGGGCCCTGGTTCTGGGCTATGGTTTCCTTACCTGTGAAAAGGAATCAGATTAGTACCTACATCATAGGATTGATCTGAGGATTAAATGCGTTAGTAAACATAAAGCACTTAGAACAGTGCCTGGCATATATTAAGTGCCACTTAATTGTTAGCTGTTTTTATCATCATTATTATTCCTTAGTTAGGAAATTGAACTCTGGGGAAAACCTCTTAGAATTGTATCTCAGTCAGGAAAGATCAGGGGTGTCTGAAGATGCTGGAGAAAGGAGAACCTCTTGAAACAGTGCTGGGAAGGATCAGAGGGAGGAGTTTCATTTTCTAAAAGGGAGATGTCATATATGTGGCCATTGGAGGGAAGCAAGTATGAGTGTAGGCTGGAGTTGAAGTAAACAAAAATGCAATGTTGTTTATTTACCTATTGTCTCACAGTTTATCCTTTTATAATTTGTTCTATGCTGCCAGTGCTGTGATTCTCCAAATCTGATTTCCTAGTCTACCTTGACATCTGGCTTTTCTAATGTTTCTGCCAATGAGAGGTACTAGAGAGATTTGAAAGCAGTGGAGGGGAGAAGGGACTTACTTTCCAATTCCCACTAGTGTCACTCCATGTCACATGGTTGGGTCAGCTGTTTTAGGCCCTCTTGGCACCAGCCTTGCCTTATTCTCACAGGGATCAGCCACAGCTGGGCCACACTCTCTTGGCAGTGTAAGTATGAGCTTTGCCTTCTGAGCAGCCACTGGGCTATACCCTTTCCTCTGAGGTTTTAGTTCTGGTAACTGTACCACTTTTTTTTTTTTTGTCCTCCCTCAGGAGCTTAATGTTCTTAATGTTTTGGGTGACCTCAGTTTGCCCTTTGTAATTTTTTCACCTTCCAACACATCAATAACCAACTTTCTGTATTAAATCACCTTTGTTTGAAAGAATTTTCTTTCCCTTTCCTAACTGGATACATTGATACAGTTCTTGGCCCCAGCAGTGGTTCCAGAAGCAGACCCTCAAGTAAACATGTGTTTACATAGATTTACTTTCTATCTTTTTTCTTATTCTTTCTTTTTTTGTTTTTTTCCATATCTGAGTTGATGTCTTTTTAATGATTATAATTTGCTAATATAGAAAGCAGTGGAGTGAGTTAGTTTAAGGGATGTGAAAAGAGAGGAAAAGATCCAGAAGAGTCAACCAAGGGGAAGCCAGTGGAGCTGACTAATGGGCCCCAGTTGCTCTCTTCTCTTATAGACTTGATATAGCTCTGCTCTGCAATTTTCTACACACCCTGCATTGGCTTTCAAGTAGAAGTTTTCCAGAGCACTTCCAAGGTGTGTGAAATGTAGTATCTTTAGAATTCTTATACAATATAGTCACTGAAAATGTTATCCCCAGCCATATATACTTATTTGCACAATGCTATGAACTTTGTTCTACAATTTTTATTCATTTTGTATTTTGTGAATTTTGGAATGCAAGCAACTCTTTTTTTGAACACTAAAATAATCTTAATTTTTAATTTTCATGGCTACCCAGTAGATGTATATACTTATGGGGTACATGAGATATTTTTGTATAGGTATGCAATGCATAAAAATCACATCATGGAAAAGTAGGTATCCATCCCCGTAAGTATTTATTCTCTGTGTTACAATCTAATTATACTCTTTTAGTTATTTTAAAGTGCATAATTATTATTGATTATAGTCCCCCTGTTATGCTGTCAAATACTAGGTCTTATTTATTCTAACTATTTTTTTGTACCCATTAACCATCCTCACTTTCCTCCATCCCTCTCACTACCCTTGCTGGCCTCTGGTAACCATCCTTCTATTCTCTCTCTCCGTAAGTTCAATTGTTTTGATTTTCAGATCCCAAAAATAAGTGAGAACATGTGATGTTTGTCTTTCTCTGCCTGGTTTATTTATTTAACATAATGACTTCTAGTTCCATCCATGTTGTTGCAAGTGACAGGATCTCATTCTTTTTCGTGGATGAATAGTACTCCATTGTGTATACGAAGCACATTTTCTTCATCCATTCATCTGTTGATAGATACTTGGGTTGCTTCCAAATTTTCGCTCTTGTGAACAGTGCTGCAATAAACATGGGAGTGCAGATATCTCCTTAATATACTGATTTCCTTCCTTGGGTTATATACCCAGCAGTGGGAGTGCAGGATAACATGGTAGCTATATTTTTAATTTTTTTGAGGAACCTCCAAAATGTTCTCCATAGTGGTCGTACTGGCTTCCATTCCTACCAACAGTGTATGAGGTTTCCCTTTTCTCTACATCCTCGCCAGCATTTGTTATTGCCTGACTTTTGCATAAAAGACATTTTAGGCTGGGTGCAGTGGCTCACGCCTCTAACCCTAGAATTTTGGGAAGCCAAGGCAGGTGGACCATGAGGTCAGGAGATTGAGACCATCCTGGCCAACATGGTGAAACCCCGTCTCTACTAAAATATAAAAAGTTAGCTGGGCATGGTGGTGCATGCCTGTAGTCCCAGCTACTTCAGAGGCTGAGGTAGAGGAATCACTTGAACCCAAGAGGCGGAAGTTTCAGTGAGCAGAGATCGTGCCACTGCATTCTGGCCTGGTGATGGAGCAAGACTCCATCTCAGAAAAAAAAAAAAGCCTATTTAATGGGGATAGGATGATATCTCATTGTAGCTTTGATTTGCCTTTCTCTGATGATCAATGATCGTCATCATATGCATGTTTGCCATTTGTTTGTCTTTTTGTGAGAAATAGCTATTCAAAACTTTAGCCCATTTTAAAATTGAATTATTAGATTTCTTTCCTAGAATTGTTTGAGCTCTTTATATATTCTGGTTATTAATTATTTGTCAAATGGGTTTTTCTTCAAATATTTTCTCCCATTCTGTGAGTTGTCTCTTCACTTTGTTCATTGTTTCCTTTGCTATGCTGAAGTTTTTTTTTTAACATGATGTGACCCCATTTGTCCATTTTTGTTTTGGTTGCCTGTGCTTATAGGGTATTATTCAAGAAGTTTTTGCCCAGACCAACGTCCTGGAGAGCTTCCCCAATGTTTTCTTGTAGTAGTTTCATACTTTAGGGTCTTAGATTTTAAGCCTTTAATCCATTTTGATTTGACTTTTGTATATGGTGAGAGATAGGGGTCAAGTTTCATTCTTCTGAATATGAATATTCAATTCTCCCAGCACCATTTATTGAAAAGACTTTTTTTCCTCAATGTATGTTCTTGGTGCCTTTGTTGAAAACGAGTTTACTGTAGGTATGAAGATTTTTTTCTGGGTTTTCCATGCTGTTTTATTGGTCTATGTGTCTGTTTTTATGGTAGTATCATGCTGTTTTTGTTACTATAGCTTTGTAGTATATTTTGAAATCAGATCATGTGATTCCTACAGCTTTATTCCTTTTTCTCAGGACAGTTTTGGCTATTCTGAATATTTTGTGATTCCATATAAATTTTAGGATTCTTTTTCTATTTCTGTGAAGAAAGTCATTGGTATTTTGACAGGGATTGCATTGACTCTGTAGATTGCTTTGTGTAGCATGGACATTTTAATAATGTTGATTCTTCCAATCCGTGAACATGGAATATCTTTCCATTTTTTGTGTCCTCTTCAATTTTTTTAATCAATATTTTATAGTTTTCATTGTGAAGATTTTTCACTTCTCTGGTTGATACCTAGGTATTTAATTTTATTTGTGGTGGCTATAAATGGAATTACTTTTTTGATTTCCTTTTCAGATTGCTCACTGTTGATATTTAGAAATGCTACTGATTTTTGTACATTGATTTTGTGTCCTAAAAGTTTACTGAATTTGTTTATCAGTTTGAGTAGTTTTTTGGGGGAGTCTTTTGGTTTTCCCAAATATAAGATTATATCATCTGCCAATAGGAAAATTTGACTTCTTTTTCAATTTGGATTCTCCTTATTTCTTTCTCTTGCCTGATTGCTCTTGCTAAGAATTCCAGTATTATGTTGGATAACAGTGGTGAAAGTGGGCATCCTTGTCGTGTTCCAGATTTAAGAGGAAAATCTTTCAGTTTTTCCCCATAAAGTATAACACTAGCTGGGGGTCTGTCATATATGGCTTTTATTATGTTGAGGTATGCTCCTTTTATACCCAGTTTTCTGAGGTTTTTTTCTTAATCCTGAAAGATGTAGATCTTTATCAAAAGAGTTTTCAGCATCCATTGAAATATATGGTTTTTGTCCTTCATTCTGTTGATATGAAGTATCACATTGACTGATTTGCATATGTTGAACCATTCTTGCATTCCTGGAGTAAATCCCACTTGGTCATGATGAATGATCTTTATAATATATTGTTGAATTTCACTTGCTAGTATTTTGTTGACAATTTTTGCATCAATATTCATCACAGATGTTAGCTTGTAGTTTTTATTTATTTATTTTAACATGCCTTTGTCTTGTTTTGGTATTAGAGTAATACTAGCCTCATTGAATCAGTTTGGAAGTATTTCCTCCTCCTCTGTTTTTTGGAACAGTTTGAGTAGGATTAGTATTAGTTCTTTAAATGTTTGGTAGAGTTTAGCAGTGAAGCCGTTGGGTCCCAGGCTCTTCTTTACTGGGAGATCTTTTATTATGTCTTCAATCTCATTACTTTTTATTGACCTGTTCAGGTTTTGGATTTCCTCTTGGTTCAATTTTGGCATGTTTTATGTTCCTAGAAATTTATCCATTTCTTCTATATTTTCCAGTATATCAACATATGGTACCTAATAATGATCATTTGAATTTCTGTTGTATCAGTTGTAATGTGTTGGGAACAAGCCCCCAAATCTGGCCATAAACTGGTCCCCAAACTGGCCATAAACAAAATCTTTGCAGCACTGTGACATGTTCGTGATGGCCATGACACCCACGCTGAAGGTTGTGGGTTTACTAGAATAAGAGCAAGGAACACCTGGCCCACCCAGGGCAGAAAACTGCTTAAAGGTATTCCTAAACCACACACAATAGCACGAGTGATCTGTGCCTTAAGGACATGTTTCTGCTGCAGATAACTAGCCAGAGCCCATCCCTTTGTTTCAGCCCATCCCTTTGTTTCCTGTAAGGAATACTTTTAGTTAATCTATAATCTATAGAAATAATGCTTATCACTGGCTTGCTGTCAATAAATATGTTGGTCAAACTCTGTTCAGGGCTCTCGGGTCTGAAGGCTGTGAGTCCCCTGATTTCCCACTCCACACCTCTATATTTCTGTGTGTGTGTCTTTAATTCCCCTAGCACCACTGGGTTAGCTCCATGACCGAGCTGGTCTTGGCAAGCGGTGCCCAATGTGGGGGCTCGAACCTAGGTCGAATGGTCACTGGAGCAATGGTTGGAGAATGTGGAACTAAACTGGAGGACACCTGAGTACTCTTAAGCAGTCCCCATGGTGAGTAAGAAGGGGAGCTCGGAAGCATCAGGGTAACAATGGGACAAGTGTGGGCTCTGGTTCTTTCCACCTTGGAACCTTTTCACACTGATGATGAGGAGGAAGGAAAGTATAACAAAGTAACAGAAGAGGTGACAGAGCAGGTTTGTTTGCCAGCTAAAGCTAAAGTGGCAAAGGAGGAAGAGGTTCATCCCTACCCTTCGGCACCCCCCCATTATTTTGAAGAAAAAGAGTGGCCTGACCCTCCAGATCTTTCTTTTCTGGAGGACACTGGGTGAAAAGTATTTGCCCCAGTGACTGAGCAGTACCTCAAGTGACTGCTCTCAGTTCTATTCTGGCAGGAATCCAGTAAGCTATATGAGAAGGTGATATACAGGCTTGGCAGTTCCCTGTTAGCATACACCCCCCAGATCAACAGGGAAATATTATAGCTACATTTGAGCCTTTTCCTTTTAAATTTGGGAAATGCCATGAGGGGCCAGTCCTGGGCCCCGTTCCAAACCAGAGCATTTCCAGCTCAGGCCCTTCCCTCACCCCTGTACAATTCCTGTCCCCTGCCACAGCCGGTAGTGCCGCAGTAGATTTATGCTGCACAAAAGTTGTGAGCCTTCTGCCTGTGACCCCCACAAAAAGTTCCAACACGGGTCTGTGGACCCTTGCCAATGGGGATGATAGGATTACTTCTAGGTAGATCTAGTTTAAATTTAAAAGGAGTGCAAGTACATATCAGAGTCATTGATTCAGATTACAATAGGGAAATTGAAATTTTTATATCTACTTCTGTTCCCTGGAAAGCAGAGCCAGGAGAGTGTATAGCACAGCTCCTGATTGTGCCATATGTGGAAATGGGGAAAAGTGAAATTAAATGAACAGGAGGATTTGGAAGCACAAATAAACAAGGCAAAGCAGCTTTGGGTGAATCAAATTACTGATAAACACCCTACCTGTAAAATAACTATTCAGGGAAAGAAATGTAAAGGTTTGGTAGATACAGGAGCAGACATTTCAATCATTTCTCTACAGCACTGGCTGTCCATGTGGCCAATTCAACCCCCTCAATTTAACATAGTTGGAGTTGGTAAAGTCCCTGAAGTATATCAAAGTAGTTATATTTTGCATTGTGAAGGGCCCGATGGAAAACCTGGGACTATTCAACCAATTATGACTTCTGTACCTATAAATCTATGGGGAAAGGATTTATTACAAAAATGGGGAGCACAAGTTCTAATTCCAGAACAATTATATAGCCCTCAAAGTCAACATATGATGCATGCAATGGGGTATGTCCCTGGTATGGGACTAGGAAAAAATTTGCAAGGTTTGAAGGAAGCCCTTCAAGTGGGAAGACAAACTTCTTGCCAAGATTTAGGATATCATTTTTGATGGCAGCCATTGTTAAGCCTCCAGAACCTATACCTTTAAAAGGGTTAACAGATAAGCCAATTATCTGATAAAACAATGGTCGCTGAATAAAGAGAAACTGGAGGCTTTAGAGGACTTAGTTACTGAACAAGTAGAAAAAGGACACATAGCTCCAACATTTTCCCCTTGGAAATCTCCAGTTTTTGTAATTAAGAAAAAATCAGGTAAATGGAAAATGTTAACTGACTTAAGAGCCATTAATTCAGTTATACAACCTATGGGGACATTGCATCCAGGACTGCCTTCTTTTGCTATGATTCTGAAAAATTGGCCTTTAATAGTCATAGATTTAAAAGACTCTTTACTATCCCCTTAGCTGGGCAAGACTGTGAATGGTTTGCATTTACAATTCCTGCAGTAAACAACCTGCAGCCTGCTAAGCATTTTCACTGGAAAGTGTTGCCACAAGGCATGTTAAACAGTCCAACAATTTGCCAGACTTATGTAGGGCAAGCAATTGAACCTACTAGTAAAAAATTTTCACAGTGTTACATTATTCATTATATGGATGATATACTTTGTGCTGCCATCACTTGAGAAATATTAATCCAATGTTATGATCTCTTGCAAAACTTAATTTCTCATGCTGGTTTAATTATAGCTCCTGACAGAATTCAGACTACTACTCCTTACTTCTTTCTTGGGGACCTTAGTAAATGATACCACCATTGTGCCACAGAAAGTAACCATATGTAGGGATCAATTGAAAACATTAAATGACTTTCAAAAATTACTAGGAGAAATTAATTGGACATGACCTGCCCTAGGCATTCCTACCTGAGTAATCTATTTTCTATCCTTAGAGGAGATCCTAGTCTCACTAGCCCTCAGCAGTTAACAAAAGAAGCTGAGGCAGAGCTGCAAGTCATCAAAAAGCAAGTCCATAAAGCTCAAATCAATAGAATAGATCCAGAGAAGACTCTAGATTTGCAAATTTTTTCAACTCAGCATTCACCTACTGATGTTATTGTTCAAGAGCAAGATCTTGTACAGTGTCTTTCTCTTCCACATACTAATTCAGGGACTTTGACTCCTTATTTGGATCAAATTGCTACTATGATAGGAAATGGGTGAACTCAGATTGTTAAATTACATGGATATGATCCTGGAAAAAATATTGTCCCTCTCATGAAGGCACAAATACAGCAAGCCTTTATAAATAGTCTTACTTGGCAAACCCATTTAGCTGACTTTGTGGGTATTCTCAATAATCATTTTCCTAAAATGAAACTGTTTCAATTTTTGAAATTAACTAATTGGATTCTCCCTAAAATAACTAAATTCAAACCAATTGAAGGTGCTGAGAATGTTTTTACTGGTGGGTCTAGTAATGGTAAAGCTTCTTATTCTGGCTCAAAAGGTAAAATTTTCCAGACGCCCTCTACTTCAGCTCAAAAGCAGAGCTTGTAGCTGTAATCGAGGTATTGACTGCTTTTGATATGCCTATTAATGTGATTTCTGATTCTTCATATGTGGTTCATTCCACACAATTAATTGAAAATGCTGAGTTATGATTTCATACAGATGAACAACTGATGACTTTATTTACCCAATTGCAAACAGGAGTCAGGAGTAGAATGCACCCTTTTTATGTCACTCACATTAGGGCTCATACACCTCTTCCAGGACCTTTGACTGCAGTGAATCAAATGGCTGATCACCTAGTTGCTACTGCAATATCTAATGCCAGACACTTTCACAATTTAACACATGTTAATGCCTCTGGTCTCAAACTCAGATACAGCATTACCTGGAAAGAAGCTAAAGCTATTATCCAGTGATGTCCAACTTGCCAAATAGTGCATTCCTCATCTTTTACAGGAGGAGTTAATCCTCGAGAATTGGAACCTAATTCTCTTTGGCAGATGGATGTCACACATGTTCCCTTATTTGAGAGACTAGCTTATGTACATGTATGTGTGGACACCTTTTCTCACTTTGGGCTACATACCAATCAGGAAAGTCTTCTGCCTGTGTTAAATGCCACCTTTTGCAGTGTTTTGTGGAGATGGGCATTCCAGCTTCCATTAAAACAGATAATTCCCCAGGCTATACTAGCCAAGATCTAGCTACATTTTTCTCTATATGGAATATTAAACACATTACTGGCATCCCATATAATTCTCAAGGACAAGCCAGAGTAGAAAGAATGAATCTCTCCCTGAAACAGCAGTTGTAAAAGCAAAAGGGGAGAAACAGGGACTATGGGACACCCCATATTTAACTGAATCTAGCATTATTGACTTTAAATTTTTTGAGCCTGCCTAAAGGCCAGATGCTATCAGCAGCTGAACAGCATCTACAGAAACCAGCTGCAAAGACAGAAGCGGAACAACTGGTTTGGTGGAGAGATCCAATAACAAAAAGTTGGGAAATAGGTAAAATGATAACTTGAGGTAGAGGTTATGCTTGTGTTTCTCCAGGCCAGAACCAGCAGCCGATTTGGTTACCATCAGTACACCTGAAGCCTTATCATGAGCCAGATGCTGAGGAAGAGATTCTGGGAGGACCGCAAGGACCCCTTGGTTGCAGCCACATTGAGACTGATGCTGAGGAGGACCCCAACTGTCACAAGCAACACCCGTGGAACACAGCCATCTACCTGGAGACAGATCAAGAAGCTGTCACAGATGGCAGAAGAAAACCATGGAAAATGGGACAACCAGTCACAATGAGTAATTTAGTGATAGCTATGATAGCAGTGATCACCATTGCCATGAGTATTCCTTCAACAAGGGCTGACACAGAGAACAATTATACTTATTAGGCATATTTATCAATCTTGGCTGGCAATAATGGCCTGGATGTAGTCACCCTATGACACAGTTACACATGCTTTCTGATCTCAGTATTTACCGTAATAAATCTGCTCCTATAATTGAGGCATACTGCCCTCAAAAACTTATTTGTAAACAGAATTGGACCTGGCCAGAATTAATGAACGTACCTGTTTGGGAAGATTGCATTGCAGAACAGGCAGAGGTGCTGTGTAATGATTCCTATGGAATTATTATTGATTGGTCCCCTAAGGGGATGTTTAGTTTGAATTACACCTCTCAGTCTGTGTGTCACAGCCACACTATGTTCACCTGGTCTAAACAAAACAGTTGGATGGTAGAAATAGTAAGAAATATGGCAAGAGTTCCTATTTTTCTGGAAACATGATGGTATAGTGGCACCTCAACCTCAAATGATATGGCCCACTGTAGGACCTAAACATAAGGAACTTGTCTTTGGATATTGCAAGATTAAAAGAACAAATACTTAAAGCATCCCAGGCACACCTGACCTTAATGCCAGGAACTGGAGTGCCTGAATGAGCTACAGACAGATTAGCAGCTAGTAACCCATTAAAATGGATAAAAACACTTGGAAGCTCTGTGATTTCAATGATGATTGTGCTTTTAATCTGTGTTGTTTGTCTTTATATAGTCTGCAGATGTGGATCCCAACTCCTGGAAGAAGTAGCTCACCATGACAAAGCTGCCTTTGCTTTTATTGCTTTGCAAAACAGAAAAGGGGGACATGTTGGGAACAGGCCCCCAAATCTGTCCATAAACCAGGCCCAAAACTGTCCATAAAAAAAATCTCTGTAGCACTGTGACATGTTCATGATGGCCATGATGCCCAAGCTGAAGGTTGTGGGTTTACCGGAATGAGGGCAAGGAACACCTGGCCCACCCAGGGTGGAAAACCACTTAAGGCATTCCTAAACCACAAACAAAGCATGAGCGATCTGTGCCTTAAGGACATGTTCCTGCTGCAGATAACTAGCCAGAGTGCATCCCTTTGTTTTGGCTCATCCCTTTATTTCCCATAAGGAATACTTTTAGTTAATCTATAATCTATAGAAATAATGCTTATCACTGGCTTGCTGTCAGTAAATATGTGGGTCAAACTCTGTTTGGGACTCTCAGGTCTGAAGACTGTGATTCCTCTGATTTCCCACTCCAGATGCTGTATTTGTGCGTGTGTCCTTAATTCCTCTAGTGCTGCTGGGTTAAGGTCTCCATGACCAAGCTGGTCTCAGCAGTAATGTCTTTTTATTCATCTCTGATTTTATTTATTTGAGTCTTCTTTTGCTTTTTCTTAGTCTAAAGATTTGTCAATTTTGTTTACCTTTTCAAAAAAATCAACTTTTTGTTTCATTTATCTTATGTATTGTTTTCTTCATTTAAAATTATTTTATGCTCTGATCTTTATTATTTATTTTCTTCTACTAATTTTGAGTTTGTTTTGCTCTTGTTTGTATAGTTCTTTAAGATGCATAATTAGATGATTTATTTGAAGTTTTTCTTCTACTGCTTTCACTGTATTCCATAGATTTTGGTATGTTGTGTTTCTATTATCATTTGTTTAAAGAAATTTTTCAATTTCCTTCTTAATTTCTTTATTGACATACTGGTCATTCAGGAGCATATTGTTTAATTTCCATATATTTGTATAGTTTTAAAAATTCCTCTTGCTATTGATTTCTAGTTTTATTTCATTGTTGCAGAGAAGATGCTTAATATTACTTTAATTTTTTGAATGTTTTGACTTGTTTTGTGACCTAACATATGGTCTACCCTTGAGAGTGATCCATGTGCTAAAGAGAAAAATGTGTATTCTGCAGCCATTGGATAAAATGTTATGTAAATATCTATTAGGTTCATTTGTTCTACAGTGCAGTATAAGTCTGATGTTGCTTTTTTGGTTTTCTGTTTGGGAGTTTTGTCCAATGCTGAAAGTGGGGTGTTAGAGTCTCCAGCTACTAATGTATTGGGGTCTATCTCTTTGGTTCCATATATTTGCTTTATATATCTGGTTGCTCCAGTGTTGGGTGCATATTTACAATTGTTATACCCTCTTGCTGAATTGACCCCTTTGTCAATATATGGTGACCTTTTCTGTCTCTTCTTACAGTTTTTGTCTTGAAATCTATTTTGTCTAATAAGTATAGCTACTGATGCTCTTTTTTGGTTTCCACTGTATGGGATATCTTTTTCCATCTCATTATTTTCAGTCTTTGTGTATATTTCTAGGTAAAGTGTGTTTTTTGTAGGCAATAGGTCATTGGGTCTTGTTTTTTTCATCCATTCAGCCACTCTATGTCTTTTCATTGGAGAGTTTGGTCCACTCACATTCAATGTTATTATTGATAAGTAAGGGGTTCCTTCACTATTTTGTTATTTGTTTTCTGGTCTTTCTTTCCTTCTTTTTTGTCTTCCTTTTAGTTAAGGTGTTTTTTTTCTAGTGGTATGCTTTAATTTTTTGCTTTTTATTTTTAATGTACCACTGTGTGTTTTTTAATTCAAAGTTACCATGAGACTTGCAAATACTATCATCTTATAACCCCCTTTTTTTTTTGAGGCAGATTCTTGCTCTGTCACTCAGACTGGAGTGCAGTGGTGTGATCTCGGCTCACTGCAACTTCTGCCACCTGGGTTCAAGTGATTCTCCTGCCTCAGCCTCCTGAATAGCTGGGATTACTGGTGTGTGCCACCATGTCCGGCTAATTTTTGTATTTTTAGTAGAGACGGGGTTTCAGCATCTTGGCCAGGCTGGTCTTGAACTCCTGACCTCACAATCCACCTTTCTCAGCCTCCCAAAGTGCTGGAATTACAGGCGTGATCCACCACACCCAGCCTTATAACCCATTATTTTAAACTGATGACAATGTAACACTGATGCATAAACAAATAAACATGCAAAATACTAATAGAAAGTCTGCACTTAATTTTGCCCCCCAACTTTTTAACTTTTCATTGTTTCTTTTTATGTCTTTCTTGTACTATGACTTGAAAATTTGTTGAAGTTATTATTTTTGATAGGTTTATCATCTAGTCTTTCTACTTATGTCAAGAGTTTACACCCCACAATTACAGTGTTATGTTATTCTGTGTTTTTCTGTGTGCTTACTATTATCAGTGAGTTCTGTACCTTCAGATGATTTCTTCTTGCTCATTAACACACTTTTCTTTCAGATTTCAAAACTTCCTTTATTATTTCTTGCAGGACAGGTCTGGTGCTGATGAAATCCCCCAGCTTTTGTTGTCTGGGAAGGTTTTTATTTCTCGTTCATGTTTAAAGAGTATTTTTGTTGGATATATTATTCTAGGGTAGAAGTTTTTTTCCTTCAGCACTTTAAATGTGTCATACCACTCTCTCCTGTTTCGACTGAAAAGTCTGCTGCCAAACATATTTGAGCACCATTGTATGCTATTTGTTACTTTTCTCTTGTTGCTTTTGGATTCTTTCTTTATCCTTGACCTTTGGGAGTTTGATTATTAAATGCCTTGAGGTAGTCTTCTGTTAAATCTGCTTGGTGTTCTATAACCTTCTTGTATTTCTAATCCTGCAATTTTTTTTTTTTTTTTTTGAGACAGAGTCTTACTTACTCTGTTGCCAGGCTGGAGTGCAGTGGCACAATCTTGGCTCACTACAACCTTCGCCTCCCGGGTTCAAGTGATTCTCCTGCCTCAGCTTCCCAAGTAGTTGGGATTACAGGTGCATGCCACCAGGCCCAGTTGTATTTTTAGTAGAGATGTGGTTTCACCATGTTGGCCAGGATGGTCTCAATCTCTTGACCACGTGATCCGCCCATCTCGGTCTCCCAAAGTGCTGGGATTATAAGAATGAGCCACCGCACCCAGCCACCTTCTTGTATTTCAATGTTGACTTGTGCTAATACATCCTGTGTGCTATACATCTGGGGCACACCTGCTCTGTTGGTTTCCTGTGACTGCTCTAACAAATTGTTACAAAGTATGTGGCTTAAAACAATGGAAGTTTATTCTCTCACAGTTCTGGAGGCCAGAAGTCTGAAATCAGTATCAAGGGCTGACATCAAGATGTTGGCAGGGCAGCACTCCTTCTGGAGGCTCTGGGAGAGAACCTGTCCCTTGCCTCTTTCAGATCCTATGGCTGCTGGCATTCCTTGGCTTGTGGCCACATCACTTCAGCCCTATCCTTCTTCCTTTATCCCTTTTCCTCTTTGTCCTCCTATTGCCTTTGGAAGCTTGTAAAATATTTCATTTATCCTTAGTAATATGAAATTTTATAATGATCTGTTTTGAGTGGGTCTATTTTTGTCCATTTCATTGGCATTCAGTGATTTAAGAAAACTGTCTTTCTTCAGTTCTAAAATATTTACTTAAGTTGTCATATTAATGATCTTCCCTCCCTGCCCCTCCCACCCTGCTTTATCTATTCATTCATTTTGAAACTTCTACTACTCAGATATTGAATGTCTTGATTTGGTATTCTTCATTTTCTTGTTTTTCCCCTTCTCTTTTTTTATATCTCTTGTGTTTTGTTCTACTTTCTGGGAAATTTCCTGAATTTTTCTTCCATCATTTCTATTGAGTTTTTAATTTATGCTACAATTCCTATCATTGTGAATAGCTCATCTTTGTTTTCTGCATTTTACATGAAATAACCTGCTGTTTTGTTTCATGAAAATACATCTTCTTGTTTCTCTGAATGCATATATATGTATGCATATGTATATATGTGTACAAAGACTATACATTTATATATAAATTGTATTCACATATATAAAATTTTCATATTGTTAGATGGTGATATGGTTTGGCTGTGTCCCTACCATCTCATCTTGAATTTTAGCTTTCATAATTTTCATATGTTGTGGAAGGGATAAGGTAGGGGATAACCGAATCATGGGTAGGAGATAACTGAATCATGGGAGCAGTTTTCTCCATGCTGTTCTCCTGGTAGTGAATAAGTCTCATGAGATCTGATGGTTTTATAAGGGGTTTCCCCTTTCACTTGGCTCTCATTTCCCTCTTGCCTGCTGCCATGTGAGACGTGCCTTTCTCCTACTTGCCTTCCACCATGATTGTGAGGCCTCCCAGACAGGTGGAACTGTGAGTCCGTTAAACCTCTTTTTCTTTATAAATTACCCAGTCTCAGGTATGTCTTTATTAGTAGTGTGAGAGCTGACTAATACAGGTGGTCATCTAAGACTGCTTTAGAATTTCTGAGCACATAAATGGTGTTTATCCACTGCTAGATACATTATAGGGTATCTGGGAGGTTTACTTGGAGAATCCACAATGTCTCAATATTTAAGCCCTTTATGTTTGGAATTTACCACAGAAGAGACAATATTTGCCTACCTTCCAGAATTCTGGGAACAGGATGGGGGCAAAGATTCCCAAAGAGAACCTATAAATGCAATATGAGATAGAAGCCAAGACAACAAACCACTTGGAGGGAATGGCAAAAATTTATGACTATTCAGGTTAACCCAGAAAGTCTGATTATTTTAATCTTTTAAATATATAAACCAGAATACTTTAAACTCTACAATAACATGATCATCAGTTAAAGAGAACAATCTGTCAAATAATTCACATATGTTTTTAGGTTTGTTTCCAACTATTCAGCTTCTTTGAATTGCCATCTGTTTTAGATCATCAGGCTATCTCCCAGAGCCACTAGAGGGGGTGCTGCCTTTTAGCACCTTGATTTCACTTTTTTTTTTTTTTTTTTGACAGAGTTTCGCTCTTGTTGCCCAGGCTGGAGTGCAATGGCACAATCTCGGCTCACTGCAACCTCCGCCTCCCGGGTTCAAGCAATTCTCCTGTCTCAGCCTCCCGAGTAGCTGGGATTCCAGGCACATGCCACCACGTCCTGCTAATTTTTGTATTTTTAGTAGAGATGGGGTTTCATCATATTGGTCAGGATGGTCTCAAACTCCTGACTTCAGGTGATCCACCCCACCTCCTTGGCCTTTCAAAGTGCTGGGATTACAAGAGTGAGCTACTGCACCCGCTGATTTCACCCTTTTAATAGTGAAGTAAGAAAGTAACATTTCTATATCTGTTTCTAACGTGCATCTTGTACAGAGTCCTTAAAAAGCTTATCAAGGTTTTAGAGACAGCTATTAATAGTTTGTTTTATTTTGAAAATATTGCCCAAGGCTTTCTTTTTAATGGAAACAAGAATGACAGTAACTAAGTTATATTACAATTACATGTGAATATTGGGAATTAAAATATTTAGTTTTCTTTATATTTTACATTATTATATTCTAATATACAATGTTCATTGGGACAAATTATAAACAAGCCCACAAGCAAACCAGTACTGTAGTTAAAAAGTTAATTTTATCCCAGCACTTTGGGAGGCTGAAGTGGGCAGATCACTTGAGGTCTGGAGTTCGAGACCAGCCTGGCCAACATGGAGAAACGCCCTCTGTACTAAAAATACAAAAAGTAGCCAGGTGTGGTGGTGCATGCCTGTAATCCTAGTGACTCAGGAGGCTGAGGTAGGAGAATCACTTGAACCTAGGAGGCAGAGGTTGCAGTGAGCCAAGATCGTACCACCACACTTCAGCCTGGGCAATAGAGTGAGACTCCATCTCAAAAACAAACAAACAAACAAAGCCCCCAAAACTCAAAAAGTTGGGCTAAATAATTTCAGGAATAAAATGAAAAATACAATCACAGCTTCAACAATAGACTAGGTTGAGCAGAAGAGAGAATTTCTGAACTTGAAGCCAAGTCTTTAGAAATAATACAGTCAGAAAAAATAATAAATAAGAAAGAATGAAGAAGTTGTAAACCAAGAGCATCTGAGACAAGTCTTAATCAATTTAGAAAGTTTATTTTGCTAAGGTTAAGGACATGCCTATGACACAGCCTCAGGAGGGCCTGATGACATTGCCCAAGGTTGTCAGGGCACAGCTTGGTTTTATACATTTTAGGGAGACATGAGATATCAATCAGTATATGTAAGATGTACATTGGTTCCGTCGGGAAAGGCAGGACAACTTGAAGCAGGGAGGCGGCTTCCAGGTCATAAGTAGATAAAAGACAAATAGATGCGTTATTTTGAGTTTCTGATTAGTCTTTTACTAAATACACAATTTACATGAATAGTCACTTATGCCTTAGTCTGGCTTAGTGAAACAATAGGGAAAGGAAGCAATCAGATAGGCATTTGTCCCACATGAGCAGAGGGATGACTTTGAGTTCTATCTGTCCTTTGTTCGCAAGGAATTTCCTTATGGGCAAATTGTGAGGGAGGTATGTAGCTTTAAAAAAAAATGTAGCTATCTTATTTAGGAGTAGAATGAAAGGTATGTTTGCCCTTGCAGTTCCCAGATTGACTTTTCCTTCTGGCTTAGGGATTTTAGGGTCCCAAGGTTTATTTTTCTTTCACAAAGCCTATAGGATTTATGGGACACCATTAAGTAGCTTTAATGAAATATATGAATCTGAGAGTTGCAGAAGTAGAAGAAATGAGAAGAGGCATAGTGACCATATTTAAGAAAATAACAGCTGAAAACTTCCCATGTCTTCAGAGAGAAATGGATATCTAGATCCATGTTATCTAGGATATCTAGCTCTCAAAGTCTCCAAATATACTTAATCCAAAAAGCTCCTCTCCAAGGCCTATTGGGATTTTACTGTCAAAAGGCAAAGACAAAGAAAGAATTTTAAAAATAGAGAAAAGCCTTAAGTCACATATAAGTAAATCTCCATTAGACTAACAACTGTTTCTCAGCAGAAAACTTGCACACCAGGAGAGGATGGGACAACATATTCAAGGTGCTGAAAAAACCTTTGCTGGCCAAGAATACTACCCCCAGAAAAGCTATTCTTTAAAAATGAAGGCTAAATAAAGTATTTCCTGGACAAGCAAAAACAGGAAATGTATCACCACTAGACAGATCTTACAAGAAATACTTCAGGGAATCCCACATCTGGAAGTGAAAGGATAAGAACACAGATGAGAATATAAAACTCACTGGTAGAATGGATACACTAATGAGCAGAAGAAAGGTATCTAACTTACCACTACAGAAATACATCCAACCAAAAGGATATACAATACTAGAGGAAGAAAGAAAGGATTCACAAAACAATAAGAAAGCAATTAACAAATTGAGAGGAGTAAGACCTCAGCTATCAATAGTAACCTTGAATATAAATGGGTTAAATTCCCCAATTAAAAGATATAAAATGGCTTAAAAAACCATTTGGATTAAAAAAAGGATGGATTTTTTGAAATGAATGGATTAAAAAAACAACACCCAACTATATGCTTCCTATAAAAAACTCACTTCACCTTTAAAAACACACATAGATTTAAAGTTAAGGGGTGGAAAAAGATATTCCATGCAATGGAAAACCAAAAGTGATCAGTAGCTAAACTTACATCAGATAAAATAGACTCTAAGCTAAAAAAAGAGTCCTGTCATTTGTGGCATCATGGAGGAGTTTGAAGAATATTATATGAAGTGAAATAAGCCAGATACAAAATGATAAATATCGCATATTCTCACTCATTTTTGGAAGCTAAATAAGTTGATCTCATAAAAATGGAGAGTAGAATGCTCACTAGAGGCTGGTAAGGGTTGGGGAAAATGGGATATAGGGAGAGGTTGATTAATGGATACAAAATTACAGCTAGATAGGCGGAATAAGTTATATTGTTCTATATCACTGCAGGGTGATAGAGTTCATTGAACACTCTCATATCAGTACTTGATAGAAGTACTGAATTCTATCAAATGAATTCAACACCGTGAGAATGAATTCAACACTCTCATGTCTCATACCATGAGAGTGAATTCAACACTCTCATATCTTCTGTCGGTACTTGATAGAAGAAGTAGAAAGAAAATTAATGAGGATATACTAGACCTGAATAATACAACATTACCAACCAACTTGAGCTAATTGACGTTAACTGAAGATTATATTCAATGATGAAATGATATATATTCTTTTCAAATGACTTGGAACCTTCATCAAGATGGACCCAGTTTTACAAAATGACACTCAAAATGTCTGAAATGATTACTATTTAAATATTATCTAGTTATCGAAGATAGACTTCATTCACCCTAATTCTGCTAAGAGTAATTTTTATGATTCTATCAAATCAATTACACTGATCTTTTCTCTTTCTAATCTTATACTAGCTTGTATGATCCACAAAGTAGCAAAAGTTGTTATTCTGTATTACTCTTTTAAATTGCTACAATATTTCTGAAATAGGTCACCAACGTCAGAGCTATTCGTTAAAAATTAACATGAAGTTCTAGTTCTTGAAACTTTGAATTTTTCTTTTTCTGAGGAAGATTTTTGCAGTTGATTAAATCTGGGTTTTATCGAGGGTGCCCATGTGTCCCAATTCTGGTTCGCATATAGGTATAAGTAAAATGATTATATAATTAATTGTTGGAACTGGAACATTTTTGAGACTGAAAGGTAAGTCATTAATAATTACTTTGTAATTATATTTTCAGCAAACCAAGACATATCATTACCCATCCATAACTGTTCAAGCTGGAGCATGGGTTTTATGTGGTATATAAGCTTATCAATCATATAAATACCACTCAGTTTTTCAAGGGAGTAACTAGCATGATAAGCAAAAAATCCACATCCCTACTACTGTGAACAGAAAATGTGTATATTCACAGAGTGACAATTTTGGGGAGACTAGCAAAAACAGAAGTTCTTGACTCTAGAAGTCAAACTTTTTATTGCTAGGAGGCAGTAGGGCACTCAGATCCTATACACCATTATATTAAATTACTAAAGGCTTTGATTTCAACTCAACTCCTTCCCCACGATTGTAAATAACAAAAAAAGTGCCTATCCTGGCTCCTCACCAATATTTATCTTAGAAGTGGATTAGGAGGGAGTAATTTAAGCATTTTATGACCACAGTATATGAACATTTAGAACTCTCTTCCTTTCTCTACTTCTCATATAGTAAAAGATCATGAAACAATGCCCACAGTGCTATCTCAGGGAAACCCTGAAGGCCTGCCTTGAGTCCTGAATATCTCTTTTGGTCTTTGACATAACAATTATAACTATATTCTTCAAAGACCACAAAGCACTTTCACTAATGTGGTTTCAATCTTCATAAAAAGGAAGAGAGTTGGTAGAGTAATGATTAGTTTTTCATTATTTCACAAATGAAGAAACATTATCAAAGAGGTCAAGGTCACACAGTAAGTGGTAGGTCTTTTTTCTTTAATTTCTGTGTCTCTTCCATATACAAAATAGTTGCTATGGAAACTAGATTTGGTTGTTTTTGAAATATCTTTCAATATAACACTGTTCATCATTTAGCATTAATAAACTCACCCTGAGATTTATAATTAATATCTGAGTCTTCCCTGAGAGCAAAGTATTTGTAATGGCTAAAAACAACAATAACAACAACAAAACCAGGGTAAATCAGGTAGCTTAGTAGAATGTTGAATCATGAAAGAAGTAACAACAAATTGCATGCACTTCACAATTTTTTCTCATACCCTTCTTTACTGGGACTAACACTTGGGAAGGAACCTTAATCTTAGTGCTAAAGCAACAGCTTAGGTTTTAGTATTTCTCTTGCTGGAGAACTCTACTGTTGAAGGAGATAAGTCATTTTAAGCATCTTGCTTATTTTTTCTCTTCTTTCTTATTTGGGTCCTTCTTTTATTTAATAAGCAATTGTAATGTTTAAAAATGTAAGCAATCTCACATATATGCAGCCAAGATATGTTTCTAAAATTATGCCTAAAAAATGTAGGTTATTACAATGATGTAAATAATCCTTGTGCTCTTTATCTTTTGATAAAAAGAAATGCTCAGTTTCCCAGAGTCTTCCTGTTCCCCAATTCTCTCCCAGGGCATCTGGGGGAAGGAAGACTTTCCCACCTCCTTGCCTAGGTGAAGATCAGCTCCTCATCACTTGTGATGCTCCTCTTTCCTTCAGTCTTCCTGACAATGCCTCTCTCTGCCTGGGTGCTGCTCACCTACTGTACTTGTAGCAGAGGGCCTTATCTGGTGGAGCTCATGGTCTGGTTTATTTTGGTTGGCCAGAGCCCAGTGTTGCTCTACTGATCACTTAGCTCACTTTAGCTCTAGTTATCACAACAAACCCCATGTCTCTCTTCTGGCCTCCTGCTCTGATGGTCCATCTCAAGCTGAAGATCTTGATACATTTCACCAATTCAGACCCTGTGAATGGGAATGTTATTTGGCTCTCAAGTCACCTGATTGCTCAGTCATTCCCCTTTGCCCTGCTTGCTCTACCCTGCAAAAAGGAAATGAGATATTTAATTTCTGCCTTGGCCTTGTAGTGATGGAAAGCTGCCTTGAAAAGCTAAACTCCATGCCTAACTTCTGTCTAACCACACTTTGTTGCCACGTTAAACTCTGGTATGGGTCTGCCCTAGATTGGGCAGAAGGGCCTGTGGTTGGGCTATTTACATAGACCCAAATAAGACTCCATAGCTTCCTCTTCTAGAGCATCCCCTCTTTCCTAACACTCATTCCTGGCTAAAGTCAAGCAGAAGACATGAAGACATTTAGATATGAGTATTTTCTACTTCTCCTTCTCCCTTTTTCCCTCCCATTCCACAACCCCCTACTACCAGAGGGATGGACTTTTTCCCCTTCCTCTGTGTCACATTCTCTTCTTATCATCATACAGCAAGCCCTGGCAGTCACAGGCAGAAGGGATAGGTGTTACCATTGTGTCAGAAATCTGAGTCTTCTTCAGCCTTTAAGAAAAAAAAGAAAAGGAATTTAGAAAATTCTCTACCCTAAACAGCTTGGCTTTTAAGCTTATTGTCTTGCTTCAAAGTCCTATTTTAAACATCGGGGAGTAAATAGCAATAATCTTGATCGATATTTCTCTGGCCACCAATCATATGAATGTTTCGGGTCAATTGAGAAGAAGGTCTTAGAAGGAGATAATGTCATAGAGATATAAAGAAGTTTAAACCAGAAGGCTAGCCTTGGATCTGGGTGGAAAATTCCAATGTCATTTATATTTACTTTTATTGCCAAAGCTGAAGGTCATGGTTGTTGAATGAAAACATCTGTTTACTCTCTTTCTGGACACCCATTTCTACCATCACTCTTTCTGAACTTTGTTACATGTTTACTGAATAATTTGTAGCACTCTTATAACTTCAGGGTACCACGTGCAAAGTAAGTGAAAAACTCATGGTTTTTTAGGAGTCAAGCACTCCCAGACATGTGTTATGCATTAGTAAAAACACGCAGTCACGCTTCCTGTGCATGTGCACCATGTTTGCACTGCAGCCAAAAGAAAAGGAAAAAAAATGCTTTTCGTTCTATGTGGACATGTTCCAGGTAGAATGACACCACACATTTCAACTTTATTTCAAAACTTCTGCCTTTAAAAGGAAAATAAAGAAAGAAATGTTTATTCTTAATCTTATGGGATTAAAATCTACCTCGAACACCACACAGTAATTGGAAAGACCCAAAGGACCAAGCCAGGTGCATAAGCCATGGGGTCAGAGTTGCCTGTTTTCTTCTGAATTGTTATGATTAGAATAATTAAACAAGGAAGTTTAATAGCAATTTAATAGCTTGTTGACAAAGTTATACAAGCTAAGTTTAATATCTGTTTGGACACCTCATGTCAAATAATATTCTCAAGAATCTGAAAAGTTCAGTAAAGTTAATTGTAAGGCCAATTTGTAAAAGTCTTCTAGAACTAAAAAGATAATTAAAAAGAATATGTAGAACAAGAAAATAGTAGGAAGCAGAAGTAAAATAATATAATTTTTTTCTCTATCATAAACTTAAACATCTGCTTCCATATGTTTATTCTATAATCTCAGAATTACATAATTAGTTACTCTAAATGTAACATCAATATTACATGATATTCTGTAAAAAATATAATGAATTCTAAGCATTATGTCTTTTGAAAATGAGAACCTGTGCTTTATAAGACTTTTTGGACTTTAAATCTCTGTAGGAAAAATAAAAACATTTCCATTGTACTTTGAGGATTTTTTAAACAAAAAATTACAGCTAGATGGTATTATTTAGTCTAAATTATTTCACACATGATAAAATTAAGGGCCCTCTGAGATTATGCAATTTTTTCAGGTCACATGTAGTTGGTGAAATATCTAGAATGGGAATTCTGTATTTTCTTATATCCCTTGCTAATATGGGGGTCTGATCACAGGTTCCTTAATTCTCTAGGTTATTGCGTATTTGGATTAAATTACTGGGTTAACATGATAGATGAATAATCATGCCTCCTGTGCCTCCACCCAATGAAGCCAACAATTACTACAAAAGCTAGTATCCACAATATAAATTCAAAGGCCATAGTCAGAATAGATTTTTCATCTGTATTGAGAAGCACAGTTTTTGAGGCATACCACATACTCTAGCTTTTGAACCATATGCCAAAGGAAATATGAAAATACTTTGTTATCTCTCCTCTCTATGCCTTTTTCAGATTAAAGAGCTCTACTGACCATCAGGAAATGTTATCATTCCTGAACAGACCATGTAGAATTGTCTTTGCCCATTGGAATTATCCTACTTCTCCTAGACACATCCTGCACCATTACTACTGCTCTTTCTCTATCCAGGCTTCTTTATGAATGCAACATATTGTATAAAAGCGGTCTGGAGAAAGCACAGGGCATCCTGGTATGCTTAGTGTGAACAAAGGAAACGTATTGCAAGTGTGGATGGAGTTAGCCTGTGGGAACAGTTAATGAGGAGGTCTAGTCCCATGTGTTATGTTGCTTAATTAAGAACTGCATATTGCATGGCTAGGTGCTGTGCATGAAAATAGAATTTAGCTTTAGCTACCAAACAAGCTCCCAAGTAGACAGAATGGAAGCTTAAGGCTGTTCCACTCACCCTATCTTTTGACAAATGCAGTATCAGAAACAATTTTATATAAGAAAAAGGAAACAAGAAGAAACTAAAATGGGGCCTATAAAACAATACTGCAATATAAGGGGGGGAAGACAACACCCGAAAACATAAAAGAACATAACTTTTTATAAGAAACAAATCATAATTTTAGAAAGCAATTGGTTCATTGGTCTTCTCCAGGTGTATGAATAGAATAGCCTCTATGAAATGGATGCTTTGACCCATTACGGCTAAAGTAAAGGCTGAGCTCCAAGTGGAATCCCAGTGAATGAACAACTTACACAATAAACTAGGAATATAATAGTAAAAACAAGCAAGCAAACAAGCCAACAAATAAAAACTCAAAATGGAAATAGTAAAGACCAGAATTGACACTCTTGACGTCAAATCAGCAATCTGGACAACTTCTAGATACTTATCAAGAGACCCTAGAACAGGACAACAAAACAAAAAGATACTTCTTGAACCAAAATAATAAAAATCAAAGATATAAAAAATAGATGGTAGTAGTTTTTCATTTAATTAATATTTTGAGTACCCATTAGTCTTTAAGCATATATATTGGGCAAATTTAAACACAAAAAATCAGGATGGCTTAATAAACATCAAAGAAGCCTGAGACCTGACAGAGAGGATAATTTTTTATGGCCAGAAGGAAAATTGCATAGTCAAGGAATACCTTAGCATTAGATAATATAATATCTTAAAAGTTAGAATCATAGAGAAAATGAGAAGTCATCACTTCAAGGAACTTGGAAGTGCCAATCTAATCTAAGGGAGAGGAATGCATAAAGGTCGGGGCATCATCCATAGTGATACCTGGGTTCCAAGTTACAGAATACTAACTAAGAGTGGCTTAAGCCCTTGCTACTCAAAGTGAGGTCCACAGACCAGCAACGTGGGCATCACTGGGGTGTTTATTAGAGATGTTGAACCTCATGGCCCACTGTGCCTACTGAAGCACAATCTACATTCTAACAAGATCCCCAGGTAATTCATGTGCACATTATTCATTCATAATCAGTCGTATACTTCAGGGGCCCCTACCCAAGGGCCACCAATCAGTAACAGTCCATGGACTATTAAGGAACCAGACCACACAGCAGGAGGTGAGTGATGAGCGAGCTAACAAAATGTTATCAGTTTTTACAGCCGCTCCCTAGCGCTTGCTTTACTGCTTGAGTTCTGCTTTCTGACAGATCAGCAGAGCATTAGATTCTCATAGGAGTGAGAACTCTATTGTGGACTGCACATGCAAGAGATCCAGGATGTGCACTCCTTATGACAGTTGAATACCTGATTATCTGTCACTGTCTCCCATCACCCCTAGATGGGACTGTCTAGTTGCAGGAAATCAAGCTTAGGGCTCCCACTCATTCTACATTACGGTGAATTGTAGAATTATTTCATTATATATTACAATGTAATAATAATAGGAAAAAAGTGCACAATAAATGCAATGTGCATGAATTATCCCGAAACTATCCTCCAACCCCAGTTCATAGAAAAATTGTCTTCCACAAAACCAGCCCCGAGTGCCAAAAAGCTTGTGGACCACTAATATACTTGACATGTGAAGAGTATTTAGAATAATAATATTAAATGAGGTAAAATTATATTGCTGTACATTCTACATACAAAGAATATCTTTTTTTGAAAGTTTATACAAGACTTACAAAATACATGATGGCCTAGGAAACAAAGTCTTATTAACTCCAAAGAGCAGAAATTGTAAAGTTATATAGTCTGAAAACTAGATTAAAATTTAATTATACAGATTTAAACAAAGAAATTAACCAACCAACCAGTAAAAAAACACAAACTTTCATTAGCTATTGCTTTACAGAATAAATTAAAAATGAAATTGTGGACTTTTTGGGAAGTCATATACTGAAGTTTATAATATGCTCTCATCTGTACTAACAGGAAAAAGCTTAAGTTATTTAATAAGAAAAATTATAGCCTAGATCTTTAACTTAAGGAAGTAGAAAACCTATGACAGTTTTGTGGAAAAAGACAGTCCAAGATATACATGCGTGGTGGCAAAACTGATTCAACTGAGTTTTCATTTACTTAGCTTGTAAATAATATTCTTCAAGTACCTATGGCATTGTCATTTTTCTTTAAACTGGTTTAGAAGCCAATTATTACTCAGGTAGTGCTGCACTGCGTTCAGCTGCTCCTTGATGGTTAAAATCTTCAATTACCTGAAAAGTTGAGGCTCAGGCTAGAATTGCCCACTCACTAAATAGAGGGCTGCAGAAGGGTTTTACTTGTACTTATAGATGAGCCTCCACTGGGACAACCTGATGATCTTCCCAGAAATGAGGGAGGAGAAGAGTGTCTGATTCTTTGTGTTACTTCCTGAGGGCAAATAATGTGGGTCTGTGGTGACATAGAATCACAATATTTTTCTGCCTTGACTTGGATTCAAAGAAAAAATTTCTTGTGAATTTGTGTGGACAAATAAAAGGCAAATATGTGTGATTTTCTAAACAAAGAGAGAATTTTAAATAAATGTGTGCTTATCATATGTTCACTTATCTTACTGTAGATGTTTGATATTTGTCAGAACAGGTGCCCAGCCCTTGGGATACTTTGCTTAAGAATAAGAGAATATAAAAACTATTAATCACATATGTTCCCACAAGGAAATACAAAAATATTATATGGTTGTGCCAGAAGGTTGAAATAAATAAAGCTAGTGAAAATAAGAGCCAAGTCTTGTTGGGCTTCAGCAGAGAGCAGTGTCTCTATGGGAGATAGTGATCTATATAGAAAATGTAGGTGAGAATTGTTGTTAGGTGTGTTTCAACAAAGCTTGTGAAAAATTCTGATTGGGGTGGGAAAGAGCAAAACAAAGGAGGGTACTTTCTTTTCCTTAGCTAACTCTGTTTAGTCAACTCTTATTACTCAGTTGAAGCAAGAAATAAAAATGCCAAGATGAACTAGAGACACTTACTGCTTTTAAGGAATTTAAACTCTAAAAGTTAATGTAGGGAAAAGTTAGATACATGTTTTATTACAAGCTTAAAAAAGACTTATCACATAGGTCAAACCAGAGTGACTGAGAAATCTCCATGAATAAAGTAATTTAAACTGGGCTTTATATATTTTGACAAGTGGGCATATGAGGGAAAAATAATTCCAACTGGAGAAATACCTTCATAGAAGGGACAATGTATGGGGCATATTTTGGCTGGATGTATAGTGTGTGGAGGCAGTAGGGGAAGTAATTTTAAAAAGCAAGTAGAATCTAATTAATGTATTACTTCAAATGTTATTTGGAACAGTTTGGATTTCAAGGGTGCCCACTTTCACCACTTCTATTCAACTAGTACTGAAAATTCTAGCCAGAACAATTAGACAAGAGAAAGAAATAGAAAGCATCTGAATTGGAAAGAAAGTAACATTGTCTGTGATTTCAAATTACATTATCCTATATATAGAAAACCCTAAAGACACCACCAGAAAACTGTTAAATGAATTCAGTGAAGTTATAGAATATAACATCAACATTAAAAAAGTCATATTTCAATACAAGAACAATGACTGATTCAAAAAGAAATTGAGAAAACAATTCTATTAAAATAGCATCAAAAGGAATAAAATACTTAAGAAATAAATTTAATAATGAAGTGAAAGATCTGTACACTGAAAACTACGAAAAAACTCATGAAACATATTGAGAAAGACAAATAAATGGAAAGATATCCCATGTTCATGGATTGGAAGAATTAATATTGTTAAAATTTTCATATTACACAAAGTGACCTACAGATTCAATGCAATTTTTATTAAAATTCTGATGGCATTTTTAACAGCCTGCATAGAGCTTGCACACTCTGCATCCCTGCAGAGTTAGCACCATGTGGACATTGTCAAGGTTTGTGGGTTTTGCCTTTTGGAGTAGCAGCCTGAACTGCACTTAGGCTCACTTGAACCACAGCTGGGGTGGCTGAGGAGTGCTGTCCTGGAATGAAGGTAGCAGAGACATAGAGTGGCCCTGAATCATGAATCCCAAGGCTTTATGAGAGTTCTGGGACCTCTCTCAAAATTGTTCTGGCCTCAAATTCCTGGCAGTCTGAGTCTATGATGAGAGGAAGAGCCTCAAAGATCTCCAAAATGCCTTTGAGGTCATTCTTCCCTTCTTTTGATGAGTAGCACCTGGCTTTACACTATCCATACATATTTCCTTATAAAAGGGTCACTTGGCTGCACCCTTGGTTTTCTTTCTTTGTTTACATAGCCAGGCTAAAAATTTTCCAAATCTTTACATTCTGCTTTCCTTTTTAATTATAAGTTCTATCTTAAAACTCTTTTTCCTTTTACATTTTACTATAAGCAGTTAAAAGAAGCCACATAGCATCCTGAAAGCTTTTCTGCTTAGAGATTTCTTTTGCCAAATATCCTAGTTCATTGCTCTTAAGTTCTGTCTTTCATAAAGTCATCGGACAGGAATGTAATTCAGTAACAAGGATGGTCTTTCCTCCAGTTTCCAGTAAGATATTACTTATTTCTGTCTAAAATCTCATCAGAGTTGTCTACTCTGTCCATATTTCTACCAATATTCTCTTCCTGTCCACTGAAGTAATCTCCAAGAATACCAAGGCTCTCTCTACAGCTCTCCTCTTCTGGGCTCTCACCAGAATTACCCTTAATGCTGCAGCCACAGCAGTATATGATTTTTCTGGCCTACTCCTCCAAACTCTTCCAGCCTTTGCCCATTACCCAGTTCCAAAGCTGCTTCCACATTTTTAGTATTTTTTTTTTTTTTTTTGAGGCAGAGTCTTGCTCTGTCGCCCAGGCTGGAGTACAGTGGCGTGATCTCGGCTCACTGCAAGCTCCACCTCCTGGGTTCACGCCATTCTCCTGCCTCAGCCTTCTGAGTAGCTGGGACTACAGTCACCTGCCACCACGCCCAGCTAATTTTTTGTATTTTTAATAGAGATGGGGTTTCACTGTGTTAGCCAGGATGGTCTCGATCTCCTGACCTCGTGATCTGCCCACCTCGGCATCCCAAAGTTCTGGGATTATAGACATAAGCCACCATAACTGGCCTCATTTTTAGATTTTTTTTATAGCAACAACCCCACATCTTGGTACCAATTGCTGTCTTAGCCTGTCTGTGCTGTTCTAATATCTGATAATGGGTAATTTATAAAGAACAGAAAATTATCAAGACCAAAGCACCAGCAGGTTTGGTTGTCTGGTGAAGGCTACATCCCTTGGAGGGGAGGAAGACTGTGTACTCACATGGAAAAAGGTGGAAGGGCAAGCAAATGCTGTGTGCAGTGTCTTTTGTAAGGGTGTTAATTCCATACATGAGAGAGGCACCCTCATGACCTAAGCACCTCTTACAGGTTTTATCTCTTATTACTACCACATTCACAACATGCGAATTTTGGAGGGGACACATTTAAGCCATAATCATTCTATATGTTCCAAAAGCTAGAGGAATGACTGAACATGTTACATAGAAACATACAAATATAACAAAGGTCCTAACTGAATAGCCAAAACAATTTTGAAAAAGAACAAAGTTGGAGAACTCACACATCTCTATTTTAAAATATATCATAAAGCTATAATAATTAAAACAGTGTGGTATTGGCATTAAAGCCATACATATAGACCAATGAAATATAGAGCTCAGAAATAAACCCTTACAAATATGGCCAAATGATCTTTGACAAGAGTGTTAAGACCACTCAATGGGTAAAGAAGAGTCTCTTCAATGAATGGTATTGGGAAAACCGGATATCCACAGGCAAAAAATGAAGTTGGACCCTTATCTTACACTACATACAAAAATTAACTTAAAATGGGTTAAAGACTTAAATATAATACTCAAAACTATAAAACTCCTAGAAGGAAACGTAGGAGAAAATCTTCATGACATTAGAGTTGGCAATTACTTATTGAATATGACAGCAAAAACACAGGCAGCAAAAGCTAAAATAGACAAATGGGACTACATCAAACTTAAAAACTTTTGTTTATCGAAGTACACTGTCAACAGAGTGAAAGGGCAATCTACAGAATGGAAGAAAATATTTGCAAATAATATATCTGGTAAGTGGTATATCTAGAATGTATAAAGAACTTCTACAACTCATTATCAAAAAAACAAATAACCCAATTTAAAAATGAACAAAGAAATCGAATAGACATTTATCCAGAGATGTTATACAAATGGCCATCAAGGATATGAAAAAATTCTCAACTTCACTAATCATCAGAGAAATGCAAGCCAAAACCACAATGAAGCATCACCTCACACCCATTAGGATGGCCACTATATTAAAAAAAAAAAAAAACAAGTATTGGCAAAGATATGGCTAAATTGGGACACCATGCACTGTTGGTTGGGTTTTTAAATAGTGCAACCACTATGGCAGTATGTATAACAGTATGGTGGTTCCTCCAAAATTTAACAATTAAATTACTATATCATTCAGCAATTCCACTTCTGGGTACATATTAAAAAGATTTAAAATTAAGGTCTTGAAGAGATATTTGCATACCCATATTCATAGCTGTACTATTCACACTAGCCAAGAGGTGAAAGCAACCTAAATGTCTAACAGATGAATGGTTAAAGAAAATGTGATAGAGTTGAATATTATACAGCTATAAAATGAAATGAAAATTAACCACGTGCTACAACATGGATGAACCTTGGGAATATAATATTAAGCGAAATAATCACAAAAGAACAAATACTGTATGATTCCCCTTATAAGAGGTATCTAAAGTAGTCAAATTCATAGAAATGAAAAGTAGAATGGTGGTTTCTGGTGGGGTAGGAGGAGGAGACAAAGAGGAGTTATTGTTTAATGGAAGTACTGTTTCAGTTCTGCAAGATAAAAAAGTTTCAGAGATCTATTTCACAATAATTTAAGTATGTTTAACATTACTAAACATTATACTTAAAAATTGTTAAGATGGTAAATTTTATGACAGGCGTTTTTTGTGACAATAATAGATTCAAGTTGAACTTTTAGACATCTGGAATAAAAAATACAGTGGATGAGATTAACAGCAAATTGTATGTCACAGAAAAAAAGATAAAAGCCATTCAGAATTAAATACAGGGAAAAAACTGAAAAAAGCATCAGTGCGAGGTGAGACAACTTCAGGAGGCCTAATATATGTGTAATTGTAGCCCTAGGAAGAAAAGGAAAACATTTTTAGAAGATAATGGTTAACATTTTTCATATTTCATGAAAATCATAAACTTACAACTTCAGGAAGCTCAATAAGCCCCAGGTACAAACAATAAGGAGAAAACTATGTCAAGGCACATCATAGTCATAACCAATGTTAATGAGAAAAATTTTTAAAATATTGGTGATGCTTAGCAGACACAAGTAAGCAAGACAATAGATTTATTACTGGAAATAGCACAAGAGAGAACAGAGTAGAAAGCATTGAAAGAAAATACCTTTCAATCTAAAATTCTATACCCAGTGAATATCTTTCCAAAATGAAGGTGAAATAAAGACTATTTTCAGCATGTAAAGGCTGAAAGAAGTAATCACCGTCAGATTCACAGTACAAAAAATACTAAAGAAAATCCTTCAGGCAGAAGGAAAACTGACAGTGGCAGCAATAAGATCAGTAGTTGTGTTGGGATGGGGAAGACAGGGAGGGGCAGGAATAGGAATCACAGTGTGGCACAAAGATCTTTGTGGCATAATGGACATGTTCATTACCTTGATTGTGAATATATATAAACAGTTATCAAATTGTACACTTTATATCTGTGCAGTATATTGTATGTCAGTTACGAGTCAAAGAAGATTTTTTCTTATTTTTTACTTTTTAAAAAAATTTTACTTTAACTTCTAGGATACATATACAGAACGTGCAGGTTTCTTACACAGGTATACATGTACCATGGTGGTTTGCTCCATCTATCAACCCGTCATCTAGGTTTTAAGCCCTATATGCATTAGGTATTTGTCCTAATGCTCTCCTTCCCCTTGTCCCCACACCCCTGACAGGCCTTGGTGTGTGATATTCCCCTCCCTGTGTCCATGTGTTCTCATTGTTCAGCTCCCACTTATGAGTGAGAACATGCAATATTTGATTTTCTGTTCCTGTGTTAGTTTGCTGAGAATGATAGCTTCCAGTTTCATCCATGTCCCTGCAAAGGACATGAACTCATTCTTTTTTTATGGCTGCATAGTATTCCCTGATGTATATGTGCCACATCTTCTTTATCCAGTCTATCATTGATGGGCATTTGGTTTGGTTCCAAGCCTGCTATTGTAAATAGTGCTGCAATAAACGTACGTGTTCATGTGTCTTTATAGCAGAATGATTTATAATACTTTGCCAAAAGCAATGGCAACAAAAGCCAAAATTGACAAATGGGATCTAAAGAAACTAAAGAGCTTCTGCACAGCAAAAGAAACTACCATCAGAGTGAACAGGCAATCTACAGAATGGGAGAAAATTTTTGCAATCTATCCATCTGACAAAGGGCTAATATCCAGAATCTACAAGGAACTTAAACAAATTTACAAGAAAAAATCAAACAACCCCATCAAAAAGTGGGTGAAGGATATGAACAGGCACTTCTCAAAAGAAGACATTTATGCAGCCAAAAAACATATGAAGAAAAGCTCATCATCACTGGTCATTAGAGAAATGCAAATCAAAACCACAATGGGATACCATCTCATGCCAGTCAGAGTGGCGATTATTAAAAAGTCAGAAAACAATAGATGCTGGCGAGGCTGTGGAGAAATAGGAAAGCTTTTATAATGTTGGTGGGAGTGTAAATTAGTCCAATTATTGTGGAAGACAGTGTGGTGATTCATCAAGCATCTAGAACCAAAGAAGATTTTAAAAGGCCTACATATACCTTATGAGATTGATCAGGGTAATTTTTTGTTATTACTCTTCTAACAGGCACCAGGCTGGCTTTACCTTCCTGTGTTCAAAAACCAAAAAAACAAAAAAACAAAAAAAAAACCCTTATGGAAAGTCTTTGATTAAAGGCAATGAATCATAAAGTTATCTTTTAAAAACATTGTAAACTTAAAAGGCAAAATGGTTTGATATGTTACAGAAAAAACGATAGAAACTATTCATATGGTTTCTATCCAGTTTCTATTCCAAAAGTCCAAAAGTTCAATTTGAATCTATTTTCTTATGGTGGCAACAAACACCTATCATAAAATTTACCACCCTAGCATTTTAAGTGTAATGTTCAGTAGTACTAAACATACTTAAATTATTGTGAAATAGATCTCTGGAACTTTTTTATCTTGCAGGACTGAAACAATATTTTCATTAAACAAAGATAGAAACTACTTCCTTTACAAGGGAAAGAAAATTATTTATTTTTCCATGTGAGTTAACATTAAAAATTTCTCTGGAAGGCAAAGAACTCTGATTCATGCAGTGACTGATATTCCCTTTCTAAGAGCAGCTCTTAACAAAGGAGGAGAGTGAAGGAGTGGAAAACTAAACAGAGGGTGACTATATGTCCTAATTTTTCTGGGTCCCCGATGGCTTGTGTCCCCTGTCTTACCATAGTTATCAATAACGAAGCCATTCATTCTTAAAATTGTACTTGTTGGAGGAGCAGAGCAAGATGGCCAAATAAAAGCCTCCACTGATCACCACCCCTGCCCCCACCAAGAGCACCAAATTTAACAACTATTTACGCAAAAGCACCTTCGTAAGAACCAAAAATCGGGAGAGCAATCACGGTACCAGGCTTTAGCTTCATACAGCTGAAAGAGGCACTGAAAAGGGTAGAAAAGATAGTCATGGGTCACTGATGCTACCCCTCCATCATACCCCGGTAGCAGCTTTGTGGTGCAGACAATCTGTGTGCTTGGGGGAGGGAGAGTGCAGTGATAGTGGGACTTTGAAGTGAACTCAGTGCTGCCCTGTCATAGCAGAAAGCAAAATTGGGCTGAACTCAGCTAATTCCCACCCACTGAGGGAGCATTTAGACCAGCTCTAGCCAGAGAGGAACTGTCCATCCCAGTTGACTAAACTTAAGTTTCAGCAAGCCTTGATGTCACAGGCTGAAGTATTCTTGCTGGCTTAGAGCTTTACGGCCTTGAATGAACATAGTTAGTAGCTAGGTAGTGGTTACAGTGGTTGTGGCCACAGGGATGCCTGTGTCACCCTATCCTCAGATTCAGATGACTCAGCACAAAGAAAAAAATTCCACTTGTTTGGAAGAAAATAAAGGAAGAGAACATAAGTCTCTGCCTGGTAATCCAGAGAATTATTCTTGATTTTATCCAAGACCACCAAGGTGAGTCTGCAAGAACAAAAACCCCCTCTGTGAGTCTGCAAGAACCACAGCATAACTGAACTTGGAGATCCCTAAAGCAGATATGGCTTAGATCACAACACTCAAGTCCCTTTCATATCTGGAAAGCATTCTCAAGAAGGACAGTGCAAACAAGCTCAGACTCAAGACTACAATAAATAGCTAACTCTTTAATGCACAGACACTTATGAACATTCACAAGCATGAAGGCCATCCGGGAAAACATGATGCCACCAAATGAACTACTTAAGACACTAGAAACCAATCCTGGAGAAATAGAGTTATGTGATCTTTCAGGAAGAGAATTCAAAATAGCTGTTTTGAGGAAATTCAAAGAAATTCAAGGTAACACAGAGAAGGAATTCAGAATTTTAACGGATAAATTTAACAAAGAGATTGAAATAATTAGAATCAAGCAGAAATTCTCGATTTGAAAAATGTAATTGACATGCTGAAGAATGCATCTTAGTCTCTTAATAGCAGAATTGATCAAGCAGAAGAAAGAATTAGTGAGACTGAAGACAGACTATTTGAAAATACACAGAGAAGACAAAAAGAAAAAAGAAAAAAACTGAAAAAGCATGCTTGCAAGATCTAGAAAAAAGCCTCAGAGGGACAAACCTTAAGAGTTAGTGACCTAAAGAGGAGGCAGAGAAAGTGATAGGAGTAGAAAGTTTATTGAAAAGAATAATATAAGAGAACTTAAAGTTGGTCTTTTGAAAAGATAAACAAATTTGACAAATGTTTATCCAAGTCACTAAGAAAAAAAGAGGGAAGATCCAGATAAATAAAATCAGAAATGAAAAAGGAGACATTATAACTGACACTTCAGAAATTCAAAGGATCATTAGTGGCTACTATGAGTAGCTGTATGCCAAAAACTGGAAAATCTAGAAGAAATGAATAAATTCCTAGACACATACAACCTACCAAGATTGAACTATGAAAAAATATAAAACCTGAACAGACCAATAAGAAGTAATGAGATCAAAGCCATAATAAAAGATTTCCCAGCAAAGAAAAGCCCAGGATCTTATGGTTTCACTGGTGAATTCCATCAAACTTTTGAAGAACTAATACCCATCCTACTCAAACTGTTCTAAATATAGAGGAGGAATATTTCCAAACTCATTGTACAAGGCCAGTAATACTTTATACCGAAAACAGGCAAAGACACATTGAAAAAAGAAAACTACAGGCCAATATCTCTGATGAATACGGATGCAAAAATTATCACCAAAATACTAGCAAACAGAATTCAGAAACACATTAACAAGGTCATTCATCATGATCAAGTGAGATTTGTCCCATAGCTTCAAGGATGGTTCAACATATGCAAATCAATCAATGTGATACATCATATCAACAGAATGAAGGACAAAAATCATATGATCGTTTCCATGGAAGCTGAAAAAGCATTGATAAAATTCAATATTGCATCATGAGATGTTGAAAATCCTGAAAAAACTGGGCATAGAAGGAATGTACCTCAACATAATAAAAGCTATATACGACAGACCCATAGCTAGTATCCTACTGAATGGAGAAAAGCTGAAAGCCTTTCCTCTAAGGTCAGGAACATGATAAAGCTGCCCATTTTTACCACCATTATTCAACATAGTACTGAAATCCTAGCTAGAGTAATCAGACAAAAGAAAGAAAGAAAGGGCATCAAATTGAAAGGAAGAATTCAAATTTATCCTTGTTTGCCCATAATATGATCTTATATTTGGAAAAGCCTAAAGGCTCCAACAAAGAAACTATTAGAACTGATAAACAAATTCAGTAAAGTTTCAGGATACAAAATAAACATACAAAATCAGTAGCATTTCTATACACCAACAGCAAACAATCTGAAACAGAAATCAAGAAAGTAATCTTATTTACAAAAGCAACAAATAAAATAAAATAAAATACCAAGGAATTAACCAAAGAAGTGAAAGATCTCTACAATGAAAAGTATAAAACACTGATGCAAGAAATTGAAGATGCTACAAAAAAATGAAAAGACATTTCATGTTCATGCATTGGAAGAATCAATATTGTTAAAATGTTCATACTACCCAAAGCAGTCTACAGATTCAGTGCAATCCCTATCAAAATACCAGACATTCTTCACAGAAATGGAAAAAACAATCCTGAAATTTATATTGAACCACAGAAGCCCCAGAATAGCCAAAGCTATCCTAAGCTAAAGAAGTGAAGGAATCACATTACCTGACTTTAAATTATAGCACAGAGCTATAATAAGCAAAACAGCATGGTACTGCCATAAAAACAAACAAAAAGACCAATGGAACAGCATAGAGAACTCAGAAACAAATTCATACATCTAGAGTGAACTAATTTTTGATGAAGCCACCAATATCATACATTGGGGAAAGGAGAGTTTCTTCAATAAATAGTTCTGGGAAAAATGGATATCCATATGCAAAAGAATAAAGCTTGACCCCTATCTCTGACTATATACAAAAATAAAATCAAAATGTATTAAATACGTAAATCTAAGGCCTCAAATTATGGAATTACTAAATGAAAACTTTCAGGAAAGTCTCCAAGACGTTGGAGTGGGCAAAGATTTCTTGAGTAATACCCCACAAGCACAGGCAACCAAAGCAAAAACAGACAAATGGGAACACAAAAGGTAAAAAGCTTCTGCACAGCAAAAGAAACAATCAACAAAATGAAGAGTCAATCCACAGAGTGAGAGAAAATATTTGCAATCTACCCATCTGACAAGAGATTAATAACCAGAATAAATGAGGAGCTCAAACAATTCTATAGGAAAAAATTTAATAATCCAATTAAAACATGGGCAAAAGGTCTGAGTAGACATATCTCAAAAGAAGACATACAGATGGCAATCAGCTATATGAAAAGGTGCTTAACATCATTCATCATAAGATAAATGCAAATCAAAACCTCAAGGAGATGCCCTCTCCAGTTAAAATGGCTTTATTCAAAGGCAGGAAATAACAAATTCTAGCAAGGATGTGAAGAAAAGGGAACCCTTGTAAACTGTTAGTGGGGATGTAAATTAGTACAACTCCTAAGCAGAACAGTTTGTCGGTTCCTAAACAAACTAAAAATAGAGTTGCCATATGATCCAGCAGTCTCACTGTTGTGTATACACCCAAAATAAAAGAAATCAGGATATCAAAGAGATATGTGCATTCCCATGTTTGTTGTGGTACTCTTCACAGTGGCCAAGATTTGGAAGCAACCCAAGTGTCCATCAACAAATGAATGGATAAAGAAAATGTGAGGCTGGGTGTGGTGGCTCATGCCTTTTATCTTACCACTTTGGGAGGCAAAGGCAGGAGAACTGCTTGAGTCCAGGAGTTTGAGACCAATGTGGGCAAGATGGCAAGGCCCCATCTCTACATTTTTGTTTTTGTTTTTGTTGTTTAATTACCCAGGCATGGTGGCTCACATCTCTAGACCCAGCTACTCAGGATGCTGAGGCAGTAGGATCCCTTGAGCCTGGGAGTTCAAGGTGGCAGTGAGCCATGATCACACCACTGTACTCCAGCCTGGGTGACAAAGCAAGACCCCATCTTTTAAGAAAAAAAAAAGAAAAGAAAGAAACTGTGGTACATATACACAATGGGGTACTGTTCAGCCATAAAAAATGAGATCCTGTCATTTGCAACAACACTGATGGAACTGGACATCATTATGTAAAGTGAAATAAGCCAGTCACCGAAAGACCCAAACTTCACATGTTTTCACTTATTTGTGGGAGCTAAAAATTAAAACAATTGAATTCATGGAGATAGAGTAGAAAGATGGCTACCAGATGCTGAGAAGGGTAATGGGCGGATCAGGGGAAGTGGGGATGGTAGGTACCAAAATATTGTTGGAATGAATAACAAATTGACAGCACAACAGGGTGACTATAGTCAATAATAATTTAATTGCTCATTTAAAAATAACTGAAAGGGTATAATTAGATTATTCATAACATAAAGGATAAATGGTTGAGATGATGGATACTCCATTTATCCTGATGAGATTATTACACATTGCATGCCTATATCAAAAATTTTCACATACCCCATAAATATATATACCTACTATATACCGCCAAAAAATAAAAATTAAAAAAATTGTACTGGTCGGATAATGAGCTATATAGCCATTTACCAATGTTGGCTAATACACAGGAGATGGATGACTCCAGAGATGAAGAAAAGGGGCAGAAGATGAACATGGGGGATCACAAAGTGAAGGCCTTCTGTGTCTCAGAGTTGCCTAAACACCCTGCTTCCATATCAACCCTTCTATGAAAAGAACATGAGTCATTGGTGGGAATGGAGGACATGAATTGTTGGTGGGAGTGGTACTAATACCCACTATGTTTCATGACATGTGGAGAAAGCCAGTGTATAGTGAAGTAAAAAGAAGCAAACTTACACAAAGAAGTAGATATAACAGTAAAGAGGAACCCTGTGCTGAAGCCAAGTTCTGTTCTGGCATTGCCGAGGCCTAAGTGCCTTCCTATGCTGTTCTTGGTTTGGTTGTTCACACTTCCTTGTATTCCATGACTTAACACATTCTCAATTTGTCATGGATGTCTGTTGTTACTGAATCCAGAGCATTCGATTCTTCCTTCTTTTTATAATAAATCCTCTTCATTTGGGAATTATCCTTCCCTTACTCCATGTTTTTCCAATGAACCTGCCACTGCAACAACCCAGCCATGGAGATAAGCACAAGACCCAACTCTGTTCAATCACAGCATCACATTGTTCCATTCAAAGATATTGGCTCTGGGATGAACACATGGCCCCAGCCATGCTTGTTTGAGCTCTTCTTTGGGATTTTTAAGAAAAGATTCTAGGAGAGGGAAGTTTTCTTTCTTCTGGATCTGCTATACTGGGATGACCTGAGTCTTGAGCCATCTGTATTCTATTTGTCCACTGCACAAGGAAAGCAGATTGCAGTAGGAGGGGATGGCAACCACACAGGGAGAGCTGCTCAACAAAGCTTGAGGGTGAATTTCTCTCATCTGCAATTGGGCAGACCTCACCATCTCCATAGTTTATCATGGAAATGCTAGAAGATATTTACTATTATATTTTATACAGGCAAAAACTGAAGCTGAGTGATTTGAAGTAACTGTTCCAAAGGTTAAACAGTTAGTAGAATAACAGAAACTTAAACTCCTCATGACTTCTCTGCAGACTCTTAGGAAAAATATTGCTTGCCTCTAACCTTAAGGGTTCAGACAGTGTAAGAATCCACTGATGCCACTGAGGACCTGATTATCCTTCCTGATTCACCTGCTTTGCACTATTACTCCAGCAAGGGGATGGGGCAGGGGATTTTACCCATTTTATAAATAGGAAATTGAGCATTGCCTATAAGGAAGAAGATGACTCTGACCTTTCCTCTTTCCTTCTTGGTACATCCAAACATGTCCATTGCCCTGCCCTACCCATCTACCCACTCCATGTGCATGGAAGCATCAGAGTTTCTCATAATGGAAACTCTACTCTGAGCTGGTGAGACTTCAGGCAGAGACTATCCTCTGGGCCATCACCGATGAAAGGATTTTAGGAGGATCAGGGAGGTGTTGAAAGCTCTTACTGGAAGGTGAAATGGGAATTGCATTGAGCTGCAGTGGCAGCCTTCAACTCTAGTTTTTCTAGGCCTTTGACAGGGAACCTCCAAGATCTCAAGTGAGGGGGCTCTGGGCACTAGGTTACCTCATGGGCCTGACAGCCAACAAAAGGGTGTTATATGGTCTCCTAGTATAAATTTCTGTGCTTCAGGTAATTCTGAACCCCCTCACTCCATGACTTTAGGGAGAAGAGGGTAATGGGGGTAATAGGAGATGCCCTGAAACACCTAAAAGCTTTTTCCTCTCAGCATGTATTCTCTAGGACTTGTAGTCTAAGATGTGAGATGGGACTAGGAATACTACCTCAGTCCATTTGGGCTGCTGTAACAAAATACCATAGACTGGGTGGCTTACAAATCACAGGAATTTATTTCTCACAGCCCTGGAGGCTGGGAAGTCCAAGATCAAGGTGCTGGCAGTTTGGGTGTCTAGTGAGGACCCTCTTCCTGGTTTGAAGGCAGGTACCTTCCTACTCACTGCAGCCTTGACTTCTTGGGCTCATGTGATCCTCCCACTTCAGCCTCCTGAGTAGCTAGGATTACAGGCACACACCACTATGTTGGGCTAATTTTAAAATTATTTGTAGAGACAGGGTCTCACTATGTTGCCCAGGCTGGTCTTGAACTCCTGGGCTCAAGCGATCCTAGCTTTCAGCCTGTGAAAGTGCTGGGATTACAGGCATGAGCCTTCATACCTGGCCTCTGGCCTCTTTTATAAGAGCACTAACCCCATTCATAAGGCCTTTTCCCCCATGACCTAATTACCTTCCAAAGGCTCTGCCTCCAAATACTATCAAGGGGATTGGGGGTTTTAGAATTTTAACATATGAGTGCTGGGGTTACATAAACTTTCAGACCGTAGCAAACACCTCACAGGTAGAACTAGCATAAGGACTCTGGGATGTTTATTCATCCAAAAGGGTTTCTTTAGGGCCTGAGTACTCCACGGGCTACACCCAACATATAACTAAACAAGACAGTCATGTGACATTTAGAACTTGATCCACCATTCCACCTGTGCAGCATCTGAAAATCTGGTGAGTGGAGGTTTAAGGAAATAAGTTGGAGCAGCCCATGTATTGCAGCAGTTCCCAAGCACTGAAAGTAGTAAGACTCTTACTTTAGTTCACTGGAGACTGAGGGCATCAGATTCTCCCACCTTCGGCATTAGCTCCCAAGGCTGTTCTCACTTCCGTTCATGGGATGCAGAAAATACTGACCCCAGCAGGAGGCAGTCTCCTTCTATGTCTCCAATGCTACAGAGAAGCACCAAAATCATAAGGATCCAAATGCTGAAAGGCTAATAGAAAGAATCCTTCAACCTGATGGAGAGTTGCGGGCATATCTCCTTTATGTCCCTATTTTTTCAGAAGAGCATTGCATGCCCTGCTCCCAACCTCCCCAACCCCATTTCTCCTGCCTTAGCCAAACCCATGTCTGAGCTAGGAGAAGAAGGTGAGCTCTTTTGACTATATATAAAGCCATAATAATAATATTAAAAAGTTCACTTTGGATTTCTATCACCATTCCTTTTCACCATGTGGTAAGCAGCTAAAGCCCAAAAGGACCTGGGGCACTCATAACCACATGCTTCACATGCATCACTCTTCTGCTGGAACCAAGGCAAAGGAGCTCCACTGGCACCCCAAAACCTCAGTTGAGACCACTTCTTAAACACTCCTTTCACTACCCCTGTGCTTTAACATGACTTATTTTCTATAAAGTTGTAAGAAAGTGGTAAGATTTTCTTAATCAACTACCCCTGTTGGGGGGGCCCAGCCCATAAGGAAGCCCCTTCTTTTAAAAGATCTGTTACTGTAGGCTTTGATCATCACTTTGGGAATACTTGTGAAAACTGTTAGAAGTTTGTCCTGGTGATTTTTACCATATTTCTGAATTCTGATTCTGAAAGCTGAGCTAATCATACACGGGATTAACGGTGCTTTAAAAGTTAATGGTTAATGATTAAAACACTTATGTTCTTGACTCTCCCTAAACTGAATTGTGGATGCAAAGTTCAAGAGAGAGAAACCAGTCAATACTGGAGCTGAAACAGACTGAAAACAAAATATGTTACCTAATGCTGAGCCTGTAACAGCAATGCAACTCTGAAACTAGATATGGCCTCATAGCTTCCTGGAATCTGAAAATAGTTACCTCAAAACTCATACTCAAAATAATGCCATAAAAAATACACAAAGTTCCAACTTTGTTTCTCAAAGAGCAAGATTTTTCATTCTCATTTTTAGGGAAAGAAACCATGTGTTAAATGAGAAAACAGAATCCAGCTACTCAACAAAGAGTGGGTGTGATCAGAAGGTGTGGTGCCGAATATCCTGCTTCAAGTCCCCAGCGTGTTTCATAAATTAGTAGCTTACCTTGGCAGAGAAAACAGATTCATTTTTCCCAGTAATTTGCCTTTTCGAGATGGAAATCTCCTTTTGAGCAGCACATTTTTCTATAGCCCTGAAAAGACCAATTTATATTTAAATGCATAATACACTCAGAATTTAAAAGGGGAAGGTAGTCATCACAAAAGTCAACTGCAAATTTCACATTGGCTTTAATTTCCCTATAGAACACCAGTTTATCAAATCTGAAGACTTACTTCATCAGTTCTTGATCTTAGAGGGTCTTTCAGCTTTGAGGAGTATCAGGGGCAAAGTGCTAATTTAGACAATAAACAAGCGCATTGTCTTTCTCTTGCTAAGACTGCAAAGGGTAACAGTATGTCAAATTGCTTTTCTTCTGACTGGGCTGAAAAACTCAGTCTGGTATCCCTAGTTATTTTTTACTTAACAGAAGCTCGGCATTAATGTGTGGCTTGGTTAATAGCAATGAGAAAAATAGTTACTACTTTAAAATGTTGTCTAGTAGAAGAGTTACCTCAAAACCTGAATCCTAAGAGGGGGCTATCAAAATGAAAGAGAAATTGATGATGACTCATTAATGAAACATAAGTCATTGAAATGTGGTCTATGATGGTCAGCCTCTTCCTGTGGTTGGTGAATCATTTCACCAGCAATTCTCAATCACATTTGGCCACTGCTCCTCTCAGGCAGCCCCTTGGCTATAGCTCCACTCCATCACTTGCCAGATTCTAGTAACTTCCTTGTCATCGACCTTCAGGCCTAGGGGCAATAATAGCTTCCCACTGTAGCGAAACCCTGGATACTTCAACATCCCTTATTGGAGTGATTAACCCTGCCTGTACCTCTGGAAAGAAAATTATCTCCCATTAAGCCCTAACTTGATTAAACAGGGGTTCCCTGCTAAGACCCTGACTGATACAGGTCCTACCTTCAGGTTTTCCACCAGACAAATCAATAAGCAGTGACTACTCAGCATGAGTACTACTGTGATGGAAATTCTAGTTCTCAGCCTAATCAGTAAGACGTTAACCAACATAAGGAACTGAGAAAATGTAACATGAAGAATGTAGCAACCACTGAATGCTTAGGGTTGAATGAACAAAACCATTCTTTCAACCTACAATTATAAATTTAGAACCTATAGGTAGAGGAATTGTGTGCGGGAATTAGAACACTTAAAATAGGAGAATGGGATCATTCTGTGGGATTAAACACTAATAAATGCAAATAAAGTATAAAAAGATAGACTTGAAGTCACATTGAAGATATAAGCAATCTCCCCCAATAATTCCCTTAGTATATGAAACTGTAAGCAAGATAATAATTTACATACTGATCAGATCATTTTATGTCCATTTTTCTCATTCCTAAAGCAGTTCCCAGGGCCTGCATGACAAAAGTGGGAGGATGAGCTTTACTCAAGTTGCTCAGCCAGTCCAGCATTTCTGGGTTTGATGTCTCCATCAAGCACAAAATTCTCAACTGTGGCCTTATTTTCTCAGTTCTGCTGGAAAAGAGAAGCAATCAAGGCAGTTGGAAAAATGTCCCAAGATAGGAGTGGTTATTTCTGTTTCTCTTCCTAGCGTCAGCATGAACTCACTGATAGCTAAATGCTGCCACCTTCCTGCCCTCATAAGTACTGCAGAGGAAACCAATCCTGAAAGGCCCAAACTGGATGGAATTAGAGACCATTATTCTAAGTGAAGTAACTCAGGAATGGAAAACCAAACACTGTATGTTCTCACTCATAAGTGGGAACGCAAATGAGGACGCAAAAGCATAACAATGGTACAGTGAACTTTGGGGACTCAGGGGAAAGGGTGGGAGAAGGGTGGTACAGTGTACACCGCTCAAGTGATGGGTGCTCCAAGATCTCAGAACTCACCACTAAAGAACTTATTCGTGTAACCAAACACCACCTGTTTCCCACAAATCTATTGAAATTAAAAAAAGGAAAAAGAAAAAGAAAGAGAAAAATTATTTTTTAAAAATCGAGTATGGAGAACCTCAAAAAAAAAAAAAAAAAAAAGGAAAGAAAAGAAAAGAAACACTGGTGGATCTCTATTCTTGTTAGCTTCTCTGCCAGCGGCTGGAGTTAGATGAATAGACCTGTGAAAGAACAAACACATAAACAGAAAATTAAATGATAACATGATACACGAAAAGAGACTTATACCAGGTTACAAAGAGACAGCAGACACATTGAGATCAGAGGAGATATTCTGGAGGAGTGAAGATAAAACTAAACCCTAAAAAATGAGCAGGAATTTGCCAAGACAAAGGGGAAGGATGAGAGAATATTCAAGGAGGAGGAGTAGCAAGACAGAAAGCAAGAAAGAAAATAAAACCCTGCATGGTGTGCGCAGCATTTTAATGTTGTCTGAGAATGTTGGGTAGTGCAGGGAGCAATGGGAACCCATCTCGAGGGGCCCTTGATGCCTATTAATAATCTTGGAGGCAAAGTAAAGCCCCTGAATATTTATTAAGCAGAAGTGGCATGGTCAGATTTGCCTTTTGGATATTACAGTCTGGGGACAGTGGGAAAGCTATATCTGAAGGGAGTAAGACAAGAGGCAAGGTATGTGAAATTTCTTGAAGTTCTCTTTGTAATTATCCTGAAGAAAGACAAGAAGATAGCAAAATTTCTCTTTAAGTATTGGTGATTTTCTAAAGAAAAATGAAAAATTAAGTCACAAAGACCATGTTTTTGGTGAGTACTGAGTAAACATTTTGAAACTCAGTAAATCTCACCAGAAGAATATCGTAATTCCCAAAGTAGAACTAAGCTTAGAACCGAGCTTGTCTCCAATGAATGATAATGGAGGTAAATCCATGGTAATTAGACCCTGAATCCTCTGCCTTGATTTTAAGAGAGAAACAAGCCAATGAAAGATAAGTATCCTTCTTCTTAAAGAAAACGGAGGAATAAGAAAGAGTTCCTGCTCTGATGGAAAGAAGGAGGGCAGAGATAAAACCTACGCCTAGGTGTTTGGCATTACCTCCATCCTTTTCAGGTGGTGGTCTATTCCCCTCTCTCCTACATGAACAAGAATCTGCTGGGGCTCAAGCAGAGCTGGTCACAATGAACAGAGCATCTCCTCTACATTCTACACATCCTGTCCATGCTGGGACCGTGAGGTATCCTGCTCTAAGGCTTGAAGTGAGAGAATGTGGATGTATTAGTTCATTCTCACACTGCTATAAAGAACTGCCCAAGGATGGGTAATTTATAAAGGAAAGAGATTCAACTGACTCACAGTTCAGCACGGCTTTGGAAACTTACAATCATGGCAGAAGGCAAAGTGGAAACAAGGCACCTTCTTCACAAGGCAGCAGGAAGGAGAAGAGCAAAGAAGGAAGAGCCCTTTATGAAACCATCAGATCTCATGAGAACTCACTCACTATCACGAGAACAGCATGGGGAAACTGTCCCCATGATTCAGTTACCTCCACCTGGTCTGTCCCTTGACATATAGGGATTATGGGGATTATGGGAATTATAATTCAAGATGAGATTTGGGTGGGGACACAAAGCCTAACCATATCAGTGGAGAATGAGTGTGATGCTGCTTTCTCCTTTGCTCTCAAAAATCCTTTATGTATTTAAAGCACAGAGGAAGAGAGTGCTGAATTTAGCATTCCCATGGGTGGGATTGGGGGATTTGAATAAGCCATTCAAATTAATTCCAAGGCCATTCTACAGTAGGCAGGGACATGCATTCGGTGGTTATTGCAGGAATATGGGCAAGAGATAAAGGAATGAACTAGGGCAACAAGCTAGCAGGGAAGAGGAAGAGAGAATTGATTGTTTCAATACTTTTAAGTTTCAAAGGGACAACACCCCAAAGTAGGATTAGAATTCTGCCATACCAAGCATCCTCTAAGCAGATAGGGATAAAATAAGGTTTCCTGATGGTGCTGGGACTGAGGTCCTAGAACCGAGTCCTCTCTTGTTTCTTCCGAGGGATTTCATCTTCGATTAAGCTATCTCTTTTGAGTGTTTCTTTCAAATGTAGCCAAGTGCTTCCTAGAACTTTCAGTGTCTTCCAGGAGAGACTATGTCTATGATTCTAATTTTCTAGAACAAATGCACTAGATAAGTCTCCTAGTTTGAAGCAGCAAATTGCAAGTGCTTTAGCACCTTTTCTTCCTTAGGGAGACACCCCTCAGTCTTCTTTTGGAAGGTAAAGGAAAACCAATAACCAATTTTATGACAATTTCAGAAACCCTCTCAAAACCATAGTAGGTACAGAAAAGTTATTAATAATAAAAAAGAAACCTCATTCTAGTTAGAACCTTTGAGAATGCTATATCAGACTTCAGAAAATAGCTACTGTGAGTTTTAATTGGAGGTAGAGTTGTAATCAAACCCAGGCCTCCTGAATTAGGTCACCACATCACACTTTTGACAAGTTGTAATACACAATCAGAGTACAATATTTGTACTTCCTATTTTTTGGCAGGAAAGTTTGTTTTATAAAAGGCCTTTCTGAATAAATAGTACTAAAATGATGCATGCCAGGTAGTTATGTAACTATGTGGTTCTTTGCCAAAACTTGCATTGAAATTTGTAAAATGCTAGTGAAATTAAAACAACATATCCATTTTTTTTTTCAAATATACCATTGCAAATTCAAGTAAGCCTTATTATTTTTTTAAATTTTACTTTAAGTTCTGGGATACATGTGCAGTACGTACAGGTTTGTTACATAGGTATACATGTGCCATGGTGGTTTGCTCCACCTATCAACCCGTCATCTAGGTTTTAAGCCCCAGATGCATTAGGTATTTGTCCTAATGCTAGTAAACATTAATTAAAATGTTGACTTGAATCTGAAGTGTAAGTCTCATTGGTTTACCAAACAGAAAAATAAATCCAAATTTAAAATTAAAAATTTGACTACCTGAAAGAGCTGTTGCCAAAAACATGCTTTATTATTTCACTCAATTCTTTGGCTAACATGAAGATGCATTTAATGAGCTGGACACGTGACACAGCCAGAAATACATAATCTTCTCAATTCAATTGTTAAATCAGCTAAGAATGTTTGCGTAGTGTCCATTGGGCACAAAACGTTCTATTAATACTAGGTACTGTTTTGAGAAAGAACTTAGAACATAATTCTTATCTTCTGACACTTTACATGTAAAACGGAATGGACTTTCAGTGAAGGCATCCGTCACTTTTCTGTACCCTATAGGGTAACAGACAAAGTCAGATACATGGTGGAAAGAACTACTGGAACCTAAAGCTGGTGGCCTAGGTAATCGAGATTTTCCTTAATGAAGGGAATCTAACTCTGTGAGGGAGTAAGGAATAAAAAAATGGACAAATACCTATGCATGAAGAAGATGAATACTATAAACTAGTTTATGGGGCCTTGGTTAGTTACTTATTACATAAAAATATAAATAATTTTAGATGTAAATAGCAATGAGAAACAAAAAAGAAATTGCTGGTGAAAGAAATCTTTGCAGAGACTGGAGTTGAAGTCGTGGGCAAGAGGGTACTCTTGGGAATGCTATTTCTATATAGTCCTTTTCTTCCTCTAAATTAAAATAATTTCATATCAATTTTGGCACTAATCAAATCACATTATCTTTGGGAAATATACATAAGGAAGCTGATTATTGAGGTAAATGTATAAAAATGTCCACAAGGTTTTAGCATCTTTTTCAGCTTCGTGAACCTAAACAATATCATTAATGTTTTGCAGCAAATACCAGCTACACTGGCCCTTTTATAGTTCCCAACAATAAATGGGTATGCTTTTCCCAAATTAATGGCCTTTGGCCATGTTTTTCCTTTGCCTGAGATAATTTTCTCTTCTCTTCACAGAACTGGCTCTAGCTTATCCTTCCATGTAAGCTTAAATTTACCTCCTCAGAGAGGCCTTCAAGTACCTTATGGAAAGCTGGAAATACCTTCCTGTTTCCCCTCTTTTTTCTCTCTAACACAGCACCTTGATCATTGCCTTATTTATCATTTATCAAAAATTGAAGTAATATACTTATATGTTTATTTACTTATTAAATCTCCTACTGTTACAGGATCCTTGGGGTGTCACTTTGCCAGCCAGAAACCTCTGTGGCCAGTGGCGCCTTTGCTCATGTTTTGCTCTGGCCTGCTGGGCTCATTCGGCCCACTCGGCCTGGCAGGCTATGCTCAGCTCATGCTACTGGTCTGGGTCCCACACCTGCCAAGGGTGAGCCCGTCATGGAGTGATGAGGGGTGTGTGAGGAAGTATGGGGTCTGGCCACTGCACACAGCCAGGCATGCTGGCTGCAGCAGGGTGGGCAGCTCCAGGTGCTGGCATGAGCACCCGCTTCCTGCAAGTCTGTGGCTGGACCAGGCATACCATAAGCAGCTTCCACAGCTGACACCAAGAATGCAGTGGTGCCTGGAAGCTTGGAGACATCAGGAACCATAAAGTTCCAAAGAGGGTGTTACAGCCTGGCTTAGGGAGCTCCTAGGTCTGGGCTCCCCAAAGGGTCGCAGCTCTTCTCTCCATCTCTTTTCTCTCCTTGTCACCCACAACATGGTGAGCAAGGGGCGTGTTTCAGCCCTGTTGGTGTTACAGCTCTTTTAGCCCGGCTATTTGGTGGGCCCCAAGTTCTTGTCCTGCGAACTGGAAGAATGAGGTATGCAGACAACTGAAGAGTGAGCAAGGTGAAGAAGAGCTTTATTGAGTGATAGAACAGCTCAGAGGAGACTTGCAGTGGGTCACTCCTTTCTGCAGCCAGGGTGTCCCGAAGAGTGTTCAGTTCCTAGCAGAGAGGAGCTGCCATCACTACTAGACCATATGCTCCAAAGGACATTCATTATTCTGTTTTATTCATTACTGTATACCAAACACCTAGCTCAGTGCTTAATACTGGTTGAAATTAAAAAAAAAATTGCCCAATGAATGTTCTCCACATATCAGTTAAATGATTAGAAGTCTAGACTATTCTTTAAAGAAGAAGCTGGATATTTCTTTTAGCATTCCTCTAGCTATTTATTGCTTACTTATATTTTGATTTATATTCAAGAACTCAGTTTGACAATGCTTTGTGGTTTCATTGACCAGAAATAAGAAATATGCAAAAATAATCAGATTTCCTGATCTCTTCTTAGAACCAGTGTTTTCTGATGACTCAAAATGCTATTCATGTGCAGGTTACCCTGAGAAAGATAGTAGAAGGTCTTTCTGTTCATTATTTGGCCATGACAAGCTCAGACATGAGGAATGATTCCACAAAGTATCATAATAAATATTAAATAAATAAAATTGTCACATATGCAGCATATTTGTCAAAATATAATTTTATCTAAGCATAAAGTGGATTTCATTTAAAAAGCTGTGATCTGAGAATATAAATGTGTTTATTCCTTCTTGGATTTATTTCTTTTGATGTACCTATATTTGCATATTACTTTTAGTATCCTTATTTACATGTTTTTCAAAATTTGAGTCAGGAGACATAAAGGAATTAATCCATTCTACATATTTTTCTTGTTAAAAATGCTTTTTTGGGGGGCAGTTTTCCTTCCTTAATGGATTCTGAGATCCTAGCTACAGATATTGCTAATGGACAGAGGAAATGTCTCCAAATGATTCTTGGATAGAGATTTTCTATACTTATCTATATCTATCATCTATCTATCTATCTATCTATCTATCTATCTATCTATCTATCATCTATCTATGTATCTATTTATTGACATAAATATAGATATATATATGTATACATAAAAATATAATTCTTATAAGCTGTAAATATTCATAGTGTTTTGAGAATTGCCATAGCTAAACTCAGCTGATGATGAAGATACTTCAAAATAATTATTTACACTTTTCAGCTATTTTTTTTAAACCTAGATTAAGCCTAGATTGACAAACTGGTAAAAGAAAAAGGAAATTTTACTCCTCGAGTTCATGCCACTTTTCACTGGGAAATATTCATCATGTAAAAGTGGTTCATAAATACCTGGACATTTTGCAATTTACCATGGTAGAAGTGTCCAATCTATATTATGCCCTAGCATTGGAAGCCTCAATTTCTGCTATGACCACCCAACTTCTTATATGTCTTATAAAGTATTTTTATGTTTTCAGGCGCTTCAACACTTTGTTTATAACAAATAAAAGCTTAATAACAACATATGCCTGTTTAAAAATATATCACCACAAAACATTTTATATAATTTTTAATTTTCTTAAGAATTTTTAACATGTTATAGATATATATAGATACATCAGTGTAGTTGTTAAAAACTAAAAACACTTTTTATTAAATGGAGTCACTACTAAGCACAGTGAATAGGGACTTAGGGACTTGCAATTCTACTGTATCAAATTGAACATTATGATAAGTATGATAATATGATTCTAGCTCTATGTTTATATTCAGTATTACAAAAGGAATATTTTCTAAAATATTAATATATGCTGGCAAATAGCCTTGTGTACCCATATGATATACTTTTTCAGTTTCACCAAGTTATGTAATGATGATTCTTAATCGTTGAAAAATGTGCCCGTCCCTTAATCTTTTCTGTCTTTCTTAATCTAATCCAGTAATATGCATCATGGAATGAACTGATTTCAAAATGTAATCCAACTTAACTCATAACAAGTGTTTAAAAAATACATTTATATTCAAATCTAAAAAATAATAGTTTCAATGTGTTAAGTGAATATTACTCTAGGAGATGCATTTACTATATCTTTATACGCTATATCTGTTTTGAGTTATATATCTGCAGCAGCTGGTTAAAACTCTTAAAAATCTCCATTTCAACATAGAAATCCAAGTGTATGTTTTCTTAAAAGATACAATTATAGCCTTACAAAATGTAAATCAAAAATATTAACATTGTTATTATACTAATTCCCAGGTGCTCACAAGACTTTAAATGTTTATAAAGGTTAATAATTCTTTATAAGGGTTCTATGTCTTCAACAAATCTTCTACTTATGCTTGTATTTGTGAGACAGATACATGATTTCAGATGAGGGAACTCTCACAAGAGAAACTCCAGTTCACCATGACAACACAGACCTCCTGCCACTTTGGATCTCAAAACGTCAGGACCGTTCGAATGCTGAAATGTAAAATGAGAGTTTTTAATGACTTGTTTTCATATCTTTCAAGAAAGGATAGTTTAAACAATTGTCCTTTCTATCTGTCATAGAAACTTCAAGTAAATTCTGTTATTGGAAATCCTCTGGGCTCAAAGTCCTTAACAATTAGTTTTCTTTGTTACGCAACTCTGATAAGGGTATCTGAGCTAATTCTGAAAGCATCAGTATAATTTCAGTATGCCAACAAGAGGGAAGTGGTTTCCAGGTTGAGGAGAAAGCATGAACAAGCCTAGGAACATGTGAACAGGAAAGGTAATCCAATATGTTTAGATTTCTGGGTGCCCAAGAGATCCTGCAAGTAGATGAGACCTACTTCCCTCACTTTATCCCAAAAGCCTGCTGCAGAGGGTGATAGAATGAATGCCAAATTCTTAACTGTTGAAACAAAATAGGTTTTAGTTCAATAATAAAGGCTTTCAAAACCATGCTAAGACATTGGCATTTTGGCAAAACTTGAGCTTGGCAGCTTAGTGAAAGACTAACTGGAATGTATTTTAATACAGAAGGTGGAAAACCTATTATCTCACTACCATGTCCATGTCAGAAATGATTAGACTGAATTAAAGCAATGAGCGTGGGCAATGAGATGAGGGATTCTGAAGGAGAAATCAAGGGTTGCATCATCAAGGCTTAGAATTGGTTTGTATGTGGTAGGCAAGAGTGAAAAAGAAGTCAGACATGATGCTATGGCTTCTCATCTATAAAAGAGGAACGCATAATATAATGACTGAGATAAAAATTACTGGCGAAAAAATATTTCCAAGTGGGACATTCAAATAGAGCTGTGCAGGAAGTAGGTGGAAATTGAAGAGTTTAGGTTTACAAATGTTAGTTTGGATGTCCCTGCTTTAAGGTGATATTTGAAGCAAAATTCCTGAAAGCAGAATTTATGTTTCTTTGGAAAACAAATAGTAATTATTTTCCAAGCAGGCCATACTAAGCTGTTAGTTTTGCTTATCTGAGTAAAGTAGTACTGAGTGGTTCTGACAGTTTTTCTTACAAAATCCCATTGTTTACTTGCTTAAAAAAATGTATGTTCATAATATGATGATCCTGTAGGCTAGACCAAATGTGGAGACAAGACACAACATTGAAAAATCTCTCAGGTAAAAAAAAAAATTAGTAAAAATTTGGATCTCAATATACAGTTCCTTTTACTAATGAAATCCACGTCCTTGGCACATAGTGGAAGCTCAATAATTATTTATAGGCCCAATGAGTGAAAGTCATTTCATCTTGTAGACAGGCTTTTTGATTGCTGTTTGAGACCTCCATGAGGTAGATGTTGTAGATAAAATTTGCATGAATTCATACTTGACCTCTATCCTTGCCCAACCCTCAGAAGCAACAAGAGTAGTAATCATCACACCCATGTTTACCCAAAGCTTGCCAAGCTCTGTCAGAGAAGTTTGTTATATGGTCAAAAGAGCACAAGTTTTGCAATTAGTTTATATCCTGGCACTACCCCAGGAGGTTTGACCAGTTATTTATTTGCTTTCACAACCTTGGTCTTCATCTAAAAATGGTAAAAATAATACCTGGCTTACAGGGATCTGAATAATGCACATTTGAGAAAGCACTTTGAAAACTGTAAAATAAGGAAATTTTGTGGCTTACTTGAAATAAATAGCAGCTTTATGATGAAATAAAAATAGCCACAATGAAATCAACTAGGTAAACAAAATCCAAAAGATTTTAAAAAATTGATTAATATAGTACAATGGCATACTAAGTTGGTGATATGGTTAGACTTTGTGTCCCCACCCAAATCTCATCTTGAATTATAATCCCTATAATCCCTACATGTCAAGGGAGAGACCAGGTGGAGGTAATTGAATCATGGGGCAGTTTCCCTCATGCTGTTCTCATGATAGTGAGTGAGTTTTCACAAGATCTGATGGTTTTGTAAGGGGCTCTTCCCGCTTTGCTCGACACTTCTCCTTCCTGCAGCCTGTGAAGAAGGTGCCTTGCTTCCTCTTTGCCTTCCACCATGATTATAAGTTTCCTGAAGCCCCCAGCCATGCTGAACTGTGAGTCAATTGAATCTGTTTGCTTTATAAATGACCCAGTCTCGGGCAGTTTTTTTTTTTTATAGTAGTATGAAAATACACTAATGCAGTGGGTAAAGAGAAGTAATTAGCTGTATCAATCTGGCTAGATTAAATAATTAGAAATAAAATATGAAGAAAACAGGCACATTTATAAGTACTAAATTTTAAAAGTAGCCTGTGGAGAAGAGACAAGATCATCATAAGAAACAGTTACCTTTGTCCTGAATTGAGCAGCTCAAATCCTTCACTGATTTTTTTAAATGGTAAAACATGAGTTATCAACTGGTCCAGGTCAAATTTCTTTGCCAGGAACTCAGTCACTAGTTTTGGGACATCATCTCTGCTTTTCAAACCTGCAAATAAGCACACATTTTCTCTTTAGACATTACTAAATAATCCTTATCTTTTATTATGTTATATTTATTCCTTCTCTTTCCTGCACTATGACTTTCCCTGTGTTAGATCATTCCCAGCAGTGTACAAATAAGCTGTATTTGTCCCAGCATAAGAAACAAAAGTTATGCAGCCATAAAAAAGAATGAGTTCATGTCCTTTGCAGGGACATGGATGAAGCTGGAAACCATCATTCTCAGCAAACTAACACAGGAACAAAAAACCAAACACCGCACGTTCTCACTCGTAAGTGGGAGTTGAACAATGAGAACACATGGACACAGGGAGGGGAATGACACATACCAGGGCCTGTCGGTGGGTGGCAGGCAAGGGGAGGGAGAGCATTAAGACAAATACCTAATGCATGCGGGGCTTAAAACCTAGATGATGGGTTGATGGGTGCAGCAAACCACCATGGCACTTGTATTCCAACGTAACGAACCTGCACGTTCTGCACATGTATCCCAGAACTTAAAGTAAAATAAAAATTAAATTAAATTAAAAAGAAACAAAGGTTAAAAAAACTCTTCTGATACCCACATCTCCTTCCAGTCACCCCATATCTTTGCTTCTATTGCAGAGAAACTTCTTTACTTTACAGAAAGAATTGTCTTCAGTTCACTGTTTCTGGATCCTGTTCCTTTCCTCTCACCCTCTCTGAGCCCACTCTGATTACGCTCTTGCCCCCAGCACTGTCCTGTAATGGATATCATCAAGGTCATCTTTGAGCTCCATTTTGACCCAGACAGGGGTCATTTCTCAGTCCTCCTCTTATATGAACTGTTAGGTATAACTGATACTGTTGGTGGCTCCCCTTTTCTGAAACACTCTGTTCCCTTAGCTTCTAGATACTACATCGTCATCATCATTGTCACTTTCCTTGCTCACTAGTTACTTCTTCCACAGATCTTTGCTGGGTCCTCTACATCTCCCAGACCTCTAACTCCAACGATTCCTAGGGCTTGGTCCTTGGTCCATTTCTGTTCTTTATCTACATTTACTTCTAGGGTGACCTCCTCTGGTCTTGTGGCTTTCGATATACTCCTCTTAAAATACTTAGGTTTCTATACCCATCCTAAACCTCTACCTGTACTACAGACTCATAGCCAATTGCCTACATTTTATAGACATCTTTATTCAGGTATCTCACAGGTACCTGCACAAGTGTAACCTGCCCCAAACCACTCCTGGTTTCTACCACTTCCACCCTAGCCCCCAATCTATTCCTTCTATAGTCTTCCTTCTCAATAAATGATGATGGTGACATGATTCCTGTTGCTTAGGCCCAAAAATCTTGGATGCTACTCTTTTTGCCATACAATAACTATTTCGGCAAATTTTGTTGACTCTATCTTCAAAATGTATCCAAGAGCTGACTACTTCTCACCAGCCCCATCACTCCAAGCCAGCATCCTTTCCTTCCAGCATTATAATGACTTCTTCCATGCTCTCCCTGCTTGTGCCCTTTGCCCCATTTAGAGTATTCCCCATAGAGCAGCCAGAAGGAGAGTGTTAAAATGGAAGTCAGATCAGGTGACACCTCCCTCAGAAGCCTCTGTGGTTTTATTTCTCTCTCAGAATAAACTCCTAAAACCTTGCAATGGCCCAAAGGCCCCATATAATTTAAGGTCCTCTGACCCCAGCTGTGACTGTTCTTCTGTCCTCACTCTGTTGTAGCCATACTGACCTTTTCCCCGTTCTTATGGTTCTTGCCAACACCCTGTTGTATTTACTACGTCTCCTTCCTGGAATATTCTTTCCCAAGATTTCTGAATATCTTATTTATGTTTTTGCTCCAATGTTACCTTATCAAGGAGGCCTTCCTTGAACTTTATAAAATAGCATTCACCTCCACCTCCACCCCAGTCCTCTGGCACTGCCCGTTACCCATCCTTTATTATTATCCTTTGCACTTGTAACCTTATGGTATATTCTGCATTCATTTATTTATTGTCAGTCTCTCTATACCAAAGTGAGAGGATTCTCACACTTCCTGAGATCAGGGACTTGGTATGTTTTGTCTCTTCTCCGTTCCTAGCTCCTGGAATGGTACACTATGTACACAATGGTACCTGTACTCAGTATACACTCAACAAATATTTGCTGAATAACTGAATTTTACCTCTAATATTCCTGAATAATCTATAATCTTCCCACTTCCCACAAATAGTCAAAGCAAGGAGGTTCAACTTCTTATATCTCTTATTGTTTTGTTCTTCAAGTTTCATTTTCCCTGAAAAGCCTTCTCTATAAAACCTCATCCATACCAACTAGCCTCTTGCTTTTTTATGCCCCAAGTAATGTTGCAGAAAGAGGAAAAACTTTGTTCTCCCATGGACCAGCTTTAAATCTCAGTTCTCAACTTGAGAGCTATAGGGGCAAAAAACTTAATAGTTCCAAGTCTCAGTTTTATTATTCATTAAGTAGCTTCCTCAGAGAGTTACTGAGAAATAAAATAAACTTCAAACACATTAATGTAAAACTTTTAACATAGAATAAATGCTAAAAAACTCCTCTTATAATTTGTTTTATAATATTTATAGCTGCACTTATTTTTATATTCTTTCTTTTATATTTGTTTTTGTATCCTTCGCTACATTATGTACTTCTCTAAGTGAAGAACAATCATTTTCTCCTTTTTATACTCTTAACAAGTACTTGAATAGTTACTATTCTCTTATATTGTATAAAGCAGACTCTAATATTGGGAGTACCTTCAAAGCACCCAGTACAACTCTGTATGAAGGCACTAGAAAACGAGACTTTGTGAAGGAGGGAAAAAAAAGGACTCACTGTGTCACCTACCTTGAGCAGAGTGGCCCTGGCTCCATCTCTCCTAAAACAATATTAATTGTTGAGTGATAATCTAAGTCCTTCCAGTGTGAATCTGAACTGTTCCCATAAAATGTGACAATCCCTTTTGTTGTTGTTGTTGGTTTTGGCTTTGGGTCCAGGATTTTTGTTGGTGCTATTATGAATCGAATAAATTCACTTTAATACACATTCTTGTGTATATTAATAATAATGGATTAAATCGGAACTTCCTGTTACATAATTCATCCCTATAGAAACACTACTGGTGTCTCTCATTCAGGCCTTTGGGGAACTTGAGTTGCAGATGTTAATATTAAAAATGCGTCCACCAATATTAGTCCTACATCAAGGTGAGGAGTGGAGAATTATCTTTTGTGTTATTATGATCACAGTTCCATTTTAGATCACTTCATACTCATTCTTGGAAGAAAGGCCTGAGGAAACAGGCTTCTCCCACTTGCCAAGCACCAGAGTGAAAGCCATCACTCCCCATCCAGAGGCTTTGCTTTCCTGACCTCCAAAGACACATCCCTTCCATGTGCGTCCAGTGAAGAGCAACATCGGGTCATAGGTGAGCATCTTGGCTGATGGAGGAACTCCTACAACCACGCTGGTCCCATAGTTCATGTGGCAGGATGCCAGGGCATCAATCTGAGTTTAAAACGGAGGAGATCGTTTGCTTCCTGTGTCTCTTACAGTGTGACATAAGCTCTGAAATGACCTATGTACTATGACAAAGTCATGAAATTAAATTAAGCCACCTTGTTTTTTACTTGCTTTAAAAAAATTTCAGTGCAACTTTAGTCCTTAATTAAATTTCTATACACATTTGCCCTTTAAGGCAGAAACAGCAATCAATGTGGTCAGTGTTTGTGGCATTTTTAGTGTACCATGCACTAAAATACAAGGGAAATTCTTGTGATATTTTCATACCAATATCACCACTTCAGATAAGCCTTAGAAAGCCATTTGAACCAAACTAAATTGAATTAAGTATACCAAATCATTTAGCGTAGTTTTTTTTTTAAGTTTAGTCTTAAAATTAAATAAAATACTAAAATGTGGGACAAAAGAGTCCCTTTTCTTGGGAGCATTTCTGAGACTAACCTCACATTTTCTGGTCATTAACCCATCCAGTTATTAAGCAATAATTTAATACTTGCTAGATTGGAGCAACAGATGGCATTGTTTTTAGAGACCAGCCTTCATCAAGTAGCAACTGGAAATCAGTAGGCTCTAATGATATATCCAGTATCACATATGGCTTCAAAAACTTATGACCTAGAATGCTATTTGTTGATATGAAATAAATCTAAGTGATTCACTAGGAAAGAAATATGACAGCAATGATAAATTAAGGACTATTTATTCTTAAATTACCAAAAGCATTAAGGTGAGTTAATCTGCCACTCAATCTTGAGCAAAAGTGGCTTTATTCCATTTTTCCTAGTCTCTTTACGCTATGCCAGGTTGGAGCTTTCTAGTTCCAGGAATCTCAGATCTGTTTTACAGGTCTAACTGAAGGTCTGGTGCTGCGGGCTGCCATACAGGTGGCATGGTTAGAAAATTGAAGGTTCATATTCTAAGGGAATTCAGATGAGGGCAAACAAAGCTCAGATGTAAAGAGTGAGAAGGTCGATGGATCACAGATTTGGGGGAATAGACCACAACATTTGGAATAATCCCTTTTCACCTCTCCTCAGTCACCTTCTGATGCTTACTTTGCTGACATTCAAGAGACAGAATTGCTTTCGCCAAGAAATCTACATATACAAGGAAGATCCTACTTAAAACAATTATCTAGAAGGGTTGACTACCTTGCCATCTAGTCAGCTGAGAGTGGTATGATATGGTATTTAACTTTGGTCCAGTGAACCTGCTCTTAAGTGTTTGACTTTTTAGGCAAAATTGCTATGTGATTATCAGTTTTTGCCTGAGTAAAACTGACTATCGCAGAGATATTTCCATTATTGACTATTAATAAAGTTATAGACAATTAAATTTACCTTGTGCATGTCTAATAACTTGGGTATTTTGTGGCTTCTCAAATTTTGGGTCTTACCATGGTTTCAAGATGCCCAATAACTTCAAAGGTGTATCCCACGTTGTTGCCTGTCATTTCTGACAGCACCTCACTGATGGGTTTGGTAGAGTCCTTGGGACTGATACACTCAGTGGCACCTACAGCCATGGCCTTCTCAAATTTGTCTTTGTTGAGGTCAATCCCAATGATCCTAGATGCACCAGCTGACTTACAGCCCATGATGACTGACAGGCCAACTCCTCCCAGGCCAAAGACGACGCAAGTGGAACCAGGTTTGACCTGTGGAGAGGAATGTTCTTGAACATGTTAGGTGTTAGGGTCAAAAAGTGAAACCTGAAAAGGGCCTCCAGTTAAAAACACAAATCATGAGTGAACTCCCATTCACAATTGCTACAAAGAGAATAAAATATCTAGGAATACAACTTACAAGGGATGTGAAGGACCTCTTCAAGGAGAATTACAAACCACTGCTCAAGGAAATAAGAGAGGACACAAACAAATGGAAAAATTCCATGCTCATGCATAGGAAGAATCAATATCGTGAAAATGGCCATACTGCCCAAAGTAATTTATAGATTCAATGTTATCCCTATCAAGCTACCATTTACTTTCTACACAGAATTAGAAAAAAACTACTTTAAATTTCATCTAGAACCAAAAAAGAGCCCATATAGCCAAGACAATCCTAAGCCAAAAAAACAAAGCTGGAGGCATCATGCTACCAGCCTTCAAACTATACTACAAGGCTACAGTAACAAAAACAGCATGGTACTGGTACCAAAACAGATATATAGACCAATGGAACAGAACAGAGGCCTCAGAAATAACACCACACATCTACAATCATTTGCTCTTCAACAAATCTGACAAAAACAAACAATGGGGAAAGGATTCCCTATTTAATAAATGATGCTAGGAAAACTGGCTAGCCATATGCAGAAAACTCAGACTGGACCCCTTCCTTACATCTTACACAAAAATTAACTGAAGATGGATTAAACACTTAAATGTAAAACCCCAAACCATAAAAACCCTAGAAGAAAACCTAGGCAATACCATTCAGAACTTAGACATAGGCAAAGACTTCATGACAAAAACACCAAAAGCAATTGCAACAAAAGCCAAACTTGACAAATGGGATCTAATTAAACTAAAGAGCTTCTGCACAGCAAAAGAAACTATCGTCAGAGTGAACAGGCAACCTACAGAATGGGAGGAGATTTTTGTGATCTACTCATCTGACAAAGGTCTAATATGCAGAATTTACAAGGAACTTAAACAAATATACAAGAAAAAAAATGAAGAACCCCATCCAAAAGTGGTCACAGGATATGAACAGACACTTCTCAAAAGAAGACATTTATGTGGCCAATAAACATATGAAAAAAGCTCAACATCACTGATCATTAGAGAAATGCAAATCAAAACCACCGTGTGATACCATCTCATGCCAGTCAGAATGGCGATTATTAAAAAGTCAGGAAACAATCGATGCTCGTGATGCTATGGAGAAATAAGAACGCTTTTTACACTGTTGGTGAGAATATAAATTAGTTCAACCATTGTGGAAGACAGTATGGCAATTCCTCAAGGATCTAGAACCAGAAATATCATTTGACCCAGCCATCCCATTACTGGGTATACACCCAAAGGAATATAAATCATTCCACTGCAAAGACACATGCACACGTATGTTTATTGCAGCACTATTTACAATAGCAAAGACTTGGAACTAACCCAAATGGCCATCAATGATATACTGGATAAAGAAAATGTAGTACATATACACCATGGAATATTATGCAGCCATAAAAAGAAATGAGATCATGTCCTTTGCAGGGACGTGGAAGAAGCTGGAAGCCATCATTCTCAGCAAACTAACACAAGAACAGAAAACCAAACACCACATGTTCTCACTCATAAGTGGGAGTTGAACAATGAGAACACATGGACACAGAGAGGGGAACAACACACATCAGGGCCTGTTAGGAGGTGGGGGGTGAGGGGAGGGAACCTGGAGGACGAGTCAACAGATGCAGCAAACCACCATGGCGCACGTATACCTGTGTAACAAACCTGCACGCTCTGCACATATATCCCATTTTTTAATAGAAGAAATAAAAAATCATAACTCTGAGTCATTTGTAAATAAATTTAGATACAAATATAAATTTTAGAAATTTGAATCAGAAGGAGATGTGGAAGAAACAAAAATTAAATCTAGAAACTTCATTTTCAATTGCATTTCTTGATAAAGGTTTTTCTTTTAATAATGTATTAGGTCAAAGATTCTTTTTTTTTTCTAATAAAATAGACCTATTTTATTTTTTTTTCTAATAAAATAGATCTATTTTATTTATTTATTTATTATTATTATTATACTTTAAGTTTTAGGGTACATGTGCACAATGTGCAGGTTAGTTACATATGTATACATGTGCCATGCTGGTGTGCTGCACCCATTAACTTGTCATTTAGCATTAGGTATATCTCCTAATGCTATCCCTCCCCCCTCCCCCCACCCCACAACAGTCTCCAGAGTGTGATGTTCCCCTTCCTGTGTCCATGTGTTCTCATTGTTCAATTCCTATCTATGAGTGAGAACATGCGGTGTTTGTTTTTTTGTCCTTGTGATAGTTTGCTGAGAATGATGGTTTCCAGCTTCATCCATGTCCCTACAAAGGACATGAACTCATCATTTTTTATGGCTGCATAGTATTCCATGGTGTATATGTGCCACATTTTCTTAATCCAGTCTATCATTGTTGGACATTTGGATTGGTTCCAAGTCTTTGCTATTGTGAATAGTGCCGCAATAAACATACGTGTGCATGTGTCTTTATAGCAGCATGATTTATAGTCCTTTGGGTATATACCCAGTAATGGGATGGCTGGGTCAAATGGTATTTCTAGCTCTAGATCCCTGAGGAATCGCCACACTGACTTCCACAATGGTTGAACTAGTTTACAGTCCCACCAACAGTGTAAAAGTGTTCCTATTTCTCCACATCCTCTCCAGCACTTGTTGTTTCCTGACTTTTTAATGATTGCCATTCTAACTGGTGTGAGATGGTATCTCATTGTGGTTTTGATTTGCATTTCTCTGATGGCCAGTGATGGTGAGCATTTTTCCACATGTTTTTTGGCTGCATAAATGTCTTCTTTTCAGAAGTGTCTGTTCCTGTCCTTTGCCCACTTTTTGATGGGGTTGTTTGTTTTTTTCTTGTAAATTTGTTTGAGTTCATTGTAGATTCTGGATATTAGCCCTTTGTCAGATGAGTAGGTTGCAAAAATTTTCCCCCATTTTATAGGTTGTCTGTTCACTCTGATGGTAGTTTCTTTTGCTGTGCAGAAGCTCTTTAGTTTAATTAGATCCCATTTGTCAATTTTGGCTTTTGTTGCCATTGCTTTTGGTGTTTTAGACATGAAGTCCTTGCCCATGCCTATGTCCTGAATGGTAATGCCTAGGTTTTCTTCTAGGGTTTTTATGGTTTTAGGTCTAATGTTTAAGTCTTTAATCCATCTTGAATTAATTTTTGTATAAGGTGTAAGGAAGGGATCCAGTTTCAGCTTTCTACATATGGCTAGCCAGTTTTCCCAGCACCATTTATTAAATAGGGAATCCCTTCCCCATTTCTTGTTTTTCTCAGGTTTGTCAAAGATCAGATAGTTGTAGATATGTGGCGTTATTTCTGAGGGCTCTGATCTGTTCCATTGATCTACATCTCTGTTTTGGTACCAGTACCATGCTGTTTTTGTTACTGTAGCCTTGTAGTATAGTTTGAAGTCACATAGCGTGATGCCTCCAGCTTTGTTCTTTTGGCTTAGGATTGACTTGGCGATGCATGCTCTTTTTTGGTTCCATATGAACTTGAAAGTAGTTTTTTCCAATTCTGTGAAGAAAGTCATTGGTAGCTTGATGGGGATGGCATTGAATCTATAAATTACCTTGGGCAGTATGGCCATTTTCATGATATTGATTCTTCCTACCCATGAGCATGGAATGTTCTTCCATTTCTTTGTATCCTCTTTTATTTCCTTGAGCAGTGGTTTGTAGTTCTCCTTGAAGAGGTCCTTCACATCCCTTGTAAGTTGGATTCCTAGGTGTTTCATTCTCTTTGAAGCAATTGTGAATGGGAGTTCACTCATGATTTGGCTCTCTGTTTGTTATTGGTGTGTAAGAATGCTTGTGATTTTTGTACATTGATTTTGTGTCCTGAGACTTTGCTGAAGTTGCTTATCAGCTTAAGGAGATTTTGGGCTGAGACAATGGGGTTTTCTAGATATACAATCATGTCATCTGCAAACAGGGACAATTTGACTTCCTCTTTTCCTAATTGAATACCCTTTATTTCCTTCTCCTGCCTAATTGCCCTGGCCAGAACTTCCAACACTATGTTGAATAGGAGTGGTGAGAGAGGGTATCCCTGTCTTGTGCCACTTTTCAAAGGGAATGCTTCCAGTTTTTGCCCATTCAGTATGACATTGGCTGTGGATTTGTCATAGATAGCACCAGGCCTGCCCTAAAAGAGTTCCTGAAGGAAGAACTAAACATAGAAAGGAACAACCGGTACCAGCTGCTGCAAAATCATGCCAAAATGTAAAGACCATCGAGACTAGGAAGAAACTGCATCAACTAATGAGCAAAATAACCAGCTAACATCATCATGACAGGATCAAATTCACACATAACAATATTAACTTTAAATGTAAATGGACTAAATGCTCCAATTAAAAGACACAGACTGGTAAATTCGATAAACAGTCGAGACCCATCAGTGTGCTGTATTCAGGAGACCCATCTCACGTGCAGAGACACACATAGGCTCAAAATAAAAGGATGGAGGAAGATCTACCAAGCAAATGGAAAACAAAAAAAGGCAGGGGTTGCAATCCTAGTCTCTGATAAAACAGACTTTAAACCAACAAAGATCAAAAGAGACAAAGAAGGCCATTACATAGTGGTAAAGGGATCAATTCAACAAGAAGAGCTAACTAACCTAAATATATATGCACCCAATACAGGAGCACCCAGATTCATAAAGCAAGCCCTGAGTGACCTACAAAGAGACTTAGACTCCCACACAATAATAATGGGAGACTTTAACACCCCACTGTCAACATTAGACAGATCAACGAGACAGAAAGTTAACAAGGATATCCAGGAATTGAACTCAGCTCCACACCAAGTGGACCTAATAGACATCTACAGAACTCTCCAGCCCAAATCAACAGAATATACATTTTTTCAGCACCACACCACACCTATTCCAAAATTGACCACATAGTTGGAAGTAAAGCTCTCCTCAGCAAATGTAAAAGAACACAAATTATAACAAACTGTCTCTCAGACCACAGTGCAATCAAACTAGAACTCAGGATTAAGAAACTCACTCAAAACCGCTCAACTACATGGAAACTGAACAACCTGCTCCTGAATGACTACTGGGTACATAACGAAATGAAGGCAGAAATAAAGATGTTCTTTGAAACCAATGAAAACAAATACACAGCATTCGAGAATCTCTGGGACACATTCAAAGCAGTGTGTAGAGAGAAATTTACAGCACTAAATGCCCACAAGAGAAAGCAGGAAAGATCTAAAATTGACACCCTAACATCACAATTAAAAGAGCTAGAAAAACAAGAGCAAACACATTCAAAAGCTAGCAGAAGGCAAGAAATAACTAAAATCACAGCAGAACTGAAGGAAATAGAGACACAAAAAACCCTTCAAAAAATTAATGAATCATGGAGCTGGTGTTTTGAAAGGATCAACAAAATTGATAGACCGCTAGCAAGACTAATAAAGAAAAAAAGAGAGGAGAATCAAATAGATGCAATAAAAAATGATAAAGGGGATATCACCACCAATCCCACAGAAATACAAACTACCATCAGAGAATACTACAAACACCTCTACGCAAATAAACTAGAAAATCTAGAAGAAATGGATAAATTCCTTGACACATACACCCTCCCAAGACTAAACCAGGAAGAAGTTGAATCTCTGAATAGACCAATAACAGGATCTGAAATTGTGGCAATAATCAATAGCTTACCAACCAAAAAGAGTCCGGGGCCAGATGGATTCACAGCCGAATTCTACAAGAGGTACAAGGAGGAACTGGTACCATTCCTTCTGAAACTATTCCAATCAATAGAAAAAGAGGGAATCCTCCCTAACTCATTTTATGAGGCCAGCATCATCCTGATATCAAAGCTGGGTAGAGACACAACCAAAAAAGAGAATTTTAGACCAATATCCTTGATGAACATTGATGCAAAAATCCTCAATAAAATACTGGCAAACCGAATCCAACAGCACATCAAAAAGCTTATCCACCATGATCAAATGGGCTTTCATACCTGCGATGCAAGGCTGGTTCAATATATGCAAATCAATAAATGTAATCTGCATATAAACAGAACCAAAGACAAAAACCACATGATTATCTCAATAGATGCAGAAAAGGCCTTTGACAAAATTCAACAATGCTTCATGCTAAAAACTCTCAATAAACTAGGTATTGATGGGACGTATCTCAAAATAATAAGAGGTCAAAGATTCTTAATTCCTTGAACTCCAATTTACTTGTGAAATTTCATGTGATTAACTTAAAATTCCAGGGATCCTATCTAACATCACAGTTGATGGAAAAATGTATACTGAGAAATCAGTTTTGGTGAACAGTAACAGCATTACTGATAATAGGCAACAAACACTACTGTATTTTATTTCTGATACGCATTATAGGTGGTAATCAAAATGATTAATGATTTTATTGCTCTTTATATTATCTATAACAGGTGATCTGACAAAATTGTACTTTTTTCTGAGAAGTTGGTAATGTACTTACTACTGTATTTTGTAGTTATACAATAAATCTTACTTAGCTGACAAGAAACTAGGAGTAAAAGCTCTGACAAAAAGCCTCTGCTGTAACTAAAATACTGAGATTGTCCTATCTTAACAAACTTAACATATGGGGAAGGGGTATATTTTAAAGATGGAGAAATGATGCAGTTTGCAAATATAGTCAATAAATATTCTCAAGTGTAAAAAGAAGAAATAAAATTTCTAATCTGAATTTTTTATTTTTCTTTTAGTTGATTTGGCATTGTGTTGCTTGGCAGCCTGAATATGCAATACATTCTTTTAAATGTTTTTTTTTTTTCCAAAACTCTTCAAGATTCCAAGCAAATCATTTAAGAAAAGGAAAGAAGAACAAATAAACTAGCCTACCCTGTTTCTTACCTTGCCAGTTTTAACAGCAGCGCCATATCCAGTGGAAAACCCACAGCCAATTAAACAGACTTTCTCAGGAGGAGCTGCATCATCAATCTTAGCAACAGAAGATTCATCCACCACTGTGTACTCGGTAAATGTACTGGTGTTCATGAAGTGGTGGACTGGTTTGCCCTTGCATGTAAATCTGGTGGTGCCATCAGCCAGTACTCCACGACCAGTAATACTGTTTGATACATCAAATACACGTATTAATTAATTCAATTCAAAAATTAGCATAGGAAAAATGTAAATACATTAAAGTAAAAATGACTGAAACCTACTCGCTCCTAATGCAAAGGTTGCCATCTGGGTTGCGACAAGCATTGCATTCTCTACATTGTGGCAGAAAGAGAGGGATGACTTTGTCACCTACAGGAAAAAAATCATGATATAAGATGCTGTTCATTAATGTTAAAATATGAAATTAACAAATGTGAATTGAGCCCATACTATAGGTAAAACTTTTAAAAATATATTCTAAGGTTTATAAACACCGTAAGGTTTGCCTTCTAAAGGTTGAGGTTTTGCCAAATTAAACATTACTCAGTAAAATCCATTCTTGTATCCTTTTAATTCCCTGAATTGTGTTAAGGATCCCTCTAATAATTCCTAGTGTGTGCTATTTCCTTTGATAGGCTAATCAAAGCCTAATTATTTCAAACTTGTGGTTTGACACCTGCATATACCTGGTTTCACTGTAGTCACTCCTTCTCCAATGCTCTCTACAATCCCAGTTGCCTCATGTCCCACAATCACTGGAAACTTGGACACCATTGTTCCTTTTATCACATGGTCATCTGTGCGACAGATTCCTGTGGCCAAAATCTGTGTTCAAAGACAAAAACATTGCACCAATCAACAAACTGATCATTTCACTGTTGGGAGAATATTTAACTTCTTGAAGAAATTATAATTGTTTAATCAATATCTTTGCCTAATATAACAACATTTACTCTTAGACTATTCTGAGCCAAAAATCAACCATCAGACAAGATCCCTCTCTGACGGAACTTATAATATTGCTCCCTTATACCCTAGGTTGAATCTTGGTGCCTGTCTGTAGTAAATTGGTGCTCTTGTGAGGGAACCAGAATACAGATGTTACTATGTGATGGCCCCAAAGTAGATTTTTATAGCTAGGCCCTTATTGGGCTCTCTTAACAAAGAACAGAGGAAATGGCATGCAAGAAGGTAAGCAAAGAGCAAAATCTTCCTGCTACTGTTGTGCTCAGGTAACAGTAAGAGGGTCAAAGAAAGATTGGTAGCAATGCCTACTCAACAACTGGTGTCCAAAGCCAAGGTTAAGCTCTGTCCAAAGAAAGGGAGGAAAACGTTCCACGAAGTTGTCATTTCTCCAGGCACAAGTGAGTTCCTCATTCTTTGCAAAAAGTAACCTCAAAACAATCTGACTCCCAGAAGATTTTAAAAGAAGTCTTTAGCTATGATTATTAACCATTTTAAATTAGACACTATATGAATAAAAATTCAACAAATCAAAGGTATAATAAAGCATGTTAGCACTGTTGTTTTTTAAAAGGATAATGAACTCATTAATTTCACATCGAGTACAACCAGATCCTTAACAATATATAAGAGCCAGTAAAGGAATTAATACTCCAAACATGGGAAGCATCTCCTTATTTAAGAATCCAGCCTCACAACAGTGCTATATTCAATATAAGTTTGATAACGCTTTTGGCTTAAGTTCTCTAGGGCTCACGCTTACCTTAATGCGAACTTCTTTAGTCTTTGGTGGGGCAACTTCTATTTCCTCAATGGAGAAGGGTTGCTTCTGCTCCCAAAGCACAGCTGCTTTGCATTTAATAACCTAAGAAATAGGCAAGTATTATAATGGGTCTGAATTATGCCTTTAACTTACAGACTCCCTGACTAGTATAAATATGAACAGAAGAGCATATATAATATTTTAAGTTTTCCAGAATGATTTTCATCAAACACTAGTATTATAAGCCTTATAAATCATCTTGTGTGTGCCTTTGCTTAAGGCATGAGAAATGCAGCCCAGAGTGACTAAATGATGGATCCATGGTCACCTAGCACATGACATGCAGAGCTGGACTAGACCTGAGGTACTTTTCCCAACTTATTGATTTTTGTTTGCTGTTCACATAACACCCCCACCCAAAAATAGGTTATTTTGTTACAATTTCAAATCTAATAGATTAACAAAATTGTCCTTTGTGTATCGCTTATTCACAAGAGACAAATTTATAAAACAGAAAATGCTGCTGACTTGTCTGTAAGAATTTAAACCAGTATTTAATAGCTGCATATAATCACATAGCAATGGTGAAGAAATTAGACTATTAGCATGGTAAGGATGAAGAGAACCATGAACATCATGAAGCATACAGATTATGACTGTGAGTTCCTGGATGATTGAATTTGTGTCTGCATCTCTGCATCCCATTTGCACCTAGCCCAGTTCTTGCACCTGGTAGGGCTTGATAGGCAGGTTAAAGCTTGTCATCTTATAGTAGTGGACACTAGGTGTGGAGATACCAGTGACTGGCATCCAGTTGTTCAACTGGTTTTGCTGTAGTTATTCAATTAAATGGTTTTGCTAAGATTATTGAATTATGACAGAGAGAGAGAGACAGAGACAGACACACATAGAGAAATTGTTTCCACCTTCCTACCTCCCAATCTGTCTAGGACTCCTATAAAATATTTTAATTAATTTGTTCAGATGCAAAATAAGTTACCTTCAACTTGTCAACAAACACAACAGTCCTAGAGAGCTCTTATGGATTCTTAAGTGGCTCTTTTGTAAAAAGGTTAAATGTGAAAAATGATACACTGGTAACAGATGGGCGGCTGAAAGCCATCAGTAGCTCAATTTAATATTTACCCTCTGCCTTACTAATGAAAATGTTATGGGTTACAGTGTAATATGGCCCAATGTTGACGTTAGAAATCTCACACCACATTCCCAAACAAATTCAAGCTGGATTCATTGTTAAGATTTTTATTTTTTTATTATTTTTTTTTAGACGCAATCTTGCTCTGTCGCTAGGCTGGAGTGTAGTGGCGCAATCTGGGCTCACTGCAACCTCTGCCTCCCAGGTTCAGTGAGTCCCCTGCCTCAGCCACCCGAGTAGCTGAGACTACAGGTGTGTGCCACCACGCCCAGCTAATATGTTTTTGTATTTTAGTAGAGACAGGGTTTCACCATGTTGGCCAGCATAGTCTCGATCTCCTGACCTTGTTATCTGCCCTCCTCGGCCTCCCAGAGAGCTGGGATTACAGGTGTGAGCCACTGTGCCTGGCCCAAGATTTATTTTTAAAGTCAAACTATTTTATCAATCAGTGAAGATGTAAATATTGATCATACTGAGCATGGAGTAACTTTTATGCTTAAGAGTGATAGAAAAAATAACAAAGGACAAGCCATGGGGAAAGAATGCTCTACTTAATAAATGGTGCTGAGGTAACTGGCTAGCCATATGCAGAAGATTGAAGCTAGACCCCTTCCTTATATCATACATAAAAGTTAACTTAAGATGTGACTTAAATCTAAAACCCAAAACTCTAAAAACCCTGGAAGATAACTTAGGGAATACCATTCTGAACATAGGACCTGGTAAAGACTTAATGACAAAGATGCCAAAAGCAATGGCAACAAAAACAAAAATTGACAAAAGGGGCCTAATTTAACTAAAGGGCTTCTGCACAGCAAGAGAAACTATCAACAGAGTACACAGACAACCTATAGAAGTGGAGAAAATATTTGCAAACTATGCATCTAACAAAGGTCTAATATCCGGCATCTATAAGGAACTTAAACAAAATAATAAGCAAAACACAAACAACGCCATAAAAAACTGGGCAAAGGATATGAACAGACATTTTTCAAAACAAAACATACTTATGGCCAACAAGCATATGAAAAAATACTCAACATCACTAATCATTAGAGAAATGCAAATCAAAACCACAATGAGGTACTATCTCATATCAGTCAGAATGACTATTGCTAAAAAGTCAAAAAACAAACTGGTGAGGTTGGAGCGAAAAGGGAATACTTATGCACTGATGGTGGGAAGGTTAATTAGTTCAGCCACTGTGGAAAGCAGTCTGGCCATTTCTCAAAGAACATAAAACAGGATTAACATTTGACCCAGCAATCCCATTATTGGGTATATACCCAAAGAAATATAAATCATCCTACCATAAAGACATATGCATGCGTATGTTCACGGAAGCACTATTCACAATAGCAAAGACATGGAATCAACCTAAGCGCCCATTAATGCTAGACTAGATAAAGAAAATGTGGTACATATTTGCCACAGAATACTATGCAGCCATAAAAAAATAAGATCATATTCTTTGCAGGGACATGGAAGGAGCTGGAGGCCATTATCCTGAGCAAACGAATGCAGAAACAGAAAACTAAATACTACATGTTCTCACTTATAAGTGGAAGCTAAATATTGAGTACCTATGGACACAAAGAAAAGAACAATGGACACCAGGGCCCATTTGAGGGTGGAAGGTGGAGGGAGGGTAAGGATGAAAAAACCACCAATTAGGTACCATGCTTATTATCTGGGTGACAAAATAATTTGTACACCAAACCCCATGATACACAATTTGCCTATGTAGCAAACCTGCACATGTACCCCTGAACCTAAAATAAAAGTTAAAAAAAGTCATAAAGGAAACAGCTTCTAAGAATTAAAATTTTGTGTGTTGAGAAATAGTAAATTTTCCACATTGACATCAAATAGTACTGAGGGAAAATATTAAATAGATAAAAGTTACCACATTTGATAAATACAATGCTTACTCAAATTTACAGAGGAAGTGTTAACAACTTCACTCCTAACACTCCTTCCCACTTCCACATACCACACTTACATCCTGGGAGATACATAGCAGGCAAAGGACCTATGGAAAAAACTGCAACAGATTAATGAATAGATTGTGACATGTTTGTTCTCACTCATAAAAACGCCTTTTAAAAAAATAAAAATGAGATACAATTCTGTGCCTATCAAGTCTGTAATGAATTAAAAAAAAAAATTTTTTTAAGACAATATCACACTCTGTTGCCCAGATTGTACTCTAGTTCCTGGGCTCAAGTGGTCTTCCCATCTCAGCCTCCCCAGTTAGCTGGGACTACAGGCACAAGCCACCATGCTCTGAAAATGACTTTTTACTTAATGAGAACTTAATGAGAATACACAGTATTGTCAGATAAATGGTAAAATGGGCCATCTTACCTATGTCAACCCTTTAGAAAGTAATTTGCATGGTACATCAAGATATTTAAGGATGTTGTGGCATGTTTACCCATGTAATTCCATTTTTAAAGGCTACCTCGAAGAAATATTAATTTTAGAAAAACCTCTCTATATAGCAGATGTCATCACAGCACTATTTACAAAGGAAAATACATAAACAATAATAGAGGAATGATGAAATAAATTGTGCTAAATGCAGAAATTAGACATTTAAAAATGTTTATAAATTGTTATAAATTGAAAAATGTTTAAGATGGAAAAATAGGATAAAATATTTGTATATTGTATGAGTACAGCTACATAAACTATGGATGGAAAAATAGAAGGAAACACACACACAAAAATGGTAGTTTGGGGATGTGATATTATGATTGATTTTTTTCCTTCATATTTTCTGACCTTCCAAATTTTCTAGAATAATCATTGGTATGGGATGAATTGTGTCTCCCTCCAAATTCGTATGTTGAAGTCCTAACCCCCCGTACCTCAGAAGGTGACTGTATTTGGAGATGGGGTCTTTCAAGAAGTAATTAATTTAAAATGTGGTAATCAGGGTGGAACCTGATCCAATATGGCTGGTGTCTTTATTAGAAGGGGAGATTAGGAAAAGGGAAGATCATGTGAAGACAGCGAGAAGAGGGTCATCCACAAGCCAAGGACACAGGCCTCAGAAGAAACCAACCCTGATGACACCTTAATCTCAGAATTGCAGCCTTCAGATGTACAAGAAAACAAATTTCTGCTGTTTAAGCCACCCAGTCTGTGATATTTTGTTATGGAAGCCCTAGGAAACTAATACAGTTATCTTTTACTTTTTTAATGAAAAAGAAAACATTTATTATAAAGAGAAAAAATCAATCCCAATGTAAAGGGAAACTCCTTTCAAGAGCTACACTGGAACACTACAGAAAGTTGGGAAATATATAATCCTTAGGCAAACCACACTATTGCATGACCATATATCAAAATCATATAACTTTTATACTCTTTATATATTATATACTGTATTATTAATTGGAAAGTGCTGCCTTGAGGCTACTTTCTCCATCATCAGAAATGTTCTTACAGTGGATGAATATCGACTTCCTAGAAATAGTGTAACCAGACCTGAAGCATCTGTTGGGTGGTAAAAGTTGCAAATTTTTAAGATTCCTTTCAGTTCTAAGATTCATTAATATCCATGGGTAGAGTTGCTAGTTTCTGTAGTGCAAAATTAACTTCCCAAGTAATCTAGTTTTGCTGGATTTCTGACCCAAATTAGGATGGTTTTATTCCAGTTCTATCCAATTCTAGTAAAACTTATTTCAAATTCTAACATCATAGAGTCTCCTGACTTGTCACATTACCCAGACTTCTCATGTCATCTTTATTTTTCCAAAACCTTAAGCAAGCTAAATGCAAAATTGTTCAAGTTAAAACAAAACAAACAAAAAAATTTAGTCCTTTAAGCAATTATGTACCCATTTAAAGTAAGGAAATATACTGACCTATTTTCAAATAAAAAAAAACAAAGCAAAGCTGTTTCTAAAGTTAATACCAACTCTGCTAACTCTGTTGTTTTTAGAACGATAAACATACTTTACCAATAATATAGTCTTGATTTTAAAGAATTTTTAAATATATATTTTGATAAAAATTACATTTGTAAGAAACCTAAAATTCATGACACTTTCTTGGCCATTTTGCATCCCAGAATTAGCATTTTCCATTCTTAATGGCAGGAACGTTTCTTCCAACATCTGGGCATGAGACCCTGGTTTCCCATTGAACTACTGCAGCGAGTGCAGCACATGCTACTGAGACGATTGAAGTGTCCTTGTGGAAACATTTGGCTTCCTGGAGCAATTGCCCAGCTATCCGGAAATCAAATTATGAATAATGCCAATATAAATCAATTTCTCTATTTTCCACCAATGTCTTGCTGACATTGGATATACTATTTCCAACTTACCCCTGCTTCCACTGACATTCTCTGAAACACCATATCCAGTGTTTCCCTCACTGTATGCCTGCTCACCAAGCATTTCATTCCTCAAGGAATATCTCCAAGTGTTTAATTACTTTAATGGATTCAAAGTTCTAAGTATCAGCCTCACATCATTAGGTCATGATGAGGAGGGGACAGAAATGTTCCACTTACTTTTCCAGCAGTGCCCATCCTGTCTTTGTCTTGGATCTGTATTTCTGCAAACATAGACTTTTTCTGACTGATGCTCAGTTCACTCTGTTGTATATAACAGCAGCTTGTGCCTTCACATAGATAGTCTGGCTTCAGAGTTCCACCTTCAGCAATATGACTCACAGCCGTCACAACTTTGCAATGGTCTGCAAGCCCTACCCTTTGCAGACCAACTTATAAAAAGAAATACAGTAACTACTATGATCAAACCAAGAGGAGGGATCTAACAAAAACAAGATAATCAAAGCTATTGAAAAGGGCTGAAAGCATTCCTATCCACCTTATTTTGAAGGATATAAAAACGGGTTAGGTTACTTCACTTCAACACAATCATGAAAAATGTATTGGGTGTTTAAGTGCAAGCTGCTTTGCCTAGGCATGGCTGATTTTAGAGATGCGTGTGTACATCTCTACTTCTTAATGCTCTACTTCATTCTGCAAAGACTTGATGTGGTTTCTGGAATTAAATATAAATGAAAACAGAGCCAAGGAAATGTAAAATAATTGCAACAGTAGGTCAAGTTTGGGCAAGAGAAGTTGAGATGATATAAAATATCAATATGGATGACTATGGTTTCTAAGTATTTTAGGTGTAGAAAGTTAAGTGAAACTTTCTGTGTCTGCACTTAGAGAAATTATCATCTGACTCCAAATCCCATTAACCACAGAGTTGCCTCATATGGTTGTACAGTTTGTTTACGGCACCAATGTAACACAGTGCAGGGGCTCAAGAGAAATTGAAATCCAGCCTGCATACTGGCTATCGAATGCCAGAGGGTTTTCATCTACTTGGGCAAGTACCTAGGTCTTCTTGAGTAGCTGTTTAACCATTACAGACCATTATTTCTTAATATAAGTTGCAATGGCTCCAGAAGCTTCTGGATCTATTATTTGATAGGAGAATGTCCAGTATAGATGTTATTTTTGACAGTAGATGGTCAGCATACTGGTACACCAGATGGTCAGCATACTGGTACACCATCACCTCCAAGAAAACTTTACACAAAGGATATTTTACTTTTGTTAAGTGATCCAGTGAAGCAGGTTTTCTAAGTCTTCAGACAAAGCTGTTCAAGCTATGAAGTCCAGAACCTGGACTCTTAACAACCCAGAGATGAAATTTGCTAAGAGTTTATTTTTCAGATACAAACAAAAGTTTCTTTTCAAAAATAAGTATACATTTTTTCCACACATCTCTCTTTCAATATAACATAGTAAATGTACATCCAATTTAACATATATTATGTCAAATTCAGAATTTGTAATTAGAATTTGTTACTACAACTCATTAACCAAATCAAATCCACCAGGAAAAACCATTGCCAGTTGATTTGGCTTGTGAGTAAGCACCATTGCTTTAGCAGTAGTGCTGAAGAACTCCAGTATGTTTGCTGGCACTATAAGACAAAGTTAAACAGGTGTGGACAAGGACAGGTATTCTTAGTCTCGACTTTCAAACAAAAACTTGTTTACTTATGAACAAAAGAAAATGAGTTCAAACATGGGTGGTGACAGCATAAATGCAAAAGCGCTGAATTGATAAACTCCCTCTTAAGGGCTTGGCAAAACTTTGTATCATATTAATCTAAAATTTTTTTACAAAAAATAATGTATCATGTGAGGCTTAATATCTGAATAAGTCTTATGGTCCTAATCCAGTCTCCATGAAACTTGATTGGATGATAAAGTGCCAAAAGCTGAATCTTGGAAGGTAATAAAAAAAATGGGTCAGTTTGGATATATAGCAGCTAAGTCTTAATTTTAGGTTTAGAGAATTTAACAGATGACTTCTTTCTTCTAAACACCATATTTCTATGAAATTCTGGGGCCAGAACCCTCAGGGTACTCAATCTCCTAGTTACTGTGAGCCTGGTCCTACTCCCAAAGTTTACAAAAGCCTTTAATGATTACCTCAAAGCACCCATGCAACTGTAATTTCCTCAGGTCAAGATACAGGGGAACTTAGAGGAACTTTGAAAAGTGTACTACAGGAATATGGGCTTTGGAATTAGAGTCACTTGGTTCAGGGCCTGGAGCCTTGCTTGAATATGTATGACTTCAGCTTCCATATTCATAAAATAAGACTAATGATAACCACATTGCATGGGTGTCCTGAGGACTGGTAGTGAGGGTCAGAAAGCACTGAAGTATACTGCCTGATTCATAATCAGTAGCAGATGTCATTATTATTAACTTGACTCCAGTTGGCTGCTTGGATTATTATTATTATTATGGATTGTTTGCTCAAATATTTAAATATGGAACCACATGAGACCAAATGTCCCGGAGTCCTGACTCAGTAAAGCTGTCTTGCAGCAATCGACTGTGAGGTCCTGGAAGCCGCCAGAATTTCCTAAGAGTTTGAGGACTAAGTCTTTTGAACCTGGAAGTGCTACCAGAAATTTAGATGAAACCTAAGAGGCAAAATATGATCCACACAGGTGTTGACCAGCCATTGGTGTGCACAGAATTGAGGGGGTTCCCAGGATGCAAGATTTTCAGTTCCCAAACCAGGAGAGTCCCAGGCAAATGGAGACTAGTCGGTTACCCTGTCCATACTCTGCAGCACCTGTGAGTGTGGGAGTCTGTAAGTGTGGGAGGCTTACAGGGTCATGTTATCAGCACTACTCTCCTACAGCCTTGCTCCTTCGCCCTTCGGTAACAGCTTTCTGTTATGGACCCTGTCCAGAAGTGTTCTCACTCCAGTCTCATAATGACAGCAGAGAAGTGAAAGAGTCACTACAGTCAAAAGAGCTAGGTATCTGCTCCATAGGGACTGGTAGGCACTTATGGCGAGAAAACTAAATGCTCCAACCTTCACAAAGGGAGAAAATAATACCCACTTCAGGACTTGCTGTAAAGCACAAGTGCGGAAGTGCTTATTAAACTGTCAAACACTCAGTAACTGAAAATTAAATAGGTATTTCCCTAAGGTTAAGAAGGGAAGAAAGGATCTGTTTATTGCTAAATCATTCTTAATAGCATAAATAGTTATGCAATTGTACTTACTGAGTGGGATATAACTAGACACCCTGTATTAGGGTGAATGCTGCTCATTTACACTCCACTTTAGTAAACTACAAACCTTGAGGGTGGGGTTTCATTCTTGCCATTGTCTCTAAAATTCTCTTTCTCCAACACTGCAAACTCAGGTGGTAAATCCTATGGCTAGATGCAAGCTGAAACTCATCCTTTCATACCATCAGCTCTGCCAAGCCAACTGGGAATGAGGCTGTGCCACGAGTAGGGCAGAGATCGGGCCTCTGCAGCTCTGCCCAGATTTGTCACGCTTTTGCTAATCCTTTTTCAGGCACACTGTGCCAGCTTTCAGAACTGCCATGGGAGATTGTGCCTAGTAGTTTCAGAAAATTTGCTTCTGCATGCACACCCTACTCAAGAAAAGAATCCAAAGCAGATTTTTCACAAGATGAGGGCTTCACATCTGCTTCCCATAAACTCTCCATTTCACTTAGCTCATGAAATCGGTGTGCTGGCTGATGAGAATTTCATTTCAAGGAGGTCAAGGATTGTGAAAAAAATAAACCCAAGTTTTTTTCTTTTTCCTACTCATTATCTCAAAAAAAAAAAAAAAAAAGCACAGGAGAATCAGTTTTGTGATGTATGCAACTAAGGATTTGTTGAAAATGACCCCAAGGCACTAAGGCCTAGCAGTTCTTTACAGAGACTGAGCCTAAAGGCTGTTTCTGGCAGGGAAGGACCGGCATCAAAACACAGCAATCAGAAAGGGAGCGTGCCTAAAAACTGGAAGATGGGAGGCACAACCTTGCGAAGAAGACAGACATGGCTCTGGGAGGTGTTCAGTATCTCATTAAGTCAAGTTAAAGTTTCTCTCTTTGCATCTGTTTCCGAAGGTCCCCTCAGGACTCATGTCACTAAAATATAGAGCAGGCTCCTGGAATGGTATGGTAGCAGCGGAAGTGGCCTTGGACCAATTCTTCATTGCAGAGCTTTGCACATACTTAGTACCTCACCTTACGCTGCAGCAGTGTGGTCAGGGGCAAGCCTGGAAGAAACCTCAGTGACTCCCCACCGCACCTCAACTCTTGAAGTTTTGCTTTAACCTGTTTCACATTTGCAAGCCTTTATTTGGAGAAAAGAGGTTCCTCATGGTTTTACCCCCTTGTATTTTCTAAAGCCTGGAAGTAGAAACATGAGAGAAACTCTTGAGACTAACTTGTTATATATATGGAGAAGAGAATTCCAAGCTTAAATAGGTTAACTTATGAAGGTTTTGAGCTGCTTATCATGAAAAGGTCACAACCATCTGCAAGTAACAATACAGACCAAACTCCTGCACTGTGGGAGAGGTTAGACTAACTTCAGTATTACCTAAGACATGAAACATAAGGACTGATAATTGGAAATGCAAGGGATAGTGAAGAGCACTCATCTAGGCTGCAGCCAACAGAGGTCATTGTGACTTCCTTCATTCACCCCAGTGAGCTGCTAGATCCATTCTGGCTGCTAGAGATCAGAAGCCAGAATGGATCCAAACATGGATCAACATGTCCCAGGAGGTGAACTGGAAAGTCCTTGGAGGTCTAAGTCTCCAAATACAATTATATCACATGAACCTTGAAATGTAGGAGTATTTGCAAGGATGGGCGAGGAAGGTGAAAGAGAGGAAGAGGAGGCAAAAACAACAATTTGCTAATAGGTTGGTGCAAAAGTAATCCATTACTTTTAATATAAAAACTGCAATTACTTTTGCAACAACCTAATACAATATTATAAATGTGATAAAAACCACAACTCTCATTAACTTCTTAACTGTTTTCTTTCATCTTATTGAACTGGTGAAAGCTTCACTGCTGTCTGGACCTTCCGAGAACAAAAGGAATACTGCTCTTACAGTGAACCGGGTATTTCTGCTTTTGTTCTCCACCCAGGTGCCCCATGAGTTTTAGATTGTTTTTAAGGTGGTTAAGGGCAGATCCAGGATGATATTGAATCCCATCTCCCTGGGATTCCTATAGTATGATGAGGTTATCTTGGGTCTAAAAAATTCTCAGCTATGTAAGTTTGAGAGCCTGATTTTGATTAGATTCTGAGGTTGATTAGATTCTGGAATCTGATTCACATTAATCATGTACATGAAAAATTGATAAACAAGGTACCAATTTGTTAATATATACTGCCTGGCACTATAACTTTGAACAGATTCCGCATAAGAAACACGATTGGTAGATGTAATATTCAAAATATTCAAAATATTTATCAACCTAAAATACATGGCACTGATCAATCAGTGCATCCACAGCTTAATTTAATAGATGCCAGCTGACTTGCCATTTCCAGGCATATCGGATAGATGTCAGCCCTGGGAATGAGTGAGGGTTAATATTTGAGTAATCCGACTACCTGCCAGACACTAATATATAATCAATTTTTGTGGGTTATTTTATTGAAAACTCACAATGATCCTTTGAGGAATGCATTTAAGAAACAAGGGCTCAGAGATTTTAGATAACTTCCTCTTGGTCCCACAGGTAATAAAATGTAGTTTGAGGAAGGCATTTCATAAACTGGACTCTCCCTGCTTGCAGATGAAATGATCCTATATCTAGGAAACCCCATCACTTTAGTCCAAAAGCTTTGTAAGCTGATAAGCAACTTCAGTAAAGGCTTAAGATACAAAATTAATGCACAAAAATTGCTAGCAACTGTACATCAACAACAGTCAAGATGAGATGAGAGCGAAGTCACAAATGAGCTCCCATTCACAATTGCCACAAAAAGGAATACAGCTAACAAGGGAGATGAAAGATCTCTCTAAGAAGAACTAAAAACCCCTGCTCAAAGAAATCATAGATGACATAAATGAATGGAAAAATATTCCGTGTTCATGGATAGGAAAAATCCATATCATTAAAATTGCCATAGTGCCCAAAGCAATTTATACATTCAATGCTATTCCCATTAAACTACCAACGACGTTCTTCACAGAACTAGAGAAAACTATTTTAAAATTCATATTGAACCAAAAAAGAGCCCAAATAACCAAGGCAACTCTAAGCAAAAAGAACAAAGCTAGAGGCATCCTGCTACTCAATTTCAAACTATACTACAGGGCCACAGTAACCAAAAAAGCATGATATTGGTACAAAAACAGACACATGGACCACTGGAACAGAACAGAGAACCCAGAAATAAGACTACACACCTACAATTATCTGATCTTCAACAAACCTGACAAAAACAAGCAATAGGGAAAGAATTCCCTATTCAATAAATGGTTCTGGAATAACAGGCTAGCCATATGCAGAAAATTAAAACTAGGCCCCTTCCTTAAGCCAAGTACAAAAATTAACTCAAGGTGGATTAAAGACTTAAATGTAAAACCCAAGACAATAAAAACTCTGGAAGACAATCTAGGCCATATCATTCAGGACATAGGCACCGGCAAAGATTTCATGAGGAAGATGCAAAAAGCAATTGCAACAAAAGCAAAAATTGACAAATGGTATCTAATTAAACTCAAGAGCTTCTGCACGGCAAAAGAAACTACCAACAGAGTACACAGACAACCTATAGAATGGGAGAAAAGTTTTGCAAACTATGCATCTGACAAAAAATCTAATATACAGCATTATAAGAAACTTAAAGTTACAAGGAAAAAACACCATTAAAAGGTGGGCAAAGAATATGAACAGACATTTGTCAAAAGAAGACATACATGTGGCCAACAATCATATGAAAAAAAGCTCAACATCACTGATCATTAGAGAAATGAAAATCAAAACCACAATGAGATACCATCTCACACCAGTCAGACTAGCCATTTTAAAAAGTCAAAAAATAACAGATGCTGGCGAGGTTCTGGAGAAAAAGGAATGCTTATACACTGTTGGTGGGAGTGTAAATTAGTTCAGCCATTGTAGAAAAGAGTGTGGTGATTCCTCAAAGACCTAAAGACATAACTGCCATTCGACCCAGCAATCACATTACTGAGTATATATCCAAAGGAATATAAATTGTTCTATTATAAAGACACATGCACATGTATGTTTATTGTAGCACCATTCACAATAGCACAGACATGGAATCAACCTAAATGCCCATCAATGGTAGACTGGATAAAGAAAATGTGGTACATATTCACCACGGAAAAGTAGGCAGCCATTATAATGAATGAGGTTATATTCTTTGCTCTGACATGGATAGATCTGGAGGCTGTTATCCTTAGCAAACTAATGCAGGAACAGAAAACCAAATGCCACATGTTCTCATTTATAAGTAGGAGCTAAATGATGAGAACACATGGACATGCAGAGGGGAAGAACACACATTGGGGCTTATAAGAGGGTACAGGGTGGAAGGAGGCAGGGTATCAGGAAAAATAACTAATGGGTACTAGGCTTAAAAACTCAGTGATGAAATAATCTGCACAACAACACCCCATGACATGTGTTTACCTATGTAACCTGCACATGTACCCCCGAACTTAAAAGTTTTTTAAAAAAGAAACTGGACTCAGAGATTTTAGATAACTGGCCCATATTCCCACAGGTAGTAAAATGAAGTCTGGTTTTACACACAGGTCCATGTGTACCATACTGTAAAATGTATCCCCTTCTGGTAAATTCACACAAGAAACAAATTTAGATCAAATGGTCAACTAATGCTGATATCAGAGCAAAGAATGTCATTTTGTCTTAAAGAAATTCCTTGAGTTTTTTTTTTTTTAATGAATGCCAGGGCTATCTCTAAAAAATAAAAGCTAGAATTTTATTTATGTAATTAAGCTGGTCAGGGCTAGAATGTCTAAGCTGTCTGTACCTTCAAGGTTATTACTCTTTATGTAGATCTGGCTGTTTGTCAGTAATTGACAGAAATGAAGCTTAAATAACAAGGCCTGTTATTCTGGAGGAATGTTTTTCAACTTCACTGCACATTAGAAAGAATTGAGAAGCTGTTAAAAAAACACAATACCAGAACAACATCCACATGATTCCCCTTTCAATAAACACAAGTTTGGGGACATCTTCCCAAGTGACCCAGTGTGAAGCCTATCTGGGACCACTATTCTTCCATACTAGCAGTGCCACCCAAAGCGTGATCCCTCTGATTATTATTATTATTATTATTATTAGCATGAACCCTCCTCAGTCCATGAGAAGACGGACCTCAAAACTAAGAGTGTTTAGAAACTTCTATAGAAACTGACAAATTAAGTTTATATCTGTTAAATATAATCAAAAAATATGGATTAGTATTTTGCTTCTCATTATTTTTCTAGTAATCCATTTTTATTATATTTTATAAAAGGATCAGTCCATGATGGACTGGAGAAGGAATAGAAAGGGTCTTCATCACAGATAGTTTAAGAAACACAGCCCAAAACCATGTATTAGATCACCCTAGTTCATTCCAAAGACTATGCTTTGTGAGATATGCCCCTGTACTTTCTGTCCTTCCAAGACTGGCACTGCATCCTTCATCACTTTTTGTGTCATTACCGAGGTAAAGCATAGCATCCTCAAAGGGTTGGCTTGTCTTTGCCAGTTTTCTCTCAGATAACATAGGTATGCTCTCTCACTCCTTCTATAATTTGCCTGGAAAAAATGGAAATGTATGAGTGTAAAATGTGCATTTATTCTCAGTGATAAAAGCAAAAGGAAGAGCCCAATTGAACCTTAAGGAGCAGGTGCCTGTCTGATATGAAATCTGAGGTTCCTCAGCTAAACACACCTCTGCAGGAAAGAGCCCCGGACATTGTTAAAGAACTATGGTCAGACAACACTGTGGCCTTGTATTTTTTTTTTTCTTGTCCTAGGAATGAAGTTTTGTGACAAGATTGAGTCTTATGGCAGTGCTGACTGAGGACGAGACCAGGAATTATATAACTATGAGGATGCTGGTGGCTAAATTGAGGTCAGAGCTATAATTGTGTAAGAGAGGTCTAAACTGACAAGAAGCTATGGTTTGTCCTGGATTTCTTCAAAACGAAGAACTTGTAATTTTAAAATAAAAAGGTTTAACTCTGCCTAAACTATGGGGAATTAATTGAATTAATTAAAAATCAATGCATAGTCTGGTAAAGAGTTTTGGCATTGATGTTGTTGATGTCACTTCCATATTTGAGACTTGGTGTTGGAAATGTAACTTGGACACTGAAATGGAAGAATTTCTGAAATATTTCAGTGCTTTATAGAAAAAGTAGAACAGGATATTTTATATCAAAAGATGCTTGAAAGTCAGAGACCTGGCCAAATTTTTGCCATTGTGTAAGGAGAGTAGGTAACCTCCTTCTATCTGAAATTATGGCCCGTAATTTGTTAGAAATTACCTTGGTTAAATTATGGTCTATATCTTTCTCTTTTTAACTGAATGTTCCTTCAATTAATCATAGCAAATGTTTATTAGATCACTAAATAATTATCTCATTTGATTATAAAACTCTTACAAAGCAGATGATATTGTTCATTTTAGAGAAAGAGACTGAGGCACAATTTAAAATAAATCTCAAGGTAATCTCAAAGGGGAAATGATATGCTACATGGGTGATAGGAAACCTATTGGTGGATTGTGGAAAATATTTATAAAATAGTTGAACAAAGGGTATAAATAAGTAGGAAAAGGCAAAAAAAAGAGGAAAGGAAATGAGCTGGAAGCCAGCAAGTGGTCTGAGTCCTAACACCAAGTTCTAAGTTGGGCCATCATCATTTAATCAAGGAATGGGCTATCCCTTGATTGTAAGTATTAGTTTTAAATACTTAAAATTTTAATTATTTAAAAGTAAATTGTAAGTATTAGATTTAAATACTTACAATTCTAAGTATTTAAAAGTTCTGCCTGGTAGAACTTTCATTTACTAAGTAGTTTACATTTAGGTATCAGTATAGTCAGTATTATCAGCCTGAAGCCCCCTAAATGGGAGTTTCTGTGTCCCTACACCCATGGAGCTGAGGGCAGTGTCTTGCTCACAGAATCTCAGCGTCAAAAGGAAAGAAAGGGCTCCCAAATTTAAACTCAGGCATAGTCAGGCTAGTGTGGGTTTAGCAAACTCTTGGACAAACCATTGAGGTTATTATTCATAATTCAACCTCTTTTTTTTTTTTTGATCTGCTGGATCCTCAAAGAGCCAGCTACCCACTTTCCTCCATTGCTGTCATCACCTGGGCCCCTGTAGAAACAAATTTGCAGTCAGGTGCTATAAAAAGAATTTAGCTTTAAGGGAAAACAGATCAGGATTTTCATTTCAGATGTACCGGCTATAACACTTCAGACAAATGACTTAACTTCTTGTACCCACGTTTTTTCTCATCTGCCAAATGGAGAAGACAATGTATTTTTTATAAGAAGACCACATTGAAGTGTTTAAAAGTTTCATCTCTGGACTCTGACATCCATTTAAGAATATTGTTACCTTTGATAAACTAATTTCTGCAAGTCTTAATTTCTTCACCTGTAAAATGAGGATAATACCAATTTAGTACTTCTTTCACAAAACTGTTGTAAAGATTTAATGAGATACCATTTATGAAATGCTTGAAATATTCCCTAAAAAACTGTTTATGATCAACAAGTGTTAGCTTTTATTATCATTACTGAAGATCAGTGATAAGCCTGCCCACTGCAAGGTAACTACCCTTATTGGGATACCACGAGACAAGCTTTGAATAATTTATATGCACATTATTTTCTCCGAGCTGCCACTCTTAAATGTGCATTCAAATGATGAAAGCCTAGCTTTCTAGTTCTTTTCTCTTTAGATAAATGAGCTTGCACATATATATGTAGGCATAGGGTGTGGGCAAAATCTCAAGAAAGCTTGAATGATACCTTGTGCTCCTGTAAGACCCAGCTGGGAAGAAAGGAGGTGTATTGGATTGAATAGTGTTCCTCCAAAATTCACGTATGCCAGAACCTCAGAATGTGGCCTTATTTGAGAATAGGGTCCTTGCAGATGTAATGTAAGTAGTTAAGATGAGGTCATATTGAATTAGAGTGAGCTCTAAATTCAAAGATTAGTGTCCTTATATGAAGGCTAGGTGAAGATGCAAAGAGACACACAGAGGAGAACAGCATGTGACCACAGAGGCAGAGATTGGAGTGATACATCCACAAGCCAAAGGATGCCAAAGATTGCTGGGAACTACCAGAAGCTAGGGGAAAGGCATGGAACAGATTCTGCTTCAGAGACTCTAGGAGTATCCAATCCTGATGATACTTTGATTTTGGACTTCTGGTGTTCAGAAACTATGAGAGAACAAATTTCTGTTGTTTTAAGCTACCAAGTTTGTGTACCTTGTTATGGCAGCTCTATGAAATGAACACAAAAGCGGTCTCTAACCAAAAGGAATATTATAGGATCTCTCCTCTCCAGGCAGGGTCAACAAGGAGAAGTGAAGAAAGCGTGTGTATAGGAGTACCAAATGTATCCAGAAAAACACAGGACATCAGAAAGTGGGTCCTGGAAGACACTGTAAGGGCAGGTACACATTCTGTTACATCAGTGGCTCATTGGGCAACTGAGGGTAGTTCTGTAACATCCCAAGTGGGGGGCCAGACATGAAGAGGCAGGGAAACATAATCATATTGAAAGGAACAAAATTTTTAGACATGGGGCTGCTCAAGTACTGCAAGGGTGACTCTCCATGTAGATTCAGAGTCTGGGCACTCCAGTCAACACTAACTGATAAATCCTTTTAAGCATATAGCAAAAAGATGACCACCTTCTTATACTTCAAAGACAACACTGATACCTAAATGTAAACTACTTAGTAAATGAAAGTTCTACCAGCCAGTTTTAAATCAAATGCTTACAATTTTAATCAAAGGATAGCCCATTAACCAAACAATTGTTTTTATGAAGTGTGTTTTTTTTTTGTTTTGTTTGTTTTAAATGTCTAGGAGACACCTTACCAAGACCTCATTTATTTTAACACTTCCTGGGAGACCTTTATTGTCAAACTCGACCAGATTTATTCAACAAACAGCAATTCGAGAAAGCAGTGGAAAAGAGCTGAGTCACAGTGAAAGTGACATTTCCCTTTGCAGCTGAAGAAACCACCGGCTGTGATTAACTGCTTGACTAGTCCTCCAGTGTGAAGGATCACAATGGGATCAAGAAGGCTTGGCTGGGCTATGAGAAAGAAAAGAACTGAATCAAATTGGAGCCTGGGAAACTCAGTTCACAGGATCCCCTAAAAGTTACAAATGTCACAAGTGTGAGTGACCATTCATTTACTTAATCAGGCAATAAATCTTTTATTCATTCAATGAGATTTTTTATTAGTTTCTACTGTGGGCCTAGGTGCCGGGATATTGGTGGTGGGGTCAGATACTAAAATGATTCTGAGACAGTTTCTGTTCCAATAGGCTTAGAATATAATAGATTCTCAACAATCTTTTTTTTCAATAGTCTTTCATCCCCAAATAATTCTGTCTTTAAAAGAGAAGAGCCACCTGAGGAGTGACTGGAGAGCTGTCCATTCAAACTTCCCTTATTGCTGAAATGTTGCTAAACAGAGTTTGACATTGACTCTTAGCTGCCAATCACTCTCTCCAGTGTGGGACAGACCAGCAACTCAGTGCAGGTTCATTTGGGTACTGAAGGACAATCAAAACCTAACTACAGGATGATTGATCTGTGATACCTTCCGAGAACAATCGTAATCAAAAAGAGAAATATGAAAGTGGTCGGAATCAAAATGGAGTCATGTATGTTTAAAACAAACAAACAAACAAACAAATACAAAAAACCCTGACAAATAGAGCTGGGGAGGGCTATGAAGAGAGGCTTCTCACACTTATATGCCAGATAATAAAAACTTCCACAAAAGACTCTACAGAAGCCACAACAATGCACAAAGGTCATCACAACCTTACACAAAAAATACTTCTGTGAGGATATCTGCCCAGCAACTAACTGCCTGTCCAAACTCAGACTGGCACCACCTTTGTTCCTTTGTTATTAATCTTTGTAGTGAAAGATAATTATCTCAAAACAATTATACAATTCTGCTCATTATTTTTAACTTTTATTTTAGGTTCAGGGGTACATGTGAAGGTTTGTTACATAGGTAAACTCATTTCATGGAGGTTTGTTGTACAGATTATTTCATCACCTGGGAATTAAGCCAGTACTCAATAGTTATCTTTGCTGCTCTTCTCCCTCCTCTCAACCTTCACCCTCAAGAAGAGCCCAGTGTCTGTTGTTTCCTTCTTTGTGTTCATACTCATCATTTACCTCCCACTTATAAATGAGAACATGCTGTAGTTGGTTTTCTGTTCCTGTGTTAGTTTGCTGAGGATAATAGCCTCCAGCCCCATCCATGTTCCTGCAAAAGACTGATCTCATTCCTTTTTTATGGCTGCATAGTATTCCATGGTGTATATATACCACATTTTCTTTTTCCAGTCTACCACTGATGGGCATTTAGGTTGATTCCATGTCTTTGCTATTGTGAAATGTGCTGCAATGAACATGTGTGTGCATGTGTCTCTATAATAAAACAATTTATATTGCTTTGGGTATATACCCAGTAATGGGATTGCAGGATAAAATGGTAGTTCTGACTTTAGGTTTTTGAGGAATCATCACACTGTCTTCTACAATGGTTGAACTAATTTACACTCCCACCAACAGTGTATAAGCATTCCCTTTTCTCCACAGCCTCACCAGCATCTGTTATTTTTTTTACTTTTTAATAGTAACCATTCTGACTGCTATGAGATTGTATCTCATTGTGGTTTCAAAATGCATTTTTCTAATGATCAGTGATGTTGAGCTCTTTTTCATATGACTGTTGGCCACGTGTATGTCTTCTTTTGAGAAGTGTCTGTTCATGCCTTTTGCCCACTTTTTAATGGGACTGTTTGTTTTTATCTTGTAAATTTGTTTAAGTTTCTTATGGACACTGGATATTAGATCTTTGTCAGATGCATAGTTTGTAACTATTTTCTCTTATTCTACAGGTTGTTTGTGTACTCTGTTGATAGTTTCTTTTGCTGTGCTGAAGCTCCTGTGTTTAATTAGATTCCATTTGTCAGTTTTTGCTTTTGTTGCAATTGCTTTTGGTGTCTTTGTCATAAAATCTTTGCCCGTTCCTATGTCCAGGATGGTATTGCCTAGGTTGTCTTCCAGAGCTTTTATAGTTTTGAGTTTTACATTTAAGTCTTTAATTCATCTTGAGTTAATTTTTGTATATGGTGTAAGGAAGGGGTCTAGTTTTAATTTTCTTCATATGGCTAGCCAGTTATCCCAGTACCATTTATTGAATAGGGAGCCTTTTCTCCATTGCTTGTTTTTTTTGAGAATCAGGTGGTTGTAGATGTACAGCCTTATTTCTGGGTTCTCTATTCTGTTCCATTGGTCTATGTGCCAGTTTTTGTACCAATACCATGCTATTTTGGTTACTGTAGCCGTGTAGTATAGTTTGAAGTTGGGTGACATGATTCCTCCAGCTTTGTTTTTGTTTTGTTTTGTTTCCCTTAGGATCATGTTGGCTATTCAGGTTGTTTTTTGGTTCCACGTAAATTAAAAAATTTTTTTTCTAGTTGAAGAATGTCATTTGTAGATTGATAAGAATAGCGTTGAATCTGTAAATTGCTTTGGACAGTATGGCCATTTTAATGATGTTAATTTTTCCTATCCATGAATATGGCATGTTTTTTCCATTTGTTTGTGTTATCTCCGATTTCTTTGAGCAGTGTTTTGTAATTCTCATTGTGGACATCTTTCATCTCCCTGGTTAGCTGTATTCCTATGTATTCTATTCTTTTTGTGGTGATTGTGAATGAGATTGCCTTTCTGATTTCACTCTTGGCTTGGCTATTGTTGGTATATAAGAATGCTAGTGATTTTTGCACATTAATTTTTTATCCTGTGACTTTGCTGAAGTTGTTTATCAGCTGAAGGAGCTTTTGGGCTGAGACTATGGGATTTTCTAGATATAGAATTATGTCATCTGTAAACAGATAGTTTGACTTCCTCTCTTCCTATTTGGATGCCTTTTATTTCTTTTCTTGCCTGATTACCGTGGCTAGGACTTCCAGTACTATGTTGAATAGGAGTGGTGAGAGAGGGCATCCTTGTCTTGTGCTGGTGTTCAAGGGGAATGGTTCCAGCTATTGCCTATTTGGTATAATGTTAGGTATGGGTTTGTCATGAATGGTTTTTATTATTTTGAAGTATGTTCCTTCAATACCTAGTTTATTGAGAGTTTTAACGTGAAGGGGTGTTGAATTTTATCAAAAGCCTTTTCTGCATCTACTGAGATAATAATGTGTTTTTTTCTTTAGTTCTGTTTATGTGATGAATCATATTTATTGATTTGCTTATGTTGAACCAACCTTGGGTATCCCAGGGATTAAGCCTACTTGATCATGGTCGATTAGCTTTTTGATGTGCTGCTGGATTCGATTTGCAAGTATTTTATTGAGGATTTTTGCATTGATATTAATCAAGGATATTGGCCTGAAGTTTTCTTTTCTTGTGTCTTATGACAGTATTTTGGTATCAGGATAACGCTGGCCTCATAGAATTAGTTGGGGAGGAGTCCTGTCTCCTCAATTTTTTGGAATAGCTTTTGTAAGAATGATAATAGTTCTTCTTTGTACATCTGGTAGAATTTGTGAATGCATCAGGTCCTAGGCTTTATTTTGATTAGTCAGATATTTATTACTAATTCAATTTTAGAACTCGTTGTGGTCTGTTTAGGAAATCAATTTCTTCCTGGTTCAGTCTTGGGAGAGTGTATGTGTCCAGGAATTTATCAATCTCTTCTAGGTTTTCTAGTTTGTGCATATAGAGGAGTTTGTAGTAGTTTCTGATGGTTATTTATATTCCCATGGGGTCAGCAGTAACATTCCCTTCATCGTTTCAAATTGTGTTTATTTGAATCTTTTCTCTTTTCTTTATTAGTCTAGCTAGTGGCCTAGCTTATTAATTGTTTCAAAAAACAAACTCTTAAATTCATTGATCTTTTAAATGGCTTTTCATGTCTCATTTTCCTTCAGTTCAGGTTTGATTTTGGTTATTTCTTGTCTTCTGCTAGTTTTGGGGCTGATTTTTTCTTGCTTCTCTAATTTTTTTCAGTTGTGATGTTAGGTTGTTAACTTGAGATCTTTCTGACTGTTTTACATGGGCATTTAGTGCAATGAATTTCCCTTTGAACACTGCCTTACTTGTCTCAGAGATTCTGGAATATGATATCTTTGTTCTCTTTAGTTTCAAAAGCTTATTGATTTCTGCCTAAGTTTCATTATTTACCCAAAAGTAGTTCAGAAGCATGTTGTTTAATTTCCATGTAATTCATGGTTTTGAATTATTTTCTTAGTCTTGACTTCTGTTTTTATTGCACTGTGGTCTGAGAGTGTGTTTGGTATGATTTGGATTTTTTTGCATTTGCTAAGGATTGTTCTGTGTCCAATTACATGGTCGATTTTAGGGTATGTGCCATGTAGCAAAGAGAAGAATGTATACTCTGTTGTTTTGGTGTGGAGAGTTCTGTAGAAGTGTATCAGATCCATTTGGTCCAATGTTTAGTTCAGGTCCTGAATATCTCTGTTAATTTTCTGCCTCAAAGTTATGTCTAATATTGTCAGTGGAGTGTTGAAATCTCCCACTACTATTGTATGGGAGTCTGTGTCTTGTCGTAGGTCTCTAAGAACTTGCTTCATGAATCTGAGTGCTCCTGTGTTTGATGCATATCTATTTAGGGTAGTTAAGTCTTCTTGTTGAATTGAACCCTTTATCATTATGCAATGCCCTTGTCTTTTTTTTTAGCTTTTTTGGTTTGAAGTCTCTTTTGTCTGAAACTAGGATTGCAACCCCTGCTTTTTTCTGTTTTCCATTTGTTTGGTAGATTTTTCTCCATCCCTTTATTTTGAGCCTATGGGTGTCATTTTGTGTGAGATGAGTCTCTTGAAGACAGCATGCCACTAGGTCTTGCTATTTTATCCAACTTGCCACTCTATGCCTTTTAAGTAGGGCATTTAGCCTGTTTACATTCAAGGTTAGTATTGATATGTGTGGATTGGATCATGTCATTGTGTTGTTAGCTGGTTACTATGTTGCCTTGTTTGTGTGGTTGCTTAATAGTGATAGTGGTTTGTGTGTTTAAGTGTGTTTTTGTATTAGCTGATAGCAGACTTTTCTTTCCATATTTAGTGCACCTTTCAAGATCTCTCATAAGGCAGGTCTGGTGGTAACAAACTCCCTCAACATTTGCTTATTTGCAAAGGATCTTATTCCTCCTTCACTTAGGAAGCTTAGTTTGGCTGGATATAAAAATTCTTGGTTAAAGATTTTTTTTCCTTAAGAATGTTGAATCTAAGCCTCTAATCTCTTCTGGCTTGTAGGGTTTCAGTTGAGAAGTCTGCTGTTAGCCTAATGGTGTTCCCTTTGTAGGTGAGCTGCCCTTTTTCTCTACCTGTCTTTAACATTATTTCTTTTATTTCAGTCTTGGGAAAGCTGATGATTATGTGTCTTGGGGGTGATCTTCCTGTGTAGAATGTTGCACTTCTCTGCATTTCTTGAATTTGACTCTTGGCCTCTCTAGCAAGGTTTGGGAAGCTTTCAGGGACAATGTCCTGAGATAGGTTTTCCAAGTTGTTTCCTTTCTCCCCTTCCCTTTCAGTGATACCAGTGATTAGTGGATTTGGCCTCTTTACATAATCCCAGAGTTCTGAGAGGTTTCGTTCATTCCTTTTTATTCTTTTTTCTTTATTTTCATGTGAGATTCTGAGATTCTTTCCTAAGCTTGATTTATTCTGCATTAATACTTGTGATTGCATTGTGAAATTCTTGTATTTTGTTATTCAGCTCTTTTAGACCCATCAGGCTCTTTTTTATACCGGCTGTTTTATCCTTCGGCTCCTGTATCACTTTAAGGTGATTCTTATTTTCCTTGGATTAGGTTTTGCTGTCTTCCTGAATCTTGATGATCTTCTTTCCTATCCATATTCTTAATTTTACTTCAGTCATTAGAGCCAGTTCAGCCTGGTTAAGAAGTTTTGTCAGAGAACTGGTGCAGTCATTTGGAGGACATATAACACTCTGGCCTTTTGAGTTACTGGAGTTCTTGACTTTTTTTTTTTCTCGTCTCTGCATGTGGATGTTCTTTACAGCAGTGTAGATTGCATACAGTCAATAGACTTCTTTTTTGATGTTTTCACCGGACCAAGACTTTGTGCAGGGTCTTTATTTGAAGCTGATTTCTTGTCTCTGGTTTCAGAATGGGATGTGTTAGCAAGGATTTGGTGTTGAAGCTTCGGGGTGTGATCCAATAGGTGTCACTTAGGCTTATTAGTTGGTAGACTCTTGCTCAGCTGTGTGGCTCCCCTGTGTTTCTTCACAGTTGCAGGTATGTTCCTCTCAGTGCTCTGAAAGTGTGGGTGCCTCTCCCCATTGAGTGCTGGTGGTTGATCATGGCTTGGCACTCCTGGGCTGGCCACTGTAGCTCTCGGACAATCTCAGTGTTTATATTCCTTCCCCAACTTGCAGGCAGCAGAGTAAAGAACCTTAGTAGTGGTTGTGGCCAAGTGTCTTTTGCTTGTCTCCTAGGGGCTCCAACCTAGAGAGATGCAGGTCAGCAATTACTCAGTACAATCATCTCAGGATGGAGGGTCTGTGCTGTGGGTCCAAGCCAGGGGTCTCTGCCTGGTGACAAGCAGTGCTGGGTGTGTGAGACCCATGGGAGACAGACTGATCTCCTTTCCTTGGGTCAATTGCAGCTTGTTGGAGGTATGGTTAAAGCACTTAGGGTCTTTGCTCCTTCACTGGTCCAAGGGTAGCAAGTGCAGTTCCACTGCAGAGGCAGTGGTAGAAAGGCATTTAGTTGCCCCTGGAGACTCTGTTCAGGGAGTTGTTGAATTGCAACTGGCTTAATAGGTCTGGGAGGGGTCAGCTAGGGCCCAGGCCTGGAGGACCTGCCCGCTGAGGAGATATGGGAATAGGCACCCAAGCGACAGTCTGGCCACTTTTCTGTAGGGCTGCTGCAGTATGTTGGAGGCCTGCTCCTGTTTCTAGTCTCCTCGGATTTTCCAGTACCTGGAGGTATCACCAGGGAAAACTGCAAAAGAGCAAAGATGGCAGACTGTCCCTCCTCTGAAAGCTCTGTACCATGGAGGTACAGACCTGTTGCTGGCCCAAGTGTACTTGTAGGAGGTGGCTGTAGACCTCACTTGGGAGTTCCCAGCCAGTGAGGAGGAATGGGATTGGGGACTCACTTAAAAAAGCAGTTTGTTCACATTTTCACAGAGCAGCTGTGCTGTGCTTGGGTACTACCTTTGTCCCTGGCTAGTGTGCATGGCTTTCATGGAGAAAAAGAGAAGGGGCAAGTAAATACAACACCTTCAACTGAAACATCCAGGTACCTCCACTGGGACTAATTAAGGAAACAACTTGACCCATGAAGAATGGAGAAAAGCAAGGCAGGACAACGGCCCACCTGGGAGTACCACAGAGCCAAGGAAACCTCCCACACCCAGGGAAGCAGACTCTCCAAAGCCTGAAGGCTGGAATGGCTAAGTTGCCCAAAAAGCAAAGATGGCAGCCCGCCCCTATACCTGGGAGCTCCATCACAGGGAAGTGCAATGCTGCTATTGGTGGCTGACTGGAATTCCAAGGCAGTGGGTCTTATCCTGTGAGGTGCCGTGGAAATGGGGCCTGCAGACTGTCACTGCTCAGCCCCCTGGATTCAGCCTCTTTTCTAGTGATATGTACCAAAGTCTAACTTCCTGCTTTGCTGGAGTTGCAGCTACTTTTGCTGGAAAGCCCAGAGAACTTGAATATCTAACGATCCTGAATCTCTGTGTGTTCCTGAGCAGCTGCTCTGCTAAGACTCCACACAGCTCTGTGTATCAGAAGGCCCCAGTGGAGTGGGTTCATGAGGGGATCTCCTGACCCAAGGGTTGCAAAGATCTGTGAGAGAATCATGCATTCTCGAGGTTGCACATTCACTCACTGCTTCCCTGGGTGTGGGAGGTTTCCTTGGCTCTGTGTTACTCCCAGGTGGGCCGTTGTCCTGCCTTGCTTTTCTCCATTCTTCATGGGTCAAATTGTTTCCTTAATTAGTCCCAATGCGGGTACCTGGATGTTTCAGTTGAAGGTGTTGTATTTACTTGCCCCTTCTCTTTTTCTCCATGAAAGCCATGCACACTAGCTGCTTCTAGTTGGCTTTCTTGGCCACATCCCGCCTCATTTTTCCTTTCAAAACCTTTGTCTTTCTTCATCTCCCTGAATGTGCACATAGTACACTGTGGCACACATATTCCCATTGCAATACCCTATTCCTGAATAAACATCATTTTCTTTTGGAGAGCCTTTTCTTCTGTTTGTTATTTAAGTTGGCAGTATTAAAATGGTTATGATGTAGTTTCTGTTCCAAGAAGTTTACAATATAATACATGTTTAATCAACTTTTATATCAATAATCTTTTGTCCCCAAATAACTCTACTTTCCAAAAAGAAGAGTAAAGATAAAATCTAGGCTAATTTGTTCTCAGCAAAAACATACTCTATGAAGAACTACCAGTCTACATTTTTGTATTCTTTCAATGAAAGACATTTTCTTGAACATCATGTTTTAGTCTCTAAAATTGTAATGTCACTTTTGATTAAAAAGTAGCATTTTTCATATTTTAAAGCTTATCTGTTTTTCAAGTCCCTTTGAATTCCCTTAGCATTTCTATAAGCTGAACTGCTCCTCTAGTTTTGGTCTTCTCATATTTCCTTATCAATTTCTCCACTAGAGATGAGAGATGTTATGAAGGAATACTAGCCAATGTCATTTATCAGACAGACAACTAGAATATTACTTTAATCACATGCTGCTTTAAATCAGGCCAGTGCTAGCAAGCAAATTTGGGGTATGGAGTCTAATAGATTTTAGTTGGAATTCTGGCTCTGATACTTAGCAGCTGACCATAATAAGTTACTAACCCCATCTAGATCTCAGTTTAAACATTTGTGAAAAGGGAATGTTTTAATACCATACAGGGATTATGTAGGAATATGATGAGAACACCCAAAGTACATAGGTAATTCTGTTATACTGTGCCTTGTACAAAGTGGCAGCTTTCCTGTTTCTTCATAGAAACAATTTTTATTCTCTTTGTTTTATACAAAATTCCTAAAGGAAACAATCAAATTTATCTTGAGGAGATTCTTTATGACAGTTAGAAATTTTTCTTCCAAGGAACAGAAATACTTTAAATAAAATGGTGTGTGTGTGTGTGTGTGTGTGTGTTTAAAAAAATCCAAACTAGCCAGAAGTTTAGAGTTTGGTGATTGCTGGCCTTGGTCTAGGGCCCTAGTGATGTCAGGACCTTGGGCTGGCTTTTGTCCTTCCTCTCATTCTAGCAAGATGGCGCCTGCAGTTGCAAACATCTCATCCTCACACAAACACAAAAATCCAGAAAAGTACTAAATAGGACATTCCCATTCACATGCCTCCTTCTTTCATGGAAAGCAATCTTTCCCAAAAAGCATCCTGGCGATGTCCCTTTACCACTTTTCACCAGAACTAGGTCACCTGTGAAACCTAGACTAGCAGCAGGGAAGGGGATACTTGCCTTGAGATGTATGCCAAATAAAGCTCAGATTCTGTTACTCGAGTAGAAAAGAAATACATGGAAAATGGTCTGCGAGCCATATCATTGTGTCTAGGGCAACAGTCCTTAATGTTGAAATTATTATGGACAGTAAGGAGAAATAAATCAGTCCCTGATATCCAGGAGTTGATCTGACACTCACAGCAAGTTCAGATGTTCTTTGTTAAACATAAATAACTTCCCAAATACCAACATTACACAAATCTGCTGTGTGACCATAATGGATTAAGAAAAACATGGCCACTCTGTAATCATGTCAGAGCATGCATACACATATGTCTACATACATGATCATTGTTCAAATCACAAAAGTGACAAAACATCATACTTCCCTAATGTGGAAGTGTGAAAAAAATGTCTGCAGTTTTTGAATCCTCCTCCCCTCAGGAGGTAGAGCTTCCCCTCCTGTTGGGTGGCTGGACTTAGTGACTTGATTCTAATGAATAGAATCAGGTGGAGGTGACAATGTGTAGTTCTAAGACTCCATCATAAAACTCATTGGACCTTATTCCTTCTGCGCTCTCTTCTTCCTCACAATGGGGTAAGCCATGTCAGAGCAGCCCTATAGAGAGGAACTGGAGCCTCCTGCCGACAGCCACTTGAAAGTGTTGGAAGCTCAACTTTGGCCCCAGTCTTCTAGGACTGCAGCTCCAGCTGACAGCTTCAGTGAGACCTCAAGAAACGCCTTGAGCCAGAACTACGCAGCTAATCCTTTCCTGGATATCTGATCCTTAGAAAGAGTGAGAGACAACTAACTGGTGGTTGTTTTAAGCTGCTAAGTTTTGGGATAATTTGCTGCACAGAAAAGATAACTACAGTATCTGGTTAAATGAGTAACTGCTGCTTCTTTACCAATTACAGGTTCATTTCCACTTTATTACTCTTGCCTTCTTGATAAATGCTATTAAAATGCCCAATCATAGAATTGCCCCTGCTTCCTGACAGCATCCAATCCCAGGCAAAGCTCCACTTCCTTAAACCCTTTGCAGACTCATCTAACACAAGCACAACTCTTATAATAACTTCTTTCTGGCATCCTCTTATGAGATACCTTACAGTTCCCAAAGGCATGTTGTCTCTTGTTACAACAAGCAAATAAACCCAAATCTTTCTTTGATTTCAGGTGTCTCCCTGGTGGACTTCAACTAAAGTCATCAAAAGTAGTTTGGAGTTGTATTGGACAATAAGCTTTCTGCACTATGCATAAATGAAAATCAATTCAAGCTGTTAAGAGATATGATTACACAAATGTTAGCTAATATTTATTGAATGTTTACCATGTGCCAGATGCAGGGCTAAGAGCTTTACATGCATTATATCGTTTCATTTTTATGAAATAACTTTATGAAGTGGTTGATATTAGTATTCCCATATCACAGATAAGTAAATTGAAGGGTTGCGAGGTTAAGTAACTAATCCAATATCACACAGCTAAGCAGCAGTGGAATCTGAATCCAGACTTTATCAAGACCAATATTTCTAACTATTAATAGATTATCCCCCACCAATGTGTATCATAATACTGACTTAAATCTAACAGCCAGTGATTCCATATCTCCTCAGCCTGATAGCCAACTAACTTAGCACCCCACTAACTGGCACTGTCTGGAGTTCTACCTTTTCCAATCATCTAGAAACAGATTTCACATGTTCTTTATTGATTCCCTCAGGGACAGCACAAGGGAAGAATGGTAAGAATTTTATGGCTAAAGCAATTTTGAAAACCACGTATGTAACCTTCTCTTCTATAACAGTCACAAATCTGGATTCCAAATCCTGTACGGACTCGAATTCTTAGGATATTTAAATGCAGAAACTTTTTCTTGGAAATAAAGTATACATTGTATTTCTTTTTCTAATCCAGTAAGTCATCACAAGAAGAAATAATCAATATATTAAATGATTTTACTGTTTCTTATTTGTTTCTATGTATTACTTTTCACAAAAGGTAATTTCCCCCCACAGCTGGAAAAATAAAGGAGCAGAGGCCTGGAGACTCTTGGCATGGCCGAGGAGCACAGGAGGTGAGGACAGCCTTGGGGTAAAGGACAGCCGCCGAGGAAGATGAGCTGCTTCCAGGGAACAGACTCTGAGAGAAGAGGTGTACACATTTTAACCAAAAGAAGAAAACCAGGAAATTGGAGTTGTCTGAATGAACAATCATTCCTAAGGAACGCTGTGAGGTGAAACCTGATTCCTGTTTCAGACTCCCCCAACACCTTCCTGTCTCTGCCCTAGTCTGCAAAGATTCTTAACTATCATTCCTTCATTCCACTCATTCATTTAGCTACCGATTATCCTAACAGTGGCGCAACATTGTAGTATGTGCAACATAAAAGACACATTACAGTAGGGCAGAAAACATAAGACATTGTCCTATGAAAAGTTTCGTAAGACGATAAGCAGCTAACATTAATTAATCAAACAAGGAGTATTGTATTAATTCAGAGGCAAGAGCACTGGAATCTGGGATGGGCTTGGGAACAGGTGAGCTCACAGAATGACTCTTGCCTGTGGCTAGTGCCATATATAATTATGCATGTTTAGTCATGAATCTCCTGTTTCCTTGGTTTCTGCCTTGTCTGCCCGCTAGATTGCCTCACACAACACAGGGTCTCAAAAGTAGAGCTCCCTCCTTGAAATGTTTTGAGATCCAGGTCTTTCTTATATCCTCTCCCCTGACTTATATCCCTCCTTCTGTTCTTGTTTTGCTCCGTGTGAGGAGAGAGCTCGCCAACCCATCTGACCAACGAATTTGGGCTCATGGATTAAAATGGCACCACGCTAGGAAATGTGCCAGCTAAAGATTGATTCTATTATTGGGACTTTGAGAAAGGCATCGAGTCAGTCTGAGGCAGTCATACCATGGTTGCACTATATGCTGCCTATTCTGTTCCTTTGGAGAGCCCAGCTTCAGGAACCCCACCTCAGTTTATGTTAAAACATAGCCCTGTGTAAATGTAGCTTTCTCCATCCACCCCAGTGGAGGAGTGAAAGTCAACAAAACAAATTAGGTAAGTCTAAATTGATTCAGCAAGACAGGCCAATTATTAACTTATTTTGAGTGCACTATCATATTGGAGTAGTTCCTTTTAAAGAGAAAAATGAGAGAAGACTGAGAAACATCAATGTTTTTAATACTTTGAATTATCATGTTATAAAAATGATTTATCTAAAAATATTAACTATATTTTTTCTTCTTACTCTTTTAGGTCTTTCTAGATAAAATTATTTGCTTAGTCATTTTCAGTTTGGTTCATTTTCAGTGTTTCATGGTGAAAAGAAAACAGGTTTTGGAGTTAGAATCTAAGCTTGACCAGGTACTAACTATGTACCTTGAAAAAGGTACTGCATTTTTCAGAGACCCAGTAAATAAGGCATGTCTTAAAGAGGTATTATAAATGTAGAATAACATAATGAAGTTAAAGTGCACACTGTAATAGGTACTTACTAGGACAGTTTTATTTGTGATTGCTAATCATTATTTTGGAGGGTAATACCTTTCATTTTTCAACCAAAGTACCTAAAGATTATATATAGAATATATATTCTGATATATAGATATATATATTCTGATATATATCTGTATATATATGATATATAATATATATATATATGCACTTTTTTTGAGACAGGGTTGCACTCTTTCACCCAGGCTGGAGTGCAGTGGCTCGATCTCAGCTCACTGCAACCTTTATCTCCTGGGTTCAAGTGATTCTTCTGCCTCAGCCTCCCAAGTAGTTGGGATTACAGGTGCATGCCACCATGCCTGGGTAATTTTTGTATTTTTAGTAAAGACGGGGTTTCACTATGTTGGCCAGGCTAGTCTTGAACACCTGACCTCAAGTGATTCACCTCCCTCGGCCTCCCAAAGTGCTGGGATTACAGGTATGAGCCACCGTGCCCGGCCCTAAAGATATATTTTAAGTCAATGTAAGTCTTCTGGACAGCACCAACTTCCTTTCCCTGGTCCCCCATCCATCCTGCTCTGTAACTGGGTGGGCTAACTGACTCAGGTGGACTAGTCCAGGGCTTTCTTGCCCCTTGGCTGCATTTTGGCCAAGGGAGGTGTCAGTTGGAGGTTGGGAAACAGAGTGCAGGGACAGAATGAGGCAGAATCAGGTTGGGGTATTTATTCCCCAGACACCTCTTGGCTGGCTCCCTCTATCCAATGAATCTCTGTCCTGAGGCCCTCTTCATACAGCCCTGCCTCTCTCCAGCTTCCAGCAAGTGCTTCCTCTCCTGCTCCCACACATACCAGCTCCAGGGTCCTAGACCCTTTCTGGTTGCTTTTACAAAATGCTATCCATAGGTTTATAAATAATCTCTTAAACTCTTTGCAATAACTCACCTTGATGACACCACCTATTTATTTCCTACTAAAGCCAGAAATGACACAATGATTGTTACATTTTCTACTATTATTCCTTCCAGACTGCATTGGATTTTGTTTCAATAACCTATAGATATTATCAGTCAGATTATTTCATGAAGCTTGCCTCCATAGATAACAGAAATATGTGCTCTGGAGGAACAGAAGCTTTGGTTTCAAACGCAAGTTGGTTCTGGTCATGACTCTGCCACCTTCCAAACTAAGTGGTCCATCCACAACTTCTTTATAAGCCTCAATTTTCTCACCTGTAAAATATGGGTAATAAAAGTTCCTGCCTCGTAGGATGATTGTGGGGGTTAAATGGAATAAATGCATGTAAATTGCTTAATGGAGTGTAGAACATTGTGATCATTCAATTAGCTATTAATATTATTATTCTAGGAAAAAGAAAAGGATGTCCCCCCAGGCGACCATAAATGAGCAGCTGGGCTGTCAAATTTGCCTTTAATACTGTAACATTTCTGGTACTGGTCAAGCTACTGAAAACTCAGTATTGTATAAACCCAACATGACAGGGAACAGGGTGACAGGGCATTGGTGGAGCGGTCAGTGCCCTCTGGCCCTAGAGCAAGTCTTTGAGGCCTGGTTCTAGTTATTTTTCTCAACCCTGGGTCTTTATCAATCACCAGGGAAGGTTTTTCAAACATAAACTGTTGGCTGGACTTCAGAGCCTACACGATTTTGCAAAGCTCCTCAGGTGCTTCTGATGTTTGGGTTAAGAGCCAAAACTCTTTATTCCAAGGGTCATTGGTACTGTCCTGGACAGAGGTGGTCCTGGGCTATGCCCTGTAGGTTTCCTCTAGTCCATAGCCAGAGAGGACCAACATATCTTCAGAGAAAGCAAATACTTAGAAAATCCTAGGGTTAGGAGGATAATATTTATCCTTGAGGCAGGGTTACCAGCCACAGATTAGAAGTAGGAGACGCCTCTTCAACTTGGAATAAAGCCCTGGTACCAGATATTAACAAACTCAGTATTCTCAGAGGGAAACTCTCAAACTGCTGACTTCTGCACATGGTCTGTTAACATCCAGGTGCTTCAGGGTTACTGCAACTGCCCAAATTCCAACTTTTCTGGAAGGACAGTGCCTGTCACTGACTGGAGATTCTTTGTGTCTCCCCCTCTTCCCTTGCCCTCCTTTCCCACAGCCTACTGTCCAGCCATAAGAGTCTATCTCTAAGTCAGTGCCTTTCATTTCACCAACTCCACACTTGTCTTATGTATTCATTCATTAAGTCACTCATTCACTCAGTAAATATTTATTGAACTATCACAGAGGGTAAATCCCACCTAAATATCTGGAGAATCTGCTGCAAAAAGTCCCCAAGTGATCCTTTGGTATTCCCAGAGCGAGAAGGACTCTTCTAAATATTCTCATCCTTGAATAAAAATTTAAGGGCCAAGCATATTCCATATTTCTCTGGCACTTGTGAGTTTGTAAAGCATTTTTGTAGGGATTATTTTAATTGTTAATTCTGCTTATCTTGGGATGTATTATTATAAGTATTTATAGCTTAACTTTAGTGAAGAAAAAATGGAAGACTATTGAGGTAGGTTGCAGAATGTCAATTATTGAGGTAGGTTGCAGAATGTCAATTATTGAGGTAGGATGCAAAATGTCAATTATGTCAGTGGAAGTAACGTATTGCAGAATGTTCCAACTTATCAATAATGTCTTATCGAAAGGGCTATATAGTAGCCTTTACTTTTACCTTCTAAGGGTTTTTAGTTTAGGGAGGTAAATGGCCACAGCCTTTCTTGCCTCCAATCTTGTGTTCCACCTCTTCCCTAGCTGACTGGGCACCGTGAAGTCTGTGCCTGGTGTGTTACCACCACCTAGTGGTGAATATAGCACTTAAACCCTGTGACTGGAAACAAGATGTTAGAAGAGAATATATAGGTAGACTTAGATTAACATCGGTTTGAAAAGAATCTTGAATTTCTCTTCCCACTCCAGAAAGCCACCCTGATATAGATATATTCTTTTGACAAGTTTAGATAGTACATAATCAGCTATTTTTAAAAGTAGGCATTCCAGTGCCTTTTTGCTGTCTTTTCTCTTGTCACACCCTACAGTAATTTTTCCTTAAAAGCTTTTTTTAAATCATAAACCAACTATCATTTTAACTATTCAGTATCTGTGAAATATCTAATATGGATATGCAAATGGCAGAGAATGCTCTTTAAACTTCTTTTATCAACACTTAAATTACAGCACTTCTCTCAATGAATTGAAATATCTCTTCTCAGAGCCAGAAGAACTATGTATTCAGAAGTGCTCCATTTTGAGTTCTAACAGAAATAAACCTAAGATATTGCTTGATAACAGCTGATAGTAATTAGACCCACTGACTGGAAAAAGTAAATGCATAATACTTTGCATTACTTTGGTAATCCAAAGTAATGTCACTCATCCTAAGATTCCCTAAAGGAGCTCAGGAAACATTTCCACTGTCTGTCCTTTTTATTCAGCTGAGGGAGCAGAAAAATGAGAAACAAAGAGCTCATTCATATGTGTGAATTTTGAGAATCTGTCAACATTCTCAGGCTGATGATGCACCACTTCTCCCATTTTTTCTAAACATGGAACCAGTTCTGCCACTGGCTTCTGTGCGACACTGGTGAACTTGCTCACGTGTTTTTGGGTTTCAATTCCCCTGCCACATTACTTTGTTTAAAAGAACCATGATCCTACAGTCACCTTCTACTGGGTTGAATGGTGGACACCCAAAAAATGTTCATATACTAATTCTCTGGGACCTATAAATGTGACTTTATTTGGGAAAATGATTTTTACAGATGTTAATTAGGTTAAGGATCTCTTGATCATTCTATATTATCTTGGTAAGCCCTAAATCCAACACCCTGTATCCTTTTAGGACACACAAAGGAGATAACACAGAGAGATGGAGAAGACCATGTGAAAATAGAGGCAGAGTTGAGAAATACACAGTAAGCCAGCAAGCCAAGAGAAGAGGGATGGCTGGGTTATATGGTAGCTTTATTTGTAATTTCTTTAGGAACTTCCTTATTGTTGTCCATAATGGCTGCACCAATCTACATTCCCATCAACAGTGTACAAGGGTTCCCTTTTCTCCACACCCTCACCCACACATTCTGTTGCTTCTCTTTTTGATAATAGCTATCCTAAGATGTGTAAAGATGTATTTCACAGTAATTTTGATTTGTTTTTTTTTTTTGAGACGGAGTCTCACTCTGTCACCCAGGCTGGAGTGCAGTGGCGCGATCAGGGCTCACTGCACCCTCCATCTCCTGGGTTCAAGCGATTCTCCTGCCTCAACCTCCCAGGTAGCTGGGATTGCAGGCATTTGCCACCACGCCCAGCTAATAATTTTTTGTATTTTTAGTAGAGACAGGGTTTCGCCATGTTGGCCAGGCTGCTCTCAAACCCTTGACCTCAAGTGATCTGCCCGCCTCAGCCTCCCAGAGTGCTAGGATTATAGGGGTGAGCCACTGCGCCCAGGCTTGATTTGTTTTTTTTCTAATTATTAGGGATGTTGAGTACCTTTTAATGTATCCATTAGCTATTTTTATGTGCTTTTTGACAAATGTCTACATCAAGTCCTTTGCCCATTTTAAAACCGGGTTATATATGTTTGTATGAGCTATTTATAAACTTTGAATATTAACCTCCTATCTGGTATATGGTTTACAAGTATTTTTTCCCCAATCTGTAGATTGCATTTTCATTTTGTTGGTTCTTTCCTTTGCTGTGCAGAAGCCTTTCAGTTTGATATAGTCCCATTTATTTATTTTTGGGACTAAATCCAGTTTCTCAGCACCATTTGTTGAAGAAACTATCCCTTCCTCGTTGTGTTTTCTTGGTGCCCTTGTTGAAAATTAATTGACCATACATATTTGGATTTATTTATTTCTGGGCTCTATGTTCTGTTCTATTGGTCTATGTGTCTGTTTTTATGCCTGTATCATGCTATTTGGGTTGCTATAGCTTTGTAGTATATTTTGAGGTCAGATCTTGTGATACCTGCAGGTTTCTTTCTTTTGCTCAGGATTGCTTTGGCTATTGAGGGTTTTGTAGTTCTATAGAAATTTTATAATTTTTTTCTATTTCTGTGAAGAATGTCATTGGTATTTTGGTAGGAATCGTATTGAATCTGTAGATTGCTTTGAGTAGTATGGTCATTTGAACAATGTTAATTCTGCTGATCTGTGAACATGGGATGTATTTACAGTTGTTTGTATTCTTTTCAATTTCTTTAACTGTTTTATAGTTTGCCTTGTAGAGGTCTTTCACCATCTTGGTTAAATTTATTTTTAAATATTTTATTTTATTTTTTGATGCTATTGTAAATGGGATTTTTTTTTCAGCTAGGTCATTATTTGTATATAGAATGTCACAAATTTTGTATGTTGATTTTATATCTTGCAACTTTACTAAATTCATTTATTATATTAACGGTTTTCTGGTGGAGCCTTTGGGGTTTTCTACATATAGGATCATGTCATCTGAAAATAGAGATAATTTTACTTCTTCACTTCCAAATTGGGTACCTTTTATTTCTTCTTCTTGTTTAAAAGTATTATCAAGAACAATTAATTAGTTTTCCCCCATTGATTAGGATGTTAGCTGGGAGTTTTTATAGATGACCTTTAAGTTGAGGAAGTTTCCTTTTATGTCTAAACTGTTAAGAGTTTTTATCAAGAAAAATCTCGAACTTTGTCAAATGCTGTATCTGCATCAATTGATATGATCATTTGATTTTTGTCCTTCAGTCTGTTAATGTGATGTATCGCATTGATTGATTTCCATATATTAAACCAGCCTTGCATACCAGGAATAAATCCCCCTGTGTAGTTATTTTTGGCTGTTTTGACTTTTAATCTTTATACTAGAGATGTACAAAGCACCATAACAGTATTGGCATATTCTGAATTTGACTATATATTTAATTTTACTGGTGAATTTTATATTTAATCTTTAATTTTCTAGTTATTGCATTATAAAAAGCAAAAAGGAACAGGTGAAATTAATCTCAGTAACATATTTAATCTAACCAGGTATATCCCAAAATATTATTTCAACATGTAATTAAATCAAAAAGTATGAATCAAATATTTTCCATTACATGTATAGCACAACTTAATTGGAACTAGCCATATTTCAAGTGTTTAATAGCCACATATGGCTAGTGGCTACCTCATTGGACCCTATGCCTCTATAGTTTCTATATTCTCTACATTTATGTGATTTAAATTTTTATAATGAAAATTTATTCTTATATTACTTTTACAACTAAAAAATGAATAAGAAAGGAATAAAAATTAAAGAAACAAAAGTTTTTGCTGTCCAGTTTAAAAATAAATTTTTAAAAAACAATAATATACTCATGGAGAAGAGTTAGAAAATAAAGACTAAAATAAATCAATCAAATTAGCCGTCCTCTTTATGCCCAGAAAAACCACATTTAGGCTGGCCACTGTGGTTCACATCTGTAATCTCAGCACTTTGGTTGGCCAAGACGGGAGGATCACTTGAGCCCAGGAGCTTCAGACCAGCTTGGTCTCAAGACCCTGTCTTAAAAAAAAAAAAAAGAAAGAAAAGAAAAGAAATCAGAAAAAACACATTTAACATTTTGGAGAATTTTCTTTCAGGCCTTTTCCCATAAGGTATAGAATATATATAGTACCCTTTATTTTAAGGAATTTTCTCTCTTCCATTTATAGGAACATGTTGTATCTGTTGATGATTAAATACCCTTGGGTGTCCTGGCTATTGAAAAATGATTATAAAACCTTTAGTGGCTGAAAGAAAATTATGATGAAGTCTAGAAGAGAATCCTCTGACTAGAAGAGATTTGGAAACTATATGTGAACGTGTACCCACTTTTGCTTTTCTCTTTTATTTTTAAGACAGCCAAAATGTGTGTGTGTGTGTGTGTGTGTGTGTGTGTGTTTGTCTGTGTGTTAACCTTCAAACAATTCACCCCACCAAAATGTTTTAAGCCTTGATTTTATGTTAATTCTTGGACTGCTGATGGGTTATTTCCCTTTATTTTAATTCTTGGAGGTGTGGTAGTGGAGGCTGCTTAAACCACTGTGTTGACACATCCTGCAGATGGGAGTTGGTGAGGAATTCTCTTGACATCGATTGCAGCCAGGCGTGAAGATGAATGGTACTCACAGCAGCTAAAATCTTTCCTTCACATTTTACTGTTTTGTGTTTTGTTAGTTTTGTTTTTTAAACTTCTTAAAAATACTTTTCATCAGGTAAAATAGCAATCTGGGTTTTGGAAAGACATCAATTATGTATGGCTATGTTCACATTTATACTAGAAATTATTGTCTTCTTAGTGCCTTAACCTCCAGAGAGCCTTTCTATTTATTTTTCCAAAAAAGAGCAGCACTGGATCAAATGAAGTGTGTTCCAAAAGGAACTATTCCATTAATCATACATTTTCCATAATTCTTATTGCAGGATTTCAGGGCAGTCAACTTGTTTAAGGTCAGAGAATGAAAAAGAGAGACTTTTTCATATAAAGACAGCATTTAATTATGGAGTCAGATTTGCTCCTGCTTAGCAATCCCTGGCAAAACCACTCTCCTCCCATTAGTTAAAATAATCTCTTTTTATCACAATCTGTCCATTAAAATAACCCCCTTTTGTGAGAAAATTACTTACAAATAAAAATAAATGTTCTGTGCACCTAGAAGATCCCTACGAAGTTTCAATAACTGAGTTTAAGTGCAGAGGATAGCACTTCAACAAAGAATCAAAAGGCAAAATAAACCATAGAGATAAGGCTCAGTGATGAATAGCAGTGCTGGAGACTAACTGAATATGTGCTGGAAGTCTCATTTTGCCTTTGTTTGCTGACAGCTGCATTTTCCAACCAACTCAAAGAGCAATGAAAAGAACTCTTTTTCCTGACTGAACTCTATGCAAATAGGGAACGTTATTTGGTAGTAAGATGAAGGATGGAAATGACCATGTCATCTTAGATGATTTCCTTCCTAATCATCAAGGAAGCAACATTAAGAAGAATCAGACTTATATTTAAGCTTTGTAAAGGCCAAATTTTTTAAAGTTTAGGAAAAATAGGTTAGAGCCCATGGCTATGTACTCAAGACAATAAGTTGTTTCAAAGGGGAGGAATATTTAAAGGATGAAACTCTGACAATGGATTCTGCAAATGATCTCTGTGAGGAAGAATAGGGATACACATGTAACGATTCCAACATGGCTGCACTAGAGCTCTTAAAACAGACTTCTCAAAGAAGAGAACAACAAATTAAAGGAGAGCCCTGCTATCCAGGATAATAAAATAGAGTCTCGGGACCTATAAGAACAGTGTCTCAAAACTAAAGACCAAAAGAATGACTTGAGACTTTCTTTTTTTAAAAAAAAGTTAAGGGCAAATAAGGAGGCTTTTAATGTGGTTAATGTTATAATGCTATGTCTCAAACAAGGAAAAAGGAAGAGAAAAGAGTAGCTAGAGAAAGCAGAATTACTCAGGTCATTTTTCTTACATCTTTTCAGTAAGGAAAACTCTGATAGGTCGATCATGGGTAGACTAAACATTAAGAAACAAATTCTAATACAGGTCAAATGATGGTAAAATAGCAAGTGGTAGGTTTGAATGCTGGCAAATTATATTCTGGGATACTAAAAGAACCTATCTTTCTGATTGTGGATACATTGAGGAAGGAGAGAGCTATCTAAAGGGTGAACATGAGAAACTGCCACTTTTCTGAAAGGGCAATGGCTGCCTTTTCTTGTGTGACATTTCCCCTCACTGGAAGTGTTAATGTAGCAACAGCAAGAAAGGGATTCCCTGCTCTTACATAGTGGCTGGATTAGATCATCTTAAAGGCCTCGTCCCAACTCTGAGAGGCTATTAAAAGCCAGATTCCCAGCAACTGATGGGTTGCTGTATTACTCCATTCTCATGCTGCTGATAAATACATACCAAAGACTGGGTAATTTATAAAGGAAAGAGGTTTAATGGACTCACAGTTCCACATGGCTAGGAAGGCCTCACCATCATGGTGGAAGACAAAGGAAAAGCAAAGAGACATCTCATATGGCACCAGGCAAAGAGAGAGCTTGTGCCAGGGAACTCCCCTTTATAAAACCATCAGATCTCATGGCACTTATTCACTATCACCAGAACAGCCCAGGAAAGACTTGCCACCATGATTCAATTACCTCCCACTGGGTCTGTCCCATGACACATGGAATTATAGAAGCTAAAATTAAAGATGAGATTTGGGTGGGGGGACACAGCCAAATCATATTGGTTGCCCAACCATAAAATCTGCAATCTTAAAAATTACAGGGGGGAGTACACCTTGGTTTTAACAAAGCCTGTAACTTCAAATACTATGTTGTCACTCATTTCAATGAGCACGTGTCAGATAGGCTTCTCAAGATCCCTGGAACTAATAACATTCAGCAGCTCCCAGAGATATGGCCTTCTTAAATTTGTTTCTGTTGATGTCAATACCAATGATCCTGGAAGCACCAGTAGCTTTGCAACCCATAATAATAAAGAGACCAACTTCACCCAGGCCAAACACAGTACAAGTTAGAAAGAATTTGACCTAAATTATCAGAAGACACAGACATCCAAAGGCAATGCAGGCTGAGAAAGTGAGTGGACCCCATTCCACTGGGAAAGGGAGGTGATGTTTCTGGTCAATTTGTCTTTTTAAATTATTAAATCTTTCAAATAACACTTTCCTTTGAAAGGAACTTGAGAGCTTTATATGATGTACTACCAATCTCTAGACAACAGAGGAAAAGATTTCTTATAGGAATGTCAGAAACTAGTATTAGAATTGTCAAAATTATGATTCCCCTAAGGGCTTGGAGAGCAGTTTCCAATTTTTCTTTTTTAGGTTGAAGACCAGTTGAGTAGCAGTAGCTGTCGATGTAACTTTCTCCCTTTGGGCATTATATTTACATGAAGGAAGCTGCAAAAATTTTATTTTACCCAGCCACTGTGATTCAGTTTTTGGTGTCTACTTATGAGGTTGCCATGCATAAAAAACAGAAATATGTGGCTAAGAATTTCCTAGAAATGCACATAAAAATCTGTACTGACTGCATCTCCTTTAACCAAGGATACACATGTAATGATTCTAAATGATTCCATTCTAATGATTAGGCTAAACAATTCTAATAAAGTACGCATCCATAGAATCTATTTAGTAACTGTCATTCCTTATAAAGCCTTTATTCTCCTTTGAAATAACTGGAAGGGGGTACGAAATGTGACTAAGGCTCATAAAAATGAGAAAGGGCAACAAAAGGTAGCTGAATTGTTATCTTTAACCCGAACCTATTTACCTTTGTTTAGAAGAGGACAACACTTAGGTTCCATTATTGCACTAAAAAAAGCCAGTTAACTTATGCAATCTTCCTGAAAAGGGTGTTTTTTTAAAAAAATAACTTCTTGACTGAGAAGCCCTTGGCCCTTCAGGCAATTTCTGTTGAGACAGAAATGGTCAGCACCTTCAGTCATTAGTTCAGTGTCACTTCTTTTGGGGGATTGTCTATTCATGGTAGTCAACTGAGCATACACAATGCCCAGTTACCAATGGAGCATAGGCAGTTTATAAAGTTATGAATTTGTGTCAGACTTGAGAGTTGCAAAAATCAGTAGTATTAGGGGGTTTTATTTCTTGATAGATTTATTTGGGCCTTTAAAATTTGGCCCCAAATGTTGTAAGCAGAAATTCTTGTAGACAAAGGACAAATGAAAGAGCTGTCTTCTTTCCCTTTCTGTTCTCCACTTTAAGACAGCCCAGACTAGTATATGAGGGTATTTAAATTTCCTATACCAAAAGAGAAGACCAGCAAACTCTTTACTTTTCATATTCCAGTTTTCTTCAAAAAGCAAGCTTTCTAAATGATAATCTCCTAAAAATACCAGTTAAGAACAGATGCTACCATTTTGCTAGTACTTTATGAGAGAACTCCAAGAATCCTAATGAGTTGCTATCCCACTCTCAACACTTCCCTTTACTCCTGTTTTCCATGCATTCTTTTCTATATGCAAGAAAACAAAGAAAAATGCAATAAGTAAATGTAAAATACTAAGTGGTATAAACTAAGTTGTGTATTCTCAAATGTGCTAAGCAACAAGGAAGCCTGACTTGTAACATTATGTGTTTGTTCCTTCCTTTCATTTTGTGAAAATTTATAAAACCATTAAACCTAGAATGGGGGAAAAGAAGGCAACCATAAAAGCTGAAAAATGGCAGTCTTGGGCATACATCTCTTCCTCCTACCCCCCTTTCTTTTGTGCCTTGAGCTTTTTAAACAGGATGGCCTGAAGGAGGCATCACAGAGATGAGCTTGGTTTACTTCTTGTATACATTAAATGCAAGAGCCTATGATGGAGGCTTTAAAAGACTGTGATGGAAAAAAGCCAATCTAAATCCTTACCTTTGCATTATTTATTCCTGCCCTCTTCCTGCAAGTAATCCACAGCCTATCAAACATACTTTTTCTAGTGGAGCATCAGGATCAATTTTGACAAATGCACTTTCTCTTAACACTGTGTATTCAGTGAAGGTGCTTGTGTTAGGGAGTTGGTAGATTGGTTTTCTTTTACAGGTAAATCTGGTGGTGTCATCAGCCATGGTTTCACAAATACCATCAAAGCTTAGTAAAGCAAACCATAAAAGCACATATGAGAGATGAATGGAGGTATAGGATGAAATTTTAGTAATTAAAGAGACCTACTTGAATTGATTGCATATATTTCCTTTAGGGATCAAACAAGGGTCAGATTTTCCATACTGAAGGATGACTTTGTCTCCTGGAGAGAACAATGCAATCATTCATCAAAAAGTCTCTCTGGAATGTTGAAAGGATAAATATATACAAAAGACTACGGTGTATTTCAATTAAAACCTCTCACAACACATGCCCAAGCTTACTTTTAACAAAGTTAGATATCCTTTATCTTCTTGATTAAATTTATCAAAGAACTGGGTTTTGAGCCATGTACTTACTATTTCCTAGCTGTAGTAAGACACTTGATTGTTCTGTCAGTATTATCTAAAATGTCCAATTTCTCAAAAATTACAAGACATGCAAAAAAATAAAACCAGAAATTATGACCCATACACTGGAAAAAAAAGCAGGCAAAAGAAATTGCCTGTGAGAACAACCAGACATTGAATTTAACACACAAAGCCTTCAAAGTAGACATTATAAATATGATCAAAGAACTAAAGAAAACTATAATTAAATAAAGGAAGGTGGCTTAGTCTGTGCTGCTATAACAGAATGCCTGAGACTGGGTAATTTATAAAGAACAAAAATTTATTTCTCACAGTTCTGGAGGCTGGGAAGTTCAAAATCAAGATATGGGCATCTAATGTGGGCCTTTTTATTGCATTCTCACATGACAGAGTGTGGAAGGATAAGAGAGAATAAACCCACTTTTGCAAGCCCTTTTCATAGCAACATTAATTTATTCATGAGGGCGCCACCCTCATGACCTAATCACCTCCCAAAAGTTCTCACCTCCCAACACTGTAACATTGGGAATTAGGTTTCCAACACATGAATTTTGAAAAGGACACATTCAAACCATAGCATTTGACCTCTGGTCCCCTAAAATTCATGTCCTTCTCACGTACAAAATACATGCACTCCACCCTAATAGCCCCCGAAGTCTTAACTAGCTCCAGTGTTAAATTTTCTTCTACTGTGAGCCTGTGAGCAAACCAGCTATGCACTTCCAGAACACAATGGTGGGACAGCTACAGGAAGGACATTCCCATCCCAAAAAGGAGAAACAGTGAAAAAAAGAAAAGCAACAAGTCCCAAGTAGGTCCAAAACCCAACAAAGCAAACAACGTCAGGTCTTAAGACTTGAGAATAATCTTCTTTTACTCCATGTCCTATCTTCTAGACACACTGGGGTGAGGGTTGGGCCCCAAAGGCTTCAGGCAGCCCTGCACCTATGGCTTTGCTGGGAACAGTTCATGCTTCAGCTCTCATTCATTGAAGTCACATACCTGAGGCTTTTTCAGGCTGATGATGCATGCTGGTGGCTCTACAGTTCTGGCATCTTGGAAGCAGCCCCATTCCCACAGCTCCACTAGGCATTGTCCTAGTGGGGATTCTCTGTGGTTGCCCTGACATCACAGTTTTGCTTGACATTGTCCTAGTGGGGACTATTTTCATCATCCTTTGAAACTGGCTACACACCCACTAGCATGTGGCAAGAATCAAAAAATGAGGATGTAGCAAAATAAGAGCTCTCCTACGCTGCTGGCAGGAGTGTAAAACAGTATGGCAGTACTCAAACTACAAAACACAGAGTTACCCAGGAAAAATGGTAATGTATGTCCACACAGAATCTTGTATGTGAATATTCATAGAAGCATTATTTACAACAGCCAAAATGTAAAAAAAAAAAAAAAAAAAATCCAAATCCTCATCAATTCATGATTGGATAAATAAAATGTGGTATCCACTGGAAAATTATTCAGCCATAAAAAGAAATGAAATACTGATACATGTTATAGCATGAATGAACCTTCATGCTAAGTGAAAGAAGCCGGACAGACACCAAAGACTACATATCATATGATTCAATGTATGCAAAATGTTTAGAATAGGCAAATCTACAGAGACAAAATAGGAGATTGCACATTTCTTAGGGCTTGGTCAGTGGAGGAGGAATGGGGGTAGCTAAAGAGTACAGAGTTTGTATTTAAGGTGACAAAAACGTTCTATAGCTGACTATGGTGATGGTTGCACATATTTGCAGATATACTAAAAACCATTGAATTGTCCACTTTAAATGCGTGAATTGTGTGGTGTGTGAAATACACATCAATAGAGTTCTTAATGCATTCAGTAAGTTAGTGGTAAAGACAGAAAGCATTTAACAGCTATCTCTCATTGGCACTTGGCAATTTTATACATTAGCCATAGTAGCTCATGAAATATTTTTTTCCCTAAGAAGAGAACTAGGAGAACTCTCTTATTGTTTATTAAGATTCCTGAGAGGGAAAAGATTTCTGTTACAATATTTACATCTTGATGATAACTGAGGAAACCGCTCAAGAGGTGAAATCTAGTTTTGAAACACAACACTGGGGACATTGGAGATGATGGGCCTGGGAAGAACTGGAGGTAGAGAGGCCGTTAAGCGGCCCCCACCTCAGATCTCACCCAGTAGTCTTGTTACCTTCTGAGTGAGGCAAGGTTAAAATTAAGAAGAAGGAAGAAAAGTGAAGACAGTGCTTCAGAGAAAGAGAGGGCTTTTATACCTAAAGAGGAATAGAAATTTAACCTGTGAGACACATTGTCCCTAGTCAAATGAATACTAGAACCTCAAATGGCCATGCCTCAGGTCACTTTAGCTAAACCTACTCACTTCACTCCATTTGTCAGAAACCCAAAAAGCTGACACCTCTAATTTTTAATTTCATCTCTATGATACTGGTAAAGTAAAATCTTATTAAATCACAGGGAATTTATTCAACTTTCTGGAACTTGGTTGAAATTATGTTGGATCATTGAACCTCTATCTGACAAGCCACTTCTTTGGGGGAAGTTTTACTGGATGACCATGGAATTGAGTTACTATGGTAACTATGTCATATGGGTATAATAAGGGCTGTGTTATTTCAACTTCCAAGATTATCTGGCCTGAGTTTAGGGGCAAGAAACCTAATATTTTGACAACATCTGAAAGAAAAAACTATTAGAAGTAAAGAAAATATAGAGGATATTTCTGATTTAAGATGATAAACTGAGCTTACATGTTTAGCTCTTCTCCAAGAGCAAAAGAATTTTTAAAATATCTATAAATTAATATATATTAATTATATATATTTATATATAATATATAAAAATATATGTACACACACATATATCTCCACTATAATGAAGACATAAGGAAGCTCTCATCAGACACCCTAAATATAACCTGGCCAAATTCAAGCTCCCTATAGTGCCTCAAAATCTACGCTTTCCATAGCCTTCTTTTCTGTAAATTGCAATCCCAATGTACTTACTAGTCTTTCTACCCAAACTTTGAAGTCATCCTGATGCCTTTATTTCTCACACTTTAGCAAGTTCTGTTGACTCTATCTTCAAAATATACTTAGAATCCAATCACTTTTCACTACTTTCATACTATCATCCTGGTCCAAGCTATCATCACCTCTTGTGTTTACTGCTATAATAACATCCTAACTTGCCTCCTACTTCCACCTTTATTTCCTCCTCATCTCTTTTTTTCAGTATGGCAGCTGAGTGTTCCTTTTAAACATATAAGAATGCGTATCATTTTTACTCAAAATCATTTAGGAGTAAAAGTCCTTACAGTGTACTACAGTGTTCTACTTCATGTCCATTTAAAACACACTATTTAATTAAATGAGGCTTTATGTGTATCTTCTTTGTTTAAATTTGTATCTGTCATTTTCAATTTATTCTTTTTTAGTTTAACTTTTATTTTAAGTTCAGGGATACATATGCAGGTGTGTCAAATAGGTAAACTTGTGCCCTGGGGGTTTGTCATACATATTATTTCTTCACCCAGGTATTAAGCCTAGCACTGATCTTCTCCTTCCTCCCACTCTCCACCCTGCAATAGGCAATTGAAGAAACTTTTCAAAAGAAGATATACATGCAGCCGGCAATCATGAAAAAACACTCAACATCACTGATCATTAGAGAAATGCAAATCAAAACCACAAAGAGATACCATCTCACACCAGACAGAATGACTGTTATTAAAAAGTCAAAAAATAACAGATTCTGGTGAGATTGTGAAGAAAAACGGATGCTTATACACTGTTGGTAGGAGCGTAAAATTAGTTTGACCACTGTAGAAGATGGTTTTTGTGATTCCTCAAATTCCTAAAGACAGAAATACCATTTGTTCCAGGAATCCCATTACTGGGTATACCCAAAGGAATATAAATTGTTCTATCATAAAGACAGAGGCACACGTATGTTTACTGTAGCACTATTCACAATAGCAAAGACATGAAGTCAACCTAAATCAATGGTAGACTGGATAAAGAAAATGTGTTACATGTACACCATGGAATACTGTGCAGCCATAAAAAAGAACAAGATCATGTCTTTTTCCGGGAACATGGGTGGAGCTGGAGGCAATTATCCTTAGCAAACTAACTCAGGAACAGAGAACCAAATACCACATGTTCTTACTTATAAGGGGGAGCTAAATGATGAGAACACATGGACACATAGAGGGGAACAATACACACTGGGGCCTAGCTTTCTTTTTATCTTGTTCACTGTCACCAGAATGTAAGTTCTATGAGAGGAGAGATTTGGTTCTTTAATTTTTAAAAAAGATTCAGCACCAAACTATTACTTAGCAGATAGTTGGCACTAAATATACACTAGTCAAATCTATGATAGGATGAAGATCATACTGGAATTCCTCTTTCCAATCTGTAAACTGTCAGAAACCACCACCCCCCAACACTATTTGACAAGTCTCTACTTTTGTGTTATTTTACCTGGTTTTACCTTTCTCACTCCTTTTCCAATACTCTCTACAATTCCAGCTGCTTCGTGTCCTAGAAGAAATGGATATTTAGTTTTTAATTTTCCATTAATTGCACAGTCGTCTGTGCCACAAAAGCTGATGGCCAGAATCTGTGAGGAGATAAAACAAAAAAGATACACAGCACTTTGGGAGGCCGAGGCGGGTGGATCATGAGGTCAGGAGATCGAGACCATCCTGGCTAACAAGGTGAAACCCCGTCTCTACTAAAAATACAAAAAATTAGCCGGGCGCGGTGGTGGGCGCCTGTAGTCCCAGCTACTCGGGAGGCTGAGGCAGGAGAATGGCGTGAACCCGGGAAGCGGAGCTTGCAGTGAGCCGAGATTGCGCCACTGCAGTCCGCAGTCCGGCCTGGGCGACAGAGCGAGACTCCGTCTCAAAAAAAAAAAAAAAAAAAAGAAAGATACACAAAATTCATTAGTATTTTATGACGTAGATAATATTTCTCTCAAGCTAGTTCAAATAGAGTGACAGTATTTTATTTTTATATTTTCTGGTTATAATCAATTATAAAAGCATAGACTTATATAAATAACATTGTATCATTCATTTAAGTCAAAAGTTTAAAATGTATTAGCTCAATTTACTTTCCTATCCTAAAATACAATAGCATGTAATCCTCAGTCCTTTGAGATCATTCTACTGGCTCTGCACTTATTTCATCAATCCCACCAAAATTGCATGCTGTTAATTTTTTCTATGTATGTTCTTTGATTATTTATTTAATCTCAATAAGCTATACTACCTCACTGATATTGTTCAATAGCAGAGTTTATTCTTTTTTACAATTTTTGTTTTGTTTTTGTAGAGACAGGGTCTTGCTTTGTTGCCCAGGTTGGTCTCAGACTCCTGGCCTCAAGCTATACTTGCACCTCAGCCTCCCAAAGTGCTGATATTACAGGCCAGAATTTATTCTTAACATGATGTTTTAAAGAAACCATTATAAACACAGAATGATCTTATAACAGTACAAACCCTATTGTCTAAATGTTTTACAATATTCTATGGGAAAAACAGAAAATTCTTAATGCCAGAATATGATAGATTTCAGCACTTCATTTTTTGTTTTGTTTTGTTTTTCTTAGTGGCAATTAACATTTTCTCCTTCCCAATAACCTTGCAGAATAGGACAATCTCCTAATGCTTGCTAGTTCTCCCAATTAATTGCTTATTTTACACTAATGGATAGAGTATGTAGTAGTAGGAAAATTGGTGGATTGAGCATCCGGCTACTCAACATTTACCTTGTTCAGCTTGCAGACAGTGAGCAGGCTGCCCTTAGTGACTCACTAGCAATTCTTTTCTTCCTATCCCAAAAACCTAATGCTCTGCTGACCTAGAGGTCTTAGTTCCAAAGGGAAGAATGATTTCACCAGGAGACACGATTCCACTGAAGTGGAAATTAAGACTACAACTCAGACACTTTGGTCTTTTATGCCTCCCTTCTTTAGGCAAAGAAGGGAGTTACTGTACTGGTTGGAGTGATTGATCCTGATTATCAAGGGGAAATTGGGCTGCTATTGTATAATTAAATTAAAAAGAATGTGTCTTGAGTAGAGGAGATCCCTTAGAGCATCTTTCAGTACAAACATGTCCTGTGACTAAGGTCAATGGAAAACTACAATTCAATTCTGGCAGAACTACCAGATCCTTTAGGATGAAGGTTTGTGTCATTTTTCCAGGAAAAAACCATGACCAGCTGAAATACCTGCCGAGGGCAAAGGGAACACAGAAAGAGTGGTGGAATATGATAGTCATAAATACAAGCTACAATCATATGACCAGCTGTAGAAACGAGGACTATAGTTGTTATGAATATTCATATTTTGGTATGAGTCTGTTTATATATATATATGTATATATACATATATATGCTTATATAAAAATATTTTCCTTTGCACACTTATCTCTTTATCTTTTAAAATGTATTAATGATAGTTAATTTTCCATTACAGTATATAAGTTAGAGCAGATCAATGAGAAGAATGAACATCACCCAAGGTCTTTGCATATTTTTTGGGGGAAAGTATTAGCACATTTTTTATTGTATACAGAATAGTTACATCTGTGAAGTGAAAATACAATTTTATTATTGTCCTTTTTTTAAAAAAACTTTTATTTTAGGTGCGGGGGTACATGTGGAGGTTTGTTATAAAGGCAAATTGCAGGGGTTTGGTGTACAGATTATTTAATCACCCAGGTAATAAGCATAGTACCTCATAGGTAGTTTTACGATCCTCTCCCTCCTCTCATCCTCCATTCTCAAATAGCCCCCAGTGCATATTGTTGCCTTCTTTGTGTCCATATGTTCTCAATGTTTAACTCCCACTTATAAGTAAGAACATGTGATATTTGGCTTTCTGTTTTGTGTTAGTTTGCTTAGGATAATGGCCTCTAACTCCATCCATGTTGCTACAAGGGACATGATCTCATTCTTTTTTTTATGGCTGTGTAGTATTTCATGGTACCACATTTCTTTATCCTGTCTACTATTGATGGGCATTTAAGTTGATTCTATGTCTTTGCTATTGTGAATAGTACTGCTATGAACATACACATGCACGTGACTTTATAGTAGCATAATTTCTCTTCCTTTAGGTGTATACCCAATAATGAGATTGTTGGGTTGAATGGTAATTCTGTTTTACGTTCTTTGAGAAATTGCTACACTGCTTTCCACAAGCATTGAACTAATTCACATTCTCACCAGCAGTGTGTAAGTGTCCCATTTTCTCTGCAACCTCGAGAGCATCTGTTATTTTTTTACTTTTTAATAATAGCCATTCTGACTGGTGTGAGTTGGTAATCTCTTTGAGGTTTGATTTGCATTTCTCCAATGATTAGTTATATTGAGCATTTTTAAATAAGCTTTTTGGCCACATGTATGTCTTATTTTGAGAAGGGTCTTGTGATGGTTAATACTGAGTGTGAACTTGATAGGATTGAAGGATGCAAAGTATTGTTCCTGGGTGTGTCTGTGAGGGTGTTGCCAGAGGAGATTAACATTTGAGTCAGTGGGCTGGGAAAGGCAGACCCAGCTTTAATCTGGGTGGACACAATCTAATCAGGTGCCAGTGAGGCCAGAATAAAAGCAGGCAAAAGAACATGAAAAGGCTAAACTGGCTTAGCCTCCCAGCCTACATCTTCCTCCCATGCTGGATGCTTCCTGCCCTTGAACATCAGACTCCAAGTTCTTCAACTTTGGAACTCAGACTAGCTTCCTTGCTCCTCAGCTTGCAGATGGCCTATGGTGGGACCTTGTGATCATGTGAGTTAATACTCCTTAATAAGCTCCCCTTTAGATATACATCTATCCTATTAGTTCTGTCCCTCTAGAGAACCCTGACTAATACAGATCTGTTCATGTCATTTGCTCACTTTTTAATGAGATTGTTTTTTGCTTATACATTTGTTTAAATTCCTTATAAATTCTGGATATTAGACCTTTGTTGGATGCATAGTTTGCAAATATTTTTTCCCATTCTGTAGGTTGTCTGTTTATTCTGTTGACAGTTTCTTCTGCTGTGCAGAAGCTCTTAAGTTTAATTATATCCCATTTGTCAATTTTTGTTTTTGTTGCAATTACTTTTGGCATTATCATGAAATCTTTTCCAGGGCCTATGTGAAGAATGGCATTTCCTATGTTATGTCCCAGGAATTTTTTTAGTTTTAAGTTTTATGTTTAAGTCTTTAATCCATCTTCAGTAGATTTTTGTATATAGTGCAAGGAAGGGGTCATCTCAGTCTTCTACATATCCAGTTATCTCAGCACTATTTATTGAATAGGGAGTCCTTTCCCCAATTTATAATTTTGTCAATTTTGTCAAAGATCAGATGGTTGCAGGTGTGTGGCATTATCGCTGGGATCTTTATTTTGTTCATTTGCTCTACGTATCTATTTTGGTAGCAGTATCATGCTGTTTTGGTTACTGTAGCCTTGTAGTATAATTTGAAAATGGGAACAAAGTCCAGCTTCTTCTTCATTTTTTTTTTTGCTTAGAATTGCCTTGGTTATTTGGGTTCATTTTTGGTTCCATATGAATTTTAAAATAGTTTTTTCTAATTCTGTGAATAATGTTATTGGTAGTTTGATACGAATAGCATTGAATCTATAAATTGCTTTGGCCAGTACGGCCATTTTAACAGTGTTGATACTTCCATCCCATGAGCATGGAATAATTTTCCAATTGTTTGTGTTATCTCTAATTTCTTTCAGCAGTGTTTTGTAATTCTCATTGCAAAGATCTTTCACCTCCCTGGTTAGCTGTATTCCTAGGTGTTTTACTCTTTTGTGGTGATTGTGAATGGAATTGTTCTTGATTTAGCTATCAGCTTGGACGTTGTTTGTGTATAGAAATACTACTTAATTTTGTACATTGATTTTGAATCCTGAAAATTTGCTTAAGTTGTTTATCAGATCTAGAGGCTTTTGGGCAGCACCTCTGGGGTTCTCTAGGTATAGAATCATATTATCTACAAACAGATGATTCTGATTTTTCTCTTGCCTGATTACTCTGGCTAGGAATTCCAGTACTATGTTGAATAGAAGTGGTGAGATAGGGCGTCCTTGTCTTGTGCCAGTTCTCAAGGAGAATGCTTCCAGCTTTTGCCCATTCAGTATGATGTCAGCTGTGGGTTTGTCATAGGTGACTGTCATTATTTTGAGGTATGTTTCTTTAATGTCTAGTTTATTGAGAGCTTTCAACATGAAGGGATCCTGATTTCTATTGAAAGACTTCTGCATCTACTGAGATAATCATGTGGGTTTTGGTTTTAGTTCTGTTTATGTGATGAATCACATTATTGATTTGTGTTTGTTGAACCACCCTTACATCTCAGGAATAAAGCCTACTTGATTTTGATGGATGAGCTTTTTGATGTGCTGATGGATTTCGTTTGCCAGTACTTTGTTGAGGATTTTTTAAAATCTATGTTCACCAAGGATATTGGCCTAAGGTTTTCTTTTTTTGCTGTGTCTGATAGCAGATTTTGGTATCAGAGTGATGCTGGCCTCATAGAATGAGTTAGTGAGGAGTCCTTCTCCCTCAATTTTTGGAATAGTTTCAGCAGGAATGGTACCAGATATTTTTTGTACAACTGTTGCTGTGAAAGTATTCAGCTGTTAATTTATTTGGTCCTGGGCTTTTTCTGGTTGGTAGGTTTTTTCCTTACTGATTCAATTTTGGAACTCATTATTGGTCTGTTCAGGGATTCAGCTTCTTCTGGTTCAATCTTGGGAGGTTTTATGTTTATAGAAATTTATCTATTTCTTCTAGGTTTTCTAGTTTTTGTGCTTGTAGGTGTTTATAGTAGTCTCTGAGGGTTTTTGTATTTCTGTGGGATTTGGTGATAAAGTACCCTTTGCTATTTTGGATTGTGTTCATTTAAATCTCTCTTTTTTCTTTATTAGTCTAGCTAGAAGTCTCTCCATCTTACTTATTCTTTCCAAAAACAAACTCCTAGATTCATTGACCTTGTGTATGGTTTTTTGCATCTCCATTTCTTTCCATTCAGCTCTAATGTTGGTTACATTGATATGGGCATTTAGTGCTATAAACTTCCCTCTTAACACCACTTTAGTTATGCCCCAAAGATTCTTATATGTTGTATGTTTGTTCTCATTAGTTTCAAAGAATTTAATTTCTGTTTTAATTTTATTATTTACCTTAAAGTCATTCAGGAGCAGGTTGTTCAATTTCCATATAATTGCATTTTTAAAATTATTTTCTTAGTATTGGTTTCAATTTTTATTTTACTGTGGTCTGAGAATGAGTTTGGTATGATCTGGGTTTTTTTTGAATTTGCTAAGGATTGTTTTATGGCTACTTATGTAGTTAATTTTAGAGTATGTGCCATGTGCAGATGACAAGAATGTATACTCTGTTGTTTTTGGGTAGAGAGTTGTGTAGATATTTGTTAGGCCCATTTAGTCAAGTGTCAATTTCAGATCCTGATTATCTTTGTTAGTTTTCTGCCTCATTGATCTGTCTAATACTGTCAGTGGGGTGTTGAAGTCTCCCTCTATTATTCTGTGATTGTCTAAGACTCTTTGTACGTCTCTAAGAACTTGCTTTATCAATCTGGGTGCTCCTGTCTTTGATGCATACATATTTAGCATAGTTAGATCTTGTTGAATTGAACTCTTTACCATTATGTAATGCCCATTTTTGTCTCCTTTTATTTATTTAAAGGCTGTTTTGACTGAAGTTAAAATAGCAACCTCTGCTTTTTGTTTATTTGCTTGTTTTCCATTTGCTTGGTAGATTTTTCTCCATCCTTTAACTTTGAGCCTATGGGTGTCATTGCATGTGAGATGGATCTCTTGAAGATAGCATACAGTTGGGCCTTGCGTTTCTATCCAAATTACCACTCTGTGCCTTTTAATTAAGGCATTTAGCCCATTTACATTCAAGGTTAATATTGATATGTGTAGATTTGATCCTGCAATCACATTATTAGCTGGTTATTATGCAGATTTGGTTGTGTGGTTGCTTCATAGTGTCAATGGTCTGTAGACTTAAGTAAGTTTTTGTGGTGGCTGGTAATGGTCTTTTGTTTTTATATTTAGCACTCTCTTAAGGACCTCTTGTAAGGCAGGTCTGATGGTAACAAATTCCCTTAGCATTTGCTTGTTTGAAAAGGATTTTTCTTTCTCCTTTGCTCGTGGAACTTAGTTTGGCTGGATATGAAATTCATGGTTGGAGTTTCTTTTATTTAAGAATGTTTAATATAGTCCCCCAATCTCTTCTGGTTTGTAGGTTTCTGCTGAAAATGTGCTGTTACCCTGATGGGTTTCCCTTTATAGGTAACCTGTTCCTTTTTTCCAGCTGCCTTTTATATATATATATATTTTTTCATGTCGATCTTGAAGAATCTGATGATTATATATCCTGGGAATGGTATCTTATATAGTAACTTGCAGGGGTTCTCTGAATTTCCTGTATTAGAATGTTGGTCTTTCTAGTGAGGTTGGGGAAATTTTTGTGCATGATATCTTCAGATATGTTTTCCAACTTGCTTGTTTTCTCTCCCTCTCTTTCAAGGACACCAGTGAGTCATACACTTGGCCTCTTTACATGATCTCATATTTCTTAGAGATTTCATTCATTCTTTTTTATTCTTTTAAATTTGTTTTTATCTGGCTGAGTTAGTTCAGAGAACCTATTTTTGAGCTGTGAGATTCTTTCCTCAGCTTGGTCTATTCTGCTGTTAATACTTGCAACTGTGTTACAAAATTATTGTACTCTTTTTCAGCTGTATCAGATCAGTTTGGTTCTTTCTTATAAAGTCCATTTCATATTTCAGCTCCTGCATTATTTTATTATAATCCTTCTATTTCTATGATTGAGTTTTGACTTTCTCCTGAATCTTGATGATCTTAGCTTTTATTCATATTCTGAATTTTATATCTGTCATTTCATCCATTTTAGTCTAATTAAGAAATTTTGCTGGGGGGCTAGTGTGGTCATTTGGAGGAAATAAGACAATCTGGCTTTTTGAGTTACCAGATTACAAGTTGCACTGGTTCTTTCTCATCTATGTGGGCTGATGTTCCTTTAACGATGGTGGAGTAACTTGAGTATAGTCAGTTAAGTTCTTTTCTGGATGTTTTCAGAGGGCTGAGGCTTTGTGTAGGGTCGTATTTGTAGCTGAATTCTTATCCTGGCTTTCATGTTGTGGGGGGCATATTAGTAAAATATTTTCATGTTGAAGTTTGGGCTGTGACCCAGTAGATGGTGCTTAAATTTAATGGCCAGTAGATAGGCCCTTGCTCAGCTACATTGCTCCTCTGTGTTTCCTCATGCTTGCAACCATGCTCCCTCTCAGTATTCTGAAAGTGTGGGCTCCTTGCCCCATTGAGTTCTGGCTGCAGATATTGGCTTGGCACTCCTGGGCTGCACACCACAGCTGTGGGGTGAAGCTCAGGCTTTATGCTCACTCTCCAGCTTGGAGGCAGCAGGGGAAGAAATCTTGGCTGTCATTGTAGCAGAGGTCCTTTTACTTGTCTCTTGGGGCTCCACCAGAGAATTGCAGAGCCACTACCAATTGACATGATTGGCTTGGAGTAGGGTAGCTGTGTCGTGGGCTCAAGCCAAGATCCTCTGCCTGGTGATAAACCAGGGGAGGAGGGGGACATGAGGGAGAGAGACTGGCCTCTTCTTAGGGTAGCAGTGGCTTACTGGAGGTGTGGGTAAAGCTCACAGGATCTTTGTTCCTTCCCTAGCCCATGGGCAGTAGGGGTAGTGGCAAAGAGGCTTTCAGTTGCCTCTGGGAGGTCCACCTCAGAGAAATGCAGAGTCACTCATGTGCCTGAGTGGAAGCTTTGCTAAGACTCCACATACATTTTCATGTCAATCTGGAATCCCCAGAGTGAAGGGTAATGGAATTATTGGAGGATTTTCTGAGCCTAGAGTTGCAAAGGTTCATGGCATAAGTGTGGGTCCCTGGGAACTCTCACTCAGCATTTCACCACAGTGGGGAGCCTCCCTTGGCTCCACACAACTCCCAGGTCAAAGGTTATCCTGTCTTGCTCTTCTCCATTCCCTGTGGGTTGCATTGCTTTCTTGATGATTCCCAGTGTGTCCACCTGGATGATCCAATTGAAGAGTTAGTGCTGACTCACCATTCTTTCTTCTCTCCATGAGAGTGGTGTACACTAGCTTCTCTCAGTCAGCCATCTTGATGGGAATTTATTGTTGTCATTTCAAGATTATATACAATTTAAGATGTGTGTGAATGCCATGCTGACAGGAATGTACTATGATGGTTAGTTTTATGCGTCACCTAGGCCAGGCTATAGTGCCCAGCTATTCAATTAAAGTAGGTGCTATGATCTGAGCATGCCCTGCAAAGTATACATTTTGGAAACTTAACTTAATCTTCAATGCAATAGTACTGGGAAGTGAGATCTTTAAGAGGTGATTAGACCATGAGGGCTCTGCCTTCATGAATGGATTAATGCCATTATTGTGGATGTAGGTTAGTTACTATGTGGGTGGTCTCCTGATAAATTCAGCCCCCCTTTTCTCTGTTCTGTGCTTGCTTCTGCCTTCTACCTTTGGATGACCCTCTTTAGATGTTGGCACCATGCTTTTGGACTTCCCAGCCTCCAGAACTGTGAGCCAAGTAAACTTTTATTGTTCATAAATTACCTAGTTGGTGGTATTCTGTTATAGCAGCAGAAAATGGACTAAGACACAAGGTGTTGCTGTGAAAGTATTTTGTAGATGTGGTTTACATCTGCCATCAGTTGACTTTAAGTAAAGGAGATGATCTTCAACAAAGTAGGTGGGACTCATCTACCCTGTTGAAAGGCCTTAAGAGTAAAACTGAAGTTTCCCCAGTGAAAAAGTAATTCTACCTGCAGATCATAGCATTGGCTCCTGCTCTAGAGTTGCTAGCATGCCAGTCTGCCTTACATATTTCTAACTTGCATAGTCAGATCTCACAATCATAAAGAATGCATAATCAAATTACAAACAATAGCTTTTTTTTTATTAGGGATACCAATATACTGCAGGAATTTTGTTAGAGTGATAAACAAACATTACCTGAATTCATGCTGAGACCAGCTTGCCCACGTTGGGCGCCACTTGCCAAGACCAGCTCAGTCGAGGAGACCCTAACCCAGCAACACTGGAGGAATTAAAGACACACACACAGAAATATAGAGGTGTGGAGTGGGAAATCAGGGGTCTCACAGCCTTCAAAGCTGAGAGTCTTGAACAGAGATTTACCCACATATTTATTGACAGCAAGCCAGTGATAAGCATTGTTTCTATAGATTATAGATTAACTAAAAGTATTCCTTATGGGAGACAAAGGGATGGGCTGAAATAAAAGGATGGGCTCTGGCTAGTTATCTCCAGTAGGAGCATGTCCTTAAGGCACAGATCACTCATGCTATTGTTTGTGGTTTAAGAATGCCTTTAAGTGGTTTTCCCCTCTGGGTGGGAGAGGTGTTCCTTGCCCTCATTCTGGTAAACCCACAACCTTCCAGTGTGGGCATCATGGCCATCATGAACCTGTCACAGAGATTTTGTTTATGGCCAGTTTTGGGGCCAGTTTATGGCCAGATTTTTGGGGCCTATTCCCAACATGTCCCCCTTCTTTGATTTGCAAAGCGATAAAAGCAAAGGCAGCTTTGCCATGGTGAGCTACTTCTAGCAGGAGTCGGGATCCACATCTGCAGACTATACAAAGACAAACAAAACGGATTAAAAGCACAGTCATCATTGAAATTACAGAGCTTCCAAGTGTTTTTGTCCATTTTAATGGGTTAATAGCTGCTAATCTGTCTGCAGCTCCTTCAAGCACTCTGGTTCCTGGCATTAAGGTCAGGTGTGCCTGGGATGCTTTAAATATTTATTCTTTTAATTTTGCAATATTCAAAAACAAGTTTGTAGAGTGTCCTTCTAGATGCTTTTTTATTCTTTCCCAAATTTTGTTCTTACTAAGAGCTATTAATAGTTTCCACAAATCCTTGTATTTAGCTCCTACAATGGGCCATATCATTTGAGGTTGAGGTGCCACTATACCACCATGTTTCCAGATACAGATAACAGGAACTCTTGCTGTGCTTCTTACCATTTCTACCATCTGACCATTTTGTTCAGACCAGCTGAACATAGTATGACCATGGCATGCAGTCTGAGAGGTGCAATTTAAGCTAAACATCCCCTTAGGGGACGAATTAATAGTGTTTCCATAGGAATCATCGTGCAGCACCTCTGTCTGTTCTGCAATGCGATCTTCCTAAACAAGTACGTTCATATTTTCTGGCCAGTTTCAATTTTATTTACAAATAGGTTTTTGAGGGTGGTATGCCTCAATTATAGGAGCAGATTTATTATGGTAAATACTGAGATCAGAAAGCATGTGTAACTGTGTCATAGAATGATTACATCCAGGCATTATTGCCAGCCAAGATTGATAAATATGCTGAATAAGTATAATTGTTCTCTGTGTCAGCCCTTGTTGAAGGAATACTCATGGCAGTGATGATCACTGCTATCATAGCTACCGTTAAATTGCTCATTGTGACTGGTTGTCCCACTTTCCTCAGGTTTTCTTCCACCATCTGTGACAGCTTCTTGATCTTCCCCAGGTGGGTTGCTGTGTTCAATGGGTGTTGCTCATGATAGCTGGGGTCCTCCTCAGTGTCAGTCTCAATGTGGCTGCCACTGGGGGGTCCTTGGGATCCTCCCAGAATCTCTTCCTCGGCAACTGGGTCATAAGGTTTTCAGGTGTCTTGATGTTTTCCAAATCTGCTGTTGATTTTGGCCTGGAGAAACACAAGCATAACCTCTACCCCAAATTATTTACCTATTTCCCAACTTTTTGTTATTGGATCTCTCCACCAAACCAGTTGTTCTGCTTCTGTCTTTGCAGCTGGTTTCTGTAGATGCTGTTCAGCTGCTAATAACATCTGGCCTTTGGGCAGGCTCAAAAAATTTAAACTTAATAATGCTTGATTCAGTTGCATCTGCAGTGTTCCATAGTTGCTGTTTTCTCCTGTCTGCTTTTGCAACTGCTGTTATAGGGAGAGATTTATTCTTTCCACTATGCCTTGTCCTTGAGAATTATATGGGATACGAGTGATTGCTTAATATTCCATATAGAGAAAAATGTAGCTAAATATTGGCTAGTATAGCCTGGGGCATTATCTGTTTTAATAGAAGCTGGAATGCCCATCACTGCAAAACACTGCAAAAGGTGACATTTAACACAGGCAGAAGACTCTCCTGATTGGCATGTAGCCCAGACAAAGTGAGAAAAGGTGTCCACACATACGTGTACATAAGCTAGTCTCCCAAATGAGGAAACATGTATGACATCCATTTGCCAAAGAGAATTAGGTTCCAATCCTCAAGGATTAACTCTCCTGTAAAAGATGAGGAATGTACCATTTGGCAAGTTGGGCATTGCTGGATAATAGCTTTAGCTTCTTTCCAGGTAATGCTGTATCTGAGTTTGAGACCAGTGACATTAACATGGATTAAATTGTGAAAATGTCTAGCATTAGATATTGCATTAGCAACTAGGCGATCAGTCATTTGATTCCCTTCAGTCAAAGGTCATGGAAGAGGTGTATAAGCCCTAATGTGAGTGATATAAAAAGGGTTCATTTTACTCCTAACTGCTGTTTGCAATTGGGTAAATAAAGTCATCAGTTGTTCATCTGTATGAAATCATAACTGAGCATTTTCAATTAACTGTGTGGAATTAACCATGTATGAAGAATCAGAAATCACGTTAATGGGCATATCAACAGCAGTCAATACCTCAATTACAGCTACAAGCTCTGTTTTTTGAGCTGAAGTATAGGGCGTCTGAAAAACTTTACCTTTTGAGCCAGAATAAGAAGCTTTACCATTACTAGACCCATCTGTAAAACAATGAAAACACTTAGCAGGCTGCAGATTGTTTACCGCAGGAATTGTAAATGCAAACCTGTTCACAGTCTTGCTCAGCTAAGCGGCTAGTAAAGAAACAGTCTTTTAAATCTATGACTATTAAAGGCCAATTTTAAGTCCTCTAAAGCCTCCAGTTTCTCTTTACTCAGTGGCCATTGTTTTATCTAAATTGGCTTATATGTTAACCATTTTAAAGGTATAGGTACTGGAGGCTTAACAATAGCCATCATCAAAAATGATATCCTAAACCTTGGCAGGAACTTTGTCTTTCTGCTTGAAGTGGTCTTTCAAACCTTGCAAATTTTTTCCTAGTCCCATACCAGGGACATACCCCATTTCATGCATCATATGCTGACTTTGAGGGCTATATAATTGTTCAGGAATTAGAACTTGTGCTCCCCATTGCTGTAATAAATCTCTCCCCCATAAATTTATAGGTACAGAAGTTATAATTGGTTGAATATTCCCAGGTAGTCCATCAGGCCCTTCACAATGCAAAATATAACTACTCTGATATACCTCAGGGGCTTTACCAACTCCAACTATGTTAAATTGAGTGGGTTGAATTGGCCACATGGACAGCCAGTGCTGTAGAGAAATGATTGAAATGTCTGCTCCTGTATCTACCAAACCTTTAAAATTTTTTCCCTGAATAGTTATTTCACAGGTAGGACGTTTATCAGTAATTTGATTTACCCAATAAGCTGCTTTGCCTTGTTTATTTGTGCTTCCAAATCCTCCTGTTTGTTTAATTTCACTTTTCCCCATTTCTACATATGGCACAATCAGGAGCTGTGCTATGCGCTCTCCTGGCTCTGCTTTCCAGGGAACGGAAATAGATATAACAATTTGAATTTCCCCATTGTAATCTGAATCAATGACTCTTGTATGTATTTGTACCCCTTTTAAATTTAAACTAGACCTTCCTAAAAGTAATCCTATGGTCCCTGTTGGCAAGGGTCCACAGACCCCTGTTGAGACCTTTTGCAGGGGTTCCCCAGGCAAAAGGCTCACAGCTTTTGTGCAGTGTAAATCTACTGTAGCACTACTGGCTGTGGTGGCGGACAGACATTGTATAGGGGTGAGGGAATGGCCTGAGCTGGAAATGCCCTGGTTTGGAATGGGGCCCGGGACGGGCCCCTCTTGGTGTTTCCTGAAATCAGGTTCCCATCTTTATCAAACTTAGAGTGAAACTGATTAGCCCAGTGTTTTCCTTTTTTGTAGTTTGGACATATTTCAGGCTCAGCAGTTTTCCTTTTTCCCCTATCTGGCAGCCTGACTCACTGATTTTTTTTACATTCTTTTTTAATATGACCATGTTTCCCATAGTTAAAACAAGATCCAGGAAACAGAGTATTTCCTTTATCCACTCTCATTCCTGCCATTGCCGGTGCCAACAAAGTAGCTTTATGCAGATTACCTCCAATACCGTCACAGGCCTTGATATAATCAACTAAATGTGCTTTCCCTCTAATAGGTCACAGAGCAGCCTGGCAATTGGGATTAGCATTGTCAAAAGCTAATAACTGCAACACTATATCCTGAGCAGCCGAATCTGCAATCACCTATTTAAGAGGCTCTTGTAACCAAGCTATAAAATCCATGTACAGTTCTTTTGGTCCCTGCTTTACAGCACTAAAGGAAGGATATGGTTCTCTACCTGAAGAGGTTTTTTTCCAAGCTCTAATGCACATTCCTCTAAGCTGTTCTATGGCATCATGCTGTGTGGCCACTTGTGCATCTAAACCAGCCCAGCTGCTGACCCCCAAAAGTTGGTCTGCAGTCAAATTAATTTGAGGTTGGGCCTGGGCATTGCAAGCAGCCTGAATGGAAGCTTCATCTGCCCACCAAGTTTTAAATTGTGGTAAGAACTAAGCAGGAGTTAGACAAGCTCGAGTAAGAGCATCCCAGTCAGTAGGAATCATCTGACTGGAAACAGCAAAATTCTTTAACAGTCCCATTACAAAAGGAGAGCCTGGTCCTTACGGATTAATAGCTTGTTTAAATTCTTTGAGTAATTTAAAAGAAAAAGGCTCAAATGTAGCTATAATATTTCCCTGTTGATCTGGGGGTGTATTCTAACAGAGAACTGTGAAGCCTCTAAATTACCCTCTTGTCTAGCTTGCTGAATTCCTGCCTGAACAGAACTGAAAGTGCTCACTCGAGGCGCTGCTCGAACAGTCACTGGGGCAGCTACTTTTCGCTCAGTGTCCTCCAGAAAAGAAAGATCTGGAGGGTCAGGCCACTCTTTTTCTTCAAAATAATGAGGGAGTGCAGAAGGGTAGGGATGAACCTCTTCCTCCTTTGCAGCTTTAGCTTTAGCTGGCAAACAAGCCTGCTCTGCCACCTCTTTCTTTCCTCCTCATCATTGGTGTGAAAAGGTTCCAAGGTGGAATGAACCAGAGCTCACACTTGTCCCATTGTTACCCTGATGCTTCTGAGCTCCCCTTCTTACTCACCACGGGGATTGCTTAAGAGAACTTGGGTGTCCTCCAGCTTAGTTCCACATTCTCCAACCATCTTTCTGGTGACCCTTTGACCCAGGTTCAAGCCCCCATATTGGGCACCGCTTGCCGAGACCAGCTCGGTCAGGGAGACCCTAACCCAGTGGCACTAGAGAAATTAAAGACACACACACAGAAATATAGAGGTGTGGAGTGGGAAATCAGGGGTCTCACAGCCTTCAGAGCTGAGAACCTTGAACAGAGATTTACCCATGTATTTATTGACAGCAAGACAGTGATCCAGTGATAAGCATTGTTTCTATAGATTATAGATTAACTAAAAGTATTCTTTATGGGAAACAAAGGATGGGCCAAAATAAAGGGATGGGCTTTGGCTAGTTATCTGCAGCAGGAGCATGTCCTTAAGGCACAGATCACTCATGCTATTGCTTGTGGTTTAAGAACACCTTTTGAGGGGGGTGGAGTCAAGATGGCTGAATGGGAACAGCTCCAGTCTACAGCTCCCAGCATGAGTGATGCAGAAGATGGGTGATTTCTGCATTTCCAACTGAGGTACCAGGTTCATCTCACTGGGGAGTGCCGGACACTGGGTGCAGGACAGTGGGTGCAGTGCACCGTGCATGAGCCAAAGCAGGGTGAGGCATCGCCTCAGCCGAGAAGTGCAAGGGGTCAGGGAATTCCCTTTCCTAGTCAAAGAAAGGGGTGACAGACAGCACCTGGAAAATCAGGTCACTCCCACCCTAATACTGTGCTTTTCCAACAGGCTTAACAAATGGGACACCAGGAGATTATATCCCACACCTGGCTCAGAGGGCCCTACACCCACGGAGCCTCGCTCGTTGCTAGCACAGCAGTCTGAGATCAAACTGCAAGGCTGCAGCAAGGCTGCAGGAGGGGTGCCCGCCATTGCTCAGGCTTAAGTAGGTAAACAAAGTGGCTGGGAAGCTCGAACTGGGTGGAGCCCACCACAGCTCAAGGAGGCCTGCCTGCCTCTGTAGGCTCCACCTCTGGGGGCAGGGCACAGACAAACAAAAGACAGCAATAACTTCTGCACACTTAAATGACCCCGTCTGACAGCTTTGAAGAGAGTAGTGGTTCTCCCAGCATGCAGCTTGAGATCTGAGAATGGGCAGACTGCCTCCTCAAGTGGGTCCCTGACCCCTGAGTAGCCTAACTGGGAGGCACCCCCCAGTAGGGGCGGACTGACACCTCACAAGTCCGGATATTCCTCTGAGACAAAACTTCCAGAGGAAGGATCAGGCAGCAGCATTTGTGGTTCACCAATATCTGTTGTTCTGCAGCCACTGCTGCTGATACCCAGGCAAACAGGGTCTGGAGTGGACTTCCAGTAAACTCCAACAGAACTACAGCTGAGGGTTCTGACTGTTAGAAGGAAAACTACCAAACAGAAAGGACATCCACACCAAAAACCCATCAGTACGTCACCATCATCAAAGATGAAAGGTCGATAAAACCACAAAGATGGGGAAAAAACAGAGCAGAAAAACTGGAAACTCTAAAAATCAGAGCACCTCTCCTCCTCCAAACAAAAGTAGCTCCTCACCAGCAATGGAACAAAGCTGGACGGAGAATGACTTTGACAAGTTGAGAGAGGAAGGCTTCACAAGATCATACTACACTGAGCTAAAGGAGGAAGTTTGAACCAATGGCAAAGAAGTTAAAAACTTTGAAAAAAAATTAGACGAATGGATAACTAGAATAACCAATGCAGAGAAGTCCTTAAAGGACATGATGGAGCTGAAAACCATGGCACAAGGACTACATGACGAATGCATAAGCCTGAGTAACTGATGTGATCAACTGGAGGAAAGGATATCAGCGATGGAAGATGAAATGAATGAAATGAAGTGTGAAGAGAAGTTTAGAGAATAAAGAATAAAAAGGAATGAACAAAGCCTCCAAGAAATATGGGACTATGTGAAAAGATTAAATCTACATCTAATTGGTGTACCTGAAAGTGATGGGGAGAATGGAACCAAGTTGGAAAACACTCTACAGGATATTACCCAGGAGAACTTCCTCAATCTAGCAAGGCAGGCCAACATTCAGATTCAGGAAATACAGAGAATGCCACATAGATTCTCCTCGAGAAGAGCAACTCCAAGACACATAATTGTCAGATTCACCAAAGTTGAAATGAAGGAAAAAATGTTAAGGGCAGCCAGAGAGAAAGGTCGGGTTACCCACAAAGGGAAGCCCATCAGACTAAGAGCTGATCTCTCAGCAGAAACTCTACAAGTCAGAAGAGAGTGGGAGCCAATATTCAACATTCTTAAACAAAAGAATTTTCAACCCAGAATTTCATATCCAGCCAAACTAAGCTTCATAAGTGAAGGAGAAATAAAATACTTTACAGACAAGCAAATGTGGAGAGATTTTATCACCACCAGGCCTACCTTACAAGAGCTCCTGAAGAAAGCAATAAACATGGAAAGGAACAACTGGTACCAGCCAGTGCAAAAACATGCCAAATTGTAAAGACCATCAAGGCTAGGAAGAAACTGCATCAACTAACGAGCAAAATAACCGCTAACATCATAATGACAGGATCAAATTCACACATAACAATACTAACATTAAATATAAATGGAGTAAATTCTCCAATTAAAAGGCACAGAGTGGCAAATTGGATAAAGAGTCAAGACCCATCAGTGTGCTGTATTCAGGAAACCCATCTCACATGCAAACACACACATAGGCTCAACATAAAGGGATGGAGGAAGATCTATCAAGCAAATAGAAAACAAAAAAATGCAGGGGTTGCAATCGTAGTCTCAGATGAAACAGACTTTAAACCAACAAAGATCAAAAAAGACAAAGAAGGCCATTACATAATGGTAAAGGGATCAATTCAACAAGAAGAACTAACTATCCTAAATATACATGCACCCAATACAGGAGCACCCAGATCCGTAAAGCAAGTCCTTAGTGACCTACAAAGAGACTTAGACTCCCACACAATAATAATGGGAGACTTTAACACCCCACTGTCAACATTAGACAGATCAACAAGACAGAAAGTTAACTAGGATACCCAGGAATTGAACTCAGCTCTGCACCAAGTGGACCTAATAGACATCTACAGAACTCTCCACCCCAAATCAACAGAATATACATTCTTTTTGGCACCACACCACACCTATTCCAAAATTGACCACATAGTTGGAAGTAAAGCACTCCTCAGCAAATGTAAAAGAACAGAAAGTATAACAAACTGTCTCTCAGACCACAGTGCAATCAAACTAGAACTCAGGATTAAGAAACTCACTCAAAACTGCTCAACTACATGGAGACTGAACAACCTGCTCCTGAATGACTACTGGGTACATAACGAAATGAAGACAGAAATAAAGATGTTCTTTGAAACCAACGAGAACAAAGACACAACATACCAGCATCTCTGGGACACATTCAAAGAAGTGTGTAGAGGGAAATTTATAGCACTAAATGCCCACAAGAGAAAGCAGGAAAGATCTAAAATTGGCACCCTAACATCACAATTAAAAGAACTAGAGAAGCAAGAACAAACACATTCAAAAGCTAGCAGAAGGCAAGAAATAACTAAGATCAGAGCAGAACTGAAGGAAATAGACACAAAAAACCCTTCAAAAAATCAATGAACTCAGGAGCTAGTTTTTTTAAAAGATCAACAAAATTGATAGACCACTAGCAAGACTAATAAAGAAGAGAGAAGAATCAAATAGATGCAATAAAAAACGATAAAGGGGATATCACCACCGATCCCACAGAAATACAAACTACCATCAGAGAATACTATAAACACCTCTGTGCAAATAAAGTAGAAAATCTAGAAGAAATGGATAAATTCCTCGACACATACACTCTCCCAAGACTAAACCAGGAGGATGTTGAATCTCTGAATAGACCAATAACAGGCTCTGAAATTGAGGCAATAATTAATAGCTTACCAACAAAAAAAAGTCCAGGACCAGATGGATTCACAGCTGAATTCTACCAGAGGTACAAAGAGGAGCTGGTACCATTCCTTCTGAAACTATTCCAATCAATGGAAAAACAGGGAATCCTTCCTAACTCATTTTATGAGGACAACATCATCCTGATAGCAAAGCCTGGCAGAGACACAACCAAAAGAGATAATTTTAGACCAATATCCTTGATGAACATTGATGCAAAAATCCTCAATAAAATACCGGCAAACTGAATCCAGCAGCACATCCAAAAGCTTATCCACCATGATCAAGTGGGCTTCATCCCTGGGATGCAAGGCTGGTTCAACATACACAAATCAATACATGTAATCCAGCATATAAACAGAACCAAAGACAAAAAGCACATGATTATCTCAATACATGCAGAAAAGGCCTTTGACAAAATTCAACAACCCTTCATTCTAAAAACTCTCAATAAATTAGGTATTGATGGGACGTATCTCAAAATAATAAGAGCTATTTATGACAAACCCACAGCCAATATCATACTGAATGGACAAAAACTGGAAGCATTCCCTTTGAAAACTGGCACAAGACAGGGATGCCCTCTCTCACCACTCCTATTCAACATAGTGTTGGAAGTTCTGGCCAGGGCAATTAGGCAGGAGAAGGAAATAAAGGGCATTCAGTTAGTAAAAGAGGAAGTCAAATTGTCCCTGTTTGCAGATGACATGATTGCATATCTAGAAAACCCCATCGTCTCAGCCCAAAATCTCCTTAAGCTGATAAGCAACTTCAGCAAAGTCTCAGTATACAAATCAATGTGCAAAAATCACAAGCATTCTTATACACCAATAACAGACAAACAGAGAGCCAAATCATGAGTGAACTCCCATTCACAATTGCTTCCAAGAGAATAAAATACCTAGGAATGCAACTTACAAGGGATATGAAGGACCTCTTCAAGGAGAACTACAAACCACTGCTCAAGGAAATAAAAGAGGATACAAACAAATGGAAGAACATTCCATGCTCATGGATAGGAAGAATCAATATCGTGAGAATGGCCATACTGCCCAAGGTAATTTATAGATTCAATGCCATCCCCATCAAGCTACTAATGACTTTCTTCACAGAATTGGAAAAAGCTACTTTCAAGTTCATATGGAACCAAAAAAGAGCCCGCATGGCCAATTCAATCCTAAGCCAAAAGAACAAACCTGGAGGCATCACACTACCTGACTTCAAACTATACTACAAGGCTACAGTAACCAAAACAGGATGGTACTGGTACCAAAACAGAGATATAGATCAATGGAACAGAACAGAGCCCTCAGAAATAATGCTGCATATTTACAACCATCTGATCTTTGACAAACCTGACAAAAACAAGCAATGGGGAAAGGATTCCCTATTTAACAAATGGTGCTGGGAAAACTGGCTAGCTATATGTAGAAAGCTGAAACTGGATACCTTCCTTACATCTTATACAAAAATTAATTCAAGATGGATTAAAGACTTAAATGTTAGACCTAAAACCATAAAAACCCTAGAAGAAAACCTAGGCAACACCATTCAGGACATAGGCATGGGCAAGAACTTCACGTCTAAAACACCAAAATCAATGGCAACAATAGCCAAAATTGACAAATGGGATCTAATTAAACTAAAGAGCTTCCGCACAGCTAAAGAAACCACCATCAGAGTGAACAGGCTACCTACAGAATGGGAGAAAATTTTCGCAACCTACTCATCTGACAAAGGGCTAATATCCAGAATCTACAATGAACTCCAACAAATTTACAAGAGAAAAACAAACAACCCCACCAAAAAGTGGGTGAAGGATATGAACAGACACTTCTCAAAAGAAGACATTTAGGCAGCCAAAAAACACATGAAAAAATGCTCATCATCACTGGCCATCAGAGAAATGCAAATCAAAGTCACAAGGAGATACCATCTCACACCAGTTAGAATGGCGATCATTAAAAAGTCAGGAAACAACAGGTGCTGGAGAGGATATGGAGAAATAGGAACACTTTTACACTGTTGGTGGGACTGTAAACTAGTTCAACCATTGTGGAAGTTGGTGTGGTGATTCCTCAGGGATCTAGAACTAGAAATACCATTTGACCCCGCCATCCCATTACTGGGATTTATATACCCAAAGGATTATAAATCATGCTGCTATAAAGACACATGCACACGTATGTTTATTGCAGCACTATTCACAATAGCAAAGACCTGGAACCAACCCAAATGTCCAACAATGATAGACTGGATTAAGAAAATGTGGCACATATACACCATGGAATACTATGCAGCCATAGAAAATGATGAGTTCATGTCCTTTGTAGGGACATGGATGAAGCTGGAAACAATCATTCTCAGCAAACAATCGCAAGGACAAAAAACCAAACACCACATGTTCTCACTCATAGGTGGGAATTGAACAATGAGAACACATGGACACAGGAAGGGGAACATCACACACCGGGGATTGTTGTGGGGTGGGGGGAGGGGGAGGGATAGCATCAGGAGATATACCTAATGCTAAGTGACGAGTTAATGGGTGCAGCACACCAACATGGCACATGTATACCTATGTAAGAAACCTGCATGTTGTGCACATGTACCTTAAAACTTAAAGTAGAATTAAAAAAAAAAAAAAAAAGAACGCCTTTAAGCGGTTTTCCGCCCTCGGTGGGCCAGGTGTTCCTTTCCCTCATTCCAGTGAACCCACAGCCTTCCAGCGTGGGCGCCATGGCCATCATGAACATGTCACAGTGCTACAGAGATTTTGTTTATGGCCAGTTTTGGAGGCAGTTTATGGCCAGATTTTGGGGGCTTATTCCCAACAAGTTCAGCCATGGAACCAAAGGTATTATTTAAGTGGAAAGTTTTAAGAGGCCTTTCTGTAAGTTTTCACGGTGCTGGGGTATAGGTGCCTCATGGTCCAGCCTAGTCCTCAGATATGCAGTACCCACTGTGTCTCTACTCGAATCTCATGATTCTTGAGATGGACAACTCAGCTCCTCAATAGAAATGGGTATGTTTGGTTCCCACACCACAAGTGCCTTGCATTTAATAACTGGAAGGCATCAAAAGAAAATGAATGGTATTATCATGTGGGTTCATGTTAGTTTATGGGTAGGCTGATTAAACTACAGCAAGCTCCTATGATAAAATACATTATATTCACACAGATTTTACCATACAATGTAGGAGAATCTTATAATGTGGAGTCTGTCTTTGATCTACAATGAAGATATACCTTAAGCAGAGAATAGGTTTGAAAATCAGAACCATCCTTGAAATTCTTCTAAATCATTCATAAATTATAGTATTCAGATATTCAGTTTCTCAGTTTATTAAGAGCTAGTTTTCTACCAGCTTTGAAACGGATTTTCTATTTCTTCATTTGGGCACAAGATCATGAAGTTAACGTCTATTTATGATCATGCTACAAAAAATATGATTGATCTTTAAACACCAGAATCAAGGAATGAAGCAAGAGGATCGCCCCATGGGAGCTGCAAGGTAACTGAGATCTGCTCAGTGAAAAATAGATTCATATCTGTCCTGTCACTCTCACTCCAGGGCAGATGTTCATTGAGCAGAAGGGCCGCCAAATTGCCCCATCTATCTATAGTGTCAGTTTACTCATCCAGGTCCCTTTACTACTCACCCACACTCTCAACACCTGTAGTTAAAACTGATTGAATGCTCATATAATGCTACTCCCCTATGTCACACTACTAGTAAATTATAGGCAACCTCTGTCAAATATGATAAAAATGACCTAGAAGATATTTTGATTCAAAACTAACAGTAATCAACAGTGAGAAAGAGGCCAAGGGCTCCCTTTTACAACTTCTTTCCAAGTCCATAATCTATGTTCTATTCTTATTCATAAGCGGTTGTCAACTAAGCCTTCCCATAGAGTAACTAATAATTAAAAGGATAACTAAAATGGTTTAAGGTTAAAAGGCTACCAGGAGTGCTTATGTTTCCTTTCCTCTGATTTCATGTCTTTGCAGGGATCTGAACAAATACATGCTACTTGTGAACAGTTATCTACTTCCTCCTTAGAAAAATATTTGATTCAAAAGAATCAACCAGTAGTAAATATTTCTATATATTAAGTAAGAGTTTTCTCTGTGCCAGCCATTGAATATTATCTCTTTCAGTCTTCATGGATTCCTTATCCAACAGGTTTTATTATCTTGTATCTAGTGAAGATCTAACCCAAAGAGGGTTTACATAATTTTATAAGACCAGACATTTAGTACAAAGCAGAGGCAGGATTCAAATTCAAGTTTGTCTAATTATAAGGTCCATGCTCTTAATCATTAACCATGCTTCCCTCACAGCTTTATTGTGCTCTGCAGCCAAGCCTGTTGAGTTGTTGTATCATCTGCCACCTCTAATCAAATTCAGCATGTCATAGTAACATCAAACTTTCCATATTGCTTTATCATTTGCAGAGCACTTTTACATCCATTATTAATTTGGCTGATGCTTAAATCAATCCACAGGAATCTGAACAACAATTACTCCCTCTGTGGAACAGAGGCTGGGAATAGAATATGAGTGTTAGTTCAATAAGCCTTAGTTGGAATTTTAACTCTGACAAGGTCTGTGTGACCTTCGATAAGTCCCTGGATTTGTCTAGGTCATAGGTGTCTTGTATGTAAGCTAGTATATTAAATAAAATGATGTGTGTATTCTATGTACTTGGTTTTTTCATTGCCAGTAGTAGTATTCAGGAAATATTTAAGTGACCAGATACACTTCTTCTGTAGTTTCCTATTCCAAAGAGCAGATAACATGTAAACTTATCACAGCAATTTTACTACTAGGTATCTACCTAAGAGAAATGAAAACATACTTTTCCAGACAAAAACTGGCACAAAAATGTTCATAACAGTTTTATTAATCATAATCAAAACTGGAAACAATTCAAATATTCATCAACTGGTATATGAATAAACAAATTGTGGTGTATCCCAACAGTGGAATCTACCCAGCAATAAAAGGGAGATAACTATTATATAACCAGCATCACAGATGAATCTCCAAAATATTGTGAAAATATAAGAAGCCATATCCAAAAGTTACAAACCATTTGTGTAATATTCTCAAAAATGTAAAATCATATGAACACAAGAGATTAGTGGTTGTCTTTGTCGGTTAGGGCTACTATAACAAAATGCCATAAATGGAGTAGTTTATAAGCAACAGAAATTAATTTCTCACAGTTCTGGAGGCTGGGAAGTCTAAGATCAAGGTGCTAGCAGATTCATTGTGTAGTGAGGGCTTACTTTCTGCTTCATAGTTGATGTCTTCTTGCTGTGCCTTCACATGGTGGAAGGGACAAGGGATCTCTCTGGGGTTTTTTATAAGGGGACTAATCCATTTATGTTTTAATCACATTCCAAAGGCCCCATCTTTTAACATGATCACCTTGGGGGTTAGAATTTCAACATATGAATGTTAGCGGAGCACAAACATTCAGTCCTAGCAGTGGTTGCACGGTCATAGACATGAGGGAAGGGAACTTACTGCCAAGGAAAGGGAGGGAAATTTGTGTTAAAGGACACATTCTATATCTTGATTGTAGTGGTATTATATGACTGAATATATTTGTCAAAAATCATTATTGAACTGTGTACTTATAAAAAGATGAGTTTTATGTGCAAATTATATTTCAGATAAGTAAGTAAAAAATTTAAATCTATAATTCACAATTAGATACCACTAATCACCACCTCAACTATCTAAAATTTAAAAAGACTTATAATACCAATTGTTTGTAAGGATATGGAAAAACCAGAAACCTCTTACACCACTAACAGGAACATCAATTGATACTGCTGGATTGAAAAACTTTTGGCCTTATCTACTAAATTGAAGATACACAACCTGTGACTTAGCAATCCATTTCTAAATATGTGTCCACTTAAAATGCATGCACAAATATTTTCAGAGAAATATTATTCATAACAGCCAAATTTATACACAATCCAAATGTCCATCAACATGAGAATGGATAAATACACAAATTATGGCATATTCTATAATGGGATACTATGCAGAAATGAAAATCAACTAAAACTGCCCCCAACAGCAGGAGTAAACTTTACAAATATAAGGTTGAGTTAAAGAAGTCAGACACAATACAATAAGAAAAAGAGGAGAAGCATTTAGGGATCCCACTCACTGTTCTGTCTGGCCACAATATAATTGGAAGAGGCACTTCCTAACCTCTCCCACACGATTAGAGAACAGTAATGATATTACTGAGTACCTGTCCTGGTGTTCAAGGAGCAGTTCCTAGCTTCCCTGTTTGGTGTTTGTACTCTGCCTGTTCTCTCAAGATCTACTTCGACTCTTCCTACATTGTCAAACTCCGTTTTAGAGGTATGCACATTTTCTTGGTCCATTGCAAACCCCAAATTGGCTACAGCATTCCACACATTTTCTCTTTAATTTGGCCTTATTGACTGTGCTCTGACCTAAACTCAGGTGCTCAGGTTCCCTTCCCAGATCTGCAGCCCCCACAGAGCCTATTGACTTCCTTCTATAGACTACGGGGGGAAAAGTTTATAATATTTAAGTGGCCCTGTGTTAAGCAGGCTATGCGCTAAGAACTTTACAAACACTGGCTTCTCTGCAGCCAATGCAATGAAATAGGTCCTCTCAGATCCTTCTTTTTCTGATAATAAAATAGATGTACAGTGGCCAAGTGCTCAAGTCAAAGGTCACATGTAACTGGCAGAGTCAAAGCTCCAATGTCTCACTCTGATGGCCCTGCTCTGTACTGTATAGGATTCTTAGCATGAGGAGAAAGCTGTTAGTAACAAAAAACCCTGCGCTACTCTCAGGGGGTACTTTCAGAGCTACATTCAGACAGCATTATCAATTCTTCCCGCCAGAGCAGAATCTGGATGCGTGGGTCTGGCAGCAGTTCAGTGTGCACTTGTTACTGGTAAGAGCACTGGATTTGGAATCTGGTAAACTTCAGTTTAATGCATTTGCTATCAGGGCAAATCACTTCACCTCTTTGAGTGCCAGTTTCCTAATCTCTACAATGTAGATAATAGCTGCTTCATAAATATTTTAAAAATTAGATGTTATGATGGAGGTAAAAGGTTTCACACAGATTAAGCACCATGAGTAACAACTATTTGCTGTGGGTTCCATTTCTATCGGCTCTGGGGCAACAGTCTAAGGGGCACACAGATCCAGCAACCACATCTACACTCTCCTTGCTTTCTCTCTCTTTGTCCACTACTAACTGGCTCTTCTGGATCTCAGTCTCTGCTCTACCTCTATTTCTGTCATTGTCAGTTCTTTTTCTTTCTCTTCCATTCTTTCATTAAGGCCTTTCCCTTTCTTCCTGCTTCAAAATTGACCCCTCTCCCACTGCCCTGCCTATCTCAGAATTCCCCCATCTTTCTCCTTTTATCAGAGTCTTCTTTAGGACATTCCCTTTTCAGGACCTCAACTAACTGACATGCAGTATGTGCGGTGCTGCCGTGTGTAGATCACAGCGAGGAATATGAAGGTGTGTAAGACACAGGGCCTGGTATTCAGAGGCTCACCATCTAGTGTGAGAAAGAACACATGCATGACACACACCAGCCTGTGTCAGCCTGTCCCATCCACTCCTAGGGTGCAGTGCCCTCCTCAAGCCATCCCTTCTCTCCTTTCACCTAGTTATCCAGGTTTAATGCCATTTTCCCCAGCCTTTTCCCATTTTGTCACATGACTATTCAAAACAAACTGGTCCTATGTCACAACAAGTCTTTGTCCTTTCCAAGATCTTAACTAGCTAATCCAATGAGCTAATTTTCCATAGTGTGCTCAAGATAGATGGTTAAATGTGATGACCCAGGTTCTCTTGTATTTGACTGTGATTTAAAGAAAAATGCCCCCTTGAGGATGTGACTTTAATGTTTTTAGTTTATGGTAACGTAGTTCAGCTCTGGGTGCTTTCAGGGGTGGAGACTCTAAATGAGTTCCTTGGTTATATAGAGTCTTTGTATGGTGGCTTCTTAGATGCTGGTTGTAGTAGTAATGTGCTTAGTTTGTGTGCAGGTTCACTGTCTCCTGTGGGGTTGGAATGGCAGAGGTCTCTTGAAGCTCATCTCATTCTCCAGCGGTAGGTACTTTGTTTATTTATTTTCCCCCACCATTTTATTTACTGGGTTGAAAAGTTCAGGCTTCAGGCCAGGAGGGGAGGCATCCATGGGTTCAAACCAGCTGTGGTTAACGCAGGTTGGCAAACCCAATACCCAATGGTAGGCAGAGGTCCCAGCCTTGACAGAGACAGCTTGGGGAGCTCTTTGTGAAAGGCACTAAGGTCTTTTCAGGGGAAGGGAGGGAGCCACCTCAGCTCCCCTGCCAGTTCAGCAGGAAGGCAATCCACCTCGCAGTCACACTCCTGATGCAGTGTCATGGCTATTCAGATTAGGCAGGCACCTCTTTTCATTTGCAGGAATGCTGATGTTCCATGTAGAGAGGGATTATGACTCTACCCCTCATGCAAGCCTGCACCTGGAAGGCACTCCCCTTGTGAGGTTGCAGACACCCTGAAGTGTTCCAGAAAGGCTGTCAACAGGCGCATCCATGCCGAGCTCCTTTGGGAGGAGCCCCAGTTGTATCTGCAGTAGTGGATGAGGGGGAAAAGAAGTCCCATTCTCCAAGACCCTTCAGGAGCACCAGGACTGCCTCATTGCTGGAGTGGAGCTGCAGATTTTCTCCACCAAGCCCAGCACTGCACCTCTGCCTCTGCTGAAAGAAACTTCCCACAACTAGAAAATTCTAGAACTCAAGGCCTACCATCTGGATTTTTTTTTTTTTTTTTGTCCCAAGAGGTGCTCCCTTGATGTGGTGCACTTCCTCTTCCCCTAGGAGTAGGAGTCCCTTAGAGCCAGACTACTATGAATGTTGCTACTCTTCTGGGTCTAGCTGCCCAGTGGGGCTGCCACACTCCAGAGTGGTGTTGGGGAATGTCTGTAAGGGGTCCAGTGATGTGATCTGTATTCAAGGTGCCCAGAAGTGGGTATCAGCGCCAGCTCTGAAAAGGGTGGTGGGGAGTGACATAGAGTTTGTGAGATTCCTTGAATACAAGTTGCGTTACTGTATTGTTGGCTTTCTCAAATGTCAGTTGTACTAGTAAGGAACTAGTCATGTGGACAGACTCAGGACCTCTTGGTTAGCCAGGATGATACAGGCAATGGTGATAGCTGAGGTCACACACAAATTTTCTCCATTCTGCACACTGTTATTTTGCCTGTAGAGACTATAATGAACTGTGGCACTTGGCCTCCAGCCAGGAGGTGGCACTTGCAAAAGATCGCCAGCTGCAGTGGTAGCAGTGGGATTTGTGCTTGCCTTATGTTATCCAGAAGATGTACTGTGGTGACTCAGGAAATGGATGGGGCCACACAGAACCCACAAAAGTTTTTGTCCTTTGTTGAAGCTGCCAGGGTGGTTGGAAGGGCAAAGGCAAGTGGGAACTGGGTCAGGCAAGTCTGTGCTCAGGCCCTCCACATGTGAGCAAAAGCAGTGGCCCCACTGGGGATTATAGAGCAGTTCTCTGGCTACCAGAGTAATGTTCCAGGGAAGAGCACAGTTGCCTCTGCTGTATAGAAGAGTCCACATGGAGAGTGGAGAGTAGCAGGTGGCAGTAAGCTCCACCCAGCTCCCACTCACTGGGCAAGTCCAGTCTCACACTTGCAGCATTCCACTAGCAGCAGCTAGCTAGGTTCCACACAGTCTGTGCTCAGAACTCAAAAGTGCCCCAGGCCATATTTCTTCCCCCAAGGAAACAGCAACCATGGCTTTCAGGCCATGCCTCTCCTCGTTTGCCTGTGAAGCAGGGGCGCCCAGCTCCTGTGCCTGTGGCTGCGGCACACTTCCCACTCAACCCTCAGTTCTGGCCAAGGGGGTTTGTCTCCACTGAAGATTATATCATGAATCTCAGTTGGGAGCTTCCTTCTACCTGTGACTGCCACCTGAGTTAGCTGGTAGATTTCGGCAAGGTCCCCTGTGAGGCAGGATCAGGAATGTCTTCCCTCCACCCCTGCTGGAGACTGAAAATGAATATAAAGCCTGTTCTAATGTCAATTCTTCTCATATACTCCCTACCACTCACTAAGTCAGCTTCAGCACTGGGTAGAGTTAAGGCCTTCCCCCATGGCCTGGATTGCCAGGTTTCCCAGTAGGAGTGTATGTTCCAGAGGTAGTCTATCCTCTTCTCACACTCTGGGGACTTACAGTTTTCTAGTTGGCTCACAGTGTAAGCTACAGCCCAATGCTTCTTTCAAATAGTCTGTGGCTTTCAATTTTCTTATTACGTTCCTGTGTTTGCTTCTTGGAAGAAAGTTCACGTGTGAATCTCTACACACTATTTTGTCTTTCCAAGTGGGAGAAGCATGCTAACAATGTCTCCTATCTGATATCTTGGGGAAAAATAACAAACTCTTCTAGCACTTTGAATATATCATCCCACTCCTTCCTAGTCTGCAAGTTTCCACTGGAAAATCTGCTGATGGACTTAGGGAGGCTGCATTGTATATCACGAGTCACTTTATTCTCTTTCACATTTGAAAATTTGATTATATTGTGTCTTGGTGTGGATTCGCTTATGTTTATACTGTTGGGGATCTTTTGAGCTTCATTAATCTGGATGACTATTTTCCTCTCCAGATTTAGAAGTTTTCAACCAACCTTCCTTCTTTGTTTTTCCACTTTCTCCATTCCGTTTTCTCCCTTCCTCCCTCCCTTCCTCCCTCCCTTCCTCCCTTCTTTCCTTTCTTTCTCTCTTTCTCTCTCACTTTCTTTCTTTCTCTTTCTCTCTCTTTTTTCTCTCTCCCTTTCTTTCTCTTTCTCTTTCCCTTCCTTACTTCCTTCTCTTTCTTTCTTTTTTCTTTCTTTCTTCTCTTTCTCTTTCTTTTCCTTTTTCTTTCTCATTTTCTTTCTTTCTTTTTCTCTCTTGCTCTTTCTTTCTTTTCTTTCTTTCTGTCTTTCTGTCTGTCTTTCTTTCTTTCTTTCTTTCTTTCTTTCTTTCTTTCTTTCTTCCTTTCTTTCTTTCTTCTTTCTTTCTTTCTTGATGAGATCTTGCTACATTGACTAGACTGGAGTGCAGTGGCTCCTCACAGACACTTCCCTCCTTTCCTCCTGGGGAAAATGTTTAAGGGTTATGTATCTTTTCCCAATCTTGCAGAATTGTGCCAGCTGCGATGAGCTACTCACCTCTTTTCCTTATTCTAGACTTCCCCTAGGGATTTAAACTATTTTGATTCTCTCAGTGTTCTGAGCGAGGCATGGCAGGAAGAAGTCCCTTGGGCACTGTGCCAAAATGCCAGGAATGATGAATATATGCTCCACTCTCTTTTTACTCCTGAATGGAGCATCCACAAGCTAAGGCAATTTCTCCCAGCTCAGAGCTGTGCCAACTTGGGGGAGGGGCTGATGGTAAAGTAAAATTGCTCTTCCAACTCATTTCAGTGTGGCTGATATCAGTATTTTTGCTCATCTGGGGGTACTTCTTAACTGCAATCTGAAATATGTGCAAAGATATTTTGCTCTGCATATCATTGTTAACTTAACATTGTTAAGTATTTCATTGTTTCTATAGGGAGATGAGGGCTTAGAACTTCCTGTTCCATCATCTTTTGATATCAAGGAATTATAAATTTCAAAGGTGGTTTTGTTGTATTTTTATTTTTTTGTGTCTGAAAATAATACTCTTCTACCTCACAGAAGAAAACAAAATCAAATCATAGTGCCAGAAGAGACTCTAGAGATAATCTTAATTTATCTAATTACATAACTCCTGAGAAGAACAGAAAAGTCAATGTTATCAGCAAGAGAATGTTATAAGGCACAGGACTCCTATGCCTGCCAAAAGAGGCTCTCAGATGATCATATGGGGTTGGTTATGACTGGACAATAACAAGGTAAGCAACCGGGCTTAGGAGTTTTGCTACAGTGCTCTTCTAACAGGAAACTATATTTTCTTTTTTAAAAATTTTATTGTAGTGACAGGGTCTTGCTATGTTGCTCAGGCTGCTCTTGACCTCCTGGCTTCAAATAATCCTCCCACCTCAGTCTTCCAAAACACTGAGATTACAGGTATAAGCCACCATGCCTGGCCTGAAGCTTTATATTTTCTATCTATCCAATGTGAACCCAGATTTTGCCCCATGAAGAGAACTCTAAGGGTGTATTCACCTTTTTTGAAGAGCTTCTTTTTAATTCTTTTGAAGTTTTGAGTTACTCATATTCTTAGAGGAAGGTATGACTAACAGGAAGTCTTTGGAAAAGGCTGGGTGAGAACTGTCAAAAGGCTGCAATCAAGATATGTGCTGTGGCTTGGGTCTTCTTCTGAGGTCTTCTCCCAAGCTCTCATGGTTGTTTGCAGGTTCATTTCCTCCCAGCTTGAGAACTTGTAATGCCTTGCTTTTTTAAAGTAAGCAAGGGAGCATCTCTGATAGTGGGGAAGGCCTAAATCTTCTTTTAAAGGGCTTATCTGATTAGTTTGGGACAGACCAAAATAATCTCCTTTTGATTAACAGAGATTGATAAACTCAAAGTCATTCTGATTAGGGACTTTATATCTGTAAAATCTCTTCATCTTTGCCAGAAAATGCAAACTAATTGCAGGAGTGATATTTATCATATTAACAGGTCTACCCACACTCAAGAGAAGGCGATAACACAGAGTATGTACACCATGGGGAGGAAATCTTGGCAGCCATTGTAGAATTCTTTCTATGACACTTATGTCAGCATTTTTGTTGTACTCTGGAGATCACAGAGTGAAAAGCACCATTTTCTGTGATTGTAGATATTTGTTACAAATTCGAGACTGAAACATATGCTTTCAAAATTGACAGAACAGAATATAGGGTGGTCAAGGCACCAGACGAAATTAAATTTTATTCTTCCATTATGTTAAATTAGCATCTTTTCCTTTCCGAAATCACTTACATTGCTTTCTCATATGTTAATCAGACACCTGTGGCATTTTTATAGTAAATGCAAAGTGAGGATTTTAGGTGATCAAAATGAATAGGCCTAACTAGTTCACAGCTTTGAGATGTGGCCACACTGCTTATTCATGGAGAGAACAGAGCTTACAGAGTATCCTGCATATTTACACTTGTATCAATCAGCTTGTGCTGCCATCACAGAATACAACAGACTGAGTGGCTTCAACAACAGAAATTTATATGTTCAAAGTTCTGGAGGCTGAATGTCCAAGATCAAGGTACTGGCAGGCTTAGTTTTTGGTGAAGCCTTGTCTTAGTCAAATTGGGCTGCTATAACAAAATACCCTAGACTGGGCAGCTTAGAAACAATAGAAACTTATTTCTTACAGTTATGGAAGCTGGTAAGGTTAAGAACAAGGCACTGGCAGATTGAATGTCTGCTGAGGGGCCACTTTCTGGTGATAGATGTCCCCTTCTTCCTTTGTCCTAACATGGCCAGCTCATGCAAGGAGACAGAGAGGGCTCTGGTGTTTCTTCCTTTTCATGTAAGAACACCAGTCCTATAAGATTAGGGTCCAACCCTTATAATCTTATTTAAACTTAATCATCTCCTTGAGGGCCCCATCTGTAAATACAGTCACATTGGGGGTTAGAGATTAAGATACGAATTTGTTGGGGGACACAACTCAGTCCATAACAATTTTCAAAATATCTGTGGGCAATGAAAAACCTGTGGATTTCCTGCTTATCATGACCCCAGATAAGTTTAAAAATCACTAATTACCATTCATAAATATATGCACATATTCCAAAAAAACTTTCCATCTGTTTTCTTTGCTAAAATAATAGAGTATCCAAGGCAACAAGGATACCTGTGCTACCCTGAGCAGTGCAGCAGAGCAACCTCTGTCTTTTTGATTCTGACAAAATTAATGCAAACAAGCCAGTTGTATCATTTTTTTCCTAGTAATGAGACAGGAAAATTCCCCATGGGGCTTCATAAATGGAAAATAACATAGTTACATAGCCAAGTACATGTTTATCTCTAGTGACCCTCTCTAAGGGAAAGCACAGCACACAGAGTGTAGACTTCTCCTACCCAGAGTTAGGTATTAATGTCAGGATCTGTGGTTGAGATTGCTTTTTATAACCCGATTTATACTTTCTCCCTCTCTTGTTAGAGCCCCTGTTTTAGAATGGGGTGTCAATGTGCCCTGTTAAGAAACTACATTTTCTATCCTTTCTTGTAGCTATAAATCATCAATGCAACATAGATTATTGTCTGAGACTCATGAGAAGGCTCTTACAAAGAGAGCAGATAGCTAGCATGTGCCCTTGTCAGCCCTTACCTCCCCAACCTTCCTCTTGTTTCCTGCTTGGAGTACAGATTTGATATGTGCAAATATAGCAGCCATCTTGGATGACTGGAACTTCAGGAACCATCTTGAACAAGGGATAATTTCAAAAATGGAAGCCTAATATTAAGAAAGATGGACCTAAAACATAGATGAAGCCAAGGTCCATAATGATGCTTCATAAAGCTTCCATACCAACCCTAGATGGTTGAACTCTTCCATGTGAGGAAGAAATACACATCTATCTTACTTAGAACACTATTTCTGATCTCTGTTATTAGCTGTGTAATAAAGTTTCTCAACTGATACAAAGTGAAAACTAAAAATCTCAGAATACAAAAATTACCTTAGAAAGTCAATTAGATCTCCCATAAAATTCCCCATAAACTACAGTAAAACAGGGAGGCATAAGGCATAAGAATGGGTTATAGGCAAAGGCAATTAAACCTTTAATTCTTGGGCCAGTCAAGAAAACAGACAAATTAGGCTCTATCCTTGCATTGTTTTAAGCTAGTATTTGCCTTTCAGAAATTGTCTATATTGCTCTTAGAGATTGTAATTCAGAAATTCAAAATCATGTGTATTCTGAAAAGTCTTGTGAAGCACCGCATGTACATGTGTGTGTGTTTCTCTATGACTTCTAATTAACATTTCAATATTTTTTCATGGCTATTGAACATGTCATCAGCACAGACATCCTGACTACCAAAGCAGTATATTCCATTCACAACTATTAGAAACTCCTTAAAAGCATGTATACCTTCTCCCCGTTGGTTTTGGATTAAGCTATATTTGGTTATATCATAATTGTTCTTTAAGCAGAATTGTGGGAAAAATTATAAATTTGATTTATATTGCTCTCTGTTTTATTTTTCTTCTTTTTCTTTCTCTTGCATTGGATTTAACTCTATTATATGTCCAAAATTGAGGAAAGCCATTTGTGGCCACATGGTTTTGTCAAGTGGGTAACTGGAGGTCTGAGAAGAATAGTGGGTGAGAGGTTCTAGAACTTAGATTTTTCTAAGGAATGTTACCACGTTGCTAAGCTATGTAACATATCTTAACAACCAGGGAGCCACACAGGCTCCTTGGAGTAAGAGTGTGAGAAACTGGATGAAGACAGCTGTATTCTTTTGGAAGCGTTCGAGATTGGTCTGTCTCTACCAACTAAAAACTTCTAGCTTAAGTGCAGAGATTTAAGGAGATCAACAAAAACTCAGTCTAGACATATTATGAGGCTGGGAGGGTATCAACAGACTTGAGTTCTTGTCAGCAAGATCACCTGCTTTTAATATTGTCCTCAGGTATAATTTTAAATTCATCATTACAATAATGTTCTAAAATTTTAGGTATGATTTAGTTAATAGTCCTCAAGTTCATTCTTTTTTCAAGAGTATGTGAAAGCCAAATAAGTCTGTTTTAAGAAAATGAAATACACATTGTTTTCTTGTTGACTTTTTTTTTTTCAAAATTTAAAGTGTATCACTACCCTTTAATCTAAGAGAATTGATGTGGGACAGACACATACAGAATAACTGAATAATATCAGCTAACATTTAAGTCAATTTCATCAGGTAATAGACAAACAGACTGAAATCTAGGCAATAAAACAATTAATCTGTGGTCACTTTGCTGGTTAATGGCAAATCTGGGACCATGAATCCTATCTTTAAATTTCTGGTTTAATGTCTTTTTCACTCTCCAAATTGTCTGCTGTACTCTTTTCCCCTCAATACAAGTAAAAAGCAAATTTACTGGCTTAATTGTACAAAAGGTCCCACACCAAAAGAATGAGTAAGTCTAAAGTGTGATTTAAACAAAGAGATTAGAACTAGCTCCTCACTGTGATATTCATAAACAGCAATAAGAAAATATACTTTTTATTGCTAGATAGATATTTTCTGCATTTAATGTCTACATATATTTTACCCAACCTAGGATAATTTTAGTATTTATATATATCAAACTGAAGTTCCTGAAAACCAGATATTCTGTGGCAACAAGTCTGGGAATTTATACACCATACAGTCTAAGTATATAGCATGAAACACTTAAACATAGATTGCTTTGTTCTAAAAAGGTAGTCAACGATCTAAAAGCATCCATCCCAACAAAATCCTGAGATCAATTTCTAGAACATGAACATTTTTTGACACTGCAAATTATTCTAACCCAAAAAGTCTCTGCCATGGTTATAAATAAAATGTGTATTTCCCAATTCTGCTACGATGAATAAGATTTTCATGTAAGATAGAAAAAATACAACAAGCACCAGAAAATCATCCTTCTTAGATTTCAAAAGCATACTATTTTCAAGAAAATTTAAATAACGACTTTCTATGTTCTTAATCCAGAAATGTTCTTTCTCACATGGTTGTGAATTCACCAAGATACATAACATTATCTTTAATCTCCCAGGTCTATGACACCATAGGTGTCTAAAAATGTTAACTGTTACTCAATATTGCAAACAACAACATGGCAAAGGTTCTCTGGTTTATCATCTCCAGATACATCACTCTTTTGGATTTTTTTCCTTCTTTGGGTTTTACCATTCTCTCCGAAGATGATATACATTTTAAGATGCTGGGTTTTAAAAGTACAATATGAAGGGACTTAACTTAAAATTAATTCAATGTAAAGTGCATTTGTGAGTATTGTATTTAAAAGTCATCATTTAAATTTACTATATCAAAATTGATAATCATGTAATTTTTTTTGGTAAGTCAACAAAGTGAGCTCAAATGAAATTAAAAACAGAATATACTTTATACTTTTTACAAATATAATATAAATATTTTGAAATCAAACACTTTGATTTTCCCCTGGGTAAATGTTTTAGATCCACCCATGCCTATACTTTTCAACGTTTACAAAAATTTGGTCTGAAAACAAAATAGCCTCACATTGCTGTAACATGAGAAACAATTTAGTTCAAGCAAAGAAGATGGAGAAATGTTTGATATATAAGAAAGTGACAAGAAACTCTTGTCAGAATGTTTGTCATTTTGTGATTTCAGGGTCTGAGCACATCTGGAAGTGAGGTCAATCAAGTTAGACCCCAAAAACTTTTGTGACAACAGTGAAGAGGGGAAAATAAACACACCACAAACATGAACCTCAACCCCCCGACATCTGCTCTTCAGATCGAGGGCAAAGGCAGCCATATTATGGCTAGAAATGTAAGCTGCTTTCTAGTCAGGCACACCCCTCATCCCAGAAGAGTCTGCCACATCAAAGGTAAGGTGACTTAAGGTCCTAGTATGTGTCTCTATTCTCTACACTTGGGCTATTTGATAATTCTGGCAGGTAAACACAACGCTGCTATTCAAAATATTTAACCACTGGAGAGGTATGGGAATTGACTATTGGGACTAGATGCCAGCACTGTAGTGAGAGCAGAGGCCTGGAGTGAGAGCAGAGGCCTGCAGTCCCTCTCTGTGTTGGACAGTAACCCTTAAATTGCTTGATTGTTAGGACAGGGGCCTGGAGAGGGGCCAAAGTGGCCAGGAAAATGGGGACCACTCAGGGAGCTCAGGGCAGGCTTGACCAATTGATATAAAAATATTTCAGTATTTTAACAATCCACACATCTGCATGCTAAATATCATCCCTAAGGAAGCATATGTTTTACTCTTGCTTCCTTCCCTTCTGTCTTGTCTTTTCTCCCTCCCTCCTTGCCTCCTGCCCTCATTCCCTCCCTTCCTTCCTCCCTTTCTTCTCTTTCCTTCCTCTCTCTTTTCCTAGCTTTTACTTTAACTTTATACAGTAGAATTACTCAAAATTAGATATTAATAACAGCATTTCCCTTTTGAGAGAGGCAGTTCAATGGAGCTTGGATTGAAGAATTTTAAAAGTATACAGTTTTTAAACACATCTTGCATTCTGAGATGTTTTGAGAGGTACAAAGAGAAAAGGGTTCTGATGTTTTGAGAGGTACATTTCTCAAGGTTATGAAATATATGGAAAACAAGCAGAATTGTTTGGACTTCATGGGGTGAACCAGCCAATTCACCTAGGATGGGGTGACTGTGTGATACCACCCCCGACAAAGTAGCATATCAACACTGGCTATTGGGCGTAATCTAAATAGACCCTCACACCCATCCCTGAGATTCTTATCCCCAAGAGAAACGCTGCCATAGTGAGCTCCAGCAGATGGAAATGTGTCATATTCCTGAGGTGACAGAAAAAGTGATAATAAAAACCAATGTCATTTGGCTTAGGCAAATAATTCATGACTAAGACCACAAAAGCAAATGCAACAAAAACAAAAATAAATAAATAAATGGGACCTAATTAAACTAAAAAGCTTCTCCACAGCAAAAGAAATAATCAGCAAACAGACAACCTGCAGAGTGGGAGAAAATATTTGCAAACTACGCATCCGACAAAGGACTAATATCCAGAATCTATAAGGAACTCAAACAAATCAGCAAGAAAAAAACAAATAATCCCATCAAAAAGTGGGCAAGTAACAGGAATAGAAAATTCTCAAAAGAAGATCTACAGACAGCCAACAAATGTGAAAAAAATGCTCAACATCACTAATTATCAGGGAAATGCAAATTAAAACAACAATGAGATATCACCTTACTCCTGTAAGAACGGCCATAATTAAGTTAAAAAAACAATAGATGTTGGTGTGGATATGGTGAAAAGGGAACACTTTTACACTTATGGTAGAAGTGTAAACTAGTGTACAACCACTGTGGAAAAACAGTATGTAGATTCCTTAAAGAATTAAAGGTAGAACTGCCATTCAATCCAGCAATCCCACTACTGGGTATCTACTAAAAGGAAAATAAGTCATTATATGAAAAAGACACATGTACATGCATGTTTATACCAGAACAGTTCACAATTACAAAGATATGGAACCAACCTAAGTGCTCATTAACCAAGTGGATTAAAACAATGTGGTATATATACACCATGGAACACTACTCAGCCATAAAGAGGAATGAAATAATGTCTTTTGCAGCGACTTGGATGGAGCTGGAGGCCATTATTCTAAGTGAAGTAACTCAGGAATGGAAAACCAAAGATCATATGTTCTCAGTTACAAGTTGGAGTTAAGCTAGAGGATGCAAAGGCAGAAGAATGTTATAATGGACTTAGGGACTCAGTGGGAAGGTTAAAAAGCGGGTGAGGATAAAGGACTACATACTGGGTTCAGCGTACACTGCTTGGGTGATGGGTGCACCAAAATTTCAGAAATCACCACTAAAGAACTTATCCAGTAATAAATCATTCTGTTATAAAGACACCTGCACCTGTATGTTCACTGCAGCGCTATTCACAGCAGCAAAGACATGGACTCAACCTAAGTGCCCATCAATGATAGGCCGGATAAAGAAAATGTGGTACATATACACCATGGAATACTCTGCAGCCATAAAAAGAATGAGATCATGTCCTTTGTAGGGATATGGATGGAGCTGGAAGCCATTATCCTCAGCAAACTAATGCAGGAACAGGAAACCAAATATCACATGTTCTCCTTTGTAAGTGGGAGCTAAATGATGAGAACACAGGGACACATAGAGGGGAACAACACACACTGGGGCCATTCAGAGGGTGGAGACTGGGAGGAGGGGGAGTGTCAGGAAAAATAACTAATGGGTACTAGGCTTACCACCTGGATGATGAAATAATCTGTACAACAAGCCCCCATGACACAAGTGTACCTATCTATGTAGCAAAACTGCAGTTGTACTCCTGAACTTAAAATAAAAGTTAAAAAAAGAACTTATCCATGTAACCAAAAATCACCTGTGTCCCCAAAAACATTGAAATAAAAATAAAAATTAATTATTAAAAAAATTAAAAATAAAAAAAAGTCATGATACAAATAAACCAAGCTTTGTTGAAAAAAAGGGCAGATCCTGGAGATAGAGAAGAGAATTAGGAGGCTGTTGCACCTGTGCAGATACACGAGGACAAACATCCCTGCTATGATCTTGGCAGCAGGACCAAGCAATGGCAGAATATGAGGCTAGAGAGAGTTTGCAGGGAAGAAATGAAAAGGTCCTGGTAACTGATTAGTATAGAAGGTGAAGAGGAACAAATCACATATCCTTTGCACCTTTCTCCACCCTTAGTTATTATAACTAAAAAATGATGAAACAGGAAAGCTGAAAGGGAGAAGGTGAAGTCATTTCATTCAGCAGATGTTTATTCAATTTCAAACATATAACAAACTTTGTTCTAGATGTGGGAGATAGACCAAAGTTTCTGAGGGAGGAAAAAAATGTCCCTACCCTCATGGAGCTCACATTCTTGTCAGACAATAAAATCAATTCAGTGGTATACATACTGCATGTGTAGTAACATCAGGCATCCAAATGGAAATGAGCTGCCCACAGTCCCAAACCTAGAATAGAAATCCATGTCTGAGTCTCAAATAGGAACTTAGGAGTAGAGATGCACATTGGGAGTCATCAGCATAGAAATGATATTTAAAGGCATGAATATTGATCATCTCTTTATTCATTCAGCCATCTATACGTTTATTCATTCATTCAACATTTATTTGCAATGAAAATATAGCGAAGAGCCTGCCCTCAGGAGCTGGACTATCTGGCTGGTCCAGCCACTCTGTAAAATGACATTAGTAACAATAATATCTACAACGGGGTTAAGTATACAAACAAGTAAGGCAAAGAGAACAGCAAAAGAATATTAGGAAACTTTGTAGAAGAAGCTCCATATGCCTGTTATGGGGCATGTGGGGAGGAGGGAAGGGATAATGGGAAGTCGGGGTGGAGAAGTGGATAAGAGGCCAGATTTAGGCAGGCTCTGGATATCATGCTAGGGAATTTATATTTCTTCACAATCAAAATAAATGTCTACATTCATGGTTTTTACTTCTTCTCCTCGGGGCCCCTCTTCAGCCTACCGAAGCGTGGCCTTTTCATCCACCATTCTGCATAGGCTGGGCTTGCTAAGGTTGCCACTATCCTTCAGTTAGACAAATCCAATGCAAAGAGGATCTATTGGCTCAAGTAACTGGAAAGTCCATCAGGGAGGTGGGCTTTAGGTTTGATTTGATGGCTCGCTTAAACAACCTGCTTTTTAAAAGCGCTTCTCTCTGTCTTCCACAATTCCAGACTCAACCTAGAGCTGGCTTGCTCCTCTCCTAGTGGCAACATAGCTACATCAGTTCTTAGTTTCACATCTGCATGCCACTCTGACTTCTTTCCCAGCAGATTTCGCAAAATTCTCTTTACATTTTCATTTTACCAGCACACGGCAGGTCTCATGCTATCCTTGAATGAATCCTCATGGACAGGGAAGTGGCATGCACAGATTAGTAGGCCATGGTTCAAATAACCAATCACTACAGCAAGGGGAATGGATTCAATCTTCCCCAGAACATATTGCTGCAGGGGCTGCAGGGGCTGCAGAGTGGTAGATAAGGGGAGGATAATGAAGCAAAATAATCTGGGTACTGTTGTTAAGGAAAGATAGAAACAGGTTCTGGGCAGAATTGACAGATATCCACTACACTGCAATCCTCATCTTGACCCCTTAGCTGCATTTGGCACAGCTAACCACCCCTCCCTTCCTGTCTCTCTTTCCCTCTTTCTCTTTCTTTCTTCACCTTTAAAAAATGTAGATTCTGTAACAATATATGCTTCAGTTGTTTTTCCTCTACCTCTGTGCCTTCTCCTTCCTAGCTTAATTTTTGTTCTTCAGTAAATGCTGGAGTCCCTCACAGCTCAGTCCTTGGCTGTTTTCTCTTTTTAATCTGTACTGGGATGCTAGGCAAACATGTTCATTCACAAGTTTCAAATACCCTCTATAGACCAAATATTTTTCAAATATGTATCTCAGACTCAGACACCTCTTCAAAAGTTTAGACCTGTATATTCAACTGTCTACTTGCAAGGCATGGAATGCCTCATGGGCACCTTGAACTGTGCTCTTCAAAACTGAACTCTTGATCTTCCTTCAAAAGCAAGGTCCCCCAACCAGTGTATCCTAACAAATAAATGGTGTTGTAAATTTGAAGTTTGTAAAACTGAAGTTCTTCTTTAACTCCTCTCCCTCATTCTCTTTCCCTTCCAATACTTCACTTGACCTTGTCATTTTCCTTCTAAATATTTTGTAAATTAAGCCACTTCTCTCCATGGCTACTGTCACAGCTCCATTCTAGGCCACTGTTATCTCCTCCTTTGATGACTACTTTGCAATCTGTAGCCCTCATAGCAGCTTTACTTCCACTCTTGCCCTCTCTCCAGTCTATCCTCCATAGAACAACCAGAAAGATCATATTAAAATGTAAATTTAACTGTTTAGGCCAGGCTCAGTAGCTCACACTTGCAATCCCAACACTTTGGGAAGCCAAGGTGGGAGGATCGCTTGAGGTGGGGAGTTGGTGGTGTACCTGTAGTTCTAGCTACTCAGAAGCTGAGATAGGAGGATCACCTGAGCCCCGAGTTCAAGGCTGCAATGAGCCATGATTGTGCCACTGCACTCCAGCTTGGGTGACAAGCAAGACCCTGTCTCTTTAAAAAAAAAAAAAAAAAAAAAAAAAAAAAAAAAATATATATATATATATATATATATATAGAGAGAGAGAGAGAGAGAGAGAGAGAGAGAGAGAGAGAGGGAGGGAGACAGAGAGAGAGAGAGACTGTTTATCCTACACAAAATCCTTTGGAGGCTTCCCATGCATTTAGGATAAAGTGGTTAATTTTGACATAGGCTAAAATGTTCCCTATTATGTGGCCTCATCTCCTATCAACTCCCTCCCCCATTATGCATATGCCACAGTGGACTTGTCTAAGTTGCTTGAACATGTCACAGGCCCTTTCCCACCTCCGTCTGGATTTCCACACATACTCTTCCCTCTAATTATAAACTTCCCCTCATTATTTGTGGTTCCTCATTTTGGTTTAAATATCATTTCAGAGAGACTTTTCAGGCTTCACATCCTCAATCTAAATTAGATTTTCTTATGGTATTTTTTCATAGTACTGTATATTTTTCTTTAAAGTAATTGTCTTAGATGACTCTGAGGTGGAGATTTGTGTGAAGGAGCTTTATTAGGAAGTGCTTTTGGGAACAACACTGATAAGAAAGCCGTAAATGAAGGAAGAAGAACTGGGTAGAAGGGGAAGTGGAACTGCGGATACAATAGGGACCTCAGCCAATCGCACGAGGAGCCGTGGAGCTGGGATATCCCTTCAGAGGTGTCTCAATTCCAGATAAGGGGGCCAGGCCTTTGTAATTCCCACCAACCAGTCACTATATACAAGAGCTCTCACTGTGTACAAGAGCTCCCTTCAGCCAAGAGCAATTCCTAGAGAGGGACTCAGAATGAGCCATAAGTAACTGACATATGTGGAGCTGGGGAGCTGAGAGCCTAGGTGCTGAAGGCATGATCTAGGTAGGTGGTGGATGTACTACAGCAATTACCACACCTTATGGTGTGGTAATAGTTATTTTCTTCATTATTTGAATAGTTTCAGAAATCCTCCACTAAGCTGTGAGCTCCATGAAGGTGTGTCTGTTTTGTTCATGATTTACCTCAACTTCCTAAGGAGTAGTTGCCACAAGTGAGGTGCTAGATAAATTATTGTGGGAGGAAAGGAGTTTAAATTGCATCCAGATAAAATTGTAGAGTTACTGACAGATTTTAAATAGGATTTATATTCTACATCAGTAGTCTCACAGTTCTGTGTCCCTGAGCAATTGATTTCATTCAAAAGATCATTCTAGCTGCATTGTAGAAAGTGGAAGATGAGCAGGACCTCACTAGACATTGGGAGATCAGTTAGAAGACTGATTCAGTCATCAAAGTGGGAAGGAATGAGGGACAGGCCAGGGCAGAGAGAGGAGAAGAGAAGGTTGAACTTGGGGTAGAGAGAGGAAAGTCCAGCTAAGCAGCACAGAGAGAACCAGCAGAGGGAAACAAATTCAAGGAAAATGGCTAGGTGATGAGCAAAGACATATTCCTAAAGGAGATTAGGAAAATGAAGGCCAAGGGGAAGCAAACAGATGTCACTGTAAAGAAGTCATAGATGGCCTTGGATTACATTGTCTTGGCCAAACCTGAGGGCACAGTTTTTCACAACCTACATGTGGGAAAAAACCCCAAAACCCACATTTAATTTTTTTTTTTTTTTTTTGAGACGGAGTCTCGCTCTTTCACCCAGGCCGGACTGCAGTGGTGCTATCTCGGCTCACTGCAAGCTCCGCCTCGCGGGTTCATGCCATTCTCCTGCCTTAGTCTCCCGAGTAGCTGGAACTACAGGCGCCTGCCACTGTGCCCAGCTAATTTTTTTTTTCTGTATTTTTAGTAGAGATGGTGTTTCACCGTGTTAACTAGGATGGTCTCGATCTCCTGACCTCGTGATCCGCCCGCCTCAGCCTCCCAAAGTGCTGGGATTACAGGCGTGAGCCACCGCAACCAGCCAACCCACATTTAATTTTTAATTGAAACTTTTTTTCCTATGAAAAACAAATAGTATTACATTGAAGAATTTTCTTTCTGGTTTTATATACTTTAAAGCACTTGATGTATACCTCTTCTATATTTTATTTCACATTCTGCTTCACATTTTCTTATCATATACTATAAAACTATTGGCAGGCAAGGGACTAATTTTTATGTCTTCAACTCTCCTCTAATGCCTGCCACAAAGCCATGCTCATGGTAATATATGTTCAATTGAAAGAAAAATTTCAATTCCAACATTATTTGTCTGCCTTAGAAATCTAGCAAATTTTAAAACTCATTTCTTGGTTGGAGGGAATCTTTGATTAACATTTGGTCCCATTTACAAACTTTGTTAATAGCTTTAAAAGCTTTAAATGGCACTTATTCATTAAATATACTTGATTTTTAAAAATATTTTACATACTTAACAAATTCTTACTAAGCTGTAAATAACTCCTGTAAGTTAAATAAATTATACTTATAAGTATAGATTAAGCCATTTCTTTACTGTTTACCAACTTAATAATATGTTCATAGTGTTCTACTTAAAATCAGAAATGTAAAATCATTTTAACATTTTAAACTGTAATTCCAAAGTTAATTTGTTAGATATTCTAATATTCCAAATTAGCTAATAAGCATTAGCTTAAATGTGTATTTAAGATGTAGATGGGGCCAGGCACGGTGGCTCACGCCTGTAATCCCAGCACTTCGGGAGGCTGAGGTGGGCGGATTACAAGGTCAGGAGTTCGAGACCAGCCTGTCCAACATGGTGAAACCTCGTCTCTACCAAAGATACAAAAAATTAGACGGACATGATGGTGCACATCTGTAATCCCAGCTACTCAGGAGGCTGAGGCAGGATAATCACTTGAGCCTGGGAGGGGGAGCACTGGCAGTGAGCAGAGATTGCACCATTGCACTCCAGCCTGGGCAACAGGGAGAGACTATGTCTCAAAAAAAAAAAGAGTAGATTTTAATTTGTGACCATTGCATATTGTGTATTTAAGATCTATATCTTAAATAATTTAATCTTACATTCTAATGCAGCTCAGAGAAGCAGTGTGCAAACAGATGTATTATGATATGTGATAAATGCTGTGGAAAAAATAAAAGCACATAAGGGGACAGAGAGTGATCAGGCACATTTCAGACAGAGTTGCCAGCAAAGATGATTTTGATGTTATTTGAGAAGACAATTAAGAATTAGGTGAACCAGTGGTACTGGAGAGAGATTTGGAAAAATGAGCAAGTGTAGAAAACACTATCCAGAAGCTTGCCTGGCAATTTCTGGGAAGACAACGCAGCCATCTCTTAATACCTGTCATAACTCATTGATTAACAGAAAGCAATGCCCGGCACACCCCCATTTCCTAAGCTGTCCAATTCCACAAGACTTAGCATTGATATTGAAAAGAGAACCTGTCTATAACTGATTATTTGAACCAAATCCTATATTTGAGCCAAAAGTGAATAGTTATTTTTAGGAGAGAGAGTGAACCCAGAAGTCTCTCACATGAGGAAGGAGTTCCTTTTATACCAACTTCTCCTTCCTCCTTCTTTCACAATCTACCTTATCCTGTCTCCTATTTCCAGCTCCTACACCTTTTTACCTCTGCCAGGACAAAAGAGGAACCACTGTATCTCTTCTAGAAGACCTAGTTACATTGAGGCATTCTGAGTGCTTTAAAAAATTTAAATCTGGCATTCATGAAGAGAGCTAGCACAAACCCTCTCAGTCATTATCAAGCTTTGGGAAGTGTGAGATTTGTCTGGGATAGAAGGTCTACTCCACTTGAATCCCAGACCAACATCGACGATGTGGTCTGGCCCTGAAGACTGACAAAATGGCCGGAGATTTTAAGGAAGCATGTAATTGGCCACACTGACTTTCAAAGAATGTCTACCTTGCACTGGTTCATAATACAATTTTTTTTTTTGGTTTATACAATTTGAAGTTCAACATTTTACATACATTTAATGATATTTGGTTGGGAAATTGTTGATCATTCAAAGAAAACCTTCCAAACATCTAATCTGGTTGCTTGATCTGTCTCTTTTTTTAATCTTTACTCACCTAGGCTTGAATAACATTCCAATCTGTACTGTGAATGATGATGAGAATGCATTTGGAACATTGTGGGGAGTTGGCCAGTCTAACTACTTAGAGAAGAACAGGATACCATTTGCCAATTGCAGTTACCCCTCCAGCACTGCAGTCCAGGAGAGCCCTGTAAGAGGAATGTCGCCAGCCCCAAACGGTGCCAAAGTGCCTCCACGGCCTCATTCTGGTGAGTTGAGTTAGAACTGATGAAATGTTTCCTTATGCCTCCTGCAAACAAGGCTGTGGGGAGTCTATATGATGCTAAAATAGCTGCAGTGGTTTTTACATCAAGTTTCCTCACTGTGAGGAACATAAATTTTGTTATATAATTTTTTTTCACTCTTCTAATCTCATCAGTAGCACAATGATGTCAAAAATGTTATTACCATTACTATTAATAGTGCCTAAGACATATTTGGTGTGGTCCTAGTCTTTAATCCCTACAAAACTAGCTAAAAGATGCCAGAAATGAATGTTGTTCCAACACTGATGGGGAAATGATGTCAGACGAAAATCGAGTCCTGGAAACACAGTAAGAATGAAATTGCATGTTTACATTGTCCTCATGAGACTGTCGTCTCCTTAAGGTCAGGCCCTGTGTTACTGCTTTCTGTGTTTCTGCCATCCTTCCTTTCTCCCCAGGTCCCAGCACAGTGCCTGGTCCTTAGTAAACAATTGAATTAATTTTTACTGAATTGAAGGAAAAAGGCACTGATAAAAGTAAAATGTGGAAAAATCCAAAGAGCAAGGTAAAATAAGAAAGGAATTCTGCATGGTAGAAATTATATCCAGTTCTCTTTTTCTTGCCCCATACAATTTACATGCTATTACTAAAACTATCAGGACACATGAAAATTATTATGGCATAATGTAGTAAAATATATCTCTAAAGATAGCAATAAGAGTGGTCAATTATAGAGTACTCACTATATGGACATATACTGTTCTAAAGTCTTCATACTTAATTCATTTCATCCTTTCAAGAATTTCTCTTCCCTCCCTTCTGCTAGCAATGAAGAGTCAAAGCCCACTTATTTTCCCTTATTTCTTGTGTCCCTTTTTATACTGTAGAACCTAGAAACTTAAAAACTACATTTGCAAGAAAGAGGCCTTTGATGGGGATCAGGTGTCACCACCTAATAAGATTTCTATAGCAGATGTGGGAAAAAGTCATCTTTTTCTTTTATCTATAAATTAATGTAAAGGGAAATTAAGTAAAACTTTAAGTGGTTTTAGGGCAGCTTAGGGGGATCTAGTTATATGACTGAGTATGAAATGGGTAGGGTTGAGAGGCTGATAAAAGAAGAAAGAAAATAAAGAATGTAATTGTAATTCAGCACAAACCATCTTTCTGTCTAAAGGTCAAATAACAAAAAAATTCTCTTTAATTAGATAAAGTGACATTTATATGGACAGAAAACAGAGAAAAATATGTCTTATACTAAAATATATACTTTTTTTTTTTTTTTTTTTTTGAGACGGAGTCTTGCTCTGTCGCCCAGCCTGGAGTGCAGTGGTGCAATCTCCGCTCACTGCAAACTCCACCTCCTGGGTTCACGCCATTCTCCTGCCTCAGCCTCCCAAGTAGCTGGGACTACAGGCGCCCGCCACCACGCCCGGCTAATTTTTTTGTATTTTTTAGTGGAGATGGGACTTCACCGTGTTAGCCAGGATGGTCTCGATCTCCTGACCTCGTGATCCGCCCGCCTTGGCCTCCCTAAAATATATACTTTTTAAATCAGTTTAACCAGATCAAGAAAGCATTTGCCGTGTGTTTTTATATCATCATCTTGGGCATAGAACTAGTTTTTAAATGCAAATACTTTATGTTATTATAATGCCATTTACCTGCAAATTTCCTAATATTTATAAACAGATTCCTGAATTGACCTTAAAGTCAGAAACACTCTATCTATTTCAGCAATTGACACATATATCATGTGATATAAATTCTTTTTCAGTTTAATCTAAATACATTTTTCCTCAATTTTATTTCAGAGCCCAGTAGAAAAATTAAAGAGTGCTTCAAAACTTCCAGTGAGAATCCCTTAGTAATTAAAAAGGTAAGGAACAGCTATTTACTGCTATCTATTTAGTTTGACTTCTATAAGTTCCTCTCCTTTTCTTTACATACCTTTCCGAAAAGTCACCATGTTTCACAATATTTTTACAGCTTTAGTAAAGTCTAATTAACATAATATAAGATACACATATTCAAAATGCACAATTTAATGAGCTTTGACAAATACACACCTGGGAAACTACCACTGCAGTCAAGAGAATGCACGTCCTCATCACTCCCAAAAGTTTTCTCACGATTCTGGCCCTCCCACAGGCAACTGTTTGTCTGCTTTCTGTCACTAAACATTAGCATGGACTTTTTTGGATTTTATAAAAATAAAGTCATATGGTGAGTTCTCTTTCTAAAATCTGGTTTCTTTAACTCAGCATGATTATTTTAAGATTCATCCATGTTTTTATGTGCATCAATAGTTCATTCCTTTTTATTGCTGAGTAGTATTCAATTGTATGGTTATCCTACAATGTGTTGATCTATTTACCTGTTGAGGGACATTTAGGTCCTTCCCAATTTCTGGCAAAGCTAATAGGAACATTTGTCTACAAGTCTTTGGATATATACTTTCTTTTCTCCTGGATAATTCCTATGAGTGAAATAACTGTGTCTTATAGTAGTTGTATGTTTAAGTTTCTAAGAAATAGCCAAATTGTTTTCCAAAATGATTGTCCCATTTTACATTCCCACCAGCAGTGTATGAGTTTTTTTTCCTCCACGTCTTCCCCAAGCTTAGAATGGTCAGTCTTTTTATTTTTAGCCAGCCTACTGGGTATGTAGTAGTATCTTATTGTGGTTTTAATTTGCATTTTCCTCATGATGTTGACATCTTTTCCAATTCTTACTTGCCATGTATATATCTTTTTATGGGAAATATATTGTTAGATCTTTCGTCCACTTCTTACATTGGGTTGTTGGCCAGGCGCAGTGGCTCACACCTGTAATCCCAGAACTTTGGGAGGCCAAGGCAGGCAGATCATGAGGTCAGGAGATCGAGACCATCCTGGCCAACATGGTGAAACCCCGTCTCTACTAAAATACAAAAAAAATTAGTCGGGCTTGGTGGTACGCGCCTGTAGTCCCAGCTACTGGGAGGCTGAGGCAGGGGAATTGCTTGAATCCGGGAGGTGGAGGAGGTTGCAGTGAGCCGAGATGGTGCCACTGCACTGCCGCCTGGTGACAGAGCAAGATTCCGTTTCAAAAAAAAAAAAAATTGGTTGTTGACTTTTTTATTATAATGTTGTAAAAGTTCTTCATATATTCTAGATTAAATCTTTTGTTATGCATGTTTTTGCAAATATTTTCTTCCAGTCTGAGGCTTGCTCTTATTTTGATGTGTCTTTAAAAAATTTGTAATTTTTTCCATCATAGTTTCGCATCTGCATGCTGTTTATCTCTGTATTGTGCTTTATTGCAATGGCTAGAACCTCTAGTACAATGTTGAATAGAAATGATGAGGGCAGACATCCTTGCCTTGTACCTGATCGTAGGAGGAAAGCGTTCAGACTTTCACCATTAAATATTATGTTCATATTAGTGGATGACCTTTATATGGCTGAGAAAGTTCCCTTCCATTCCTAGTGTGCTAAGAGTTTTAACAGAAATGGGGAGAGATGTATTTTGCCAAATGCTGTTTCAGTATCTAGCTGAGATGATCGAATGATGTTTCTTTTTTTAGTCTGTTAATATAGTGAATTACATTGACTAAGTTTCAAATTGGAACCAACCTTGCATATCCAGTAAAAACCTCACTTGGTCATGATGTATTATCCTTGTCATACACTAAAATTTCATTAAAAATTTTTAGCATTCTTGTGTCTATGAGGAATATTTGTTTGTAGTTTTCTTATAAAGTCTTTTTGTGGTTTTAATATCAGCATAATGCTGGCTTTATAGAATAAGTTGGGAATTCCTGTTTAATATTCTGGAAGATTTTGTGTAGAATGGATATTAATTCTTCCTTAAAAGTTTAGTAGAAATCTTCAGTAAAATATTAGGCTTGATATTTCCTTTGAGTCAAGGTTTTTAACTACAAATTCAATTTCTTTTCTTTTCTTTTTTTTTTTTTTATAGCTATAGGCTATTTGGGTTGTCTATTTCTTCTTTAGCCAGCATTGGTAGTTTGTATTTTGCAAAGAATATGTCCATTTCATCTAAGTTGTTGACTTACTGATGTAAAGTTTTTTAAAATATTCCTTTTATTATTTTATAATGTTTAATGTTTGTTCTCTCATTCCTGATTTTGGCAATTCGTGTCTTGTAGCTAGAGGTTTGTGAGTTTTATTGATCATTTTAAAGAATCAGTATTCCATTTCATTGAGTATCTCTATTGTTTTGCTTTTGTGTTTCCATTTCATTGACTTTGGCTCCTATCTTTATAGAAGGTAAAATCTTAGGTCATTGATTTGAGACTGTTTTTTTCTAATATAAGCATTTATTATTACATTTTTCCTATAAGCATTACTTTGCCTGCATCCCCCAATTTTACTGTGTTGAATTTTCATTTTCGTTATGTTCAGAATACTTCCTAATATCCTTTTTAATTTCTTCTTTCACCCATGGGTTACTTAAAATCATATTATTTACTTTCTAAATATTTGGGGGATTTTCCAGATATCTTTATGTTATTAATTCCAATTTAATCCCATTGTAGTCAGAGAACACACTTTGTATACTTTGTAATGTTTTAAATGTATTGAGACTTGTTATATGGCCTAGAATATTGTTGACTTTAATAAATTTTTCATGTACCCATGAAACAAATATTCACTCTGCTGTTGTTTGGTAGAACGCAATATAAATATCAATTAGGTCAAGTTAGGTGATACTGTTGTTCAAGTCTTCTACAGCAGCAGCTCCCAAACTTTTTTGGAAGACTATTTTTCTACAGACCTATGGTGGGGTGGGGGGAATGGTTTCAGGATGAAATTGTTCCACCTCAGATCATCAGGTGTTCCATTCTCATAAGGAGCACACAACCTACATCCCTTGCATGTGCAGTTCACAATAGGGTTTGCACTCCTATGAGAATCTAATGCCACTGCTGATCTGACAGGAGGCAGAACTCAGGCGGTAATGCTCACTTGCCCTCCCACTGCTCACATTCTGCTGTGCAGCAGGTTGTGGTCCAGGGATTTGGGGACCCTCGTTCTATAGCCTTACTGATTGGCTACTTTTTCTGCCAATTATTGAGGGAGAGGTGTTGAAATCGCTAATTATAATTGTGGATTTTTAAATTTCTCTTTCCATTTCTACCAGTTTTTAATCATGTATTTTGAAGCTCTCTTATTAGGCATAAAACTGTTTAGGTTTGCTATGTCTTCTTGATAAAATGACCTTTTTATCATTATGAAGTTACTCTCTTCATCCCTGACACTATTCTTTGCTTTAAAATCTATTTTGTTACAAAACTGTTCAGATTTTCTATTTCTCCTTGAATCAGTTTTTGGTAATCTATTCTTTTCTAAAAGTTGTTTATTCAGTCTAAATTCAGATTTATTGACAAAGTTATGCATGATATCCTTATATTCTTTTAAAAATATCTGCTGGTTCTGTAAGAAGTACCCTTTTACATATTAGTTGTGTTAACTTGTGTCTTTGTTTTTCTCAATTAAAAGAAGTTTATAATTTTCAACAAAAGTTTATTCAATAAGTTTATTGATTTTATTAGTGTATCAAGGAATTGATGTTCATGATTTTTTGATTCTCTATGTTGTATATTTTCTATTTTATTAATTTCTGCTGTTATTAGTTTTCTCTTTCTATTACATACTTTATCTTATTGCTGTTTTTCTAACTCATTTTATCTTTCTAATATATGTATTTTAAAGCTATAAATTCCCCACTGAAGATTGCTTTAGCCACTCTCACAATTTTTGTATATACCATTTTCACTGAGTTCAGTGTATTTTCTAATTCTCATTATTATTTCTTCTTTGACTCATGACTCAATTGCTGGACTTTATTTTTGTGACATATCCAAGACTGGGTAATTTATAAGGAAAAGAGATTTAATTGACTCACAGTTCTGCATGGCTAGGGAGGAGTCAAGAAACTTACAATCATAGCAGAAGGCAAAACTGGCATGTCTTACATGGCAGCAGTCAAGAAAAGTGAGAGCCAAGTAAAGGGGGAGGCCACTTATAAAAACCATCAGATCTCATGAGAACTCACTTTCATGGGAATGGTATGGGGGAACCTGACCCCATGATTCAATTAACTCCACCAGATCCTGCCCTTGACATATGGGGATTATCACAATTCAAGGTGACATTTGGGAGGGGACACAGAGCCAACCATATCAGTTGATGAGAAAAAAAAATTGGATTTGTTATACATCATCTCACGTAAAGTCAGTTTCTAAGAGCTATCAACAACATTAAGGACTTACTGTGTTACTATTTTTCCATAACAAAGTCTGTATAATAAACTTAAAAAAAGAATGCCTCAAATATAATGTAGATTTATTTTTGCTAAACATAAAGTTAAATATTGTTTTATCAATTCCAATCATCAAAATCCCAGGTTGTTGGCTCATTTAGGCACTAAGTTCTATGTGTTGTTATAAATCAGTCACTTCTGAAGGGTAGAAAGCCTTTCCTGGAACAGGCCCATGGATCTAAGGCTTCTGTAACTCTTCATGGACTTAAAAGCTCCCAGAACCTTTTAATTTTTAAAAATTGCAAACAGTATACTTACCTCCCAGAATGGGAAAATAACCTTTCTATTTCCCTTCCAACTGATAAAGGGAAGAAATTTAGTTTGCCTTTCTAACTCTCAGCTGTTAGCTGTTACTTGCAGCAAGGAAGTAGCAATTTGCATCATGCAGTTGCTTCACAGACAAAGCATAAAACCTCTCAGCTGTCTTTTCCTGGCCATAAAAGAGAAATCTTCCCAACTTAACAGCAAATCTCATGTGTCATGAGTTGGCTGTTATCTGAAACTGCAATATAAAAGGTCATACATTGCATATTACAAATTTGTTATCTTGTTATTTAGCCAAGAGTTTAAAATGATTTCATCAAAAGTTAATAAGATATCACTATTTGTTTTGTCTCCAAATATAAATATTTGATAGCTTAAGATAAAACTAACCTTTTTTTACTTTCATGTATCTCTCTTATTAGGCACAATATTTCTCATTCATTTTACATTGAATTTTCATAGAAAATATAGGTGGATGCAAATGTATATTGGTTATATTATACTTTTGATTTAGGAAGAAATTAAGGCCAAAAGACCACCATCACCTCCAAAGGCATGCTCTACTCCTGGCTCCTGTTCTTCAGGGATGACAAGTACCAAGAATGATGTGAAAGCAAACACCATTTGCATACCAAACTATCTGGATCAGGAAATAAAAGTAAGTATCAGGTTTATCAAATCCATAACTTGGAAACAGCATGAATATACAAAAAAATTTATACCACTAGCATCCTTAAAACTCTTAAATGATTCCTTACTGATAACTGAATTGATTTAAGACTGCTTAGCCTGAAATCCAAGGCATACTCCTATTTTCATTCCCAGTCTTAACTTTCCTTGGAATCTTGCCACTGTCAGATAAACACAATCTTTGATTCAGACGTAATGAAAAGCTTGGTGTTTATCACACAAACCCAACCCTATTCTTTCCATCTTTCGTTATCATCTTTCTAATACTTGAGAGACACTACTCTTAATGTCTTGCCGCAATCTATACATTTACTTCTCATATTTTAAAGCATAGATTCCTCCAATCAACATTCATCTCTTCCTCTTTTCCTTGCAAAACTATGTCTTCAAACTTTCTCTGTCTGGGGTTATAAACTTAGTTATATTAATAGTAATATGTCATATCAGCTTCCTGAAAGGCCGTCCCCAGCCACAGTTATTTCTGAGAATGATATAAAATCAAGAATACGTCAGTCAGCTGATATTTGTCATCTGCCATTTTTTCCTTCTTTTAATCTCTTTGGTAACCTCCATATTGAACCACCATAAGTCCCACTACAATGAACTAAGGGTTAGAAGATTGTAATGATGCCTCTAACTGGAATTTTAAGTAATCAGTGTCTATAGTTATAAATACAAATAACAGAGCATGTTGTAGAGATGGTTATTGAATAAGCCTAACAAAGAAGTATTTTAAAAGTAGAGCACAGAGTATGATAGTGACATTGGTGTAATAATTTATGCTGATAATTAAACTTGAGGAGAATAAAAGGAAATGTATAGAAAGGAGAGTATCTACATATTTGACTTATGTTTATACATTATTTCCTGATGATTCTGGCTAAAGGCTTTATATTATACAGAGTCTTCAGAACCACTGTTTCACCTGCTACACTCTGGCCACTTTGATCTTTCTATAATTTTCTCATTCTCACCTTAAGAGCTTTCCTCTAAGAATTATCTTTCTCTTTATTGGCTCAGTGATCACCTGCTCATTAAGGTCTCAGTTTCAGTATTGCTTACTCAGAGATACTTTCTCTAACCATCCAATCTAAAGTAGCTAACCAGTCACTCTATATCCCATTACCCTTTGTTTTTTTTTGCATAAATATGCTATATATGTATGTTCAGACTTATTTATTTAGTTCAATATTTTGTCTCTCTCCTCGCCCCACTCCCACTGAAATTTAAATCATATAAGATCTCACACTTGTCTGCCTTTGCTACTGCTTAATCTTCAGTGCCTAGGTGAGTGCTGGACACCTAGTAATTGTTAGATAAGTATTTGTTGGATATTGAATAAATAAATTAAAAGGAAAAGTGAACTCAAAATCAAAAGGATAACTGTAGAAAATCAGCTAAATATATAGTTCTCAACTCAAATAATCCATAAAATGAATGCAGTTTTAGTAAGACTGTCATTCTTCCTTGGGCATATCAATAGAACAGCGTGATCCTATAGAGCTGGCTTTCTGGGCATCTATGAAAGAGCCCTCCTCTCAAAAGCATCTTCTATCCTACAAAAATCAACTTCACTGGACATCGGTTGATATAAAACACACTAAAATATAAACTCTTTGAAGGCAGGGATCTTGTCTGCCTTGTTCACAACTGATTTCTTAGCACTCACCACTTCGCTTGAAAAATATTAACTGGCACACAGACAATGGCATTTTGCCAAATAGTTGTTGACTATTTGCTAAATAAATGAACGGAGAGGGAATAAAGTGATAAAGTAGGTTTTATCAAGATGTTTTGGCTTGTATAAAAGAGCCCCGGAAATACTGCTCATCTTGGAGGCATTCTATTCTTCCATGTTTCCTACAAAAAAATGTGTAATATTTTCTAATTTCCTACTATCCATTGAGTAACTCTAAATGGGCTGTGAAATCAGGAAATGTTTTTGCAGGGGTATGTGTGAAAAGGTATGCAGTTTCATGATTATTACTTTAAAAGGAAAGAGAAACATAATTCCGTGTCTATTAGCACCTTGTTTTAAGCCTTCCTTCCAAAGATCTTTATAGACATAACACCAAAATGTCTGCCAAACTCTTATAAACTGTTGGTGGGACTATAAATTAGTTCAGCCCTTGTGGAAAGCAGTTTGGAGAGTTCTCTAGGAACTATAAATAGAATTGCCATTCAAACCAGCAGTCCCATTACTGGGTATATACACAAAGGAAAATAAATTGTTCTAAAAGATAAAAAGACACCCGCACTGGCATGTTTATCACAGCAATATTCACAATAGCAAAGACATGGAATCAACCTCAGTGCCCATCAGTGATGAATTGGATAAAGAAAATGTGGTACATATACACCATGGAATACTACACAGCCATAAAATATGGAATAATACATTTTGCAGCAACATGGATGCAGCTAGAGGGCATTATTCTAAGTCAATGAATACAGAAACAGAAAACCAAATACCGCATATTCTCACCAGTAAATGGGACCTAAACACTGGGAACATGTAGACATAAAGATGAGAACAATAGGCACTGGAAACTCCAAAATGTAGGAGGAAGGAAGGAAAGCAAAGAATGAGAAACTATCCGGAACTCTGTTCACTATTTGCGTGATGGAGTCAACTGAAGCCCAAAGCTCAGCATTATTTGGTATATCCACATAACAAACATGCACATGTACCCGCTGAGTCTCAAATTTAAAAAGAAGAGTGGACCAAACACATCCATTTATTCTGTAAATATTTAATGTCAAACTACAAAATACTAGAGTGTGAGGACACAATTAATTTCTTCATTCATAGAGGTTATGAAATAATAGTGCAGCTGTTATAAGAATATGTACCAGGAGACTTTGTAGCTCAGAGAGCCTTTAAGGAGAAAGGGACATAAAGAATGTTTAGGATATAATTAGAAGATAAAGAGAAGTGTGGAAGAGATCTTTCCCAGTCAAGTGACCTTCGTATCTTAAGACTAAGGAGTGAGAGCATTGCTTATTTAAAACAACGAACAACAATTAATATGGTTGATGCAGACAGTGCATGGAGAAAGTGGCAAGAGATGGGGCTGGAGACTTAAGAACAGACTGGATAATGTAATACTTTATAAGTCCTATCAAGGTGTCCAGATTTCATCCCAAGGGGTGTGGGAAGCCAGCAAAGAATTTTAAGCACTAAATGATACTGAATTACTTTGTAAGCGTAAGAATTACATAGTTAGAACTGTACTTTAGAAATCACTCTGGATACAATATGCAGATTAATTTGGGGAGATAAGGGGTGACAAAGTTGCAAACAAGGGACTCTGGTTCCAAAATGATAGATTAGGCTCAACGCTTAACCTCCTGCTGTAAAAAACTATATAATTCAGCAAAATATATACAGAAATGATTTTCAGGTACTGGGCAACAGACACTACAGATTGGACCATTGAGAGAAGAGAAACAATTGGGGTTATTTCAATATTCAACCCAGACTTCTGCCTGGGGCACATGCCTAATCATGGCACAGAGAAGTGGAGCCTGAACAGAGAGCAGCAGCTTCACTAGGTACAGAAAACAGAGTTTAGCATTTGAGGATGCTGAGGTGGCTGGAACTTGCAAAGTAAGATCTGAAGAAGATAAATCTATGCAGAGAATGAGCTCCAGAAATTTAGGGGTACCATTAAGTGTTCAGTCCAATATGAAGCCTCACAGGTACAGGGTGATTCTGAGACCTGGTAAGGAGAGATAATGGGAGGTATCACAGAGCTTAGAGTTGCTGGAGTTCTAAGAAACCTTGAAAAGACCTTGCCAGAGTGAAGATACCTTGCGGGAACATACCAGGACTTCAATTCAGACCCCAGAAAAGTTACACCTTAAAAATAGCCCTGCAATAGAGGCTACTCTAGGCTAGATTCTCAAATCCTAAAATAAAATTTCAAGACATCAAGTTCACTTGCCAATATATTAATTACGTTCAAGAACAAAACACTATTTTTTCCCTCAACTTTTATTTTAAGTTCCGGGGTACATGTGCAGGATGTGCAGGTTTGTTACACAGGTAAATGTATGCCCTGGTGGTTTGCTGCACAGATTATCCCATCACCTAAGTATTATGCCAAGCATCCATTAGCTATTCTTCCTGATGCTCTCCCTCTCCCCCAACTCCCCCTGACAGGTCCCAGTGTGTGTTGTTCCCCACCATATGTCCATGTGTTCTCATTGTTCAGCTCCCACTTATAAGTGAGAACATGTGGTGTTTGGTTTTCTGTTCCTTCATTAGTTGCTGAGGATAATAGCTTCCACCTCCATCTATGTCCTTGCAAAAGACATGATCTTTTTTCATGGCTGCGTAGTATTCCATGGTGTATATGTATCACATTTTCTTTATCCAGTCTATCATTGATGGGCATTTAGGTTGATTCCATGACTTTGCTATTGCGAATAGTGCTGCAGTGAACATATGCATGCATATATCTTTATAACAAAATAATTTATATTCCTTTGGGTATATACCCAGTAATGAGATTGCTAGGTCAAATGGTATTTCTGCCTCTAGATCACTGAGGAATCACCACACTGTCTTCCACAATGGTTGAACTAATTTATACTCCCACCAACAGTGTAAAATTGTTCCTTTTTCTCCACAACCTTGCCAGCATCTATTGTCTTTTGACTTTTTAATAATCACAATTCTGACTGGTGTGAGATGGTATCTCATTGTGGTTTTGATTTGTATTTCTCTAATGCATTTAGCCCATTTACATTTAAGGTTAGTATTGCTATGTGTGAATTTGATCCTGTCACCATGATGCTAGCTGGTTATTTTGCAGACTTGTTTATGTGGTTGCTTCATAGCGTCACTGGTCTGTGTTCTTAGCTGTGTTTTTGTAGTGGCTGGTAAAAGTTTTCCTTTCCATATTTAGTGCTTCCTTCAGGAGCAAGGCAGGCCTGGTGGTGACAATTCCCTCGGCATTTGCTTGTCTAAAAAGGATCTTATTTATCCTTCGCTTATGAAACTCAGTTTGGCCAGATGTGAAATTCTGGGTTGGAAACTCTTTTCTTTAAGAATGTTGAATATTGGCTCCCAATTTCTTCTGGCTTGTAGGGTTTCCACTGAGAGATCTGGTGTTAGCCTGATGGACTTCCCTTTGTAGGTGACCTGGCCTTTCTCTCTGGCTGCCCTTAATGTTTTTTCTTCCGTTTTGGCCTTGGAGAATCTGACGATGATGTATCTTAGGGTGGATCTTCTCATGGAGTATCTTACCAGGGTTCTCCAGATTTCCTGAATTTGAATGTTGGCCTGTCTTGGTAGTTTGGGGAAGTTCTCCTAGATGATATCCTGAAGTATGTTTTCCAACTTGGTTCCATTCTCCTCATCTCTTTTAGGTATTCCAATCAGTTGTAAGTTCAGTCTTTTTACATAATCCCACATTTCTCGGAGGTTTTGCTTATTCCTTTTCATTCTTTTTTCTCTATTTTTGTCTGCCTGTCTTATTTCAGAAAGATATGCTTCAAGCTCTGAGATTCTTTCCTCCACTTGGTCTTTTCTGCTATGAATACTTACAATTACATTGTAAAGTTCTTGTGTTTTTCAGCTCCATCAGGTCAGTTATGTTCCTCTCTAAACTGGCTATTCTTGTTATCAGCTTATGTATTGTTTTATCATGATTCTTAGCTTCTTTACATTAGGTTACAACATGCTCCTTTAGCTTAGCAAAATTTGTTATTACCCACCTTCTGAAGCCTACTTCTCTCATTCAGCCATCTCAGCCTCAGCCCAGTTCTGTGCCCTTGCTTGAGATGTGTTGCAGTCATTTATAGGAGAAGCAGCACCCTGGCTTTTTGAGTTTTCAGCATTTTTGCATTGATTCTTTTTCATCTTTGTGGGCTTATCTACCTTCAATCTTTGAGGTTGCTGACCTTTAAATGGGATTTTTGTGGCATCTTTGTTGTTGTTGTTTTTTTCTGTTTTTCTTCTAACAGGCCACTCTTCTGTAGGGCTGCTGCAGTTTGCTGGGGGTCTGCTCCAGACCCTGGTTGCCTTGAGTTTTCCCATACCTAGAGGTATCATCAGTGAGAGTTGCAAGACAGCAAAGGTGTCTGCCTGCTCCTTCCTCTGGGATCTCCATCCTAGGGGGGTACTGAGCTGTTGCTGGCTCGAATGCTCCTATAGGAGGTGTGTAGAGGCTTCTATTGGGAGGTATTACCGGGTCAGGAGGAATGGGATCAGGGACCTACTTAAAGAAGCAGTCTGACTGCTTTTGGGAAGAGCAGGTATGCTGCATTGTGGGGAACTCTTCCACGTCCAGACCTGGACTCTCCAGTGCTGGCAGGCTGGAATGGCTGAGTCAACTGAAATGCAGAGACAACAGCTGCCTCTCCCCCAAGGGGCTCTGTCCCAGGGGGAGATCAGAGCTCTGTGTGTATGACCCTGGCTGGAGTTGCTGAAATTCCCACAGGAAGGCCCCACCCAGTGAGGAGGAATGGACCAGGATCCCACTTAAAGAAGCAGTCTGGGCATGATCTGGCACAGCAGCTGTGCTGTGTTGTGGCGGACTCCTCCTTGTCCAGATGGCCTGCACTCCCTGGAGCCAGCAGGCTAGAACAGCTGAGTTGACCAAAACACAGATATGCTGGCTGCCCCTTCCCCTGGGAACTTGGTCCCATCACAGGCAGTCTCCAGCCTGTTCCCTCTGTCTCAGATTATGTAGAGGAGCAGGGCAGATGGGGCCAGTTCTGTGACTGATGGATTCTCATTAGAACCCTGTGGTACAGTGGGAAGGATAAATTCACCAAAAGTATGTTCCTACTAGAAGATGTTGGTACTGAACAGACAAAACAAGACAAATGTTGGGATTCACTCAGGATGGTGGCAGAAATATTAAAGTCAAATATTAGGGAAAGTTATAGGGAATAGTCACGAACCTTTTGGAAGGCCAAAAGGTTACACAGCTTGTAATAATTGAACAGGCTGGAGGCAGCCTGTTCTTCCCTCAGAACATCAGGTCATAGGGTAAATACTAGGGACAATAGAGGCTTCCCCAGTTGTCTGTTTACCCCACCTCCATTAACTAACCTTTGACCCAGATGGCCTTCTTGGGGGGAGGTCGACTAGGGATATTGCCCCCTAATGGTATTTACCTTAGACCTTGGTACCTGAGCTTTAATCATTCCTAGAACTACTCTCTTAACCATGTTAATTATCTGCAAGTGTGTTTACTCAAAGCTTCTGTTGTTAATTGTATATCAAATAAATGCCTGGAGTGTGAGCTGCTCAGGGCAAGCCGCAGTGACAAACCTCTCTTGGTGCACAGGCGGTTGGACACTCAGCTGGACTGGCAAAACAGAATATCTGTGTGTCAGTGTATGTTTTATTCATCCGTTGTTGAGGTCAGGGTCTGCAGGCAGACCCCCGCAGCTAATGCCCTCTTGTGAGGAGCAATACCTCAGACAAACACACTCCATAGCCTACCCTAAACTGCTAATTGTACTGGAAATGTTGTTTTCACTAAGATTCTACTGTGTGCTATTTGAAATCGAGCTCGTGAGTTAAAAATCCCAATTAACTAAATTGCACATCATATACAAAGTGATATTTGGGAAGATGGGATTCTGGAGAAGGTAAAGGAAAACTGATAAGCCTTGTACTATTTATTTGCTCATATGTAACTCTAATGTTCTCTGTCAGATCCTGGCAAAGCTCTGTAGCATTTTGCATACTGATTCTCTGGCAGAAGTTTTACAGTGGCTGCTTCATGCAACTTCAAAAGGTGCGATTAAGATATAAATTTTAAAACACTGAGCTCAATTTATTGTCAGAAACTGGGAATATGCCAATATCTGAAGTTTTGTACCTTGGATTTGCAAAGATAATGTTGCAATATTATTTCCGCAATGTTTCAGTATCAGGGTGATTACTGTTCTGCATATCCAGCTGCATGCATGTGGGTCATTCAATGAACCCAAAATTCAGTACGCTTTAAATTGAACTCATTTGGGTGACATGAAACACTTGTGTCCAAGGGCGGTCTTATTCTCAGCTAGAGTTGGTTTATGCTCCTCCAGAGTCCACACACCCAGAGGCCTCCCTGAGCACATCCTCTGGCCTGTTGTTAACTCTGAACACAAAGCTTATTTCTTTCCTTTGGTAAGGAGAACAGTAGAAGAGCTATCCAACCTGTAACAGCTCTGCCATTTGCCCAGCAAAACCATCAACTCAGTCATTTCCTAACCTCTTTTGGGCCCTTCCTGGCCTGTTCCATGAAAACACATGCCATTCCCAATCGGGACAATGATAAATGGCAGAGAGCTATCCTCACTTGTAGCTGATCCTCAAATGTAGTTGATCATCAGACTGACTGAGGCAAAATCTCTGCAGTGGGACTTGAGAATTTGTGTTTCTGACAAGTTCTCAGGTGATGCTGATAATGCTGGTCTCAGCACTACTCTTTGAGAATCACTGCACTGATCAATGCTAGCAAGTACCAATGTGTGAGGAAGTCTAATGTTTTAAAGTAGGAAGCATTCTGGAAATATTACCTTTCCCCAGGAATTCAACACTACTTTTTAGGCAATTGAGAAGTGTTTAGAGGCGATGGGTCTTTAGTTACCTTCCAATTATTTTTCCTTTTAAAGAATGTAACATTTAATAAACTATACAAGTAATAAATCCTTATTGTTGGGAGAAAGAACAGATGAACCAGAAAGAAAAAAAGAGATGAGACAGAAAAAAAATAATCAATAAAATTACCACAGACATCATTTCAGTGAATACTTTGGTGTATATCTTCCTAGATATGCTTGTAACTATTTATTACCTATTAGTCTGTATTTTAATGGAATCATATTACCCTTCTTATTTTTGTATAGGTATCCTTATATCTTTGGCAGCAGCCTGTAAGACTGGCTACTGTACTCAATATTTTAAAACTATTCCACTGCTATTCAGGGACAAGTGCCTCAGTGAGTTAACTACTCTGGGCACTCTACAGTATCACAGGTCAACAGAAACTATGTTAAAATGAACCAACTTTTCTGCAGAAGTCCTTACTCCCACATAGGTAACTATCCAGAAAATAGATGACCAGTCTTTCATACTCAGGAGCTGGATATTCCTGTGTTTCTATCCAACATGATAATTGCAACCTTCACTCCTCCCACCCTTTTTTGTCTTTTAAACCAGAAAAAGAGTGGGTCTCAGCTTTGATTCATTCTGAGCTTGCCGAGATAAACCTGTTAACTCATCACAGAAGAAACACCTCAATGGAACCAGCAGCAGAGACTGGGAAGCCACCCACAGTTAAATCACCACCCACAGTTAAATTGCCCCCAAATTTTACTGCAAAATCAAAAGTGCTGACCAGAGATACAGAAGGGGATCAACCAACCAGGTAATTAGATATAATGGCCCCCTAGAGGGAGGGCCTATGGCACATGAAGACTTTGAATTCTCTTGTTATTTATCTTTCAAAATGTTAAACAGGAGGTTCTAAAGCTCCGCTTTATTCAGTAAGTGACTGCAATATATATTTGCTTTCATTTTCATATATGTAATATAAGAATTGTTCTCAATTCTATTGTTTAGAACATTTTGGCAGAAACTATGTCTTTCTTATCTGGTAACCTTTCTTTTTAAGAAAAATTATTTTTCCACTAAGGGAAAAGCAAGAGTGGCTACCTAGAAATCTAAGATAATAAAGATTTTTATAGTTTAACTAAAAATAGATGCAATTAAGGAAAACAAAATTGTATTGTTACAGTTATTGTATATTTTGTTAAATGTGTATCACACAGGTTTCACTTTTTTGTGTAGAACAATGCAAGATTAAAATAAATTGCTTCACTTAATTTCCTCTGATTTACTCCTGGGGCCCCCTAGAGAGAAAAATAACTACTAAAATAATTGAAATTATTGCAGGAGAAATTTTTCTTAAATGCTGTTATTTCAATAACAGAAGAAAAATATATATTTATGTAGAATCATGGTGAAAGAATGTGTGGTAGGATGTTATTTAAGCTAGGAGAGAAAATCTTGTTGCTTTAAAATTAAAAGTTGAGTAAAGCTTAAAGTTAGAGGAAAAATACATTTTTGAAAATATAAATATGTCACTTTAAAAAGCATTAAGACAAAAAAATTGTATTACTAACTGTCCGTATCTTAAAGTTTCCATAAAATCAGAAACTAGAAGATAGTAAGAGTTAATCTGTACCTTAATGACTAACATATGATACAATAGTTAAATATTTACTCAAAGTAAGAAGAATTTTTCATTGGGAAGTAAATTTAATACTGTATGCATTAAAAAAAACAAAGAATTGGGGTAGCATATTTAAGATACATATACACTGAACTTATTGATGACAGTGTAGTCTATAGAAAATACTTTTTTGTATCTGTGAAATTCACTTTTTTCTTTCTCCAACTGATCTAGAGTGTCAAGTCAAGGATCTGAAGAAAACAAGGAAGTACCAAAAGGTTAAGTACAGTTTTTGGTAACTATTGAGTTGGTATAAAGAAACCAGTAAGTACTAATGACTCAGGGAACAGATTTTAAGGATCAGTGCTTTTAAAAAAACAGAAAAATACAATAGTAATTTCCAGATCAATTCTTGAGAGAGCATCTGCTTACTTTCTCATAAAGATAAATTTACCTTTGTTTTGAAAGGCAAAGTGCCTGATCATGGACAGACACTCTTTGAGAAGCAAGACAGCAGGACAACAGGAACTATAGGTTTGGTTATAGCAATTCAGTGAAAAGGGAAACCCTGCATTGACCTAACAAAAGGACAATGATCTCAGAGTTTTGGTTCTTCACAGCTTAATGGAGTTAAATAATTTCACTGGAGACAAAGTCAACCAGAGAGAAGAGTAAAATGGCAATCAGCCACAAGCAGGTGACCTACAAGACAGCTGAAATACAATTGAAAAGAGCAGTTTTGTGTTCCACCAGAAGCCCAGCTCCAGTCTGTAGGGGAACCAGGGAGAATCAAGAATTGTGGAAAGTCCTACCTTGGTCCAAAATAGCCCAAAGTATCCTTATAGGTTTGGCAGTTTCTAGCTTTAAAACAAGGAGAGCATTCATGACTACAGAGCAACAACTATGAAGTGTATCTACAAGCTTTATACAAAAATGTGTCTTGTCATTTCTACAAGTTCCCTTTATACCAGGAATGATATATAATCAATTAGAGCTCACTGGGGTCACCCTAGACTCCAGCAAGTTCCACTGTGATTAACCAAACCCAAAAAAGACACTATCTCCTAACAGCCAATAATAAGTATAGTTTAAAAATTACAAAGTACTCCCTTACTTAGACTCCAAGGACAGCCTATTGTATCTGGCCTCTCCTACCAAACTCCTCATCCTGGGACTATAACATCATGACAGTGATGGTTTCTATTATTCAACTTTATGTCTTACCTGTAAGGCTCACACATATTTTATCATTTAGATATTTGGAATTTTTTGTATAAGAATTCCCAAGTCATGCCCCTTTCTCTCCATTGTCGATATTTAGCATCTCCTTACATCCCTATTCCTGCTTGGGTGCAACTATGTAGGTCTTACGAGCACAATTAACTTGTCTTAGCCTGTTTGTCTCTTCTCTTGTTACATCTATCAGGACCATAGATCTTCCTTCTTTCTCTCACTGTCACTCTTACCCATAAACAATTCTATGCAATCAAAATCATGTTTACTTTTGAGAGTGAAGGAACATATCCTGCATGTTACAGAACAAATAACTCATTAAAGATGAGCATGTGGTGGAAAAAAAAAGAAAAGGAATATATTCTTTTGTGAATTTTGGGTGTATCTGATTCACCTAAACTTCATATAGTTTTTTATAGATAATTTACTACTAAAACATGGAGAAGGTGTATTCAGTGTCTCAATTATGGTCTTATTTAGATTTTTTTCTCTATTTCAGAGGCTGAGCACAAGCCTCCACTACTTATAAGAAGAAATAATATGAAAATACCTGTTGCAGAATATTTCAGCAAACCAAATTCTCCTCCCAGGCCTAACACTCAGGAGAGTGGATCAGCAAAACCAGTGTCAGCAAGGAGTATACAAGAATACAACCTCTGTCCCCAAAGAGCATGTTATCCTTCAACACACCGGAGGTAGAAGTTCTAGACTGGGTGAATTCTTTCATGAATATGAGCTTCACATTTACATCATCAAATTATTTTTCAAATGAATATTTTTGGTATTGAGGAATCAAGTGGTCCTCTTTATGGTGGCACATGTAAATCTAAAAATACCTGTATGTAATGCTACAAATAAATATTACTGGAAATGATATTTCCATTTGTAGTTAATACGATGTGTAAAAGAAATACATTTATTTATATACTATGTTTCCAGTCTTGCACTATTAGTACATGAGCATAGAGCCCTGATACTAGAAAAATCATCCATAATCAGAATTAGGCAGTTACAGTTTGACACCTACCCCAAACTCTGTTAGAGGGGGAAAAAAACACAAAGAACAAAAAACAAAACACCACCATCACCGCAAAAACAAACAAACCCAACAACAGAATTTTAACATGTGAGATGGTTTTTATCATCTAGTGTCTCACTGTTGTTGAACTATTATGAAAAAATGCTACCCTCCCCTCCAAAAAGAAAACATATACATATTGTTTCTAACTCATGAGCCAGAAAGAAACTAGTTTTCAGTCAGTACTAATGGTGGACATTAACATTTCATACTGAATTTTTTGTGTTTTTAAAAGAAACCACTTGGCTGGGCGCGGTGGCTCATGCCTGTAATTCCAGCACTTTGGGAGGCCGAGGTGGGCAGATCATGAGGTCAGGAGATCGAGACCATGGTGAAACCCTGTCTCTACTAAAAATACAAATATTAGCCGGGCGCGGTAGTGGGTGCCTGTAGTCCCAGCTACTCTGGAGGCTGAGGCAGGAGAATGGCATGAACTCGGGAGGCGGAGCTTGCAGTGAACCGAGATCGCACCACTGTACTCCAGCCTGGGTGACAGAGCGAGACTCCATCTCAAAAAAAAAAAAAAAAAAAAACCACTCTTGGGCCACAGATATGATTCTTTGAGCATGTTGCTGCAGTCTATCTACCAATAAGCCAATCCTTTATTTAGAATGTTCACACTGATGTTCATCAGAGATACTATAAATTCAGTGTGTGGTGTGTGCATATGCATGCATGTCTATATGTACATTAACTTTTAATGATAACATACTATGTGTCACGAATCATTCTAAACACTTTAGATATAATAACTTATTTAATTTTCACAAAAACTATTTGAGGTAACTACTCTTATTTTTCTCATTATTTAAAATAAGAAAGCTGAGGCACAGATTTGAACTCATTGTGATGGGATAAGTTGTAACAAATGCTATCATTCAAATACAATTATTTCCCACGTGAGAGTCTAAAGTGTGTGATTCAAAGATAACTTTGCTTTACTTGGTGATTTAGAGGCCCAGGATCCTTCCATCTTGTGGCTCAACCATCACCTAAGGCTCCATTGTCAACTGTACCATGCTGGCCAAAGAAAAAATGAGAGTAAAGTATTAGTTTCCTATTGCTGATGTAACAAATTACCACAAACTTTGTGACTTGATGCAACACAAATGTATTCTCTCACAATTCTGTAGGCAGAGGTCTGAAACAGGTCTTACTGGGCTAAAATCAAGGTGTGGCAGGACTGCATTCCTTTCCTAGGCTCTAGGGGACTATTTGTTTCCTTACCTGTTCCATTTTCTAGAGGCTATCTATACTCCTTGCTTCATGGCTCTCTTTCATCTTCAAAGTCAGCAATGGCCAGTCAAGTTGTTCTCATAACAAATCACTCTGATGCTGACTCTTCTGCCTCCATCTTCCACTTTTGGACCTTTGTGATTGCATCAGGCCTGTTATCCAGCTTATCCAAGATAATCTCCTTCATTTAAGGTCAGCTGATTAGCAATTTAATTCTGTCTTCAACCTTAAATTCCCCCTTACCACGTAACTTAACATATTCAAAGGTTCTGGGAATTAGGATCTTTGAACGGACATTATTATGCCTTCCACAAGGAGGATATATCTGCTTAAAGTCTTTGCCTTGAAATGGTAAACATCACTTCTAGTTACATTCCATGGTTGAGAATTAGTATAGCTGAAAGGGAAACTGATTAAAAACTCTTGAGTGGGAATCATATTCCAATTACAGCTATGTTCTATGTTAACAAAAATTAGCTTTTGGTGGACAGTCAACTTTCTCTGACACAAAGATTTCATGGCTGGCTCAAGGTATGGCTAGAATCTATGTGCTTAAGCACTAGGTGCTAGTGACACATAACAAGATTATGCTCAACTCATAAAATTAATAAAGTGCACTCTCTCTTGCTTTTCTGTTATGAAGATGTTACAATGGCATTGCCAATTCTTTTTCATTAAAAATTTGCTAACGTTCATCTATCAGATCACATAGGTTTTGTATTTTGGGAGTTGTAGCTTTTTGACAATTTTATTTCTCCTGTGGTAACTGTTCTATTTATATTTTCTGTATTTTTGGAGCGGAGGATCAATTTTGGAACTTCATGTTTTCCCAGAAAATTATCCATTCCATCCAGGTTTCCAAATTTATTTTCATAGAATTGAGATTTATCTCATAATTCATCTAAATTTGTTTATTCTGCAATCTCATTTTTGTGTATTTGTAATTTTTTTCTTGATCCAGTTAGCTAATACTTTTCACATTTTGCTACCATTTTCAAAAAACAACAGATCTTGGATTTATTCATATGTCCAACAATTTTCCTATTTCTATTTTGTATCTCTTTTCATTTTTTATTAAGTTCCATTTTTTATTTCTTCAGGTTCATTATTGTTCTAATGCCTTGAGTCAAATCTTTTTAATATGTTTATATTCAGTTATTCTCATTAGCATAAATTTTTAAAGTGATGAATTTTCCTCTAATCACAGCTTTAGCTAGATCTATAGATCTGATATGTAGTGTTTTTATTATCTCTATTTTCAAAATATTACATAATTTCAAATTTGGTTTCCTCTTCTATCTTTCCTCTTTTTATCTTTCCCCTTTTATAAGCTCTTGAGAAAACAAATTTAAAATAAGGCTTTCATCCCATCTCACCAAGTTTATTTTCCAGTTTAATGTATTGTTATCAGAGAAGCTGCCTATATTTTTACTTCTGGAAAATTTTCCTTGTGGTCTAATATAGTTACTTTTATGAATACGAGTTGCATTTTTTTTAGCCTACAAAATTTGGTATCACTATCTGTATTAATTATAGCATGTACATTTTCCACATACTCATCTTTTGTCTACTTACATTGTCATAGGTTGAGAAGTATGAGTTAAAGACTCCTTATACTGATGTATTGTTTCATGTAATTCCCAAAGGCTGTCAGTGACTTTGAATACTGTTACCTGATACACAGATTTTCATAATGGTTAGATCTTTACTAAGGATTGCCTTCTTGACAATTACAACATGTCCTTCTCCTTTTCTTTATTTGTAATGTGTTGGACCTTATCTAATGTTAAGACTGTGACTTCTGACTTCGTTTTATTAGCCTGGTATGGCTTTTTCTATTTTTTATTTTCAATATTGCTGAGTAGTTTTAAATACAGCATATATTTCTTTTTTAAATCCAATCTGGAAGATTTTTGGACCATTTAAATTTGCTGATAGGCCATATAGATTTTGTCGTGTGATTGTGTTTTATGTTAGCATTGTTTTTGTTGCTTTTATAAATGTTTCACTAAATGATCTGTAATTTCCTTGTTTTGTTTAGTGAGTGTTCATTTGGTAATTTAGAAAGTTTACATTTTAAAAATCTTATCTAAGCCTGGGTTCCTCAGAAAGTACAGCCTGAATCAAAATCCTATATATTATTACCATTTTAGGGCAGGCAATGTCAAAAAGACTGAGAAACAAGGGAAATAAGGCAAGAAATGAGAAAGCCAATACAAGCATTATCGTTAGCTACTGCTTGACAATTGTTTGCTCAAGCCCTGACAGAGTAAATGGAATAACATTTCCATTTTACATATAAAAACACTGAGGCCTAACAAAGGTTGAATAACTCATCCAAAGTCTCAACACCAACAGTGGCAGTGGCAAGGCTTATGCTTAGTCCAATTCCCTACTGTTTCCATTGATTGTCAATATTACCACCTTTTGATTCTGTCACTGCTTCTCTTCTTCACATTTATTAGATGACTACTATATTTGTCTGGTAATGAGACAGGGAAACAGAGATAAATACCTGCATGCTAACTGAAATCAAAGTTTAATGACTACTAAATGCCTTTACTGCCCTTAATTCAAATCTCTACCATTCTCCTTTCTTTCTTTATCTCATTTTACACCTGTTGTCTGTATACTTTCTCAGGGCTCTATGGACAATT